>NC_000017.11:48810980-49435980 GCF_000001405.40 Homo sapiens
TTTCCCAGTCTGCCCCAATGCCCAACACTCCTTTTTGTTTCCCTGACACAGGAGCCAAGTGACAGTTATCCTTATATTATTATTTTTCTTTTTTTTTTTTTTTTTTTGAGACAGAGTCTCACTCGTCACACAGGCTAGAGTGCAGTGGCATGATTTCGGCTCACTGCAACCTCTGCTTCCTGGGTTCAAGCGATTCTGTTGCCTCAGCCTCCCGAGTAGCTGGGATTACAGGTGCCTGTCACCATGCCTGGCTAAGTTTTGTATTTTTAGTAGAGAACGGAGTTTTATCATATTGGT
This sequence comes from Homo sapiens, assembly GCF_000001405.40. NCBI lineage: Eukaryota > Metazoa > Chordata > Mammalia > Primates > Hominidae > Homo > Homo sapiens. The sequence continues at coordinate 48,811,278 of NC_000017.11, forward strand.
CAGGCTGGTCTCAAACTCCTGACCTCAGGTGATCCACCCACCTTGGCCACTCAAAGTGCTGGGATTACTCAAAGCAAGTGTGAGCCACCATGCCCAGCCTATTTTTCTTATAGTAGCATTGAGACATCTCTTTTTTAGAGACATGGTCTTGCTATGTTGCCCAGGCTGGTCTCAAATGCCTGGCCTCAGGAGATCCTCCTGCCTCAACCTTGGAAGTAGCTGGGATTACAACCATGAGCCGCTGTGCCCAGCTCAAGAGAGGTGACATTTTCTTAAACGCAGCCCACTTCTTTCATTTAAACTATATGCCTGACCCTATAGACATCTGAATTTATACCAGTTCTGCTCTAGTATCTCTGGCCTCCAAGCAGTTTCAAGTGAAAACAAAAGCTACTTCCACCAGGGCTGAGCAGAAAGCTTTTTTTTTTTTTTTTTTTTGAGACAGAGTCTTGCTCTGTCACCCAGGCTGGAGTGCAATGGCACGATCCCAGCTCACTGCAACCTCCACCTCCCAGGTTCCAGCTATTCTTCTGCCTCAGCCTCCCAAATAGCTGGGATTACAGGCACCTGTCACCATGCCGGCCTAATTATTTTTGCATTTTTAGTAGAGACGGGGTTTTGCCATGTTGGCCAGGCTGGTTTCAAATTCCTGAACTCAGGTGATCCGCCCACCTCGGCCTCCCAAAGTGTTGGGATTACAGGCGTGAGCCACCACGCCCAGCCAGAAAGCATTTTAATTCCCTGGTTTTCAGAATAAGAATTAAATCTGACCCAGGTGATGCTGGGACCCCCCCCCCCACCCCCCGCTCAGACTTTTCAGATGTGGACTTTATTTGGTTCTACAAGACTTCTCTTAACAGTCTTAGCAACCACTCCCTGCTCACCTGGTAGTTCCCACCTATTGTCTTGCGTAACAATTTTGTTGGTGCCAACACCAAAAGCAGTCTTGTAGCCTTGAGGAATAAAAGGAGGAAAGGCAAAAGACATGGCCTAAGGAGAATACAAAGGAGTGAGGGGAGCTGCTGGTGGCATCCTGAAATATACATACATCATGGTGTAAGGGCCTCTGCCGTCAGCTACAGGTGACTAAGCCACTTATTAAGAGGCAGCTGCAGTGTAGTAGCTAAGAACTCAGATTTCGAAGTCTCTGTCTGGATTTAAATCCCAGCTCTGCCACTTCCTAGTTGTCTGAACTCAGGCAGTTTATTTAACCTCCTGCCTTAGTTTCCTCATCTGTAAAGTGGCTTCTCCCAGTTATGGAGATTAAATGAGTTTACTCATTTGACTTAATGCAACACAAAGTTCTTAGAACAGTGCCTGGCACATAGAAGGTACCCACAAAGTGCTCTCTACCATTACCAGCTGTGTAACCCTGGACTGTGAACTTCCTGATGGAAGAGGCTGTGTCTCTGCATTCTCAGCTCCTAGCAGTGTCTAGAAAAGATACTAAAAATGAGATGTTCATATGCTCCTTGAATTAATGGGCTGGAAGAATGAATAAATGCATGAACTAATTAAGCTTCTCCAAGGTTCATTTTCCTTAGCTATATAACAGAAGTGTTGTTGTGAGCATTAGGTAAGTAACATTTGTTATTTACATTGTTAAAACATCAACCTTGGGTCCTTCTCATATAGCTGGCACTTAAAATGCTTGTTTCATTCACTTACAATAGACTATTGAAAACCCACTTACCAAGTAGCAGACATTACACTAAAGCATTTATAAACATAATGTCTCATCCTCATAATAACCTATCATGGATACTCTTTCCTCTATTACAGATGAGAAGACTGAGACAGAGAGACTAAGGTAAGAGGCACAGCTGGGGTTGGAAGACATGTCCATCTGACCCCACAGCCTGTCTCTCCATGCTCCCCTCACTGCCTTTTCCTCTCGGCAGGCCATCCATAAATAGTGTGACCATAAACTAAAGTAACTGATCTCCTAACTCCCAAAAGCAATCTTAGTGACTTTAGTCTCTTAAGAGTCAGTTGGGGACAGGCACGATGGCTCATGCCTGTAATCTCAGCACTTTCGGAGGCCAAGGTGGGCAGAGCACTTGAGCCAGGGGTTTGACACCAGCCTGGACAACATGGTGAAACCCCACTCTACCAATAAATAAATAAATAAATAAGCCAGGTGTGGTGGCGTGTGCCTGTAGTCCCAGCTACTCAGGAGGCTGAGGTGGGAGGATCACTTTAGCCCGGGAGGCTGAGGTTGCAGCGAGTAGAGATCACACAACTGCACTCCAGCCTGGGAGACAGAACTAGACCTTGCCTCAAAAACAAAAAGAAAAAGAAAAAGAGAAAAATAATCAGTTGGTCCCACATCATTTTCCTTAAAGTCAACTGCTTTAAATTCCCATCTCCAACAAGGGCTTGGATCTCTCCAGATTTGCCATAACCTGGTAACAGCTGTATTGTTTCTACTTGTATTTATTTTCACTCTCTTTCCCTTCTTTTCTCCAATGTCCACATTGTACCAGGGCTCCTATTAAGGGTGTAATTAGAATATTTTCTAAGCTTCTATGGAATTCCTGAATGTTAGAGCTGGGAGGAATCTTTTTAGAGGAGGTTTTGAACTCTCTGCCCTCTGCCAGTCTGTGCTAGGGGAGGGGACTTGTACCCAGCCAGAGAGCAAGAAATCAGAAGCACCATCAAAACCCCAGCTTCCTGGTCCCCAAGTTATCTTCCCATTATGCTGGGTTAGTGGACAGACAAAGTGGACTAAGTGCTTTAGAGAGTTTTTAAAAGACTAAGGCTGGGTGCGGTGGCTCACGCCTGTAATTCCAGCACTTTGGGAGGCCAAGGCAGGTGGGTTACTTGAGGTCAGGAGTTGGAGACCAAGTTGGCAAACATGGTGAAACCCCGTCTCTACTAAAAATACAAAAATTAGCTGGGCATGGTGGCAGGCGCCTGTAATCCCAGCTACTCGGTAGGCTGGGGCAGGAGAATCGCTTGAACCTGGGAGGCGGACGTTGCAGTGAGCCCAGATCGCACCACTGCCCTCCAGTCTGGGTGACAGAGGGAGACAGTGTCTCAAAAAAAAAAAAAAAAAAAAAAAGACTAAGAGCTGTACTACCAATGTAACAAACACAGTAAATAGCAAAATAGCATCTTCAGTTTTTCTTAATGACACAAGAAAGAGCATTGTGTCATTAAGGAAGGGTATTAGTCCACCTTTCCAAGTAGGATATAGTTAAGACACTGAAAAAATTCTCATGTTTCCTTCCATTTTAGTATAGGGTTTGATCTTGAGATCTTCCAAGCCAGAGGCTGTCAACAAGATCCTGGTTAGACAGCACGAAAATGTCCTACATTGGCCACCAGGGGGAGGGAATGAGCACTGGGACGGGTCCACTGGGACGGGTCCATTGCGGGTTATTTGGAAAAAACTCAGAGGAGGGTCCCTGTCTTATTTCCACTTCTGAAGGACTATACCTGTTGACTACTCTCCTCTTCCCTGGAGGTGTTGCAGAGGGTGGAAAATGTTTAGTGCTTTCTTTTATCTTTCTTTCTTTCTTTCAAACTCCAGCCTGTTGCCCAGGCTGGAGTGCAATGGCACGATCTCAGCTCACCGCAACCTCTGCCTCCTGGATTCAAGTGATTCTCCCGCCTTAGCTTCCCGGGAGCTGGGACTACAGGCATGCACCACCACGCCTGGCTAATTTTGTATTTTTAGTAGAGATGGGGTTTCTCCATGTTGGTCAGGCTGGTCTCAAACTCCCAACCTCAGGTTATCAGCCCACCTCAGCCTCCCAAAGTGCTGGGATTACAAGCATGAGCCACCGCGCCCAGCAGTTTAGTGATTTCTTTTGCAAAACTGAATGAACACGGGCATCCTATAAATGATAGAAAACAATAATTTGGTGGTTGACTAAGAGAACCCTGGGAGAACATATTTCAAGTTGTAGCCAAGTTTTTTCATCTCTGACCTTCATCACCTGGACTTTTTTTCTAGTCTATAGGAATATATAGAGCACTGAAAGTTTCGCCTATTGTGTCTGTCTGTGAAGTCCCTCTCTTTCACCAGATAATAGGTTTTCCTTCACGTACCTCCTTTTCATCTTTTGGTCCTCATTTCCCTACTGGAAGCATCCCTCTGAAGGCCTCCAGTGGTTCTTGGAAAATGTCAAATTGGATGGGGGAAGAAAAGATGTGGAGGTAAGACCTCTGGATCTTGCTTTCAGCTTTGCCCCTCCAACTCAGTATGTCATAAAAATCCAAGCAATTATTTCCTCTCCCACTCCCTATCTTCTCTATAATTACAGGACCACTAGGAGGATAAAAGCTTCACATCTAGAAAAGTGCTTTGAGCTTTGATTCAGACAGGATAAAATAAGATGTTTTTTGTGGTCTTTTGACTTTTCGTTTTAGTCACACTTTGAATTTCAGCCCGGGGCCTGAAAGGGTCCTAAGCAAAATGTGAACTAACAAGGGAGGGATGGGGCACCCAATTGCTCAAGGGCTTTGCCAATAAGAAGTGTTGAGAATGACAAGTCACCTGTAGTGGGAACAATAAGAATCTTGCTGACTTAGATGCCATCTTTTATTCTTCTAGAAACTGAGAAATTCTGCAAGATTGGAAGATGCAATATTCAGATCAGGCTCATGCCTAGTCATTTTCTCCACAATATTCAGGGCATTGCTAACAAAGACAGATGGATCTGGATCCAAATCCCAGCTCTACTAGTTTCTAGAATGTGTGACCATGGGTGAGTAACTTAGCCTCTCTGTACCTCAGCTTCTGTATAAGTAAAATGGGGATGATAATAATATTCATTTTATGGAGCTGTTTTAAAGATTAAATGAGTTAATATTTCTAATACCCTTAAAGCAGTGCTTGGTTCAAAATAAAGGCTATATTGTAAAATGAAAATATAAACCAGGCGTGGTGACTCATGCCTGTAATTCCAGCACTTTGGGAAGCCCAAGTGGGAGGATCACTTGAGCTCAGGAGTTCGAGACCAGCCTGGGCAAAAAAGTGAGCCCCCCCACCCCCACCTCCATCTCTTAAAACAAACAAAAAAGAAAATATAATAATAAGATTGGCATAAATATTAAATTTTTTTGGAGTGCCTCGCACATACTGGTGCTTTCAAAACGTTAGCTCCCTTCCCACTTCATCCCCCAATGTGATATTTTTCCTAGAGTTCAAATCCCAAAGGAGAACTTTCTGCAAAGCCAGAAGAGTATTTTTTCAGGAGGGGTGAGAAATAACAACTGGAAATGAAAGAACACCAGGCTGGAAGGCGGTAGGGGCATCAGCAGAGGACTATGCCGGCCATGAAAAATGGGAAGTGTCTTGCTGGAAGGTTTCTCCAGACAAAGGAAGAACAGTGATGAAGAAAATGACCCAATGATGGGGATGAAGGGGATGAAGAGAGTTGTGTGAGTCCCAGGGATCGCTGGTGTCTAAGCGACAGCTCCTTGGTGGACTGTGGTTTAGGAAATCGGGGGAGGGCGGGAAATGAACGTTAATAAGAGGGACTGAGAAGGGGGGAGTCCCGGAGCCGAGGGACCGTGAGGGTGAGTGCCTGGCGCCATGGAACGCCACCAGGGAGGGCAGCGGGCTACCCTGGGGACCTGGGTCCCGTGTGGGTTTAAGGAGACGTGTCTAGCCAGGTTTTCAGGGGACAGGCACCAGGAGGCTGCGGTCTGGAGCCAGCACCGGGCTTTGGGGCGCTCTTACCCGCAATTCCTACTCCCCCGTCTCGCCCCGCTGGGCTGCTAGTCCAGCTTGCAACCACACCTGCCGGCCCCCTCCTCGAAGGATGAAGGAGTAACGCTCCCATTGGCTGCCAGACAGCCCCAACCCCAACCCGCGCTCGCCCTAACTTTGGGTCCGCCCGGCCCTCATATTTGCATACGGGGCCTTCTAGGCCTTCGATTGGCCCCTGCAGTAGCTGCCATGCCCCCTCCCTCCCGAATCCAATTAACCGCCCAGGCGCTAGGGGAGGGGCGCGCCCACGGTTGTCCCGGGAGACGCGGAGGACGCGCGCACCGCGCACCCGGGCGCCAGGGGCTGGACCGCCGCTCGCTCCCGCAGCCCTACCCTTGCCCAGCGAGCCAAGCCGCAGTCCCAGCCCATCCGCGCCGGTGCCGTCGGGCGCCGTGCGCGGGCGCGGCCAGAACGTCTGGCTCCAGAGGTCCAGCTGCGCGGGGCTGCGGTGAGGGAGGGGGGCACCTTGAATTTAGGCCTTCGGGAGAGGGCAAACCTGAAGCAGGAGGCACTGTGGGAAAACACTGGTTGGAGACTTAAATCAGCATCTCAGGCATATTAGTGCCTGTGTCACCTTGGGCAGGCCACGTTACCTCTGTGAGGCTTAGCTTCTTCAACAGGAAAATGGGTGTTGCAAACCTGTGATGACCGCTCAGGCGTATTGAACCCTGACCTCACCTCCAGAGTGTGGGGGTCATGGCCTCCAGTGAACTGATCAGTAAGAGAGGGCCGCCTAGACCGACTGAAGAGTCAGTGAGACTTAAGGGGTTAGGGGTCTGGGCTTCTCAGAGCAACCATTTGGTCTCAGGTGGAGAATCTGTAGTAGTGACTGGATTCAAATCATTGAAGATGGTCGGGCGCGGTGGCTCACGCCTGTAATCCCAGCACTTTGGGAGGCCTAGGTGGGTGGATCGCTTGAGCTCAGAAGTTCAACACCAGCTGGACAACATGGCGAAACCTCCTCTCTACTAAAAATACAAAAATTAACCGAGCGCGGTGCGCGTACCTGTGGTCCCAGCTATCGGGAGGCTGAGGCGGGAGGATCGCTTGAACACAGGAGGCAGAGGTTGCATTAAGCTGAGATCGCGCCACTGCACTCCAGCCTGGGCAACAGAGGGAAACTCTGTCTCAAATAAATAAATAAACATTGTTCATTTGGGCCTGAGTTGGTAACCTAAGTTCCTCCCAACCCAGATCCCCTTCACCTGCTGATGTGCACAGGCAGAACACCAGAGGCAAGGGTGTAGCTTAGCCTCAAGCCGACCCTGGAAGCCTACTACGTGGTGCTTACAGTCACCCCGGAGTGAACAGAAGGCCCAAAGTGGAACCAGTGGCCCATCTGCTGCTCTTTCAGAAACCTCTCTGCCATCCAGTCAGCACTCTTCCCTTTTCCCCCCGCAGGTGGCCCCGTGCTGTGGTGCCCCTCCCCGACAGGCCCTAAGGGGCCAAGTGACCATCATTAACTGGTCACCCAGCAGATGCTTCCCTAAGACCAACTGTCCCAGCCTGGTCCCCTCCCCCATCCCACTGTTGTCTTTCCCCAGCGTCCTACCAATCTGCTCTGCCTAGCTCCTGTTTGGTCTCCGGTCCCTCAGGAGTGATATTGTGATGGAAATGAGGGAGAGGATACAGGAGAGAGCAGCAAAGATTTACGGCTTTCAGAGAGTTTCCACTAAAATCCCTGACAACTGGTTATTTATGAGATGTTGCAACGGGAGCTTATAGGCCAGAGCCTGGCACTACTGTCCTTTCAGGGCTGATGTCAGGAGCAAACACAGGGTGAACACGGTGAACAGTGGAGCTGCCCTCACTGTAGAGCAAAGCAAGCTTCAACCCGAGTGACAGCCAGGAAAGCAGAGAATATCAGTGATTTGTGCCTGGCAAACCCTAAACAGACAAATCCACAAGGTAAACACTGAGGGACTTACTCGGCCTGGGCATGAAAAACTGAAGCAGAATGATGGAGGGTCCTAATTGTCAAAAAATTTGGACCATGTCCTAGAAGCTGTCAGAGGCAAGAGTGTGTGGAAAAATCCAGGTCCAACCCTGTTGTTTTCACTGCTGTTTTGTTCCTAAGGCACCCACCTGACTAAATAGATAAATAGTAAAACAACAGTAAAATCCCCGTAAGGTTGTTTGCTCTGCACTTCACACACAGCGTTTTTTCTCAGTTTGGAGTTCTTCCTTTAAGTAGTTAATGAAACAAACAGAGATCCTGCTTCTGCTCCCTGAACCAAGGTCCCTCCTAGAAGCCCTTTCTTCCTGTGCCAGTCAAAATATATTTTTTTTTTCAGACGGAGTCTTGCTCTGTCGCCCAGGCTGGAGTGCAGTGGCGCGATCTCAGCTCACTGCAATCTCTGCCTCCTGGGTTCAAGCAATTCTCCTGCCTCAGCCTCCCAAGTAGCTGGAATTACAGACACCCGCCACCATGCCCGGCTAATTTTTGTATTTTTAGTAGAGACGGGTTTCACCATGTTGGCCAGGCTGGTCTCAAACTCCTGACCACGTGATCCGCCCACCTCGGCATCCCAAAGTGGTGGGATTACAGGCGTGATCCACTGCACCCGGCCAAAATAATTTTATTTTGTTTTTTTCGAGATGGAGTCTTGCTCTGTCGTCCAGGCTGGAGTACAGTGGCACGGTCATGACTCATTGAAGCCTCAAACTCCTGGGCTCAAGCAACGCTCCTGAGTAGCTAGGATTACAGGCTCCTACCACCATGCCTGACTAATTTTTTAAAAAAACAATTTTGTAGAGACGGGATCTTGTTTTGTTGCCTCTCAAAATGTTGGGATCACAGGTGTTAGCCACCGTGCCCAGCCAAAATAAAGTCTTGATATGTGTACCAGGAATGATGTAAGGAGTGGGAATGAGGCAAGGATGCTTAGATAAAATTTTGCATACCCCAGATTTTTTTTGCTTTAAGTCTGCAATGCATGAGAGAATGTTGTAGAAGTGTATATAATCACAGAATTGGGCTTCTTTTAAATCAGAAGAGTTCTTAGAGACCTCCATGGCATTTGTCCTGTTTTCAGATGAGGAAACTGAGGCCCAGGAAAGTGGGATGGCTTTGCTCAAGGCTTGCAGTGGGGTCATAGAGTCCATTACCCCTTCCTCCACATGCTCTGATATTAGTGAAATAGAAATAGCAATAGAAACTGCTGCCAAGCACCTCTTCTGAATCCTCTCCATTTTGATGTGTAACTGTATCTGATGGGGCTGAAAGAGCCCCTGGACAGGGGACTGCCCACCCATGAGCAGTGGAGCTCCCAGGTTTCTGGGTTTTTTTGTTTTTGTTTTTGTTTTTTCGAGATGGAGTCTCGCCCTGTCACCCAGGCTAGAGTGCAGTGGCACAATCTCGGCTCACTGCAACCTCCGCCTCCCGGGTTCAAACGATTCTCCTGCCTCAGCCTCCTCAGCCTCCTGAGTAGCTGGGACTACAGGCACCTGCCATCACGCCTGGCTAATTTTTGTATTTTTAGTAGAGACGGGGTTTCGCCATGTTGGCCAGGCTGGTTTTGAACTCTTGACCTCAGGTGATCCACCCACCTCAGCCTCCCAAAGTGCTAGAATTATAGGCGTGAGCCACTGCACTCAGATAATTTTTTTTTATTTTTAGTAAAGATGGGGGTTTCGCCACGTAGGCCAGGCTGGTCTCGAACTGCTGACTTCAGGTGATCTGCCCGCCTCTGCATGCCAAAGTGCTGGGATTACAGGCAGGTTTCTGTTTTTATTTTGCCTTTCTTCTTCATCCTCCTCCACTTTCTGGGAAAACAAACTTCCCTGTTCATAGATGTTGGGTTTTTTTTTTCTTTTTGCCCTGTAAGGAAACAACATGGCTGTTTTTAAAGCATCCTTGTCTTGGTGTAGATGGCCCTCAGACAAGTTCCATAGACAGTGCCCTGATTAGCTGGGCGCAGGGGCTCATGCCTGTAATCCCAGCACTTTGGGAGGCCGAGGGGGGCGGATTACTTGAGGTCAGGAGTTTGAGACCAGCTTGGCCAACATGGTGAAACCTCGTCTCTACTAAAAAAACAAAAATTAGCCTGGCATGGTGGCAGGCACCTGTTAATCCCAGGTACTCAGGAAGCTGAGGCAGGAGAATCACCTGAACCCAGGAGGCAGAGGTTGGCAGTGAGCCAAGATCTTGCCACTGCACTCCAGGCTGGATGACAGAGTGAGACTCCGTCTCAAAAAAAAAAAATTATTTGGGCACCGTGGCTCATGCCTGTAATCCCAGCACTTGGGAGGTCAAGGAGAGCAGATTGCTTGAGTCCAGGAGTTCAAGACCAGCTTGGGCAATATGGAGAAACCCCGTCTCTACTAAAAATACAAAACTCAGCTGGGTGTAGTGGTGCACACCTGGAGCCCCAGCTACTTGGAGGCTAAGGGAGGAGGATTGCTTGAGTCTGGGAGGTGGAGGCTGCAGTGAGCCAAGATCATGCCACTGCACTCCAGCCTGGGCGACAGAATGGGACCATGGATCAAAAAAATAAAATTGGGCCCGGTGCGGTGGCTCACACCTATAAAGCGCAGCACTTTGGGAAGCAAAGGCAGGCGGATCACTTGAGGTCAGGAATTCAAGACCAGCCTGGCCAACATTGTGAAACTCATCTCTACTAAATATACAAAAATCAGCCAGGTGTGATGGTGGGCACTTGTAATCCCAGCTACTCGGGAGGCTGAGGCAAGAGAATCACCTGAATCCAAGAGGCAGAGGTTGCAGTGAGCCAAGATGGTGCCATTGCACTCCAGCCTGGGCAAGAATGAAACTCCATCTCAAAAAAAAAAATTTTTTTTTAATAAACAGCTTAAATATTCAATTGTTAGAAAATGGTTAAGTAAATTATGGTAGAATCAATTATATTACAGCAAAAAAGAAACTAACATATATGAAGTTTCATTGCACCAAGGAAGTTTTTTACTTAATAAAAGTAGTGAGTGAAAAAAATATAAAGGCTATGACTATGTCAAACATGTATTTACATATTAAAAAAACTGGAAAAAAAGAGAGAATTTTCTTAATAAAGATAAAACCAGGACTCTCATATAGATATAAAAACGAACACATGTTAAGGATTTTACAGCTGACCCTTGAACCATGCAGGGGTTAGGAGCATCAACCCCCTAGGCAGTTGAAAATCTGCAGATAACTTTTTTCTTTTTTTGTCAGACCTGGTGAACCAGAAGTTTTGGGTTGTTTTTTGGTTTGTTTGTTTTGTTTTGTTTTTGTTTTTGTTTTTGTTTTTGAGATGAAGTCTTACTATGATGCCCAGGGTAGTCTCTAACTCATGGGTTTAAGTGACCCTCCCACCTCAGCCTCCCAAGTAGCTAGGATTAAAAGTGCGCACCACAGCACCCAGCTCTCCCAGTACTACTTTTGTTTGTTTTGTTTTTTGTTTTTTGGGTTTTTTTTGTTTTTTTTTTTTTGAGATGGAGCCTCACTCTGTCGCCCAGGTTGGAGTGCAGTGGCGTCATCTCAGCTCACTGCAAACTTCGCTCCCCAGCTTCAAACCATTTTCCTGCCTCAGCCTCCGGAGTAGCTGGGATTACAGGCATGCACCACCTTGCCCAGCTAATTTTGAATTTTTAGTAGAGACGGGGTTTCTCCATGTTATGTTGGTCAGGCTGGTCTTGAACTCCCGACCTCAGGTGATCCGCCCACCTCGGCCTCCCAAAGTGCTGGGATTACAGGAGTGAGCCACCACTCCCAGCCACAGATTCTCTTTGACCAAACTTTAGTTAGGCTCCTCTGAGCCCTCTTTGACCTTGGGCTTCCATGTCTGTCCTTACTGAGTCTGATTTTAGCAAGAATCTTTTTTGCTTTTTGGCTTCTTTTTTTTTTCCTTTTTGTGAAGAACCGAGTCTAGCTATATTGCCCAGGCAGGTCTCAAACTCCTGAGCTCAAGCTATCCTCCTGCCTCTGTCTCCCTAAAAGCTGGGATTACAGGCGTGAGCCACTGCACCCAGCAGTTTTGGCAACATTCTTAAGGCAGTTTAAAGAGAACCCTCCACCCTTGATAACTGATCACCCTCAAAAACTGATCAAATTCCTCACCCCCCACTCTTCTTTTTTTTTTTTTTTGAGATGGAGTCCTCACTGTCGCCAGGGCTGGAGTGCAGTGGCACGATCTCGGCTCACTGCAACCTCCACTTCCTGGGTTCAAGCAATTCTCCTGCCTCAGCCTCCTAAGTAGCTGGGACTACAGGTGCCCGCCACCACGCCCAGCTAATTTTTTGTATTTTTAGTAGAGACAGGTTTCACTATGTTAGCCAGGCTGGTCTCAAACTCCTGACCTTGTGATCCTCCCACCTTCACCTCCCAAAGTGCTGGGATTACAGGCATGAGCTGCTGCGCCCAGCCTCCCCCACTCTTCATATGTGATCAATCTCTAGCCTGCCTTTGGCAAGAATCCTGTTAAGTTGGTTTAGCAAGAATCCCGCCCCCCCACTCTTGATGTCTCCTCTTAATAATTTTCCATCCGTGGATTTTCCTCACTCTGCTCCTTAGCTATAAATCCCATTTGTCGTTATTGTATTTGGAGTTGAGCACACTCTTTTTCACCTATTGTAATGTCCCTAATGCAACAGTCCTGGATGAAGTCCTCCTTACTATTTTAACAGGCTTCAGAATGATTTTTTCTTTAACATCTTTCCTATGAAGCCTTCCTGCTTGCCCCTAGGAAAAATTGATTCTGTGCTCTCTTAGCACTGTGTAAAAATTCCTTTTCTAAAGCCAATATCTTGGCCGGGTGCAGTGGCTCACGCCTGTAATCCCAGCATCTTGGGAGGCTGAGGCAGGCAGACTACCTGAGGCCAGGAGTTCTAGACCCACCTAGCTAACATGGCGAAACCCCATCTCTACTAAAAAACATAAAAATTAGCTGGACATGATGACATGCGCCTGTAATCCCAGCTACTCAGGAGGCTGAGAGGCAGGGAGAATTGCTTGAACCCTGGAGGCAGAGGTTGCAGCGAGTGAGCTGAGATCGCACCACTGGACTCCAGCCTGGGCAACAGAGTGAGACTACATCTCAAAAAAATAAATAAATAAAACCAATATCTTGTGGTATTATAGTCATTTATGTGTTTGTCTTCCCTTATAGCTTGCTGAATTCTTCATTAAAAACATAATGAGGACAGTGGTTAAGAATGGGGCCAGGCGAGGTGGCTCACACCTGTATCCTAGCACTTTGGGAGGCCGAGGCAGAAGGATTACCTGAGGCCAGGAGTTCGAGACCCACCTGGCCAACATAATGTGAGATCCCATCTCTAGATAAAATAAAAAAATTAGCCAGCTACATCGGGTGCGGTGGCTCACGCCTGTAATCCCAGCACTTTGGGAGGCTGAGGTGGGCGGATTACGAGGTCAGGAGTTCGAGACCAGCCTGACCAACATGGTGAAACCCCATCTCTACTAAAAATACAAAAATTAGCTGGGCCTGGTGGTGTGCACCTGTAATCCCAGCTACTCAGGAGGCTGAGACAGGATAATTGCTTGAACCTGGGAGGTGGAGGTTGCAGGAGCCGAGATCACACCATTGCACTCCAGCCTGGGCAACAGAATAAGACTGTCTCAAAAAAAAAAAAATTAGCCCGTTACAATGGTGCATGCCTATAATCCCAGCTACTCAGGAGGCTGAGGTAGGAGCATTGCCTGGGCCCCAGAAGTTGAGGCTGCAGTGAGCGGTGATTATGACACTGAACTCCAGCCTAGTGACAGAGTGAGATCCTGTTGTTACTGGAAAGGAGTCCTGATCCAGACCCCAATGGAGGGTTCTTAGATTTCCAGCAAGAAAGAATTCGAGGTGAATCCATAGAGTGAGAGCAAGTTTATAAGGGAAGTAAAGGAATAAAAGAATGGCTACTCCATAGGCAGAGCAGCCTGGTGGGCTGCTGGTTGGATATTTTTATGGTTATTTCTTTCTTGCTTTCTTTTTTGAGATGGCATTTCACTCTTTTGCCCAGGCTGGAGTGCAGTGGCGCAATCTCGGCTCACCGCAACCTCCACCGCCCCCCACCCACCCAGTTCAAGTGATTCTCCTGCCTCAGCCTCTCAAGTAGCTGGGATTACAGGTGCCGCCACCACGCCCGGCTAATTTTTGTATTTTTAGTGGAGACGGGGTTTCACCATGTTGGCCAGGCTGGTCTCGAACTCCTGACCTCAGGTGATCCACCCGCCACGGCCTCCCAAAGTGCTGGGATTACAGGTGTGAGTCACTGAGCCCAGCCTCTTTTTTTTTTTTTTTTTTTTTTGAGATGGATTCTCGCTCTGTTGCCCAGGCTAGAGTGCAGTGGCGTGATCTCGGCTCACTGCAACCTCCACCTCCTGGGTTCAAGCGATTCTCGTGCCTCAGCCTCCCGAGTAACTGGGACTACAGGCACGTGCCACCACGTCCAGCTAATTTTTTGTGTTTTTAGTAGAGACAGGTTTCACCGTGTTAGCCAGGATGGTCTCGATCTCCTGACCTTGTGATCCTCCCACCTTGGCCTCCAAAAGTGCTGGGATAACAGGCGTAAGCCACTACGGCCAGCCCGTTATTTCTTGATTATATGCTAAACAAGGGGTGGATAATTCATGAGTTTTCTAGGAAAGGGGTGGGAAATTCCTGGAAATGAGAGTTCTTCCCCTTTATAGACCATATAGGGTAACATCCTGACATTGCTATGGCATTTGTAAACTGTCATAGTGCTGGTAGGAGTGTCTTTTAGCCTGCTAATGAATTATAATCAGAGTATAATGAGCAGTGAAGACGACCTTTCATCGCCGTCTTGGTTTTGGTGGGTTTTGGCTGGATTCTTTACTGCAACCTGTTTTATCAGCAAGGTTTTTATGACCTGTATCTTGTTCCAACCTCCTGCCTCATCCTGTGACTAAGAATGCCTAACCTCCTGGGAATGCAGCCCAGTAGGTCTCAGCTTTATTTTAGCCGGCCCCTATTCAAGATGGAGTCACTCTGGTTCAAACACCTCTGACACTGACTCTTTAAAAAAAAAAAAAAGTGAAGGGTACAGTACTGGAGTCAGAATGCTTTGCTCAAATTCTTCTGATGGCACTTATTAGCTATGTGAGCATGGGAAAATAATTTTATGTCTCTAAGCCTTGCTTTTCTCATCTATAAAATGCGAATAATAAAAATACTTCCCTTAGAAGAATGAAATGAGATAATCTACTGTGTCATGCACAGAGTAACCACATACCGCCTCAATCTTTTTTTTTTTTTTTTTTTTTTTTTGCCCTGAGACTTAGCAGTTGAAGATAGAAGTGAAAGATTTTCTCTGTAGGTCTGAATATAAATTCCTATTCCTTCCATATCCAGTTATAAAGGGTTGCAGCTACAGCCCTCCCACGACATTTCTATTAGAAATAAATCAGATTAAGGCCTGGCTCAGTGGCTCACGCCTATAATCCCAGCACTTTGGGAGGCCGAGATGTGCAGATTGGTTTTGTTTGTTTGTTTGTTTGTTTGTTTTTAATTTTGAGATGGAGTCTCGCTCCATCACCCAGGCTGGAGTGCAGTGGCGAGATCTCAGCTCACTGCAAGCTCCGCCTCCCGGGTTCACGCCATTTTCCTGCCTCAGCCTCCCGAGTAGCTGGGACTACAGGCGCCCACCACTGCGCCCGGCTAATTTTTTGTACTTTTAGTAGAGACGGGGTTTCATCGTGTTAGCCAGGATGGTCTCAATCTCCTGACCTCGTGATCCGCCCGCCTCGGCCTCCCAAAGTGCTGGGATTACAGGCGTGAGCCACCGCACCCGGCCCGAGATGGGCAGATTACTTAAGGTCAGGAGTTTGAGACCAGCCTGGCCAACATGGTGAAACTCCGTCTCTACCAAAAATACAAAAATTATCTGGTCATGGTGGCATGCACCTGTAATCCCAGCTACTTGGGAGGCTGAGGCAGGAGAATCACTTGAGCCCAGGAGGTGGAGGTTGCAGTTAGCTGAGATCACACCACTGCACTCCAGCCTGGGTGACAGAGCAAGACTCCATCTCAATAAATAAATAAATAACTACATAAATACATAAATCAGACTAGCCTGGGCATGGTGGTTTATGCCTATAATCCCAGCACTTTGGGAGGCTGAGGCAGGAGGATCACTTGAGCCCAAGAGTTCGAGACCAGCCTGGGCAACACAGTGAGACCCCATCTCTACTTAAAAAAAAAAAAAAAAAAAAAAAAAACAGGTGCAGTGGCTCATACCTGTAATACCAGCCAGCACTTTGGGATGCCAAGGCGGGCGGATCACCTGAGGTCAGGAGTTCAAGACCAGCCTGGCCAACATGGTGAAACCCTGTCTCTACTAAAAATACAAAAATTAGCCTGGCGTGGTGGTGGGCACCTGTAATCCCAGTTACTTGGGAGGCTGAGGCAGGAGAATTGCTTGAACCCAGGAGGCAGAGGATGCAGTGAGCTGAGATCATGCCACTGCACTCCAGCCTGGGCAACAGAGGGAGACTCCGTGAAAGAAAAAGAGACAGAGAGAGGGAGAGAGAGAGAAAAATCAGACTAACTGTTTTATTTTGTGCTATTGAATTTAGGTGCTGAAAATATCAACAAAATAACCTGTTGATAAAACAAAGTCTAGTTTATCCTTACTGCAGTGAGAAGAGCACTACTTTGACAGAATTGTGGAGGCTCAAAGTAGGGAGCACATAGTGGTATATACTGAGTCTTTGAAATTTGGTTTAAGTGTAGGCTCTTTCAATGCGGGTTGGGGGTTGATTAGGATGGGGTAAGGATCATGATACAATCATTTAGGACTGGTAGACACAACAGAGTATTTTGAGGCCAGCGGTTGTATAAACACCCAACGAGTTCTTGTCCACTGCTCAGAGAGAGCCAATTTATCAAGACAGGGGAATTGTAATAGGGAAAGAGTTTAATACCCATAGAGCCAGCTAAATGAGAGAGCAGAATTTTATTATTATTCAAATCAGTCTTTCTGAAAATTTGGAGGCTGGGTTTTTTAAAGATAGTTTGGCAGGCAGGGGGCTAGGGAATGGATGCTGCTAATTGGTTGGGGATGCAATCACAGGGGTATGGAAAATATTTCTTGTGTGCTAAGTCTGTTTCTGGGTGGGGAGTCACAGGACCAGTTAAGAGTCCTGGGTTCTGGTGGAGCCATCTGATTGTCAGAAATGCCAAAGTCTGAAAGGATCTATCAAGAGGCCAATCTTAGGTTCTACAATAGTGATGTTATTTATGGGAGTAATTGGGAAAGTTGTAAATCTTGTGACCTCCAGAATAATGGCTGGTAATCATTTAACTATGCCAACACGTTAGCAGAATTCAGGCCCCTCTCATAATTCTAAATCTGTGGCCTTTTATTAGTTTTATAAAGGCAAGTTTGGTTTTTTTTTATTTTTTTCTTTCTGAGACAAGGTCTCGCTCTGTTGCCAAGGCTCGAGTGCAGTGTGCAATCACTGCTCATTGCAAACTCAAACTCCTGGGCTCAAGTGATCCTCCTGCCTCATCCTCCTGAGTGGATGGGACTACAGGCTGGAGTGCAAAGGTGCAATCTCGGTTCACTGCAACCTCCGCAATCTTGGTTCACTGCAACCTCTGCCTCCTGGGTTCAAGCGATTCTCTTGCCTCACCCTCCCAAGTAGCTGGGATTATAGGCGCCTGCCACCATGCCCAGCTAACTTTTGCATTTTTAGTAGAGATTGGGTTTCACCATGTTGGCCAGGCTGGTCTCAAACTCCTGACCTCATGATCCGCCCGCCTCGGCCTCCCAAAGTGCTGGGATTACAGGCGTGAGCCGCCATGCCCGGCCAGCCTTCATTTTTAATTTACTGAAATAGTTATCATGTTAATGTAGACAATAAGCTGTGTGGGTGCAGATGGTTTTCATTCTCAGTGCTTTTAGAAAATCTAATAAGTAAAATTAAGGGAAATGTATCCAGGATACTGAGGGCACTTGTCCCTGCAGACCGAGTTTAAAATGGAAGATATTATTTTGGTAACTCAGAAGGTGATTTGAACTTTAGACGGATGACCCACTTCCTGGCTTACTCATCATTTCCCACCATCCGTTCATCTCAGTTGAATGCCACCAGTCTTGTGAGGAAGCAGATTAGGAATGCTCATTCCCGCTGGGTGTGGTGGCTCATGCCTGTAATCCCAGCACTTTGGAAGGCTGAGGCTGGTGGATCACAAGGTCAGGAATTCAAGACCAGCCTGGCCAATATGGTGAAACCCCGTCTTTACTGAAAATACAAAAATTAGCCGGGCGTGGTGGCGGGCGCCTGTAGTCCCAGCTACTCAGGAGGCTGAGGCAGGAGAATCATTTGAACCCGGGAGGTGGAGGTTGCAGTGAGCCCAGATCATGCCACTGCACTCCAGCCTAGGCGACAGGGCAAGACTCTGTCTCGACAAAAAAAAAAAAAAAAAAAGGAATGCTCATTCCCCTGCCTGAGATGGCACAGAAAAATTTCTTTCCACATTTAAACAGTGGAAGAAGGGGCACTTCCAAATTTAATCTTTCATAGACAGCATATACAGCATTTAACATCTTCTGGATGTTAAAGAAAAAAATATTCTGAAACTTGTTAAAATGGCAAGGAAGAATTTATTCAGGACCAAAGGGGAGATTATGCTGCACTCTGAATACAATAATGACAAGTGGGATTTATAGCCAACAAGCAGAGTGAGGGGTCACTGCATGGAAAATTACTAAAAGGAGATTCTTGTTAAACCAACTTAACAGGACTCTTGTTGAAGGCAGGCCAGGGTTATTAGATATTAAGGATGGGGGATTTTCTTTAAATTGACTTAGCAGAATTCTTTTCTTACTGAGTTTATTCTTTTTTTTTTTTTTTTTTTTTTTTTTTGAGACAGGGTCTCGCTCTGTCTCCCAGACTGGAGTGCAGTGGTGTGATCATGGCTTATGGCAGCCTCCACCTCCCAGGCTCAAGTGATCCTACCACCTCAGCCTCCTGAGTAGCTGGGACTACAGGGGCCCACCGCCACACCCGGCTAATTTTTTTATTTTTTGTGGAGACAGGGTCTCCCTATCTTGTCCAGGATGATCTGAAATTTCTGGGCTCAAGAGATCTCCCACCTCGGCCACCCAAAATGTTGGGATTACAGGCGTGAGCTACTGTGCCTGGCCATGAGTTTATTCTCTTTTTTCTTTTTGAGACGGAGTTCAAGGCCAGCCTGGCCAACATGGTGAAACCCCGTCTCTACTAAAAATACAAAAAAATGAGCCGGGCATGGTGGCGGGTGCCTGTAATCCCAGCTACTGGGGAGGCTGAGGCACGAGAATAGCTTGAACTCAGGAGGCAGAGGTTGCACTGAGCCGAGATCGCCCCGCTGCACACCAGCCTGGGCAACAGAGTGAGACCTTGTCTCAAAAAAAATAAAGACTCTTCGTGAAGTAGTGTTAAGTGGACCCAGGAGAAAAATGAAGATGACCTCTTAATGGCCCTTCAAATGTATAAAGCTTTCTCATTCAGGGAAGAAAGACATAAAGATGTAGCCCAGGCGCGATGACTCAGGTCTGTAATCCCAACACTTTGGGAGGCCGAGGCAGCTGGACCTCTTGAGCCCAGGAGTTCAAGACCAGCCTAGGCAACATGGCAAAACCCCATCTCTACTAAAAATACAAAAATTAGCCTGGCGTGGTGGCGGGCGCCGTATGGGCACCGTGGTTGTCCCAGCTACTCAGGAGGCTGAAGTGGGAGGATCACCTGAGCCCGGGAGGTCGGGGCTGCAGTAAGCCGTGTTCGCACCATGGCACTCTAGCCTGGACGACAGAAAAAGAAAAAAGAAATAAAGGTATAAAAGAAAAAAAAGAAAAGTAAACAGCTTCTTCCAGGGGATGAAGTAGGTTTATTTCGGTGAGATTGCTGCTCAGGACTTAGGAGAGCCATCAAAGGCAGAAGACCGCTCCTGGGGCCCGGTCACCTGAACACTACAAGTCCCAGCAAGCGCCGCGCGGGGGCGGGGCTTGCTGACCGTTGTGACGTGTGGGCGGGGCAGGCGGGACGGGCTCTCCCTTGGGTGCTTAGCCCCGCCCCCGTCCCACTCTGCCCTGTTGCTGTCGCGCCGCTGCTGGTTGCTGTCCCTGGTGAGTGCCTCAAGTGGAAAGGGGCAGTTAGGCCCTCGGGGTGCCCACATTCAGACTTGCAGTCCTGAGAAGGGGCCACGGGGGTAGAGGTGTGGCAAGTTTCGGTTCTCACCGCAGTTCACCCTCTGGGGTGATAGTGGGAGTGGTGTTCTGAAGGCCCTGGAGCCCCTCCCGCGGCCCGGGAGGGTTGCGGGGCAGTTTTGTCTTGCGGAGGGCAGCGCTGCAGTGCTGTGTGGCAGGGTGGGAGGCTCCTCGGGAAGAAGTGACACCCCTGGCGGCGGCGAGGGTCTTGAGGCGGCGGCTGCCGCCCCACGGGTCGTGGCGTCCCGTCCCCTCCCGCGGGCCCAGGCTGTGGTGGTTCCGTAATCCCTCGCCTGGATGTCATCGCCGTTGGCTTCGAGGCGGAGGTGGAGCCTTGTTGCGTCACCCTGAGCAAGTTACTTTCTTTTTGGGCCTCAGTGTCCCCCTTTACGAGTAGGTTTGATCCCTGAAGCGCCTTGCCTTTTGCATGCTGCAGCTGTCGGAGAAGACGTTCTAGGCAGGAGGAAAGACGGTGTCGTGACCTGCCTCTACAGTTAATCCATTGCCCCTCCACCACTGACCCAGCTTAGTTTGGGAGCTAATGTTCCCACTCGTATATTATTTCAACCCCACTGGACGTGTTAACTCTTTTCTATCACTTGGATTCTTGCTTCACATGCAAGCCAACAAGTGACCATGGTTGGAGCTGAGTAAAATATGGATAATATAACTTATTCTATTATTGGAAACACCATTGCAAGTAAAGGACTTTATGTGGTAGGTCTTTGTAGCTTGTGGAGAATACATGATTAAGGAATATCCAGATGGCTCAGTTTCCCAGGTATTTTCAAGGGACCTGGAAACTCTATCCTTTGGCAGACATGACAGCTGTGGAATGGAAAGGGCCTTGAAAAAGGTAGTCGATAATCCTGAGTTACCTGGCACTAACAGGTCATATTGTCTTTCGAGTCAGATAGTACATCTGTGGCTCTTTAAAAATTTAATTTGGCTGACTAGGCGCGGTGGCTCACGCCTGTAATCTCAGCACTTTGGGAGGCCCAGGCGGGCAGAATCACCTGAGGTCAGGAGTTCAAGACCAGCTTGGCAAACATAGCAAAACGCTGTCTTTACTAAAAATACAAAAATTAGTGGAGCGTGGTGGCGGGCGCCTGTAATCCCAGCTACTTGGGAGGCTGAGGCAGGAGAATCGCTTGGACCCAGACAGCGGAGGGTGCGGTGAGCCGAGATGGCGCCACTGCACTCCAGCCTGGGCAACAGAGTGAGACTCCGTCTCAAAAAACAAACAAACAAAAATTTAATTTGGCAGTATGTATTGATAGAATGTCATGTATCCTTAATTATTTTTAGATGAAAAGAGAGTTAAATGAACTCTTTCACTTCTTTTTTCCTTCACTTAGGATCATCATTATATCAGGCAAGGTCCTTGAAGATTTTCTAGCCTTAGCCATGCATTTTGCTGATGAGGAAACAGGCCAGAAAAGGGTACTGTGACTTGGCCAAGCTCTCAGAGTGGCAGAACTAAGATAGGAACCCAGCTCCCTTGGCTGTTAGCCTAGTCCCCTTTCCACCACACTTCAAACACTGTCACTGCCCATGTCACAGGGACATGGCATGTTAGAATCACCCCTGTCAAGGGAAAAGTGGATGGTCTCAGTAAAATGGAGATTAGTACACAGCTTTGAGCCTTTCAGAGTTTCCAGTTGCCCGCACCTGATGTCCCAGAACTATTTTTTCCATCTTCCCCTAGAACTGGCGCCAGCACTATGGTGGTGTGGATGTGAGATGAGGGCCTGTTTAGAAAAAGCTGGACAGCAAATTCAAACAATTGTTAATGAGTAGTAATAAAGGCCTCCTGGGGTGTAAAATTTTTGTAAGACACTCTGAAACATTTTCATATTTTAGGTAAGGGTCTAGAATTAACTTGGAAATTTTGGGCTAGAGCAAATGGCTCGATAATTTGAAGACCAGTGATTGTGTCTTTGCTTTTGCTACCTGTTTCAGGGCCATCTACACACACCCATAGTATCCACTGCTGGTATTCTTTAAGGCTGGTTATGTGTAAGCATTTCTGCCATAGCCAGGGAGAAACGGGATTCAAATCAATTCATCCATTTTTGCTAATTGCTAATCGTTTAGAAAGAAAAGTAAGCAGAAGGCCGGGCACAGTGGCTCACGCCTGTAATCCCAGCACTTTGGGAGGCCAAGGTGGGTGGATCACGAGGTCAGGAGTTAGAGACCAACTTGGCCAACATAGTGAAACCCCGTCTCTACTAAAAATACAAAAATTAACCGGACATGGTGGCACATGCATGTAGTCTTGGGAGGCTGAGGCAGGAGAATCACTTGAACCCAGGAGACAGAGGTTGTGGTGAGCTGAGATCACACCACTGCACTCCACCCTGGGCAACAGAGAGAGACTCTGTCTCAAAAAAAAAAAAAAAAGAAAGAAAAAAAGTAAGCAGAAAGATAAAGGAATCCAATTAAATTGGGTTTGACTTTTATCTTTGTTTTTACTGTTCTCAAATGAAGAATTGATTTGCATGTCTTTCTTGCCTGTAGAAGCATTTGATTTCCTTCTGTGAACTAATCTGTAGTCTTCATTTCTCTTGAAATATATGCCCACTGGTATAAAAAAGGCTAATGTAAACATGTTGGCCATTTAAAAAATTTTCTGCTAAAAAACCTATCAGTGTAGTTTGCAGATGCAGTTAGAAAGAGCAGAAGTAGGCTGGGCACGGTAGCTCATGCATGTAATCCCAGCACTTTGGGAGGCCGAGGCAGATGGATCGCCTGAGTCCAGGAGTTCAAGACCAGCCTGGGCAACATGGTGAAACCCTGTCTCTACAAAAATACAAAAATTAGCCAGGCACATGCCTAGGGTCCCAGCTACTCCAACTGAGGTGAGAGGATTGCTTGAGCCAGGGATGTCAAGGCTGCAGTGAGCCACATTCATGCCATTGCACTCCAGCCTGCAAGACCCTATGTCAAAAAAAAAAAAAAAAAAAAAAAAAGCAAGAGCAGAAGTAGAACAGGCTGCTGTTCCTTTTCTTCAGGAAGACATAAGAGGATCTATGTCCTCATGGAACAGCCCTGGGAGTAGTATATTAGGCTTGAAAAGCTCATTAGATGAAGATGTGTCAGGTTTTCTTGGAAGCTAGGAGACAGTTCAGGGGACTCATTTAAAAATACTTTCCCATTATTGCCTGCTCCTCTGAGGGCCCTAATCCTTTTGGAAACTGAGCTGAAAAAAGGTAATGACTATGTCAGAGGCCAAATAAAGTTGCCTCTGACAGTTTGTGGAATTTGTGCATTATTTTACCCATGCTTGATAGTTTTGTTTTTGAAAATCCCTATTTGTTTTCTCTGTTCATTCCTTATGTGGCCAATCTTTGATTTGAGGGTTGGAATAAGGAATTAGGTAAAATACCACTTTATAATTTCTAGGGGACCTAGCTCGTCCCACTAATTTTTCATAACTCAGCAGTTCTCTGGGCTTCTAAATTTAACTTTTGCTCTTATATTTCTTCTCTTTTCTTTACCTCTATGAATTGCTGCCAAGTTAGAAATGGATGGTAGACAGGTTCTATAGTGGGAAAGGTGGTTAAAGGAGGGGAAGTTGATGCTTAAGTCATTTTAATTTTCATGGGCCAGGTGTAGTGACTCACGCCTGTAATCCCAGCACTTTGGGAGGCCAATGCGGGAGGATTGCTTGAGTCCAGGAATTCAAGACCAGCCTGGGCAACATAGGGAGACCCTATCCCTACAAAAATACAAACATTAGGTGGGCATGGTGGCGCATACCTATAGTTCCAGCTACTTGGGAGGTTGAGGTGGAGGGTCACTTGAGCCTGGGAGGTTGAGGCTGCAGTGAGCCATGGCTGTGCCACTGTACTCCAGCCTGGGTGACAGAGTGAGACCCTGCCCCCCCGCAAAAAAAATAATTCTCTTTACATATCTTCCCTCCCCTGTCCACAAATACTCATTTCTAGACTACTTTGTCAGAAAGGTAATTTCCCAAGCCATTGTTGGAGCCCATTTCTCCCAGGAATTTTATCACTGGGAGGAAGGGAAGACTAAAGATTACTGACCTGAAAACTCAGTAGATGCCCTCCCTCCAGGAAAAGCTGGAATACTTCCTCACTGACCAAGTTCGGGTTGGCATGGTTATGTTCTAGTTTACTCATGGCCCTTTGTGTCCACAGCTTGGTAAAAAGGAGAGAAGAGAAGCCACTGCTGTTCTCATCTACTTGCCTCCTCAAACCCTTCCCCAGCCTTGGCAGAGGAGAATTTTAACCTTATTTCAAGAATGATTGAGTTCTCAATACCTCACATGCCATTGGATGCCCTCTGAGTCCCTTCTGGGAAGGTGATGAGATTTCTGAAATGGGAAACTCCATGGGGTCTTTTGCATTTTTGATAAGCAAGGAACCAAAGCTGTTCACTTTTCCAGACAGATTATTAGGTTTTCAGGTGAATGAAAATAGCTAGAATTTCCTTTGACTATACACTCAAGCCTCAGAACATGAGCTCTTTCGTGTTGTCTATATATGTGCTGTCCTTTCTTAAGCGTTCTGCTTATGAGCTAACTTAGATTGGTTGTTTTTCTTTTCTTTTCTTTTCTTTTCTTTTCTTTTCTTTTTTTTTGAGACAGAGTTTTTTGCTCTTGTTGCCCAGGCTGGAGTGCAATGGCATAATCTCGGCTCACTGCAACCTCCGCCTCCTGGGTTCAAGCGATTCTCTTGCCTCAGCCTCCTGAGTAGCTTGGATTACAGGCGCCTACCACCACGCCCGGCTAATTTTTTGTATTTTTAGTAGAGACAGGGTTTCACCATGTTGGCTAGGCTGGCCTCGAACTCCTTACCTCAAGTGATCCACCCACCTCAGCCTCCCAAAGTTCTGGGATTACAGGTGTGAGCCACGGCACACGGCCAGATTGGTTGTTTTTCTGGTAATGAAAGAGAAACTATACCAAGCTACCCCATGCCCTTAGCTGGTCTTGCCTTTCAGAGTAGCATCCATTTTCACAACAGCTTGCCAGAGTTTGAGTGTGTGTAAGGTAGGTAATGGAGTGTGAATTTGATGGGTTCTTAAGGAAATCAAATCTGTTCCTTTTGGTTTTTTGGCACCATGCCACTTGAACCAGCCATGCCAGCTGAACCAGCCATACCAAGAAGTGACTTAGCACTTGGAGATTATCATCTCCTCACCCTATTTTAGAAAAGAGAAAGCTGAGAAACAGCAGTTTCTCCAAGGGTCAACAACAAATTAAGAGGGCTTAAAAAAATAAAACATACACACTCTTAGCCCCAGAGTCACCCTTACCATTGTTTACCTACAAAGCCCCTTCCTTTTTTACTTTTTGATGAATGATGTGCATATCTTGTTAGTTCATTTATCCAACAAATACTTAATCAGTGATTACTACACCTTAGGCATTGTGTTATGTATACAATGGTGATAGTGTTGTGAAGGAAAAGAAATGGGGATAAGGTACTTGGTACCTGTGTACAATGAGGGTTTCTCTTGGATGCTATGGGAGAATGGGCAGGGAGGTTTCTCAGCTTGCAGACCCTTTATTTCCAAGTGGTCTACTGACATATGGAGGCCAGCGTATGAGGGGCAGTCCCGGAAGTCACTCTTTTTTTTTTTTTTTTTTTTGGAGATAGAGTTTTGCTCTTATTGCCCAAGCTGGAGTGCAGTGGTGCGATCTCAGCTCACTGCAACCTCCGCCTCCCAGGTTCAAGCTATTCTGCCTCAGCCTTCTGAGTAGCTGGAATTACAGATGCATGCCACCACACCCAGCTAATTTTTTGTATTTTTAGTAGAAATGGGGTTTCACCATGTTAGCCAGCCTGCTCTTGAACTCCTGACCTCAGGTGATCTGCCTGCCTTGGCCTCCCAGTGCTGGGATTACAGGCATGAGCTACCACACGCAGCACTCAGAAGAACACTCAGAACACTCTTATCTGAGTGTTCTTCATGATCCGCAAAGGACAAGTTAAGTAATTTTACACGCACAGATAAATTGGTGCTCCAGGCTTAGGACAGAGGGATATGCTGGCCTCCATATGACGGTAGACCACTTGGAAATAAAGGGTCTGCAAGCTGAGAAACCTCCCTGCCCACTCTCTCATAGCATCCAAGAGAAACCCTCATTGTACACAGGTAACAGTTTATTATAGGGAAAAATCTTGACCTAGACTGGAATGTGAACATTCCCCCACCGTTGAAAAACTCTTTTGAGCCGGGCATGGTGGCTCATGCCTGTAATCCCAGCACTTTGGGAGGCTGAGGTGGGTGGATCACCTGAGGTCAGGAGTTCAAGACCAGCCTGGCCAACATGGTGAAACCCCCTCTGTACTAAAAATACAAAAAATTAGCTGGGCATGGTGGCGTGCACCTGTAGTCCCAGTTACTCAGGAGGCTGAAGCAGGAGAATTGCTTGAACCCCAGAGGCGGAGGTTGCAGTGAGCTGAGATACCGCCACTGCACTCCAGCCTGGGGAACAGAGCGAAACTCTGTCTAAAAAAAAAAAATGGAAAGAAAAACTTTTGAGGTTTGAGGTTGAGGATGTGGCTAAACTGTGTCACAAACCAGAAAGTCAATGCATTTTTTAGTTCCTTAACTCAATTTCAAGAATAGACAGTTTAGTGCTCCAAAGTCCTGTTGCCTTCTTTATGAAAAAACTGACTTCTGGGGAGTTGGAAGAGCAGGCCTGGTTGCTTAGACTTCAAAGTAAAACCAGTAAATAGATAGGATGGGGCTAGAATAAGTATTATGGTTGTTTGGGAGGTCTTGTTTTTTTGGTTATTGTACTTATTTATTTTTAAAAATTATATGTGTGCCAGCCGGGCGCGGTGGCTTACATTGAAGCAGGAAGAGCCACAGACAAAACTCCTCAGACACCGAGTTAACGAAGGATGGGGTTTATTAGGCCGGGGGCATCAGCAAGACTCCTGTCTCAAGAGCTGAGCTCCCCGAGTGAGCAATTCCTGTCCCTTTTAAGGGCTAACAACTCTAAGGGGGTATGCGTGAGAGGGTCGTGATCAATTGAGCAAGCAGGGGGTACATGACTGGGGGCTGCATGTGTCGGTAATTAGATCGTCACAAAACAGGATAGGGATTTTCACAGTGCTTTTCTATACAATGTCTGTAATCTATAGATAACATAACCAATTAGGTCAGGGGTCGATCTTTAACTACCAGGCCCAGGGTGTGGCGCCGGGCTGTCTGCTTGTGGATTTCATTTCTGCCTTTTAGTTTTTACTTTTTTTTTCTTTGGAGACAGAAATTGGGCATAAGACAACATGAGGGGTGGTCTCCTCCCTTAATGTCTGTAATCCTAGCACTTTGGGAGGCCGAGGTGGGCTCATCACGAGGTTAGGAGATCGAGACCATCCTTTCTAACACGGTGAAACCCTGTGTCTACTAAAAATTCAAAAAACTGGCCGGGCATGGTGGCAGGCGTCTGTAGTGCCAGCTACTCGGGAGGCCGAGGCAGGAGAATGGCATGAACCTGGGAGGCAGAGGTTGCAGTGAGCCGAGATCGCGCCACTGCACTCCAGCCTGGGGGACAAAGCGAGACTCTGTCTTAAAAAATATATATATATATAACAATTACATGTGTGCCTGTATGTGTACACAATCTTCCAGCATATACCAATAGCTGAATTTGTAAGATATTATATAGTATTTGCATGTGTATAGCTCTTTCTTCATCTTCTGTGTACAACTGAAATATTTTTTTCATGTCCTAGTAAAACCCTAAATTGAGAATTACGGACTCACTAAATGTTAGACCAGCTAGTCATTTAGAAAACAGTGCATGTGATTTGTTTAAGGGGCAGGAAGTATTAGGTGTCAACAATTAAAATCACTTTGTTTCTTTTTTTTTTTTGAGACGGAGTCTCACTCTGTGTCCCAGGCTGGAGTGCAGTGGCGCAATCTGGCAATCTTGGCTCACTGCAAACTCGGCCTCCCGGGTTCCTGCCATTCTCCTGCCTCAGCCTCCTGAGTAGCTGGGACTACAGGCACCCGCCACCACGCCCGGCTAATTTTTTGTGTTTTTAGTAGAGACGGGGTTTCACCATGTTAGCCAGGATGGTCTCAATCTCCTGACATCATGATCCACCCACCTCTGCCTCCCAAAGTGCTGGGATTACAGGCATGAGCCACTGTGCCCGGCCCACTTTGTTTCCTTTATGTACTGTTTTTGACTCCAAAATGGTTTCTCTTTTTTTTTTTTTTTTTGACAGTCTCACTCTGTCCCCCAGGCTGGAGTGCAGTGGCATGATCTTGGCTCACTGCAACCTCTGCCTCCTGGGTTCAAGCGGTTCTCCTGCCTCAGCCTCCTGAGTAGCTGGGATTACAGGTGCCTGCCATCGTGCCCGGGTAATTTTCGTATTTTTAGTAGAGACAGGGTTTCACAATGTTGGCCAGATTGGTCTCGAACTCCTGACCTCAGGTGATCCACCTGCCTCAGCCTCCCAAAGTGTTGAGATTACAGGTGTAAGCCACAGTGCCCGGCCTTTTTTCTTTGCTTTGCTTTGCTTTTTTTTTTTTTTTTTTTTTTTTAAACGGAGTTTCACTCTTCTTGCCCAGGCTAGAGTGCAGTGGCATGATCTTGGCTCACTGAGACCTCCGCTCCCAGGTTCAAGCAATTTTCCTGCCTCAGCCTCCCAAGTAGCTGGGATTGCAGGCATGTGCCACCACGCCCAGCTAATTTTGTATTTTTAGTAAAGATGGGGTTTCTCCATCTTGGTCAAGCTGGTCTCGAATTCCTAACCTCAGGTGATCCACCTGCCTCAGCTTCCCAAAGTGCTGGGATTACAGGTGTGAGCCACCATGCCTGGCTTTTTTTGCTTGTTTGTTTTAATAGAGACAGTCTCACTATATTGCCCAGGCTGGACTTGAACTCCTGGCTCAAGCAATCCTCTCACCTCAGCCTCCTGAACAGCTAGGACTACAGGCATGCACTACCCTAGTTTCCTATTTCGTTGTTGTTGTTGTTGTCATTGTTATTGTTTTGAGGCAGGGGCTTGCTCTGTTGCCCAGGCTGGGGTGCAGTGGCACAATCTTGGCTCGCTGCAGCCTAGACCTCCCAGGCTCAAGCCATCTTCCCATCTCAGCTTCCCGAGTAGCTGGGACTGCAGGTGAGCACCACCACGCCCAGCTAATTTTTGTAGTTTTCTGTAGAGATGGGGTTTTGCCATGTTGCCCAGGTTGGTCATGAACTCCTGGACTCAAAAGATCCACCCGCCTCTGCCTTCCAAAGTGCTGGGATTACAGGTGTGAGCCACTGTGCCCAGCCACAACTTTCCTATTCTTGATCACATTTTATCTGTACTATAACCTAGAAAGGTGAAACACAGTGTATTATCCCCATTTATAGCTAGGGATCCAAACTTGTTTGCTGTCTTCCAAATGTGGGTTGCATTTTTCTGTTTCTTTGTTGTTACTCATGCTGTTTCCTTCACCTAGAATGCCCTCACTCAAAAACTCACTTGTCGAAATCCTAATCCTCTTTGAGGGCTAATCTAAGATTCTTCTCATTCCTTGAAGTTTTCTTTATTTTCCTAACCAGTTGCATCTCTCCCTGTTTTGAACCCGAGAGCATTTTGCACTTCTTATTCGATTCATTTGGCAGTCATTTGTATACTCCTCTATCCTCTCTATTGGATTGGGACCCTTTTTAAGGTTGTACCAGGAAAAAAAAACCCACAACTACAACAGTAATAACTATATAACTAACTATAACTAACGTCTCTTAAACCCTTTATGCAGACTCTGTGCTAAGTACTTTGTCATTCAACATGCATCAACTTTGTGTGAAGTGCCTACAATGGCAGACACTGATTTAAGGGCTGGACATCTTACATTATTTCACTTATGCCTCACAAAAAACTAAATGGGGTAGATGTTATTTTTAGCCCCAATTTACAGATAAGGAAACAGGCACAGAGCCAGCAGATTATATAAATTGCCCAATGCCACAAATTTAATAGGTGGTGAAGCTGGAATTTGAACGCCACCATTCTAATTTAGAACCCATGCTTGTCACTACTGCATGTCAAATAATTTTCTCTCATTCCCATCCCCAGGTCCTAGCAGAGTATCTTATGTATGGAAGGTCCTGATAATTATAGGATAAATGGGATTGAATATAGAAGATGAAATCCAGAGAGATGGACTTTCCTAAAGTCATAGGGCTTGTTGGGATGAAAAATCTAGAATTTAACAGTTCCCAGCTCAGGCTATTTTATCTAGGCTGCCTTGCTTATTTAAGTCATTTAGAGAAAGGGGAACTAAAGTAGCTATAAGCCTCTGTTCATGTGAGGGTTGTGGTGCCTGTGGTGAAGAAGTTAAAGATATTGTCAGAAAATTCTCGTAGCATAGGAAGTTGTGACTGAGATGGCTCGAAGTGAAACAGAAAGCAAGTTGTGTAATCTCAGTATTTGTCAGGATTTTGCTTTTCCTGACTTGCTTTGCACAGAATGTTCCCTGGATGAAAGCCCAGAAATCACCAACATTTCAGACAATGCTTTCTGAGCCTTACTCTGTTCCACATTTCATAACAGGACCCCTACCATGGAGGAGACCATCAAAGATCCCCCCACATCAGCTGTCTTGCTGGATCACTGTCATTTCTCTCAGGTCATCTTTAACAGTGTGGAGAAGTTCTACATCCCTGGAGGGGACGTCACATGTCATTATACCTTCACCCAGCATTTCATCCCTCGTCGAAAGGATTGGATTGGCATCTTTAGAGTAAGTGGTTAATTCAGTACCAAGTGATCAGGAACTAGAGGTGATTCTTAGTTACCTAACTGTGTGACTCTCTGTGTATTATAAGCATTTTGTATAATATGTGTTGGCAGTTTTTAAATTCTAGCCAAGCTCCACAGCACTTCTCTCTTCACACATTAATGTGTGCTGTGGGACTCAAATTTTCATTTCAGTGTCAAGCTAAAATAAGATGGCAAATCATATAATCCTCAAATTTTGTTATGCTTTTTTTTTTGCTTTTTTCTTTTCTTTTTTTTTTTTTTTTTTTGAAATAGAGTCTTGCTCTGTCACCTAGGCTGGAGTGCAATGGCACGATTTGTCTCACTGCTACCTCCACCTCCCGGGTTCAAGCAGTTCTCCTGCCTCAGCATCCCGAGTAGCTGAGATTACAGGTAGCTGCCACCACATCTGGCTAATTTTTGTATTTTTAGTAAAGACGAGGTTTCACCATGTTGGCCAGGCTGGTCTCAAACTCCTGATCTCAGGTGATCTGCCTGCCTCAGCCTCCCAAAGTGCTGGAATTACAGGCGTGACCCACCACGCCTGTCCTTATTATGCTGTCAAAAACCAAATATAAATACTTGCTTCTTGTTGTTGAGATAGAGTCTTGCTCTGTCTCTCAGAGTGGAGTGTAGTTCACTGCAGCCTCAACCTCCTCCCAGGCTCAGTGATCCTCCCACCTCAGCCTTTTCAGTAGCTGGGACTACAGGTATGCAGAACAATGCCTAACTGATTTCTTTCTTTTTTTTTTTTTCTTTGAGACGGAGTCTCATTGCCCAGGCTGAAGTACAGTGGTGCAATCTCGGCTCACTGCAACCCCCACCTCCCAGGTTCAAGCGATTCTCCTGCCTCAGCCTCCAGAGTAGCTGGGATTATAGGCGAATGCCACCACACCCTGCTAATTTTTGTATTTTTAGAAGAAACCAGGTTTCACCATGTTGGTCAGGCTGGTCTTGAATTCCTGACCTTGTGATCTGCCCGCCTCAGCCTCCCAAATTAAATGCTTTTTACATGATCCTATTTTGAAATATTTATGTATGACTTGACTGAGATGGCTGACCTCATATGTCATTTCTGAGACTAAACATTACTTCCTTACTTGGTATGATGTTTAGTTTGTTTTGATACAAATACCTCAAATCTGGAAAGGATATTGAGGATATTGACATCCTGTATCCAAAAAGTTTATTCCTGAATAAGTGCGTCTGACTACTTTATAATGATTTCCAAGGACTGAAAGTTTATGAGCTCTCTTAGTGACCTCTTCCAGTGTCTGATCACCCCGTCAGTTCAAGTACAGAATGGTATTTTTAAATTTTAATTAGCTTACTCTCTATGTCCCCTTTGCCCTCCCATCCGTGTCTTTCCCTCTTATACATCTCACATACACCATAATGACAAATCTTCTTATTTCCAGAGACAAGAAATAAAGGTCAAATTTAATTAATTTACACTGCCAACTCCCAACGTCAGTGACCTTTGGTTTGACACCTCAGTATGTCATGTGCCTATTTGCCAGTGCTATTCATCCTGAAATCAGACACCATTCTCAACTGCACTGTGAAGGAGCTGTTGCTTATTTATATCCTTCATTGAATTCCTTTTCCATAATTGTTTGGAACATCAAGCTTATTGATGAGCAACGGAAGCTGGAGGTAACAAGACTGGTGTTTGGAGATAGGGATTGTGGCCAACCAGCAGGACACTGGCAAGTATCATGACAGCTGTTGAGACTGCAAGGTGTTGAATCATCAGACTAAAAGGCGTGCCAACCCACCAGAGTGTTTTCTGTCTTAGAAAGAAGATGGTAGTTGTTTTTCTTCCTCATATGTAGCAAAGCGTATAGGTCACATTGCCTGGTAAGAGTTTTCTGCAATGGAGCTGTAGCTTCACTGTCTAGTACAGCTGCTACTAGCCACATGTGGCTGTTAAGCACTTGAAATGTGGTTAGTGTGACTAAGTAACTGGATTTAATTTAATTTAATTTATTTATTTAGAGACAGAGTTTCGTTCTGTTGCCCAGGCTGGAGTGCAATGGCGCAATCTCGGCTCACCGCAACCTCCGCCTCCCAGGTT
Organism: Homo sapiens; assembly: GCF_000001405.40. Taxonomy (NCBI): domain Eukaryota; kingdom Metazoa; phylum Chordata; class Mammalia; order Primates; family Hominidae; genus Homo; species Homo sapiens. The sequence goes on from NC_000017.11 coordinate 48,843,982, forward strand.
CAAGCGATTCTCCTGCCTCAGCCTCCCGAGTAGCTGGGATTACAGGCATGTGCCACCACGCCTGGCTAATTTTGTATTTTTAGTAGAGATAGGGTTTCTCCATGCTGGTCAGGCTGGTCTCGAACTCCCCACCTCAGGTAATCCGCCTGCCTCGGCCTCCCAAAGTGCTGGGATTACAGGTGTGAGCCACCGCACCCGGCCTGAGTAACTGGATTTTAAATTTTACTTAATGTTAATTAAAGTTTAAATAGCTTCATGTGGCTAGTGGCTATCATTGGTTAATGCAGGTACAGATCATGAAAAAGAGAATGATTCAAAAATTACTTACCAGACTTTAAAACGTAGTTTATAACGTCTTTTTTTTTTCTTTTTGGAACATCGTTATATTTCTATTTTGCTTAGACTGGTTGTATTCCCCCAAGCGCTTAGCAACCACCAGTAAAGACTTCACCATATATCATATGAAAATCTTGGGCGTTTTTCTTTTTTTAAGATGGAGTTTTGCTCTTGTCACCCAGGCTGGAGTGCAATGGCGCGATCTTGGCTCACTGCAACCTCTGCCTCCCTGGTTCAAGCGATTCTCCTGCCTCAGCCTCCCAGGTAGCTGAGATTACAGGCACCCCGCCTCCCCAGTTCAAGCGATTTCCTGTCTCAGCCTCCCGAGTAGCTGGGATGACAGGGACCCACCACCATGCGCAGCTAATTTTTGTATTTTTAGTAGAGACAGGGTTTCATCACGTTGGCCAGGCTGGTCTGGAACTTCTGACCTCAGATGATGCACCCACCTCAGCCTCCCAAAGTGCTGGGATTACAGGCGTGAGCTACCGCGCCCGGCCAATCTGGGGCCTTTTAAAAACAAGTGTTTAAAAATATTTTGTCCAGGTGCGGTGGCTCACGCCTGTAATCCCAGGAGGGAGGCCAAGGCAGATGGATCACTTAAGGTCAGGAGTTCAAGACCAGCCTGGCGAACATGGTGAAACCCCATCTCTACTAAAAATACAAAAATTAGCCAGGCGTGGTGGCACCCACCTGTAGTCCCAGCTACTCAGGAGGCTGAGGCAGGAGAATTGCTTGAACCCAAGAGGCAGAGGTTGCAGTGAGCCAAGATTATGCCACTGCACTCCAGCCTGGGCAACAGAGCAAGACTCCATCTCAAAAAAAAAATTTTTTTTAAAGATGTATCTATATTTGGAATGCTTCATACATTTCAGAGGTATTACCATACCCCAATAAAGAAATAATCGTTAATCTGAAGAAGGGCTTCTAATGTCCCTTGTCCATAAAGCTATTGACTTGAATACCTACCCTGAGGACACACTATGCTAGGCCTATGTTGAGGGTGTGTGTGTGTGTGTGTGTGTGTGTGTGTATTGCCTAATTAAATCCTCACTGTGTGTGTGTGTGTGTGTGTGTGTGTGTGTGTGTGTGTGTGTGTGTGTGTATTGCCTAATTAAATCCTCACAGTGGGCCAGGTGCTGTGGCTCATGCCTGTAATCCCAGCACTTTAAGAGGCCGAGGCAGGTGGATCACCTGAGCTAGGGAGTTCAAGACCAGCCGGACCAACATGGAGAAACCCTGTCTCTACTAAAAATACAAAATTAGCCAGGCGTGGTGGCACATGCCTGTAATCCCAGCTACTTGGGAGGCTGAGGCAAGAGAATCCCTTGAACCCAGGAGGCGGAGGTTGCAGTGAGCCAAGATCATGCCATTGCACTCCAGCCTGGGCAACAGAGCGAGACTCCATCTCAAAAAAAAAAAAAAAAGAAAAGAAAAGAAAGAAAAATTCTCACAGTGCAGTAGCCCCCTGAGGTGGGTAGTAGTATCTCTTGGGCATAAGTAAGTAACATGAATATCCCTGAGAGATGGTGACTTTCCCAAGGCCTCACAGTGAATAAGCCGTGAAGCAGGTTTGGCTCCCAAACCTCTGGTTTTTCCTCCTCTACTCTGCTGAATTCCTTTGAGCAACAGATAGTAAATTAGAGAATGAAGAGTTGGCTGTAAAGTTTCGTCCTTTGCAGCTCACCTCAAATGCTCTCCCCAGTGTTCTTTCAGTGTAGTCTTAATCAGACTATTCAACTCCTCATCACCCCAGACACTGGTAGTATCTGGCACCAGGTAGGTACTCAGTAACTCTTTTTATTTTTTATTTATTTTTTAAAATTTATTTTATTTTGAGACAGAGTCTTGCTCTGTCACCCAGGCTGGAGTGCAGAGGTGCAATCTGGGCTCACTGCAACCTCTGCCTCCTGGGTTCCAGTGATTCTCGTGTCTCAGCCACTGAGTAACTGGGATTATAGGCATGCACCACTGTGCCCAGTCAGTAAATATTTTTAATACATACAAATATGTTACATCTTCTCTATAGTGAAAGCCACCACCAATGATGGAGCCTAAAGCAGGAAGCAGTCTGCTTTCCTTCCCTCAGTGTATAATCCTATGCTTCATACTCTCCTTGACTTAGGCATTTAAATGTTTCCAAGACAAATTGGAACAAGAACTACTCAAATGGAGGAGCCAAGGACAGAAATTGCAGGTGGCTAGAAGTTGTTTCCCTGTTCCAAGGCAGCAATAATTCTTAGGCCTTCCCAATGATATTTTGGTCACAGTGCATTAAGAAACTCCAGGATGTGAATGAGGACTCCATAAAATTCCTGCTTCCTGTACCACCGCAGGCTGCAGTGGCTCTGAGATGCTTACAGCAATGGGGTGTGTATTAATGAGACTCTAAAACATGCCCTAGGATGTTCTGATGAGTTTTTGGTATAGACTTTTCAACCCTGCTTTGATTCCTTAATATATAAAAATGGAATTTATTTTTAGTTCTCTTCTTACTGAGCTCAGACAGGGTCAAAATATGGCAATAAATGTAATTTTGCTTCTCATTTGCTGAGTGTTGTCCCCTTGAAGACACAATAGCTTCCTTTCTATTCTCTGGTGTGCTTTTATTTTCTAGATAAGATTTGAGCAATCTTTTACCCCCTTCACATTTGTGAGAATATTTTCCACTTAGCCAGCTTTCTGCTCTGAGGCGTGTTTTGCTGCATCCTTATGTCTTATGATTTATTGTATTCAATACCTAGAAGAGGCCTTTACGACTACCAGATTGTTGTTAATATCTTTATTACCAAAAAGCCATCATTAAGCATGCATGAAGAAAAAAAATTATATAGACCTGGAATCTCTTATCTGGTGCCTCATAATCTAAGAACCCTGTTCTCCCTCTGCCCCCAACACAGACATTATGAAAAATAATGGGTTTTTTTTTAATGCAGTAGTATATCCAGGTTGGTATATGACAAGGCTTAATTGGACACAATAGAGGACACACCAATAGAGAGGGCAGGTCAGAAGTGATTTCTGATTTAGAAGTCCAAAGAATGCCATTGTAAGAGGATCAGGGTTCATATTCCCGCAACTTTCCCCTTAAATCAGTCTCAGCTCTATCTCTGACTTGTAGATAGAATTTTTGGAGCTTTTTTCCTGGGTGGTGAGGAGCTAGTTTTCAAATCCTTCTAAGACTTGTATTTTGAGCTGTGTATGTGCACCCCAATTTTTGGTTGTATCAGACATTTTCCCATATGTATTTGTCATAAGTGAAAAATAAAATAAAAAATTAAAAAAGGTTTGAGCCCTGGCGTGAGAATCTTGTCATAATGAACTCATTCTATTATATTTTCTTTTTTCTTTTTTTGGAGACGGAGTCTCACTCTGTCACCCAGGCTGGAGTGCAGTGGTGCAATCTCGGCTCACTGCAACCTCCGCCTCCTGGGTTCAAGCAATTCTCCTGCCTCAACCTCCTGAGTAGCTGGGATTACAGGCGCACACCACCGTGCCAACTTATTTTTTGTATTTTAATGGAGACGGGTTTTCACCATGTTGCCCAGGCTGGTCTCAAACTACTGAGCTCAGGCAATCCACCCACCTTGGCCTCCCAAAGTGCTAGGATTACAGGCATGAGCCACTGCACCCGGCCTATATTTTCAATATATACAAATAAAAAGTGATTTTAAGAAGATGTAGCCCAATTAGGATTTTCCCCAGTCCCCTTTCAGGTACTAAATAAGAACTTCTTGTCATTGCAGGTGGGGTGGAAGACAACCCGTGAGTATTACACCTTCATGTGGGTTACTTTGCCCATTGACCTAAACAACAAATCAGCTAAACAGCAGGAAGTCCAATTCAAAGGTGAGAAAAATACTGGATCAAAGGTGTTGAAGACAGTAGCCAAGACTAATTAATTCCCTTCAGCTTGAGCTTTCTGGGGCAGATAAAAAGATTTCCAGAATTTTACTTTTCTGAATAGATCTTATTTTGGATGAAAAATTATGTTGTGTTTTCAGCTTACTACCTGCCCAAGGATGATGAGTATTACCAGTTCTGCTATGTGGATGAGGATGGTGTGGTCCGGGGAGCAAGTATTCCTTTCCAATTCCGTCCAGAAAATGAGGAAGACATCCTGGTTGTTACCACTCAGGTTTGTAAAACTTCTCACCTCAATCCCTTACTGCCATTACGGGTAGCAATATAGGATAGGATGGAATTTGAGTTAATAAGGCTTTATTGAATATCTAACGGGTATCATTGGAAAAAATGTATGTAGTACTCACACAGACTCACTCAGGAATGACTTCGGAATGTTAACAAGACTCATAACAATAAGTGGTTTCTTCTTTTCTAAAACTTCTTTAACTCAGCTGGCATTCAGTTATTCTTTTAACTTTCCAATTGCTTAATTTTTGTCATCTACACATCTTATCACAATGGTAAATGTAAAAGCTCCTTTGAGGAGAGAAGCACCAAATATTCTTATCTCTTTCAGTTCTGGCCTACAGCCTGTCTGTCATACGTGAGTATTAGATTCATTTTCTTACTTCATCATTTAACAGGACACCTACTTTTCATCCAGCACTATGGTAGGCACTGGGAACACAATGAAGAATCAGTTAAAACACTGTCCTTGGCCTCAAGGAGCTAAGTCCATTGGGAGAGACAAACAATACTAAGCGTCTGCAAGAAGAAGCTACATTCTTATATCATTGTTCCTTTTAATTTTAATGGATATAATTTTTGCTTGCCTTTCTTGGTATTGCTGCAATTATAAAGACATACCTCTGTTATACCCTTACCTAGGTATTAAGGAGCAGCCCCCATCTGGGATACATAGGTGTCACTGCAGTGAATGGGAATCAGCCAGTCCCTCACCATCCTAACCTATGGGAATTTTCTGCTAGAGGGACTTGGAATATAGTTTATGGAATGTTCTTTTGTAGGGAGAGGTGGAAGAGATTGAGCAGCACAACAAGGAGCTTTGCAAAGAAAACCAGGAGCTGAAGGACAGCTGTATCAGCCTCCAGAAGCAGAACTCAGACATGCAGGCTGAGCTCCAAAAGAAGCAGGTATGGCTGCTGGTTATAGGTGACCTTGGAGCATGGAGATCAGAATTGGATGGTGCCTCTTATCCAGCACCATATTCTGTTTTGCCTGTGATCTCACCTTCTTATACCAGTATCTTTGAACAGGCATTAGTTTTGTTTGTTTGTTTGAAATGGAGTCTCACTGTGTCACCCAGGCTGGAGTGCAAGGGTGCGATCCTGGCTCACTGCAACCCCCATCTCCCAGGTTCAAGCGATTCTCCTGCCTCAGCCTCCCGAGTAGCTGGGATTACAGGTGATCACCACCACACCCAGCCAATTTTTATATTTTTTAGAGACAGGGTTTTACCATGTTGGCCAGGCTGGTCTCGCACTCCTGGCCTCAGGTGATCCACTCGCCTGAGCTTCCCAAAGTGCTGGGATTATAGGCATGAGCCACCGTCCCTGTCTGAATATCTCCTTTTAATTGTTCATATGTTGAAATGATATTTTAGGTACATTCGGTTAAATATACTATCATTTGGCCAGGTGCAGTGGCTCACACCTGTAATACCAGCACTTTGGGAGGCCAAGATGGGTGGATCACTTGAGGTCAGGAGTTCGAGACCAGCCTGGCCAATATGACAAAACCCCGTCTCTACTAAAAATACAAAAATTAGCCAGGAGACCGGGCGTGGTGGCTCATGCCTGTAATCTCAGCACTTTGGGAGGCCGAGGCAGGTGGATCACAAGGTCAGGAGTTTGAGACCAGCCTGGCCAAGATGGTGAAACCCCGTCTCTACTAAAAATACAAAAATTAGCCAAGCATGGTGGTAGGCACCTGTAATCCAAGCTACTCAGGAGGCTGAGGCAGGAGAATTGCTTGAACCTGGGAGGCAGAGGTTGCAGTGAGCCAAGATCACACCCCTGCACTCTAGCCTGGGCAACAGAGCAAGACTCTGTCTCAAAAAAAAATTAGCCAGGCATGGTGGCATGCGCCTGTAATCCCGGCTACTCAGGAGGCTGAGGCAAGATAATTGCTTGAACCCGGGAGGCAGAGATTGCAGTGAGCCAAGATCACGCCACTGCACTCCAGCCTGAGCAACAGAGCAAGACTTTATCTCAAAAAAAATTAAAAACAAAAAATATATATATATGCATACACATAGTATTATTAAAATTAGTCTGTTTCTTTTTACCTTTTTAAAAATGTGCCTCCTAAGATTTTAAAATTATATGTAGCTCTCACTTATTGAACAGCGCTGTTCTAGGAAAAGGGCAGTTCTGTCTATTTTGTCCACTGTTGTGTCTGCAATGCAAGAACAGTGTCTAGTGTGGAATAGGCTCTCAGTAAATATTTGTTTAATGAACAAATTATAAGCTCCAGTGGAATGAGAAATTAAGGTGATGCATTTTTAATATAAAAAGAGCATTTTGTGACCAGGCGCAGTGGCTCATGCCTGTAATCCCAGCACTTTGGGAGGCTGAGGCACAACAATTGCGTGAACCCGGGCGACAGAGGTTGCAGTGAGCCAAGACTGCGCCACTGCACTCCAGCCTGGGCAATAGAGTGAGACACTGTCTTAAAAAAAAAAAAAAAAGAACATTTTCCTTTTATTTGAGTATTTCATTTACTGCTGTGTCATGCTATGCCTGACATATAGTAAGTGCTCAATAAATATTTGTTGCCTGCCTAAGATACTCATTCAAAAGTCATAGAACTAGTCTGTCCCTTTGATGTTGTTTCAATCTATAGGAGGAGCTAGAAACCCTACAGAGCATCAATAAGAAGTTGGAACTGAAAGTGAAAGAACAGAAGGACTATTGGGAGACAGAGCTGCTTCAGTGAGTGCATCCCATAATTCTGGGAGGGGAAGAGCTGCTGTACCATCAGTACCCTTAAGTACAGTCAGATTAGATTTCTGGAATTTGTGAGAAAACACTGTTATGACATTGATGATGTGATTCTCCACCCTTTGAATCATGAATTAGAAAATTGGTATCAGAATAGTCAGGAAAAATGATCTGATTTCAAATATTAACTTTAGGGATTGAATACTTGCAGTTTTTTGGAGTCAGGAAGCCAAAACAGGACTGCAATGGAGACTAGTAGATTTTTAAATAATTCTGCAGGCTTAGGGCCAAGCCAGCCTTAAATCACTTAAGGCCAGGGGTAGCTGACCTGGAATCAGTGAATTTTTCACATAGTTATCTCCACCTCTACAGACTGAAAGAACAAAACCAGAAGATGTCCTCAGAAAATGAGAAGATGGGAATCAGAGTGGATCAGCTTCAGGTAGGTAATGCCATATGTTTGTCAAAGGATATTTTCTTAGCCTTACCACTGCTCCAATTTGGTGGCCTAGAAAGATGTATTTCATTGCAGTGAGTGCCTAATGGCATACTTTTCAAAGTATCACACTAAAGTTTCAGGTTATGTATTTTCCATTCTTGGACCAGGTAAGCCTCCACCCTACCCATGCCCCTGCTTTTAAAAAAAAAAAAATCATGATTCACAGCCGGGCGCAGTGGCTCATGTCTGTAATCCCAGCACTTTGGGAGGCCAAGGCAGGTGGATCACCTGAGGTCAGGAGTTCGAGATCAGCCTGGCCAATATGGCAAAACCCCGTCTCTACTAAAAATACAAAAATTAGCTGGGCGTGCTAATTTACAGGCGCACGTGTAATTCCAGCTACTCGGGAGGCTGAGGCAGAAGAATCACTTGAGCCCCGGAGGCAAAGGTTGCAGTGAATAGAGATTGCACCACTGCACTCCAGCCTGGGTGACAGAGCAAGACTCTGTCTCAAGAGAAAAAAAAAAAAAAATCATGATTCACAAGGAACTTAGTGATTTGTTCATGTATTACTAAGGTAGTTTACCATGAGCTCTTAATATAGATGACAATCATCTATATCAATAATCAAACTTTAATCTTTTCAAGCAAAATCGTACTCAAAAGTCTGGAATATAGAGCAGATAGCAGAACTGCTCTCATTTTTAGGAAGCTATGCCTTAAAGAGGTGCTTTAAAGAGTGATTTGTCTAATTTTACTCAGTTGGCAGTTGGGAGTTGCTAGGGAAACACATCTCTTTGTTATTGTACGTTAAAAAGCATTGTTCCTGTTTTGTTTTCCTTCTTTTATATCTTGGTTATGTTCACTATTTTTGTTTTAGGCCCAGCTGTCAACTCAAGAGAAAGAAATGGAGAAGCTTGTTCAGGGAGATCAAGATAAGACAGAGCAGTTAGAGCAGCTGAAAAAGGAAAATGACCACCTCTTTCTCAGTTTAACTGAACAGGTAGAGTCATGAGAGAAAACAACACTTTTAGGCATTTGCAAGAAAATATACGTTGTTCTTTGTATAAAGAACATTTTAATGTTCTTTAATATACCTGGATGTCACTGGCTTTAGGAAAGGGCTCAGAGGAAGCTATCTGAAATGAGATAGCTCATGGCTTTCTTCAGAAACTGACGAGAGAAGACTTGCCTCTCCCTATGCATCCTGCTTGCTCATTAGCTTAGCAGGCCCTTCCATGGTGTGTGTGTGCATGTGTGTGTTTTCCCAGCAATGGTACTGAAATCTCTTTTTGTGCAGAGGAAGGACCAGAAGAAGCTCGAGCAGACAGTGGAGCAAATGAAGCAGAATGAAACTACTGCAATGAAGAAACAACAGGAATTAATGGCATGTCTGTCTTTGGATGGTTATGTGGGAGGGAGCCTATAGGGATGTAGAAGAAAAGGATATGGGCCTATTTTCCGGTTGATGGACAGGATAAATAAGAGAGTGTTCACCTCTAGATGTTTTGCTTTCTAGCCAAAAGGACAGAGAATCTGCCATTTATAAAATGTTTAGAAGTGGGCATTTCTAATATGTGATAAGTAATAAAGGAATATTGCAAGTTAAACTTCATGACAAGATGTAGTTAACTAGATCCTTGGACTAGGGCTCACACAGAATAACCCCTACCCTCTTCTTACAGAGTTACAATAGGGGCAGACAAATGAATGGTTATAAAGGGCTCTACGACAGGAAAATATACCACCCAAAGCAAATCTTGTTATAATTAATATATTAGCAATTATCATCATTATCAATTATGTAGGAATGAAAGGCTAATTGACTAATAATTTCCTGTAATATATTGTTGAAAAAGAGTCCCCAGGGCGTTGACAGGTGCCTGGAAGCCCCGTTTACTTAGTTGATCCAAGGACATGAGTAATCCTGATGTCTGAGGGATATCCAGTCATCTGATTATAATTCACATCATATATGCATCATCCAGTCAACCATTGAGTACCTACTGTATCTAAGATACTGTATGCTTTAGCATGATATAGGAAAGAGTAGAACAAAGTTTGCAAATCAGCAGATCATAGGTCAAGGTCAGACCACAGAAATGTTTTAGAAAGTAGTTACCAACATTTAAAAATAGGAATATTTCCCATAAAAATTTGTATTTCCAACTTCCTTTGGGAAATGAAGGGACCTAGCAACATTGAGCCCACATTCCTGTGCAGCAGCAATAGCTAGAGCTGAGTAGCTGCTGTCCCTATAGATTCTCCATCTAGCTGCAGTCTGCACTGTTTTATTGCATTCAGTTCCTTCGTTTGATTACATTTCTTGCCTGCTCTCTATAGGCACATTCCAGTTTGTGACCTCTGATGTAGCAAATAAATTACTGTTTTAAATGATCTATAGTCCCGGCTGGGTGCGGTGGCTCGCGCCTGTAATCCCAGCACTTTGGGAGGCGGAGGCAGGTGGATCACCTGAGGTCAGGAGTTCGAGACCAGCCTGACCAAAATGGAGAAACCCCGTCTCTACGAAAAATACAAAAATTAGCCGGGCATGGTGGTGGGCGCCTGTAATCCCAGCTTCTCAGGAGGCTGAGGCAGGAGAATCGCTTGAACCTGGGAGGCGGAGGGTGCAGTGAGCTGAGATCGCGCCATTGCACTCCAGCTGGGGCGACAGAGCGAGACTCCGTCTCAAAAAAAAAAAAAAAAAGGTTTGAACCTCTTTGTGATAGGTATGGATTTCCTTGGTTTTCTTTTATTTATATATATATATATTTTTTTTTTTTTTTTTTTTTTTTTTTTTGAGACAGTCTTGCTCTGTCACCCAGGTTGGAGTGCGCTGACCTGATCTCAGCTCACTGCGACCTCCACCTCCCGGGCTCAAGCTATTCTCCTGCCTCAGCCTCCTGAGTAGCTGGGATTACAGGCACCCGCCACGATGCCCGGCTAATTTTTGTATTTTTAGTAGAGACGGGGTTTTGCCATGTTGGCTAGGCTGGTCTCAAACTCCTGACCTCTGGTGATCCACCCACCTCGGCCTCCCAAAGTGCTGGGATTACAGGTGTGAGCCACTGCACCCGGCCAATTTTCTTAGTTTTCATGGAATATTTTTCAAGACCTAGGGGCTCCCCACCTGGCTGATAGCAATCCTAATTCCTCATACATCCTAAAAGGCCGCTAAATATGAGTACTGTGTATCTTATGCTTCAGGAGCCTAGGAACAAGAAAGCGGCACTAACTGTGGAGGAGCAGTTAGCACAAGAGGTGGAACGCCTTAAGGCAAAGGTAGAGGCCAGGAAAGCCTATTTCTTAGAGAAGTACAAAGAGTGTCAATGACTTCACAAACAGATCAGCCAACTCGGGGCGGCTGCACTGGTAGGTGACAGAGATAAGGGGGCCCAGGAAAGCAAGAGGTGCAAAGGTTAGTGGTTCTTAGACCAAGTCCAGAAAATGGTACACCCTTGTTAAGGTGAGAAAGTTATCTTTGCACTAAAAAGAGGGATGTAGTGTATGGCCAGAAACTAGCATGGGGGTCCCTGGAAATACTGGCCCCAACTTAGCCACAGGTCTCAGGGAAGGTTTTTGTAACTATCAAGCAGGTTTCTGTGCAGACTCAGAGAGCCCTTTCTTATTTCTGCCTTTTGAGGAAGTGAAGCAGGACTAGAAGAGCCATCAGGAGCCAACGGGGATGGGAAGCAAGGAGCCTGCAGTCAGCATTGTCACTGGGTAGCCCCCTCTGGCATTACTACCTCAGGGTCGGCTAGACATGCACAGCAGTTTGGGCACCAGCATTCAAATAAAAAATCTTGGATGAAAAACCACAACTAGTAGGCTTAGCTTAAGTGTGTTTGTGAGGTATGCACATGTGTATGTATGCAGGTAGAAGATGGGAAGCTCTGAAGCATGAAACCAGTTAGGTCAACCCATCACACTGGGTTGCTTATGGCCCCAGTCTGAGCTCCTTGTATCCTTGGACAAATGCCTTCCTGTGTTCCCTCTTCCTTCATGTAACTTGAGCCGAGATGCCTATTCTCACACTGTAGGAAGGAATCACACTAACCCAAACCTAAGTGCTTCAGGCTTCGCTGAGTGAGACGTTTATTCAAAACAAAGATTATTGTTTTCATGGTTAGGTGGGATTCAACAAGGTTTCATTTATCCCTAATTCTGATAAGTCAGTCTTGAGATTTTCCCCAAGGTTGCTTTTTCCCTCCTTGGTCACTTATACCCTCAGCTAAACCAAAAAAAAAAAAAAAAAAATTGGCATCTTGATGCCAGCTCAGGCCTTCAGGTGTCTTTTTAAGTCACTTTAATTTAGCACCCTGCCCATAGTACCATTTCTTCCTCCCAGTTGCGTTCTCCTCCATCTCAGTCTCCCCGCTTTGCAATGCCAGATTCTCTACAATTTCTCACCTTGTACCCAGACTGCAATATGTGATCCTAATCCTAATTTTTTTTATTGTTGACAGGATGAAAACTTTGACCTGTCAAAAAGACTGAGTGAGAACGAAATTATATGTAATGCTCTGCAGAGACAGAAAGAGAGATTGGAAGGAGAAAATGATGTAAGTGTGTGAAAGAGGGTATAAAACCCCAAGGTTTTAAGGGGAAGGATCAGGGTGGCCCAGAGATGTAGTGAAAAAAATAAAAAGTTAAGGGCCCTTTCTGGGACAGTGGGTGAAACAGTTGTTCCTAAACGAAGAGTAAATTTAATCTAATTTCCTAATCTACCACAAAACCCTGTCTTTATTCTACAACTGAAATTTGTTTGGCATGGCAATAGTCACCTTGAAAGAAGCCACACTGATGAAGACCTAACTTATTTTTGCTTTTAACTTCACAGCTAATATATGTTGCCTTGGGGGATAGGGGAATAACGTCCTACATAACTTTATGCTAGTGGGGAACTCCTTTTCTTCAGCACAACTTTTTCCTTTTTCTCTGCTGCCAAACCAGGAGCAGAAGTGGTGGTCTGTACCAGTGCTGGACCCATGGTAGGCCCCTAATAAATGCTGTGCATTCATTCATTCATTCATTCATTCATTCATTGGTTCATTCATTCATCCAACCAACATTTATTATTGATTGAAGATGATATGGCAAAAAATAAAGTGGTTGTACTTGAAGTCAAGGTCATTCTCATGTTCTTTCTTTTCTTTTTTTTTTTTTTCTTTTTTTGTTGTTGTTGTTTTTGAGACAAGGTCTCACTCTGTCACCCAGGCTTGGAGTGCAGTGGCACAAGCTTGGCTCACTGCAGCCTTGATCTCCTGGGCTCAAGTGATCGTCCTGCCACAGCCTCCCAAGTAGCTGGGACTATAGGCATATGCCACCATGCCCGGCTAATTTTTTTTTTATTTTTAGTAGAGACAAGGTCTTGCTGTGTTGCCCAAGCTGCTCTCAAACTCCTGGGCTCAAGCAATCCTCCTGCCTCGGCCTCCCAAAGTGCTGGGATTACAGACATGACCCACCACGCCCGGCCCATTCTCATGTTCTTGCTCAGCATCAAATAATAGGTGTCCATGCATTCTGGCTGCTACTCCTGTATCTATACTTCCATCAATTCTTCATCTTTACCCTTTTTTTTTTTTTTTTGAGACGGAGTTTCACTCTTCTTGCCTAGGCTGGAGTGCGATGGCACGATCTCAGCTCACCGCAACCTCCACCTTCCGGGTTCAAGCGATTCCCCTGCCTCAGCCTCCTGAGTAGCTGGGATTACAGGCAATTGCCACCACGCCTGGCTAGTTTTGTATTTTTAGTAGAGACGGGGTTTCTCCATGTTGGTCAGGCTGGTCTCGAACTCCTGACCTGAGGTGATCCACCCGCCTTGGCCTCCCAAAGTGCTGGGATTACAGGCGTGAGCCACTGCACCCGGCCCTTTTTTTTTTTTTTTTTTTTTTTGAGACGGAGTCTCACTCTGTTGCCCAGCCTGGAGTGCAGTGGCATGATCGTGACTCACTACAACCTCCACCTCCTGATCTTTACCCTCTATAATCCTTCTGGCCTATGCCTCCTAGTGATCATTTTTACTATTTTTTTCTTTTTAAAATTGCGGTTAAAACACATAAAATTTGGCTGGGCGCGGTGGCTCACGCCTGTAATCCTAGCACTTTGGGAGGCCAAGGCAGGTGGATCACAAGGTCAGGAGATCGAGACCATCCTGGCTAACACAGTGAAACCCCGTCTCTACTAAAAATACAAAAAAAAAATTAGCGAGCTTGGTGGCAGGCGCCTATAGTCCCAGCTACTCAGGAGGCTGAGGCAGGAAAATGGCGTGAACCCAGGAGGTGGAGCTTGCAGTGAGCCAAGATCGTGCCACTGCACTCCAGCCTGGCTGACAGAGCAAGACTACATCAATAGAATAGAATAGAATAGAATAGAATAGAATAGAATAGAATAGAATAGAATAGAATAGAATAGAATAGAAAATAGAATAGAATAGAATAGAATAGAATTTTACCATCTTAATAATGTAAAAGTGTACAGTTCAGTAGAGTTAAGTGCATCACAGTGCTATGCAACAGATCTCCAGAACTTTTCCATCTTGCAACATTAAAACTTCATACCTACTAAAACATTAATTCTCCCTCACTTTCTACTTTTGATTATATCATTTATGCCAATGTGTTTCATAATTGCAGAAGGCTTTTTGGGTTCTCTTTCTAGTCTTGTTATTCCCATTCTCTCTTTTTTGTTTTGTTTTGCTTTTGTTTTGTTTGTTTGTTTGTTTTTTAGAGTCTTGCTCTGTTATCCAGGCTGGAGTGCAGTGGCACCATCTTGGCTCACTGCAACCTCCACCTCCCAGATTCAAGTGATTCTTGTGCTTCAGCCTCCTGAGTAGCTAGGATTGCAGGTGCGCACCACCACACCCAGCTAATTTTTGTGTTTTTAGTAGAGAGGGGGTTTCACCATGTTGCCCAAGCTGGTGTTGAACTCCTGGGCTCAAGCAATCCGCCCACCTCAGCCTCCCAAAGTGATGGGATTACAGGCATAAGCCACTGTGTCCGGCCTATTCCCATTCTCTTAATTTATACCTTGAGTTTGAAATCCCTGTTTTCCTGAGTTAGTTTGATTGTGGGGGGGGGCAGGTGCACACACAGTTTGCAAAACAAAGGGAAAGATTTGGTATTTGGAAGCTTTGTTAAGAACTGTAGGCCGGGTGCTGTGGCTCACGCCTGTAATCCCAGCACTTTGGGAGGCCGAGGCGGGTGGATCACGAGGTCAGGAGTTCAAGACCAGCCTGGTGAAACCTCATCTCTACTAAAAATACAAAAAAGTAGCCAGGTGTGGTGGTGCATGCCTGTAATCCCAGCTACTCAGGAGGCTGAGGCAGGAGAATCGCTTGAACCCGGGAAGTGGAAGGTTGCAGTGAGCTGAGATCGCACCACTACACTCCAGCCTGGGCGACAGAGCAAGACTCTGTCTCAAAAAAAAAAAAAAAAAAAAAAAAAAAAGAACTGTAGTAAAGCCCTCTTAAGATGATAAGGGAATTTTGCTTATTTTCTTTTTCCTAAGAACTTGAAATGCTGTCTGTGCCACTTTTAGTAATTTTTTTCTCTTTTTCATTACCTCCCTCCCACCCTGTCTTCTTACTCATTCTCTGTGTTGATATATCCATTTGAATGGGATAAGACCTGAAGAAGGAAAAATTATTTTAGGTGAATATTTGCATTGTGTAAGAAATTATTCTAGGAAAGAAACTGAAAAAATATTCTGCTCTCAATAATATACAACACTGGGAGGCCAAGGCAGGAAGGTCACTTGAAGCCAGGAGTTTGAAACCAGCCTGGGCAACAAAGCAAGAGCCTTTCATCTCTACAAAAAATTTAAAAATCAGCCAGGCACGGTGTCGTGTGCCTGTAGTCCCAGCTACTAAGGAGGCTGAGGTGGGAGGGTTGCTTGAGCCCATGAGTTCAAGGCTGCAGTAAGCTATGATCTCACCCCGCACTCCAGCCTGGGTGACCAAGCAAGACCCTGTCTCTAAAAAAAACAAATTTAACAACAACAATAATAATATACAATAGTTTCAACGTTAATATACCTATCAGAATAGTTGCAGTGTTAATATAGCTCCTGCCACTTTCATATATCTACATATTTGTTCCTCCCTGTAGTTGGCATGTATTTAGAGATTTAAAACTTTTTTGTATTAATATAAACAAAATGTAGTAAATATATTTAAATTCAGGTATAGGCTGGGCACAGTGGCTCACACCTGTAATCTCGACACTTTGGGAGGCCAAGGCGGGCGGATCACTTGTGGTCAGGAGTTCGAGACCAGCCCGGCCAACATGGTGAAACCCGTCTCTACTAAAAATACAGAAATTAGCTAGGCGTGGTAGTGGGTGCCTGTAATCCCAGCTACTTGGGAGGCTGAGGCACAAGAATCACTTGAACCTGGGAGACGGAGGTTGCAGTGAGCCGAGATGGTGCCACTGCACTCTGGCCTGGGTGACAGAGCAAGACTCTGACTCAAAATAAATAAATAAATAAATTCAGGTATAAAGAACTTAGATCTTTGGAATATTGAAACTGCTGCCTTCTCTTCTGAAGAATTATGGATTATCAATTATTGAGTTTCTCCAGTGCCACATTGCTAATTGAGAACTACCTGGGAGGGGCATCTCCTAGCCAGTTCCTGGTGGCCATTCTTGGTATTGTCTTTCAACATGTCTATAAATCCTCTATCCTTAGCTTTTGAAGAGGGAGAACAGCAGATTGCTCAGTTACATGGGTCTGGATTTTAATTCTTTGCCGTATCAAGTACCTACTTCAGATGAAGGAGGCGCAAGACAAAATCCAGGACTTGCCTATGGAAACCCATATTCTGGTAAGACAACTTTCCCATTCCAACTGGAAGGACCCTGCCTGCATCCCTTTCCCCTACTAAATTTTTGTTTCTGAGGTGCTAATTAAGACCAGTCTCATTGTTAAGACTTGCTGGGCAGAAGCTGAGGACCCAGTAGAAAGATTGCCAGGCGAGAAGTGTTAATTGAGAAATAAATCTGAATCCAGAAGACACAAATCAGATCATTCGCCTAGAGGCAGCAGACACAAATTGAGTCCCGTGGCTATATTCCAAATGTGTAAATCAGAGAAATGTCTTTATGTAGAAGATATACACATACAAAGCTGAGGAAGCTAATTAAGGTTTTGAAATGGTAGCAAGAGAGGCAAGTTATGCCGCCCAGGAACTAGCAGTTACAGCAGCCACCCTGATGGCTAACCAAGGATGACAGAAACGTGCTCCACAGAGACTCCTCGATGGTAGGACAGGAAATGGGGGTGAAAAGGACTTGGGGTAACATGTCCTTGCCAAACAGGGAGCTTTTCTCATTTGTCTCCAAAAGCAATATGAGATCTCATTTACTTTTTGGGACAGTTAAAGCAGCAGTATTATCTTTAGAGTTACAACCAGATGTTTATAACAGGCAACAAGTTTATTTTTCCTTTAAAATAAGTTTGTGGCCGTGCGCGGTGGCTCACACCTGTAATCCCAGCACTGTGGGAGGCCGAGGCGGGCAGATCACCTGAGGTCAGGAGTTCGAGACAAGCGTGGCTAACGTGGTGAAACCCTGTCTCTACTAAAAATACAAAAATTAGCTGGGCATAGTAGTGGACTTGGCTCACTGCAACCTCCGTCTCCTGGGCTCAACCGATCCTCTCACCTCAGTGCAACCTCCGCCTCCTGGGCTCACCTGATCCTCTCACCTCAGCCTACCAAGTAGCAGAGACTAAGGCGCCAGCCACCACACCCAGCTAATTTTTGTATTTTATGTAGAGATGGGGTTTTGCCATGTTGCCCAGGCCGGTTTCGAACTCCTGAGCTTAAGCAGTCCACCCACCTCAGCCTCCCAAAGTGCTGGGATATGTGAGCCATCGTACCTGACTGTGGATACAGTCTTAAAACCTATTCTCAGATAGTCATTAAATTGTTACTGTTTTTATTAAAATCTCATTTTCCCCAATCTGAAAATAGCTTTGTTGTTTTTTTCTGACTGTATAACATATATATATATGTATATATATATATGTGTGTGTGTATATATATATATATAAAGCCTGTGTGTGTGTGTGTGTGTGTGTGAAATGAAAATACAATTTTCATTTGTAATTTTATTTTGAAATAATGAAAATACAATTTCAGGCTGGGTGTCGTGGCTCACTCCTGTAATCCCAGCACTTTGAGAGGCCGAGGCAGGCGGATCACTTGAGGTCAGGAGTTTGAGACCAGCCTGGCCAACATGGAGAAACCCTGTCTCTACTAAAACTACCAAAAATTAGCCAGGCATGGTGGTAGGCACCTGTAATCCCAGCTACTCAGGAGGCTGAGGCAGGAGAATTGCTTGAACCCAGGAGACAGAGGCTGCAGTGAGCTGAGATCACACTAGTGCACTCCAGCCTAGGCGACAAAGCGAGACTCTGTCTCAAAAAAAAAAAAAAAATACGATTTCATTATTTATGTTTTCTTTTCACCTTATCATTGACCTAGATCCCCTCTATCAGAAGTAACGGTATATATATGAGAGAGAAAGAATCAGAGGCATTGAGGAGAAAGGGAACAATGAAAGTTACAGGAAATATCTGCCAGAACACAGTTGGAGAAGCTAGGGATGGTATTTTCTCATTGAATGAGATCTTTTTTATTCTTTTCAGGTATCCAAGAAAGTTCTTCCCCCAGCCCGGTAAGTATTTGATTCATGAGAATATTCCCACAAAGCACTTGAAAATTTCCCTTCCTGCTCCAGTTCATGGGAGAACCATAGGGAGACAGGTTCATTTTGATAACTCCAGAAGTCAGCTGGATCAGTTTGTTTTGGGCCCAAGGCTGAGCCAGCCTGTTGTGGAAGGGAGATGAAAGCACAGTTCATCCATCAGCATTTTGCTTAGGATCTATACCTTTGAATTATTTGGTAGCATAAGTAGGGAGGAGATCTGAACCAGGCAGCTAGCCAAACAAGTTCTGTCCAATGCCCCTTCAAGGCTAGAAGCTATGTTGGCTATTTCAGCAATATTAGGCCATTTCAATTCTGGGGTTAGACGAAGCCTGGTAAGCATCTTCAAATGTGCATTCTCTTCATTCATTCACTATTTCTTGAGTGCCTAACCATGTGCCAGTCATTATGCTAGGCACTGAGGATACAGTGGAAGACAGGATGGCCACATCTGTGCCACATATAGCTTACATTTGTACTGACCTCTTTGCTCTTCCTCCCAGCTCTCCATCAAGAAATGCCCTATCTGCAAAGCAGATGATATTTGTGATCACACCTTGGAGCAACAGCAGATGCAGCCCCTTTGTTTCAATTGTCCAATTTGTGACAAGATCTTCCCAGCTACAGAGAAGCAGATCTTTGAAGACCACGTGTTCTGCCACTCTCTCTGAGTATCCCAACCTCTTGGATGTATACAGAGATTTTATAGAATAGAACCTATAGCTTCTACCATGAGTTATATGAGTCAAGATCCTGCCTAACCTGAAATTATTAGGGATTTACTCAGCCCTGCTGCCGCTAACAGTGGAGTTATGTCACTGATCTGAAGGTCACTGTTAAGGGCTTCTGCTGCCATCCTTGTGGGTTGCTACCTTTAAGTCGCATAACTCTAGCTGTATCATCCTCTCACCTGTCATTCTTCTGAGGGTCTCAGTACAAGGGCCCTGGGATGGAGCCAACCTGGGTATTCACAACAGGCCTGACTTGATACTAAGTGATTAGTTTTCCAAGTTGTCCCACTGCCATTCAAAGTCAGCCCTTGAGTGTATTTGTTCTCAGTCCTAACCCTGGGGCCAGAGATTGGTCCGAGGTTGAGAATTCCTTCCTCCTCATCCTTGGTGTTGCTTTCTCCAAATGATTGTTTTAGACTAGCCAAAAATGCCGTGGCAAAGAGCTCAGAAATCCAATTTGGATACCAAAGGTTTCTCATGTTAATTTCTCAGCCCCCAAAGAAGCATCTTACTCCTGAACCTTAGACAGGAAGTATTGTTTCAGTCACAGAAAGCTTTTCTGGGTACCTCTGGTTAGCACTTTCTACTCTCTGATATTTCCTATGTACATAGCTTTTATTGTTGTAAATCCTTTCTTAATGGTTAAATAGGATTGTTAGCAACTATGGGTTTGCAGTTTTCTGAGTAGGTGAGTTTTGAATATGGGTAAATCAGAATAATGAGACAACTTGTTAATCTCTTTAATACTAAAAATAAATTACTCTTCTATTTCAGGGACTTAGGTAATTTAAAATAAACCTTCAATTTATGGTCTTCTGTTTTGAAGCTCATGGGAAAATTGTGATCAAAAGGGCTATGGGAAGGGCAGACCCCGCCAATGATTTCTCTTCACCTGTCTTAAGATTAAATAAAAAAGAGTGTCCTGGCAGTTATCTTGAGGTGGGGAAGGAGGTGATGAAACATTAGTTTGTGAAATCCAAGGCCCTGGCTTGCTTTCTTTCTTTTTTTTTTTTTTTTTTTGAAACAGTCTCTCTCTGTCACCCAGGCTGGCGTGCAATGGCGCAGTTGACTCACTACAGCCTCTGCCTCCCAGGTTCAAGCGATTCTCATGCCTTAGCCTCCCAAGTAGCTGGGATTACAGGTGTGTGCCGCAATGCCCAGCTAATTTTTGTGTTTTTAGTAGAGACAGGGTTTCACTATGTTGGCCAGGCTGGTCTCGAACTCCTGGCCTCACGTGATCTGTCCACTTCAGCCGTCCAAAGTGCTGGGATTACAAGCGTGAGCCACTGTGCTGGGCCCGAGGCCCTGACTTCTTGCTGTAACTTTCCATGCATTTTTTTTAAAAGGAGCAGTGTGGATTTTCGCACCCTTTGTGAACTAAGTTCAATGCGCTCTATCCAAATTTGCCTAATTGAACTATAAGAAAGTAATAATTCCATTTTCTATCCCCTCAGGGACTGAACAAATGGAAATAACTCCCAGGCAGTATCAGGTGGTCACTACAGAGACTTCCACAAAAACTTTTGAATGATGTGAAACACGATGTCATGAATAAGGGTTGAGCCAACTATAGCTCTGTGTTCCTACTGGGCTTTCCCTAATGTGGTTGGGAGTTATGCCCTAGACTAACTGTATTGTCCTAGTCACAGCTCCTTGCTTTGATTTCATCCTTGATAAAATGAAGATGAAACTTACACTACTTCTCCAAGCCTTTTGCTGTCTTAAGAATAAGACCTGAGATTAACACTAACCCTAGAATAGAAATGTAATAGGGAGATGGTAATAAAGGAGTTTTTCTGGCACATACCCTCCCTACAGAATTTCTGTTGCTCCCCAGATCCAGTGAAGAATTGCAGTTTCATTTATTTTGTACCAGTCAGCTCTTAATTAAGTACATGAATGGAGAGGAACAGTGGTGCACATAATCCAAATCAGTGAATACCATTTTCTGGTGAATTACCCACCCCTTTGCCCCTGCTACCCCGAGGGTTACCATGATTGTCAACAGCAGCAGGAGCCCTTCCACAGGGCTTGGTAAAAAAACCAGTTGAGGTGTTAATGACCCTTTTTGCTGGGTGTAAAACAAAGCATCTTTAACCACTGTTCATTATCCCCAGCTGCTCTTACCAAGGCTTTGAAGGGGGAAATTATGCTCTAGGCAGCCACTAGTAGTAAACAATAGTTCTTTTTTTTGAGACAGAGTTTCACTCTGTCACCCAGGCTAGAGTGCAGTAGGCGCTCACTGCAAGCTCCGCCTCCCGAGTTCACACCATTGTCCTGCCTCAGCCTCCCGAGTAGCTGGGACTACAGGCGCCCGCCACCGCTCCCGGCTAATTTTTTGTACTTTTAGTAGAGACGGGGTTTCACCGCGTTAGCCAGGATGGTCTCGATCTCCTGACCTCATGATCCACCGGCCTCGGCCTCCCAAAGTGCTGGGATTACAGGCATGAGCCACTGCGCCCAGCCAACAATAGTTCTTATATAACCCACTGCCCACCCTGGCCTTCCTCCATCCCCCTCGCACCCACACATTATATAGCTGTAAAATACCTGCAAAAAATAGGAAGTTATGAGAGCAAATAGTTATCTGAGTTGAATTTTTGAATCTTTGTACTTGTTATGGCAACAGGTTTTCCTTCCTAATTTCTTTTCTCTTGGTCTAATATTAAAATGTTTTTGCATTACCTTAGCATGCTTACTGGATGGGCAGTGAAGGGAGAATAAAGTCACCCTGGCACATGTGAGTGTGAAAGAAAGCTAACTTAAAAAAAGGAGGCCGGGCACGGTGGCTCATGCCTGTAATCCCAGCACTTTGTGAGGCCGAGGCGGGTGGATCACGAGGTCAGGAGTTCAAGACCAGCCTGGCCAACATGGTGAAACCCCATCTCTACTAAAACTACAAAAAATTAGCCAGGTGTGGCAGCAGGCACCTGTAATCCCAGCTACTCGGGAGGCTGAGGCAGAGAATTGCTTGAACCCGGGAGGCGGAGGTTGCAGTGAGCTAAGATCGCACCACTTTACTCCAGCCTGAGCGACAGAGCAAGACTCTGTCTCAAAAAAAAAAAAAAAGAGAGAGAGAGTTGGCAAGATATTTGGTAAACCTAGGCCTTAACACCTATAGCTTCAGCTCTTTTCCCTGGTCTTGCTAAAAATTGGGATGAAATGTGACTGCCTTGATGTTCAAATATCATTCTCCTGTGATTTGATTTTCTACGGTGGCAGTGGCTTACACTGAGGTAAGCATACTCTAACCTGGTCTCCTAGGAACAAATGTGGATGAAATGTGGATGCAGTCCATTACCTGGGAAAAAAGCAAAATGGACTCTACATAGAGACAAGATCCAAAGAGATATTCATCTGATTGCCCTGAGTTAACCAACAATAGGCCATAAGCTCAGTGAAGTTACACTGGCCCCAGTGCTTTCCTTAGCTGCTCTCATATAAATATTCAAAAGTCTTAGTCGGTGCTCACGCCTGTAATCCCAGCACTTTGGGAGGCCAAGGTGGGCAGATCACGAGGTCAGGAGATCGAGACCATCCTGGCTAACATGGTGAAACCCCATCTCTACTAAAAATGCAAAAAATTAGCGGGGCTTGGTGGCAGGCACCTGTAGTCCCAGCTACTCGGGAGGCTGAGGCAGGAGAATGGCGTGAACCCGGGAGGTGGAGCTTGCAGTGAGCCAAGATCGCACCACTGCACTCCAGCCTGGGAGACAAGGTGAGACTCTGTCTCAAAAAAAAAAAAAAAAAAAAAAAAAGTCTTGGCCGAGTGCAGTGGCTCATGCCCATAATCCCAGCACTTTGGGAGGCTGAGGCAGGTGTATCACGAGATCAGGAGTTCGAGACCAGCCTGGCCAACGTGGTGAAACCCCATCTCTACTAAAAATTCAAAAACTAGCCAGGCATGGTGGCGGGCTCCTGTAATCCCAGCTACTCGGGAGGCTGAGGCAGGAGAATCGCTTGAACCCAGGAAGTGGAGGTTACAGTGAGCCGAGATCGCACCACTGCACTCCAGCCTGGGTGAAAGAGCAAGACTCCATCTCAAAAAAAAAAAAAAAAAAAGTTTTTAGGGCCAGTCATGGTGGCTCACATCTGTAATCCCATCACTTTAGGAGGCCGAGGTGGGCAGATCACCTGAGGTCAGGAGTTCAAGACCAGCCTGGCCAACATGTTGAAACCCCATCTCTACTAAAAATATGAAAAATTAGCCAGGAGTGCTGGCTCACGCCTGTAATCCCAACTCTTCGGGAGGCCGAGGCGGGTGGATCATAAGGTCAGGAGTTTCGGTCCAGCCTGGCCAATATGGTGAAACCCCGTCTCTACTAAAAAAAAAAAAATACAAAAATTAGCCAGGCGTGGTGGTGGGTGCCTGTAGTCTGGGCTACTCAGGAGGCTGAGGCAGGAGAATCACTTGAACCCAGGAGGCAGAGGTTGCAGTGAGCCGAGATCGTGCCACTGCAATCCAGCCTGGGCGACAGAGCGAGACTGTCTCAAAAAAAAAAAATAGCTGGGTGTAGTGGGGCATGCTTGTAATCCCAGGTACTTGGGAGGCTGAGGTTGAGGGTGCAGTGAGCTGAGATCGTGCCACAGTACTCCAGCCTGGATGATAAAGTGAGACTCCATCTCAAAAAAAAAGTCTTTAGGCCAGTGTGATGGCTCACACCTATAATACCCCGTGCTGGTATTGTTTGAGGCCAGGAGTTGGAGACCAGCCTGGTCAACATAGCAAGACCTCGTCTCTCCAAAATAAATAAATAATAAATAAATAAGCTAGGTATGGTGGCATGCACCTGTAGCCTCAGCTACAGGGGAGGCTGAGGCAAGAGGATCCCTTGAGCCCAGGAGGTTGAGGCTGCAGTGAGCCATGATTGCACCATTGCACTCCAGCTTGGGCCAGAGAGTTGAGACCCTATCTCTAAAAAAAATTAAAGTAATAAAATATCATTACATTCTTGTACCGCTTTATAGTTTAGAATGTATTTCACATATTCCCTGTGTGCCTCTCATAATCCTCCAAGACAAGGCAGCTATTAACTCATTTTTATGGATGAATAAGCTGAAACATGCAGAAATAACTTGCTAAAGGTGGAAACAATCCAAATGTCTATCAGCTGATGAATGGATAAATAAAATATGGTGTATCCATACAATGGGATATTATTTGTCAATAAACAGGAAGTAGTCATATATGTTGCAATATGGATGAGCCTTGAAATTATGCCAGGTGAAAAAAGCCAGTCAAAAAGACCACATTATTGTATGATTCCATTTATTTGAAATGTCCAGAATAGGCAAATTTGTAGTAACAAAATAGATTGGTTTCCTAGGGCTAGGGGTTGGGGGGAAATGGAGAGTGACTGCCAATAGGTATGGAGTTTCTTTTGGGAGGATAAAGAAAATGTTCTAAACTTCATTGTGGAGATGGTTACACGACCAAATATACTAAAAACCATCAAGTTACATACTGTTTTTTTTGAAACAAAGTCTCACTCTGTTACCCAGACTAGAGTGTGGTGCGATCTGGGCTCACTGCAACCTCCACCTCCCGGGTTCAAGTGATTCTTCTGCCTCAGCCTCCCGAGTAGCTGGGATTATAGGCGTGTGCCACCACAACCAGCTAGTTTTTGTATTATAGTAGAGACGGGTTTCACCATGTTGGCCAGGCTGGTCTTGAACTCCTGACCTCAAGTGATCCCCCCTGCCTCAGCCTCCCAAAGTGCTGGGATTACAGTCCTGAGCCACCGCACCCGGCCGAGTTACATACTTTAAATGGATGCATCTTATGCATTGTGAATTCGATCTCAAATTATCATTTGGGACATGAAGGATGTCTCAAATACAAACACAGAGCAAGTTAAACACTGTTGAACTTGGATAGATTACGGTGATGTCAGTACAATCACTGCCACAACTGTGCTGTGTTCTCCCCCTATCTTGGACTGGAGGCAGCAGCTTCAGTGCGATAGAATCAAGATTAATAGGGTCAAGGGAATTAGTGATAGCCCACCATTTGGCCAACAGCATTAGTGGTCTCTGGTAATATCTATTCTGTGGAGATGGATGTACCCAATAAAGTTGGGGGACAGAGTCACTGGCCCACAAATCCCAGGTAATCACATTAAGAGATCCAGCCTGCTCTGCCTAATGTTATTACTTTCTCCCTGTGGAAAGGAGAAATATGACACTCCAGGGGACTACATTCATTGTTTACTCAGTCAATCAACATTTATTGAGCACCCACAGTGTGCAGAGCTAGTATCAGACCAGGATTTGAAAAGTAAAAAGTTCTTCCCCTGAGGGATCTGCAAGATTAATGAAGTCTCTGCCCTCAGGGAGCTGGGAAACTGCTGGGGGAAAAAGTCTTCGGTTTCAGGGCTCTCCCAGTCAGATGGGGAAAGGAGAAAACCACCCAGAAAAGCAATGTAAAGATACTCACAGCACTACACTCTGACCAACTGAGCTAACCGGTTGGCAGCCCTAAGGACTCTTAAAAGATAAGGGAAGTCATCCTGCAAATTAAGGACTTGGCAGCTGTGGGACCTCAGTGTTAATTAAAGGTGTTTTGAAAGCCCAAGTTAAGGATGTTAGAGAAGTGTGCTTTGGAAGAGGCAGAGAGACAGAGATGGCAGACAGACACGGGGAATGTATTCTGAGGTTCTCTGCAAAGGCAGAAGGAGAAGCAGTACCAGAATGCGAAGGACTGGTAAGCAAAAATACTAGAACATAAAAAGAAATCAGTTTCTGTCCTGAAAGACACCACAACCTAGTTGAGCCACATTAACAAGCTTATTTGCGCTAACAAGGGGTAGGGTAAGGGTGGGGAAGGATTGTGTTATGAGGATATAGGAGTGGCTCAGAATCCCAGGTTGCAAGTCTCCCAGCACTGTACTCGGCCATAGTTCTTAAACCGCATGTGAATCTATAATTATCTCAAAGAGCATGTTGAGATGAGGGAATTGCAACCATGTGTGAGGTGAGGGTATAGTGTTCTAGTGTGTCATAGTGAGAGACAAGGCTCCATCCCGAGGCTGTAGGGGACAGTCCATTCTTTCAGTGGTTGTTGGTGTCCCTTGACTTGTGGCATCACTCCAAAACCTGCTTCCATGGCCACAGTGCCTCCTTCCTATGCCGCCGCCTCTCCTCAGTGTGTGTGCTCTGTGTGCCCTCTTATAAGGACATATGTCATTGGATTTAGGGCCCAGTTGGCTAATCCAGGATAAGTCTTTTCTTCAAGATCCTTAATCACCTTTTGTCATATAAGGCATTACTTGTTCAGTATGTAA
This sequence comes from Homo sapiens, assembly GCF_000001405.40. Classification (NCBI taxonomy): domain Eukaryota; kingdom Metazoa; phylum Chordata; class Mammalia; order Primates; family Hominidae; genus Homo; species Homo sapiens. The sequence goes on from NC_000017.11 coordinate 48,870,349, forward strand.
AGGGTATGAGAAGCCTGTGCAATGTGGCAAGACTCCTATCTACAAAAAAAGAAAAAGCCAGGCTTGGTGGCATGTGTGGACATCTCTTTTTGGGTGGGAGGGCACCATTCAACCCACTACAGAAAGGTAGGGGCAGATAAATGATTACTAGGATTCTGACCCAGCCAATCAAGATAGAACACACAGAAGAAACAGCAGCCTTCAGGGCTTGAACTTCAGGGAGGGAAGTTCAAGTTTTAACTGAATTTGAGGGTCTTGTGAGGATACTCAGTAGGCAATGGGATAAATGTTTCAGCAAAGAGCTGGGTTGGAGCTGCAGGTTATTCCTGACATGAGTGGCATAGCTGAAACCAAGGGAGTGGACGAGCAAATCTGGAGAGAAAAGATAGGGCAGGCTGAGGACAGACCCTGAATAATGCTAACTTTAGGAGTCAGGCAGGGGACCAGAAGCCATCCATGAAGGGAAGAAAAACCAGGAGAAAATGGGAAGGCTGAAAGCCAAGCAAGGAAATAGTTTCAGAAAATGAGTTCAATAGTGTCAAATACTAGTAGGGTAGGACTGGAAAGAAACCTTTGATTTTAGGAACTTAATGTTGACAGGCAGATAAGCTTTTTTCTCTCTTTAAAAAAATTTATTCTCATTAAAGAACACTTGAAATGCATGAAGTACAAAAGTATAGTTACATCAACCAAACACAATTATTAGCATTTCCATCCATTTTTTAAAACATTGTTTTCAGTCAGGGTTTCACTCTGTCACCCAGGCTAGAGTGCAGTGACACGATACTTCACTGCAACCTTCACTTCCTGGGCTCAAGTGATCCTCCCACCTCAGCCTCGGAGTAGCTGGGACTGCAGGCATATACCACCACGACCCAGTACATCTAGTTGTTTCTATATATAGGTGAGCTTGTGAGTTTTTTTGGGTTTTGAGATGGTATCTCACTCTATCTCACCCAGGCAGGAGTGGTGTGATCATGGCTCACTGCAGCCTCGACCTCCTGGGCTCAAGCAGTCCTCCTCCCTCAGCCTCCTGAGTAACTGGGACTGCAGGCACATGCCATGACACCTGGCTAATTTTTTTTTAAAAATTTTTGTAGAGACAGGGTCTTGCTATGTGGCCCAAGCTGGGCTTGAACTGGCCTCAAGTGATCCTCCTGCCTTGGCTTCCCATAGTGCTGGAATTATAAGTGTGAGCCACCATGCCTGGCCTAGGTGAGTGTTCTTTTTTTTTTTTTTAACACAAACAGAACTAGGTGAGCCTTCAAGGAAAGAAAAAAGACTGTGTGCATGTGTGCGTGCATGCCCGTGAATGCCTGCCTTGATTTCCAACACACGCGTCCTCCTTTAAATCCTCCCTGAGCTGGAGACTGACTTGTGGGCCCTGGGAGAGTGTGTGGGAGTGTGGAGAGTGACCTTTGGACCTGGGTACTTTCCGGCCCCTCCTCCCATGGAAGTTGCTGCACTGATTTGGCCTGTGCAAACACCAGGCACTTTTCGCTGGGTCAATATTTCACATCCGTTGTCAGGGTCTAATCCATCTTCAACATCTGTTCCCTGGGATGTTGTGCACTGCTCTGCCACCTATGACCCCTCATGGTCTTTGTCCCCAGAAGAGGATCTCTACAAGGTCCCCAGGGCTTTCTCCAGCTTGAGGCTGCTCGGTTCTTCTCTTTTTTTCCTCTTTAAACCCTCTCACCTTTGCCTGAGCCAATAATCTCCCTCAAATTACAGGGAGAAGCCCCTTCTGTCTGGAAGCCTTCCCTGGCTCCAGAACACAGGGACGTGGTAGCTGCTGTTGTGTAGAATTCAGCAAACCTCACCTGCCAGTGGGTCCAGAACACGTTCTGACCCAGTGTCCTGCTTGCCACCTTGTACTTCCTGACTGCTGCTTCCTGCTGTGAGCCTGCTGGAGCCCTGGGGACACACATTTACTTGAATAACATCTCAAAATAGACTGGGAAGACAAAATGTACTACAAGGGGCCAGGCACCGTGGCTCATGCCTGTAATCCTAGCACTTTGAGGGGCTGAAGCAGGCGGATTGCCTGAACTCAGGAGTTCAAGACCAGCCTGGGCAACAGGGTGAAACCCCATCTCTACTAAAATACAAAAAATTAGCTGGGCGAGGTGGTGGGTGCCTGTAGTCCCAGCTACTCAGGTGGCTGAGGCAGGAGAATTGCTTGAACCAGGAGGTGGAGTTTGCAGTGAGCCAAGATCATGCCAAGGCACTCCAGCCTGGGCGACAGAGCAAGACTCCATCTCCAAAACAAACAAACAAACAAGAACCCAAAATATACTACAAGGTGTAACTAGAAATTGTTTTCAAGATTGGTGCTTTTGCACCATTGATTAGACGAGGCAACCAAGTGCATTTATTTTGATGCATGCCTGTCTTGTTCCTCTAATCAACTCCCAAGAACAGGGACAGACTGGGCATGGTGGCTCATGCCTGTAATCCCAGCACTTTGGGAGGCCGAGGCGGGCAGATCACCTGAGGTCAAGGGATCGAGACCAGCCTGACCAACATGGTGAAATCCCGTTTCTATTAAAAATACAAAAATTAGCTGGGCGTGGTCGTGGGTGCCTGTAATCCCAGCTACTTGGGAGGCTGAGGCACGAGAATCACTTGAACCCGGGAAGTGGAGGTTACAGTGAACCGAGATTGCACCACTGCGCTCCAGCCTGGGATACAGAGCAAGACTCGTCTAAAAAAAAAAAAGAAGAAGAAGAAGAACAGGGACAGATTTCTGTTCATTCTCCTCAGTGCAAATCTCTGGCCCCAGCTTTCCTCATCATTATTCAAACCCAACATATATTCGGCATTTACTATAAGCAAGTGCTGTTATTAAGCCCATTTATAGATGAGGGAGCCAAGGCTTAGCAAGGATAAAGACTTGAAGGCCGCACAGCTGCAGAAGGTCAGGCTGGACCAGGGTTTATGTTGTTAACACTAAATTGTTTGGAGAAACAGCAAACCCAGCTGTGGGGGAATGGGAGGGGTGGGTGTGGAGCCTGAGGCTAACTTCCTCCCACCCAGCCATTCTGTCCTCTCTGCAATAAAATTCATAGTCCAGGAAATTCCCTGCAAGTGACAATGACTCTTAAACTTTCCTGAAGATAAGAATTGCTGGGCCAGAGCCTCCTTCACTGCTTGCCATCCCTTCAGCTGATGGTCAGTAACTCTTTCTTTGCCAGTAGCCTGCCTGGCCTTCCAGTTTACCAGAGAGGCCCTGGTGATGAACCAGGCCCACCTCCCATCTTCCGGAACCCATCCCTGCCACCTCACCCAACCCCACCCTCCTTCCCTCTTTCACTCTGGGAGTTTTTGCAGTTCATCTGCTCAGCCAAAGAGAAGTAACTGCTAATGTTAAGCCGAAATTTGGGTCAGGCCAGGAGGCACCTTTAAAATAAAAAATTTACTCGGGTACAGGAAACAGCTATAAATGATCTTGGAAATGCAGGCACTCCATCTGGTTACACACTCCAGGCAATGCCCAACAGAGCATCTGAAGGGGCCTTGCTTATCAACTGTCATGGATTCAGGAAGCCAAACAGACCTGCCTGTTACCAAGGTGTCTCCTGCAGGCCCCTGCCTCCAGAAATGACCACCCCTGAGATGAAAACTTCTCTTGGGAAGAAACTGAGAAGGAGCTTTTAACAATTTGCTCAGGGCTTCCCACTCTTTGTTGCTGGGACATTCTTTCTGTAGCCAGCTTCAGTCCCTGTTAACACATAGTGAACAACAGTATTATTTTTGTTGTGTTCCACATCTGCCGTGTATAATCTCCTTTTATTTTTTTCTGAGTTAACTTTGTTTTCTTTTTTCTTTGTTTTTTTTTTTTGTTTGTTTGTTTTTCTGCTGACTACCTACTTATCTGTCATAACTTTGTTTTTATTGTGGTAAGAACACAATGTGAGATCTAGCTTCTTTTTTTTTTTTTCATTTTAAACAAGAAGTTTATTTAAACAACAAGACGCTTGACTTGAAGGGAAAACTATGTAGGATTCTTTTTTGTTTTAGAGTAATTTATCCTTACTTAAAGACAGATTACCCTACATGTAACAGCTACGTACAAAAAAGTTATAAAATTGTCCTTGGTTTTACAATGATAAATGAAAAACATTAAAATTCTCCAATTGAACAAGGTATGCAAGGATTTTTATGTTGTTGTTGTTGTTTTGTTGTTGTTGTTAAAACAGTGAGAGCAAAATAACTTACTGGAATATAAAGATAGGAGCTGAATGAGCATGCCACTAATGGAGAAAGGGGGTATTTTCACAGAATCAGTATTTTTCCCCATCCCGTCTCCCCTTGATGTCAGTCAAAACATACCATTGGCTGTTTAGTTAAAAAAAAAAAATGCAATATGCTTGTGCACATATACCAGTTACTTTACGTACAATAAAGGAATGGGGAAGGGGGAAATGAAAGAACAGAGAAAACTATACGGTAGTAGTCAGGATGTGGTGGAACCAAATTGCAGTTTTCTAATTGAGAATGTAATCTTGGTCTTTAAAGAACAGAGTTCTGGAGTAAAGAAGCAGGTTCCCTTTTCAGTAGACACCTCCCGTCTGCTGTTGGAACACATCAATTGTATCTTCATCCTCCATTTCCAACTGTGCAGGTGTGTCTGTTTCATTGACTGGTTGCCCGTCGAATGGGAATCTGATCTACCTCATTGACAATCCCTGTTGTTCACAATAGGCTTTCATTAGTTTACTGAGTGGTGTATGCCTCTTAATCTTAAACTGCACCATAGAACCATCCTGCCCCGCCACCTTCAAATTAATATGATCGTTGTTCTGTCTTGACTCCTTCCTTGGGCTTTTCGTCGGCCATGGCGAGCACTGAAGTCTCCTCAGCTGCCGCTTCACAAAAGAGGTACCAGGTCCGCACCAAATGAGCACACAAGCAGCACCAGAAGCGGCAGAAGAAGGCGAGATCTAGCTTCTTAACAAAATTTTAAGTGTAACATCTCCTTTTAATTTGGATAAAATAGTAGGTATTGGGCCGGGCGCGGTGGCTCATGCCTGTAATCCCAGCACTTTGGGAGGCTGAGATGGGTGGATCACCTGTGGTCAGAATTCGAGACCAGTCTGGCCAACCTGGTGAAACCCCGTCTCTACTAAAAATACAAAATTAGCCGGGTGCGGTGGCGCGCACCTGTAATTCCAGCTACTCGGGAGGCTGAGGCAGGAGAATCGCTTGAACCCAGGAGGCAGAGGTTGCAGTGAGCCAAGATCGCACCACTCACTGCACTCCAGCCTGGGCAACAAGAGCAAAACTCCATCTCAATAAAAAAAAAAAAAAAAAAAAAATAGGCTGGGCGCAGTGGCTCACGCCTGTAATCCCAGCACTTTGGGAGGCCGAGGCGGGTGGATCACAAGGTCAGGAGATCGAGGCCATCCTGGCTAACATGGTGAAACCCCATCTCTACTAAAAATACAAAAATTAGCTGGGCATGGTGGCGGGCGCCTGTAGTCCCAGCTACTCCGGAGGCTGAGGCAGGAGAATGGCGTGAACTCGGGAGGCGGAGCTTGCAGTAAGCCGAGATCGCGCCACTGCACTCCAGCCTGGGCAACAGAGCCAGACTCCGTCTCACAAAAAAAAAGTAGGCATTGAGTGCTTATATGGTAAGCACTGTGTTAAGCACTTCATATTTGATGATTTTAACCCCCACAACAAAACATTAATCGTTAATATGTGATAATTAACAAAGTTATGAATAAATCCATTTCACAGATGGGTCACGGAGAGAGGTTGAGTAAATCACGCATGGTCATACAGGGTTGGGATTTTTTTATTTTTTTGAGACAGAGTCCTGCTTTGTTGCCCAGGCTGGAGTGCAGTGGCATGATCTCAGCTCACTGCAGCCTCTACTTTGTGGGCTAAAGCAATCTTCCCACCTCAGCCTCCTGAGTGGCTGAGACTATAGGTGTGCACCACCATGGCCAGTGAATTTTTGTGTTTTTTGGTTGTTGTTTTTTTTTGAGACAGAGTCAGGGTTTCACCTTGTTGGCCAGGCTGGTCTCACCCACCTCGGCCTCCCAAAATGCTGGGATTATAGACATGAGCCACCGCGCTCTGCCAGAATTTTTGTATTTTTTGTAGAGACGGGGTTTCACCATGTTGCCCAGGCTGGTCTCAAACTCCTGGGCTCAAGCGATCTGCCAGCCTCAGCCTCCCAAAGTGCTGGGATTACAGGTGTGAGCCACCATGCCCTGCCTACAGAGTTGGGATTTTAATTCAGGCAGTCCAACTTCAGAGCTCTTGCACTTAATTACAGATGCTCTGTGTCTCTTTCCAGTTCTCCTTTCTCCAAATGGGATCATTCTACCTCTGTAAACCTGTCCTTATGACTTCCCTTTGAGTCAGGAAACCTAGTGCTGATGCCAAAGACCCTGAATAGATTTCTATTAGGGACGAGAGCCATGGAACGTTCCCTTTCCATCACTTAATTCAATCTCTGATGAAGTCCACACCAGTCATTCCCCCTGCACAGCCATCTTGCTCATATCCTTCTCAACAAAGTGGCTCCTAACCCTATCTGGAGGACTAGATAGCCATTCTGGCAGAACAGTGGCCCTAGTCACAAGGGAAAAAGGAACCCCTGTTTGCAAAGCAGCTGTATTTGCTAAGTAAGACACTTTGACAGGCTGAGCATGGCCTGTAATCCCAGCACTTTGGGAGGCCAAGGCGGGCAGATCACTTGAGGTCAGGAGTTCGAGGCCAGCCTGGCCAACATGGTGAAACCCCAGCTCTATTAAAAATACAATAATTCGCTGGGTGTGGTGGCAAGTGCTTGTAATCTCAGCTACTCAGGAAGCTGAGACAGGAGAATTGCTTGAACCTGGGAGGCTGAGGTTGCAGTGAGCCAAGATCACACCACTGCACTCCAGCCTGTGCAACAAAGTGAGACGCCATTTCTTAAAAAAAAAAAAAAAGGACACTGACAAAATGCCTTTTAAGGAAATGATATTTGGGGAGATATGCTGTCAGTAGTTTCGATAGGAACTCAGCATTGAGTTCCTACTGAGGAAACAGCAGAGAACATCTGTGAACATCTGTGGTTGGGTTCTCCTTCATGTTTCACCTCTTTCACATACCTCACATACCCCTGCATCCATCCTGCCCATCCTCTATTCCATTTGTCCTGTCATTTTTGACCCCGAGTTTTGACAACCCCAAACCTTGTCCCTCCATAAAGTAGACAGGCTAGTAGGTCATCATGGTGAAGAGCCCAGACTCTGGAACTAGACTGTCTGGTGGCAACTTTAGACAAGTCACTCAACCGCTCTTGGCTTTGGTTTCCCCATTTGTAAAATGGCATTGACAATTATAGTCTCTGCTACAGCTAGATGAGTTAAAATGGGTAGAGCATTTAGAGCAGCGCCTGACACACGCTGATTGTAAGCACTCAATACGTGTTCTTCCCTGCCACCTGATTAACAGCTTTGTGAAATTGGGCAGGTCACTCTGAAAGAGGGTATGATTATGATGTAGTGATTAAGAGCACTAGGTTTGACATCAGATGCCCTTGAATCTTGACTTTTTTTTTTTTCTGGAGACAGGCTCTCATTCTGTCACCTAGGCTGGAGTACAGTGGTGCAATCTCGGCTCACTGCAGCCTCAATCTCCCAGGCTTAAGTGATCCTCCCACCTTCAGCCTCCTGAGTAGCCAGGACTACAGGCATGCGTACACGACACTTGGTTCTGTTCTTGTCTCCTGTCCATTCCACCCCCGAGCCAGCAGTCCCAGGAGACAGCCTCTTCCTATTCAGTATCTCCCCCATGTAGGAGCTTAAGTAAATGAAATACCACCACCCCTCTCCCATCTTACCTTGAGATTAGGAAAGACTGTGGTTGAGGGCAGCCTGTGTTACTGAATGTTATCTTCGTGGGCTTGGCTCCAGAGCCCTCAGCAGGAAGAGGGACTGGACCTGCAGCCTCAGACTCAGCACTGGGACTTATAATGAACAGAGTCCTGAGCCCTCTGGTGGGGAGTATTGGGTTCCATTCTGCTTGCTCCTTGCAGGGCCTTTCCAAGAAGTCAAGGGCCCTTGACACTTTAAGGAGTGCCCACATCATGTCAAAAATATTAAAATGCACTGACATCCCACAGAATTTTTTTTTTCTTTTTGAGATGGAGTTTCGCTCTTGTCGCCCAGGCTGGAGTGCCACCACGCCTGGCTAATTTTTGTATTTTTATTAGAGATGGGGTTTCCCCATGTTGGTCAGTCTGGTCTCAAACTCCTGACCTCTGGTGATCCGCTCACCTCAGCCTCCCAAAGTGCTGGGATTACAGGCGTGAGCCACCATGCCCTGCCTGAAATGTGGTTTATACATAAACTATATATACAAACTGAGTTGAGTTGCAGTTGGTTGAGATTTTGTTTTGTAGCCATTTATTTCAATATTTATCCAATGCCATTTTGCAACTGTCTTTTTTATTTTGAAAACAATAACTTTTTTCCAGGTTTCAATAATAAGCCCTAGCTCCTAAGCCATTGTGTCTAAGGGATGGGCCAGCAGTCCCTCCAGTGCTTAGGCTGACTTGGTTGGATTCCCTGGTCCCAGAGCTTGTCAACTCCAGAGCCCATGTGAACCATGCCCACCCTATCTATCTATTCATCCACCCATCCATCCATCCGTTCGTTCATTCGTCCATCTGTCCATCCTTCCATCCATCTATCCACCCACCCATATCTATCTGAGCTGTCTATGGTAGAAAAAAAGCAACTTGGGCGGAGGCTAGAGAAGACAAGCATGGTGTGAGACTGCCCTCTAGAGATTGCTACAGGAAAGTGCAGGTGGGGAGCTCCCTCTTTCAGGATAAGATCAACCCCACCACTCGTTCACTCATTCACATTTATTGAGCGAGTACCTACCTATACCCGGCACCGTGTACTTACCTGTTCTGGGAACAAAAGACAAATACAAAGAGAAACACCACACGTCCCTGTTCTCCAGGAGGTCACCATGTTGTAGCAGTGACTGCAAACACATAAACAAATGATTACTGTTCTGTGCAATGACTACTGGAGTAGATGTGCACCAAGTTCTATGGGAGCACTGAAGGCAAGGAAATAAGTCTGGGGCAATAGGGGAGGTCATCACAGGGAAGGTGGCATTCAAGATGGGCCTTGAAGGATGTGTAGAAGTTTGCCATGTAGTGCTGGGGAGGAAAGGCATTCGGGGCAGAAGGAATGGCAGTGTAGAAATGCAGGCTTGTTGAGGGCCAGCAAGAGGTGTGGCAAAGCTGGAGCATGCATAGTACCGAACAGTCAAGACCCAGCTAGAGAGGCAGGTGGGACCAGATAGTGAAACTCCCACTCAAAAAACAGGAAGTGAGCCAGGTGTGGTGGTGCTCACCTGTACTCCCAGCTACTCGGGAGGCTGAGATGGAAGGACTGCTTGAGCTCAGGAGTTTGAGGCTGCAGTGAGCTATGATCACACCTGTGAATAGCCATTGCACTCCAACCTGGGCAACATAGTGAGACCCTGTCTCTTAAAAAAAAAAACAGAAAACAGGCCATGCCCAGTGGTTCATGCCTGTAATCCCAGCACTTTGGGAGGCCAAGGCAGGAGGATCACTTGAGGCCAGGAGTTCAAGACCAGCCTGGGCAACATAGCGAGACTGCATCTTTACAAAAAAAAAACAAACATTAGCAGGTCATGGTGGCATGAGCCTGTAGTCCCAGCTACTTGAGAGGCTGAGGTGTGAAGACCACTTGAACCCAGGACGTGAAGGCTGCAGTGAGCCATGATCGCACCACTGCACTCCAGCCTGGGTGAGAGAGAGAGAGAGACTCCGTCTCAAAAATAAAACAAAGCCGGGTGCGGTGGCTTATGCCAGCACTTGGGGAGGGTGAGGCGGGCAGATCACCTGAGGTCAGGAGTTTGATACCAGCCTGGCCAACATGACAAAACCCCATCTCTAATAAAAATCCAAAAAATAGGCCAGGCGCGGTGGCTCACGCCTGTAATCTCAGCACTTTGGGAGGCCGAGGCGGGTGGATCATGAGGTCAGGAGATCGAGACCATCCTGGCTAACACGATGAAACCCCGTCTCTACTAAAAAATACAAAAAAAATTAGCCAGGTGTGGTGGCGAGTACCTGTAATCCCAGCTACTGAGGAGGCTGAGGCAGGAGAATGGTGTGAACCCGGGAGGCAGAGCTTGCAGTGAGCCGAGATTGCGCCACTGCACTCCAGCCTGTGCCACAGAGCAAGACTCCATCTCAAAAAAAAAAATTAAAAAAAAAAAATAGCCCAGTGTGCTGATGGGCACCTGAAATACCAGCTACTCAGGATGCTGAGGCAGGAGAATAGCTTGAACCTGGGAGGCGAAGGTTGCAGTGAGCCGAGATCACATGCTATTATTGCACTCCAGCCTGGGCGACAGAGTGAGACTCCGTCTCAAAAAATAAAAACTAAAAAGCAAAAAATAAAATATATAAAACAAAAAAACAAAACAAAAGTAGGACATGTCGCACTTAAACTTAAGACTCTTTTTCTTGCAGCAGTGGTTTAAACAGAGGAACAAACAGGAAGATCTTGTCGCCTTTGAGGGGCTGTGGTTGGGCCCCTCAAAGTGACTTTGGAGGTTCTACGCCACTCATGGTCACCCAGTCCCCCAGTTAATCCCAAGTGGGAGCTCCCAAGCAATTGCTGTGCCTGACAGAATGTGCCAGGTACTTGATATGAGGTTTGTCAAATGCCCAGATCCCAGTGATTGCAGTCACCCTGCCCTCTCCCGTTTTCTGCAGACCGAGACGCGGGCACCCAGCACCGCACCTGGGCCCACTTCATCCAGATCATGAAGGTGGAGGAGACTGCAGCCAGCAAGTGCAACTGGCCAGCAGTCACACAGCTCCATGACTCCAAGGTTGAGTTCCTGCTGCCTCACTGGGTCCTCTGTGGCCAGCAACAAGCCACGTGTCACCACCAAGAGGCCCGACATCTTACAGGTGAAGGGCCCTCTCACCCTGGGTGTGACCAAATAAACTCCTCAAGAACACCAAACCAAACAAAACAGGACGTGATGCTCTGACCAGAACTCTGTGCCAAACAAGAGGGAGGCCTGACCCAGCCATTCAGAGAATCAGGCATATCCAGGACCAGGATCTCAGACACTGAGACACAGTACCTGCCTCTCAGGTGGTCTCAGCTGAAGACATTAGTGCTGAGATGATGAGGCCAGGGTGGGTGGGGAACTTTCAGGTGGGAGTACAGGTGAGACAAGGGAGCAGAGCATGCTAAGAGGAGCCAGGAGAGCTTCCAGAACACCTGTGGCTCTCCTATCTCCCTAACAATTCCTGCTTCACTCGAGTTTCCTTCCTGGACAGGAATCCTGTCTTCACCATCAACTGGCTGCGAGACCTTGAGAAAGTCACTTAATGATGCACTGGCTGGGTGAGGTGACTCACGCCTGTAATCCCAGCACTTTGGGAGGCCAAGGCAGGAGGACCACTTGAGCCCAGGGCTTTGGGGCTGCAGTAAACTATGATTATGCCATTACACTCCAGCCTGGGCAACAACAGAGAGAGACCCTGTCTTTAAAAAAAAAAAAAAATGCTGGGTACAGTGGCTCATGCCTGTAATCCAAGCTCTTTGGAAGGCCGAGGCAGGCAGATCACCTGAGGTCAGGAGTTCGAGACCAGCCTGGCCAACATGGTGAAACCCCATCTCTACTAAAAATACAAAAATTAGCTGGGTGTGGTGGCACATGCCTGTAATCCCAGCTATTCAGGAGGCTGAGGCAGGATAATCGCTTGAACCCGGGAGGCGGAGGTTGCAGTGACCAGAGATCGCGCCATTGCACTCCAGCCTGGGCGACAGAGAGTGAGACTCCATCTCAAAAAAAAAAAAAAAAAAAAAAAGAGTAATGGAAAGCCCATCCTTAAGCTTTTGTAGGATACATGGTGGCCCAGCCAAAGACTGGATTTAATAGCCCTCCTTGCAACTAGTTGTGGCCATGAAACTAAGTTCTGGCCAATGGAAGGTGAGCAGTAGGGAGCTGTGCAACTTCTAGATCCCATGCTTAGAAGGAAGAAAGTTGCTTGCTCTTCATTTTTCTCCTTCCTGCTGATTGAGAAGTGGTAACACCTGGTGTAGCCACCTTAGCCACAGAGATGGAAGCCACATGTTGAGGATGGCAGAGTCACTCTGAAAACCCCGGGCTGCTCACCTCTTACTGCTACATGAAAAATAAATGATCTTCTTTCGGATCTATCTTACCTAAGCCCCTGGATTCTGGTGCCTCTTTGTTATAGCAGATTACCATGTACCTTTAATTAATGCAGCATGTTTTTTAAAAATAATCCTTTCCTGTTAGAAAAGTGGGCAAAAGGCATTAGGTGATGGTTTACTCACACAAAAAAGGGCTACAAATGGCCTTTACATATGTGAAAATATGCTGAACTTCACTTAGAAGAGAAATGCAAGTTAAAACCACACTATGAGACTATTTTACATTAATCACATTGGCAGAAATTCAAAGGCTCAACCATACACTCTGTGGCAAGGCTGTGTGGGAAATAGGTATTCTCATAGTTGGCTGGTGGGAGTGCAAAATAGACCAGGCGCAGTGGCTTACGCCTGTAGTCCCAACACTTTGAGAGGCCAAAGTGGGAGGATCGCTTGAGGCCAGGAGTTCCAGGCTGCAGTGAGCTATGATTGCACCACTGCACTCTAGCCTGGGCAATAGAGAAAGACCCCAACTCTAAAAAAATAAAAAATAAAAAAAAAAAAACAGAAGAAAATAAACGTATCAGAATTGGCACTATCTTCCTCCAAGAGGGCAAAAGCTTGTCCCCTTGCTCCATGAGGGGAGTATTTCATGCTCTGGAGCTCCCCATGGGCTCAGGCTGCATCTGATCTCCAAATGAGATCAGATCCTTACTTCCCCTTTCCCCGTTTCCCCCGCTTCCCTTATGTCCTGCTCCGGAGAACAGTCTGTCCATCAATCACTTGCACAAGCATCCCGGTTTCAGGCTATGCTCTAGTGAACCCAGCCTAAGATACATGACGCTTACTAACCAGTCAGTAGCAAGGAAACGGAATGGCCAGCACTCGCTTCAGGCTCTGCCTCTGTGTGAGTTGCTGACACACAGAACATCGCAGAGGAGGAACACCGGGCCCAAACCGGTGAGTGATTAAGAAGAAGAAAACATGGTTCTTGGTAAGGCAATCAAACTAACAGAGGTGCTCTGGAAAGTCACACTCTTGGGGGAAGAAAAGAAGTAACCCTTGACCAGGCGCATGGGCTCACCCCTGTAATCCCAGCACTTTGGGAGGCCGAGGCAGGCGGATCACCTGAGGTCAGAAGTTCGAGACCAGCCTGGCCAACATGGTGAAACCCTGTCTCTACTAAAAATACAAAAATTAGCCGGGCGTGGTGGTGGGTGCCTGTAATCCCAGCTACTCGAGGCTGAGACAGAAGAATCGCTTGAACCAGGGAGGCGGAGGTTGCAGTGAGCTGAGATCATGCCACTGCACTCCAGCCTGGGTGACAGAGTGAGACTCCATCTCAAAAAAAAGAGAAAGAAAACTGCAAGATATTTTCTTTGTTTTTGTTTTCAGACAGGGTCTCACTCAGCTGCTCAGGCCGGAGTGCAGTGGCACGATAATAGCTCACTGCAGCCTTGATCTCCTGGGCTCAAGCGATCCTCCCACCTCAGCCTCCTGAGGCCCGGCTTTTTTTTTTTTTTTTTAAGTAGAGATGAGGTCTTGCTATGTTGCCCAATATGGTCTCAAAATCCTGAGATCAAGTGATCCTCATGCTTTGGCCTCCCGAAGTGGTAGGATTAAAGGCGTGAACTACTGCATCTGGCCAGATCTTAGCTGTTGGAATAAGGGTATTGATTCATTAATTCAATAATTTACTAATCGAGCACCTACTCCATGCCAGGTACTATCCTAAGCACAGTGAACAAAACAGGCAAAGATCCCTGCCCTCAAGGAGCTTAAATTATAGAAAGAATAAAGATGAAAAATACAGTAGTAAACATAACAAATAATGATATGGGTAAGAAGTTCATAGAGACTAGGGAAGAGACAATTGCAATCTTAAATAGGGAGATCAGGCAGGTCTCACCGAAAAGGCAAGATTTGAGCAAGACATGAAAGAAACTAGGTGCTGGGAGCGGTGGCTCACGCCTGTAATCCCGGCACTTTGGCAGGCTGAGGCGGGAGGATCACCTGATGTTGGGAGTTCGAGACCAGCCTGACCAACATGGAGAAACCCCGTCTCTACTAAAAATACAAAATTAGCTGGGCGTGGCGGGCCTGTAGTCCCAGCTCCTAGGGAGGCTGAGGCAGGAGAATCGCTTGAACCTGGGAGGCAGAGGTTGCGGTGAGCTGAGATTGCGCCACTGCATTCCAGCCTGGGAAACCAGAGCGAAACTCCATCTCAAAAAAAAAAAAGAAAAGAAAAGAAAAAGAAAAGAAAAACCCAAACCTCGGGTCTCTCCAAAGTAGCTCCCACTGAGCTCCCTCTGCTGGACAAATGTGAAATTGCTTCCCTTTTTAAAGATAATCTACCGATAGTTGTGGAATGCAACAACCATGTAAGACTAACCTTCCAAAATGGATTAGAGGCCCGGTGCGGTACTTTGGGAAGCCGAGGCGGGCGGATCACTTGAGGTCAGGAGTTCGAGACCAGCCCGGCCAACATGGTGAAACCCCGTCTCTACTAAAAATATAAAAATCAGCCAGGCGTTGTGGTGCACGCCTGTAATCTCAGCTACTCGGGAGGCTGAGGCAGGAGAATCACTTGGACCCAGGAGGCGGAGGTTGCAGTGAGCCAAGATCCAGTCACTGCACTCCAGCCTGGGTGACAGAGTGAGACACTCCCGTCTCAAAACAAATAAACAAAAAAGTGGATTAGGGGAGAAAGGCTCCCATGAGACACCTCCACCCCCATTATTCACCATCCATACCCTGGGGCTAAGGCCCTTAACTGGAGAGGAACTGGGATGGATGAAAGCACCCCCCACCCCGGGCCAGGCGCAGTGGCCTGTAATCCTGGCACCTTGGGAGGCCGAGGCCCATGGATCTCTTGAGGCCAGGAGTTAGTTCGAGACCAACATGGCAAAACCCCGTCTCTAAAAAAAAAAGAAAGAAAGAAAAGAACCCCCCCAAGCAAGCCTTGCTCTGAATCCTTACCAGGCCTGGAAATTCTCAAAGAAGACAAGCTTCCTGGTTTGAGTTTTTTAGCAGTGACTCCCGCTAAATGAAATGCTCAAGCCATCAGGTGTTTTAGGAATTGTAGCACCAGGAAGAAACAATACATAGTGCTGGCCAACCGAGGCCTGAGATTTTTTTAAAGCCAATGTTGCAGGAAGACAACCCCAGACAGACATACAAAAGATTCCCGCAATCGTAGGAAGTGGATGGCTCAAACTGCACAGTTCCCAACAGGAAACCCTACTCATTGCTTGTCTTTGGAGCATTCCTGAAGGATGCTTGTTATACAAGGGAAGTCTTCCAAACAGGTAGACCATAGGGACCAAAGAACTCACTGTCCAGGAAGTGAGTTACATAAAAACGAGGCTTGTGAACTTTGTTGGTTCTGTCATTGGCTGCTTCTATCATCTACCTGTACAGCCTTGTCCAGCAAGACACAACACAGCTCCTGGACCAATGGCCAAGTATGGTGCTTCCTTGGAGGTGTCCCTTTTCTTAATGGTAGCTATTGTGAATGTCTCTTTTTTTTTCCTCCCACTATTGCATATGAGTAGTGATTAATAGTAGGTATTGCCAATCAATTAAAATTGGGAAATTGTAATGGTCAGTAATATATAAGGAAATATACCTTAAAATTGATACTACATATGTGTGTATATTTAGGAATATTTTGTGTTCGAAAAATTCAATGAACCAATAAAATTAGATTAACATGTCTTGGTCACTAAAATGCTGGCAGGTGCAAAACTGATTATAGAAATAAATTGGGAGGCCAGGCGCGGTGGCTCATGCCTGTAATCCCAGCACTTTGGGAGGCCAAGGCAGGTGGATCACGAGGTCAGGAGTTCAAGACCAGCCTGGCCAAGATGGTGAAACCCCATCTCTACTAAAAATACGAAAATTAGCCAGGCATGGTGGCAGACACCTGTAATCCCAGCTACTCGGGAGGCTGAGGCAGCAGAACTGGAATTGCTTGAACCCGGGAGGTGGAGGTTGCAGTGAGCTGAGGTTGCACCATTGCACTCCAGCCTGGGCGACAGAGCAAGACTCCATCTCAAAAAAAAAAAAAAAGAAAGAAAGAAAAGAAATAGATTGGGCTGGCCGGGAGCGGTGGCTCATGCCTGTAATCCCAGCACTTTGGGAGGCTGAGGCAGGCGGATCACGAGGTCAAGAGATGAAGACCATACTGGCCAACATGGTGAAACCCCGTCTCTACTAAAAATACAAAAATTAGCTGGGCATGGTGGCGCATGCCTGTAGTTCCAGCTACTCGGGAGGCTGAGGCAGGAGAATCGCTTGAACCCAGGAGGCAGAGGTTGCAGTGAGCAGAGATCGCACCCTTGCACACTAGCCTGGCAACAGAGTGAGACTCCATCTCAAAAAAAAGAAAGAAAAGAAAAGAAAAAAGAAAAAGAAAGAAAGAAAATAAAAGAAATAGATTGGGCTGGGTGCAGTAGCTCACACCTATAATTTCAGCACTTTGGGAGGCCAAGGCAGGAGAATTGCTTGATCCTAGGAGTAGTGAGACCAGCCTGGGCAAGATAGTGAGACTCAGTCTCTACCAAAAAATTAACAAACTGGGTGTGATGGTGTATGCCTGTGGTCCCAGTTACTCAGGAGGCTGAGGTGGGAGGAATGCCTGAGCCTGGAAGGTCAAGGCTGCAGTGACCCATGATTGTGCCACTGCACTCCTGCCTGGTTGAAGGAGCAAAATCCTGTCTCAAAAAAAAAAAAAAAAAAAAGGCTGTACCATTTGACTGTTTTTTTTTTTGAGACGGAGTTTTGCACTGTCACTAGGGCTGGTGTGCAGTGACACAATCTCAGCTCACTGCAACCTCTGCCTCCCGGGTTCAAGCAATTCTCCTGCCTCAGTCTCCCGGGTAGCTAGGATTACAGGTGCCTGCCACCACGCCCGGCTAATTTTTAAATATTTTTAGTAGAGACAGAGTTTCACTATGTTGGCAAGGTTGGTCTCAAACTCCTGACCTCATGATCCACCTGCCTTGGCCTCCCAAAGTGCTGGGATTACAGGCGTGAGCCACCACGCCCAGCCCATTTGACTTTTTTTTAAAGACAGGGTCTCGCTCTGTTGTCCAGGCTTCAGTGCAATGGCAAAATCATAGTTCACTGCACCGTCAAACTCCTGGGCTCAAGCAATCCACCCACCTCAGCCTACCAAATAGCTGGGACTGCAGGCCTGTACCACCACGCCCCACTAATTTTTTGTAGAGATGGGGTCTCACTATGTTACCCAGGCTGGTCTCAAACTCCTAACCTCAAGCAATCCTCCCACCTAGGCCTCCCAAAGTACTGGGATTACAGGTGTGAGTCATTGTGCTGGCCTCACATTTTTTAATTTTTTAAATCAGAAGAGAGGGAGAAGGAACTTGGAAGTTAGTGCAAAGATAATGACTGAGAACCATAGACTGAAGGTCTAAGTTGTTGAAAAAATGGAATGCAGGCTGGGCACGGTGGCTCACGCCTGTAATCCCAGCACTTTGGGAGGCCGAGGCGTGTGGATCACGAGGTCAGGAGATCAAGACCATCCTGGCCAACACGGTGAAACCCATCTCTACTAAAAATACAAAAAAAAAAAAAAATTAGCTGGACATGGTGGCAGGCGCCTGTAGTCCCAGCTACTCGGGAGGCTGAGGCAGGAGAATGGCGTGAACCCAGGAGGTGGAGCTTGCAGTGAGCCGAGATCGCGCCACTGCACTCTAGCCTGGGCAACAGAGCAAGACTCCGTCTCAAAAAAAAATTATTTATCTATCTACCTATCTATCTATCTATCTATCTATCTATCTATCTATCTATCTATCTATAAATTAGCTGGGCGTGGTAGTGGGTGCCTGTAATCCCAGCTACTGGGGAAGCTGAGGCAGGAGAATCGCTTGAACCCAGGAGGTGGAGGTTGCAGGGAACTGAGACTGCGCCACTGCACTCCAGCCTAGTGACAGAGCAAGACTCTGTCTCAAAAAAAAAAAAAAAAAAAATTAGGCAGGCGTGGTGGCAGGCACCTGTAATACCAGCTACTTGGGAGGCTGAGGTAGGCGAACTGCTTGAACCCAGGAGGCGGAGGTTGCAGTGAGCCGAGATTGCGCCATTGCACTCCAGCCTGGCAACAAGAGCAAAACTCCATCTCAAACAAAAAAGAGAGGCCGGGTGCAGTGGCTCAAGCCTGTAACACCAGCTCTTTGGGAGGCCGAGGCGGGCAGATCACGAGGTCAGGAGATCAAGACCATCCTGGCTAACACGGTGAAACCCCGTCTCTACTAAAAATACAAAAAAAATTAGCCGGGCGTGGTGGCGGGCGCCTGTGGTCCCAGCTACTCGGGAGGCTGAGGCAGGAGAATGGCGTGAACCCGGGAGGCGGAGCTTGCGGTGAGCCGAGATCGCGCCACTGCACTCCAGCCTGGGCGACAGAGCGAGACTCCGTCTCAAAAAAAAAAAAAAAAAGAAAGAAAAAAAAAAAGAACTTTTGCTTTGGACCCAGACAGACCTGGGTTCAAAGCACCTAGCACAGTATTTGTCATATAATGAGGTATCGATAAATGATAGCTTATAACACTAACACAAAGAAAGACTGGATAATCTGCTCAGAAGATACCAGTTATGTGTTGTAGCCATGGTAGTGAGCTCAAAACTCCACTCTCCTTTTTGTTGTTGTTGTTGTCGTTGTTGTTTTTGAGATACGGTCTCGCTTTGTTGCCCAGGCCAGTGCAGTGGTGCAATCAGAGTTCACTGAAGCCTTGACCTCCTGAGCTCAAGTGATCCTCCCACTTCAGCCCCCTGAGTAGCTGGGACTACAGGTACCTGCCATCACACCGAGCTAATTTTTTTTTTTTTTTTTTTTTTTTGGAGAGATGAGGTTTCGCTATGTTGCCCAGGCTGGTCTCCAATTCCTGGGCTCAAATGATCTGCCCACCTTGGCCTCCCACACACTTTCAATTATACCATGCTAGCAGGATATTTTAAATCTCCACATGATATGAAAATGTGCTGGCCCAGCACAGTGGCTCACGCCTGTAATCCCAGCACTTTGGGAGGCTGAGGCAGGTGGATCACCTGAGGTCAGGAGTTCGAGACCAGCCTGGCCAACATGGTGAAACCTTGTCTCTACTAAAAAAAAAAATTTTTAAATTAGCTGGGCGTGGTGGCCCGCACGCTGCGGTCTCAGCTACTCGGGAAGCTGAGGCAGGAGAATGGCTTGAACCCAGGAGGCGGAGGTTGCAGTGAGCCGAGATCTCGCCACTGCACTCCAGTCTGGGCGAAAGAGTGACACTCAGTCTCACAAAAAAAGAAAAAAGAAAAAAAAAGAAAATGTGCTGGGCACGGTGGTTCATGCCTGTAATCCCAGCACTTTGGGAGGCCAAGGCGGGCAGATCACGAGGTCAGGAGTTCAAGACCAGCCTGGCCAACAGAGTGAAACCCCATCTCTACTAAAGATACAAAAAAATTAGCCAGGCATAGTGGTGCGCACCTGTAATCCCAGCTACTCAGGAGGCTGAGGCAGAGAATTGCTTGAACCCGGGAGGCAGAGGTTGCAGTAAGCCGAAATCACGTCATTGCACTCCAGCCTGGGTGACAGAGCAAGACTCTATCTCAAAAAGAAAAGAAAAGAAAAGAAAAGAAAAGAAAATGTTTTTCTGGCCAGGTGCAGGTAGCTCACATCTGTAATCCCAACACTTCCAGAGGCTGAAGTGGGAGGATCCTTGAGGCCAGGAGTTTGAGACCAGCCTGGACAACATAGCAAGATCCCACCTGTAGTCCTAGATACTTGGGAGAGTGAGGAGGGAGGGTTACTTGAGCCCAGGAGATTAAGGCTATAATAGTGAGGGATGATTGCACCACTGCACTCCAGCCTGGGCAACAGAGTGAGACCCTGTTTCTAAAAACAAAAAAATTATTAAAAAAAAAAAAGTTTTCTTAAGAGTCCAGACTTGTGAATTGCCAGATTAGTGTAATTTTTAAAATATGTTTCTATTATAAAGTACCCATACTCATAAAAATATAAATCAATTTATTACACCCTCTAGAATTCACTATTAATTTTCAACATTTTTTTCATTCTTTTTCCATGCATATTTTTTCACAATTCTATGCATAGTTTTGCATTATAAAATATTTCTCAATATAAAATCTTCTTCAAGGCCAGGCGCAGTGGCTCATGCCTGCAATCCCAGCACTTTAGAAGGCCAAGGCGAGCAGATCACTTGAGGTCAGGAATTCAAGACCAGCCTGACCAACATGGTGAAACCCCTTCTCTACTAAAAATACAAAAATTAGCCGGGCATGGTGGTGCGCGCCTGTAATCCCAGCTACTTGGGAGGCTGAGGCAGGAGAATTGCTTGAACCGGGGAGGCAAAGGTTGCAGTGAGCAGAGACCGCACCACCGCACTACAGTGTGTGAAACAGAGTGAGACTCCGTCTCAAAAAATAATAATAATAAAAATAAAATATTCTTCAAAAACATGGCCGGGCGCGCTGGCTCACGCCTGTAATCCCAACACTTTGGGAGGCTGAGGCGGGCGGATCACGAGGTCAGGAGATCGAGACCATCCCGGCTAACACGGTGAAACCCCGTCTCTACTAAAAATACAAAAAATTAGCCGGGCGTGGTGGCGGGCGCCTATAGTCCCAGCTACTCCGGAGGCTGAGGCAGGAGAATGGCGTGAACCCGGGAGGCGGAGCTTGCAGTGAGCCGAGATAGCGCCGCTGCACTCCAGCTTGGCAACAGAGCGAGACTCCGTCTCAAAAAAAACACATGATTTTATTTCCTGTTTTATTTCTGCTTATTTCATCAAGTGAAAATATCATAACTTATTTCACCTTTTACTGTCAGTGGAACATTTACTTGTTTCCAATTTCGACAAACTCTGCAAATGCACATCTTTTTAAAAGAATCTGCATTTCTGATTCTTCAAAATAAATTCCTAGAAGTGATATTACTGGATGAAAAGTGGATGGAGAGCTTAAAGGCTCTTAGTTACTCAAGAATTACTGGGTCAAAGAGGATGGCCCATTCACAGCCTTTGAATAAAAATAAATATTGCCAAACTGCTTTCAAGGAAGGTTTTCTAATTCATCCTCTCACCAGCAATATAGGAGAGCGTGTGGCTCACATTAATAAAAAGAACTCTGCTGTTTTGAGCAGTACTAAGCGGAGCGTTTAAACTTATATTTCTTTGATTAGGAAGGCTGACATTCGTTCCTGCAATTCATATTTCTTCCTTACTGAATTGCCTGTTCCTATCCTTTGCTCGTTTTTCTATAGGGATATTATTTCATTCTTTCAGTGTTGTTTTTACAAAATAAACAATTTTTTTGTTTGTTTTTTCCCCCGAGACGGAATCCTGCTCAGTTGCCCAGGCTGGAGTGCAGTGGCGCGATCTCGGCTCCCTGCAACCTCGGCCTCCCGGGTTCAAGCGATTCTCCTGCCTCAGCCTCCCAAGTAGCTGGGATTACAGGCACGCGCCACCACCATGCCCGGCTAATTTTTGTATTCTTAGTAGAGACGGGGTTTCACCATGCTGGTCAGGCTGATCTCGAACTCCTGACCTCAGGTGATCCGCCCGCCTCGGCCTCCCAAAGTGCTGGGATTACAGGCGTGAGCCACTGCACCCGGCCCAACAAATGTTTTAGAAAGCCATCTGGATGATAGTCCATGACTGCTGAACACCGGCTGAGGTCCACAAAACTGCGCTCACCGCTTGGGGACTTTCCAGCCGGCCTTTACTCTCCATGGAAAGCGGTCTTTCCACAAACCTCCACGGTGGGAATTACTGCAAAGGCATCGGCTCTCCCGGCCTAGAATATCTCGCGGGATCTCAGCTGTCCTTGGGCCCCCCCCCTCAGCGCAACTACCAATCCCAACATGCAACGCGCCCCGTGGCCCAAGCGCCCGAATGAAGGCTCGGGGCCAAAGTCATGTGTCTGACTGCGTCACACGTCCCGTCATCTCTCCCACGCCTTTTTCTTCAGCGTACACCTTGGTCGCCATCTTGTGCGCGAGGTTATGGAACCTCTGAGTCCCGCCAACTCTATGGTCGAGCGTTTCAGGGATCGGCCAATCGTAATCCAGATCTCGTAGGAAAGCCCCGCCTCTATCCGCATGGAGGCGGGAATTGCCACGAAGCTCCTGTGGAGGGAGAGGAAGCAGCTGCGGAAAGCCAATAAGAGTGGGGAATCGATGACGTCAACCAATGGGGACGCGGGGATATTACGGCCAATGAGAATGGAGAAGGTCCAGGACACGTGGGTGGGGGAAGCTGAGCGCTGAGACCAAGGGCTAAAGCTGGGAGGTGAGTCTGTCACCTTGAGCCGGGCGAGCGCTGTGGGCCAAGCAGGGGTTGCAGGGTAGTAGGAGTGCAGGTGACTTGGGGCCGGGAGCCAGCAATAGGCAGGGTTGTGGGCTGGGCAGTGTGGAGGGGTATTTCCCCCCAGTGCTGGGAGAGGCTATGGCAATCTAGATATGGCCTTATCAATGAATGTTAATTACCAACGGTAATGAACGATTGACTGCCTCGGCTGGGGCGGGTCGGGGACTGCTGTGTAAGATGGGCAGGATCCTGCGCGACACCTGCCCAGTATCCGCCTCCAGTCTTCCCGAGAGACCATTCCCTTTCGCAACATTTCCTTCCTGGGGCTTGGGCACATTTCCTTGACTTCCGATCTCCATGACTTTGCTTTGAAGACCCACTGCTCTGTCCCTCTGACCTCTAATGCCCTCCTCAGCTGGGGCACGGTGCAAGGAAGAGCGTGGTCTAGGGAGGACGGACGGGGGTGAAGGGGACGACCAAAGGTCGTCATTATAAGCAAACAACCAGGGTCTCAGTGGGATTATTATTACTATTTTTTCCCCCTCTGCAGACTGAAAAAATGCAGACCGCCGGGGCATTATTCATTTCTCCAGCTCTGGTAAGGTGCCGCGCCGCAGTGCTCTGTAGTACCAGGTGTATGGTGTGGACGCCATCAGTGTTTAATGAATGAACCCAGGGGAGCTTGGCGTCCTGATGATGTAGGCTCTTTGAGGTGGCTGTAGGATGTGATGAAGGTAACCCCTGTTTATCTGGGCCTGTGAACCAAGCTATCTTGGCTTTGGAATGTGGTCAGAGAGTCTGGATTTGATTTTTATCCCCAGTCTGTCCTGGCCATAGAGACAGCCCACTAAAACAGTGGTTTTCAACAGTGGCTGCACGTTAGAATCATCCAGGGAACTTTTTAAAATCCTGATGCCTAGGCTGCACCTTAGACCATTTGCATCAGACTTTGGGAATGGGGGTGGAACCCAGGCATCTGTATCTTTTAAGACTTCTCCAGATGATTCCACCGTGCAGCCAAGTTTGAGAACCACTGCACTAAAAATTATTTCAAAAAAGCCATGTTACAGATGGCTCTCCTTGGATGGCTATTCCAGTCGGTTTCCGGGGCTGACTGGCCCACTCCATTTAGGGTGTGTAGCTGTGAGTGTATTTTAGCAGAATAAAATTTCCCCCATCTGATTACTTGGTGATCTGGGTATAAACCTTTCCTGTACCTGCTTTGGTATTAGTGTGGGTTCTTGTTCCATTCTGAGAAGCTGATTAAAGCTGTGCCCAAAGAAGTGAACTTTGGTTTGGTTTTGAATGGTGAAGGTTGCCACTGCTGACTATATCAAGCTATTGAGACAGCTGTCTCTGGGGCAGGCCTATCTGATAGGAACAGGAATAAATTGACCTTGAAATACATTGAACTTATTCTGTTTATGAAATCTGTAGTCATTTTTGACAGCTCAGCAATTAGGATTTTTTTTCCTTGACTGATTTGGTAGGATGTGGCTTTCTGATTTTACAGATCCGCTGTTGTACCAGGGGTCTAATCAGGCCTGTGTCTGCCTCCTTCTTGAATAGCCCAGTGAATTCATCTAAACAGGTAAGGGAGGAATAGCTCTCTTAGGAATGTTCCCAAGGCCCAGGATGGTGGCTCACACCTGTAATCCCAGCTCTTTGAGAGGCTGAGGCGAGAGGATCACTTGAGCCCAGTTGTTCAAGACCAGCCTGGGCAACACAGTGAAACCCCATCTCTACAAAAAAAATAAAAAAATTAGCCATGTGTGGTGGCATGTGGCTGTAGTCCCAGTTACTCCAGGGCTGAGATGAGAGGATTGGTTAATCCCAGAGGTCGAGACTGCTGTGACTATGCCACTGCACTCCAGACTGGGTGACAGAGCAAGACCCTGACTCATAAAAACCCATTAATTAATTTTTTTTAAATCAAGGAATGTTCCCAGACAGGGGTCCTTCAGCTTAAGTTGCCTTTAGACCAAAGTGGGAGGAGAGTTGGAGAATCTGTATGCTTTAATAGTTCTAAGTCCCCCAAGGTAAGCCTTGTAGGTAAGAAACTTATAAAAGTGAGGTGTGCCTAACCCATGAAATTTCCCTAGTCCTGTCTGCTGTCTGACAACAGACTCTAAGACTAATTCCCAGCATACTCTGCAATCAGAGTATTCTGCATTTACCAGGCAGTTTGCCAACAGTTTCAGAGCTCAGGTGGGTGGGGTGAAGGAGGTAGAGTCAGCCACCTGTCCTTATGCCATACTATCTCTCTGCTATCTCGCCTGCCTTGCTTCTCTTTCTAGCCTTCCTACAGCAACTTCCCACTCCAGGTGGCCAGACGGGAGTTCCAGACCAGTGTTGTCTCCCGGGACATTGACACAGCAGCCAAGTTTATTGGTGCTGGGGCAGCCACAGTTGGTGTGGCTGGTTCAGGGGCTGGCATTGGAACCGTGTTTGGCAGCTTGATCATTGGCTATGCCAGGTAAGTTTGGGTGGTCTACAGCATCTCCCACTGTAAATTCCACCCCGTTTGGGGAAGCCTCAGCTGGAGGAGCTCCCTTCAGGAGCCTTCAGGTTGATTTCATCTACATCATAGTTTCTCCAGAGAAAACATGCATCCAGCCTGGCTCACTTAAACTTACCAGGTTGGCCCACTCTGCTTGTCCATCCAAATCCCCAGGATCTGTGCAGGCTAGGCCCTCTCCCAGGAGTAACAGTCCCCATTCACCTCACCCTCCTGTGTCCTCCCCTCCCCTCACCCCTTCCTCTCCCTCAACTGGCAATGATCTCTGTCCCTCCCAGGAACCCGTCTCTCAAGCAGCAGCTCTTCTCCTATGCCATTCTTGGCTTTGCCCTGTCTGAGGCCATGGGGCTTTTCTGTTTGATGGTCGCCTTCCTCATCCTCTTCGCCATGTGAGGCTCCATGGGGGGGTCACCGGCCTGTTGCTACTGCAACTCCACACCATTCTTGGTGCTGGGGTGTGTTAAGCTTTACCATTAAACACAACGTTTCTCTAAACCCCTGTCTGTGCCTCTGTCCTTTGACCTTCAGGAGGGCCTTGGTAGAAGGGTGAGGAGAGGGAATTTGCTCAGCCATGGGTGATGGGAACTCCTCAGGGCTGAGAAGGAGCACTGCCATGACTGTAAGAACAGAGGGTTCTCATGTTCTCCCAGGAGGAATATGGGTTTGTCTGAGTAATGAGATTTTTGCCTTTTCCCTTCAGATTTATTACAGTTGGCCATCTGTATCCATAGGTTCCATATTTGTGGATTCAACTAACAGTAGACAGAAAATATTCAGGGAAAAAAGTGAATGGTTGTGTCTGTACTGCACAAGTACAGGCTTTTTTTTTCTTGTCATTATTCCCTAAACAATACAGTATAGCCATTATTTATATAGCATTTACCTAGTATTTAGGTATTGTAAGTAATCTAGAGATGATTTAAAGTATATGGGAGGATGTGCATAGGTTATATGCAAATACTACACCATTTTATATAAGGGACTTGAGCATCTGTGGTATCCACTGGGGTCCTGGAGCCAATCTCCCACAGATACCAAAGGATAACTGTAACAACTGCATATTAATAGGTTACATTTTTGAAGGGCTTAATTTACACCAAGCATTTTACATTCGTTATCTCAACAACCCTAAGAGTTATAAGCACAACTTTAAAACTGTTTTGCCAATGACAGACCCAGGGTTTGGGGAAGCAAAATAACTTATCCAGTATCACAGAGCTAGTAAGTGGCAGATTGGGGATTTCTCCCCCAGGCCAGCTTAAACCTTAACTGCACTGTTGTCCTATCTATTTTCTTTTTTTTTTTTTTTTGTCCCATCTATTTTCATTCTGGTCACACAACAATTAATGTGGCACAGAAAGGGAAACTTAGTCCCAAAGAAGTTGTATAGCAGGTGAAAGGTAGAGGTAGGCTTCTATCTGCCTGTGTTTAGCCCCATTTGTAGGTTTCATTTTCACTATCAATTAGCCTTTCTCAGAGTATCTAAATGTTCTTAAAGCAGATAAAGTACACAATCCTGGTTCTTGGAGAATTTATCACCTTAGTTTTGCTAGGATAAAAGACTATCTGGAGCCAGGCATGGTGGCTCACGCCTGTAATCCCAGCACTTTGGGAGGCTGAGGCCGGCGGATCACCTGAGGTCAGGAGTTCGAGACCAGCCTGAACAACATGGAGAAACCCAGTCTCTACTAAAAATACAAAGTTAACCAGGCATGGTGGCGCATGCCTGTAATCCCAGCTACTTGGGAGGCTGAGGCAGGAGAATCACTTGAACCCAGGAGGCGGAGGTTGTGGTGAGCCGAGATCATGCCATTGCACTCCAGCCTGGGCAACAAGAGCAAAACTCCGTCTCAAAAAAAAAAAAAAAAAGATGATTTGGGGGCGTGTGCCAAATAATGAATTCCATAAAGAGCTTCGTCCAGCATCTTCCTTGGGTTCTCAAAGTCTATGCCCACCAGTCTTGCCCCTCTTGGCTAAAGTGGGACTGATAACCCATGTAAAATTAGCTAAGTTGACATATCAACAGTTGCTGCTTCTCTAAGTCCTTGCAGGAGCAAGCCATGGACAGAGAACTCATGCAAAGATGCTGGGAACGTGGTCTGTCTCAAATTGGATGGCTTCAAAAGGAGTAGTAACGTAAAGTGGGATCCATTCTGTGAAAACTTTATACCTCAACTGCAAAATGTGAAATAGTGAAACCAAGAAAATATCTAATTGGTGTTAAGAACACCTTCTAACTGAAAGGCAACTAGCAAAGAGGGTTAAAACATACAGAAAATTTGGATTCCATTTACGTGCAATTTAAAGACAGTCATGTAGGTATTTAAGCATCTTCCTAGGGACCTTAGGGGAAGCAAAGAAATCTAATTCTAATGTCCTTGCCCTCAAGGAGTTTGGGGCACCAACAGAGTAGAAATAAGTACACCATGCCCTACCTCATTGTATATGTGGGTACATGAGCTATGTGCTATAGAAGTTCCCAGAGGAAAAAGGAGGCTGGTGTGAGTTATAATAATGTGGGCTAACATTTGAGCACCTGTGTGTCATGCACAATGCTAAGCACTTTCCACGATTAACTTCCAACATCCCTATAGAATAAGTCAGTTTACAGGTAAGTAAGCAAATGAAGAGGCTCAGAGAGGTGAGGCATTCTGCCTAAATTCTACTAAACCACAGCTGGTTAGTAAAGCTGGGATTCAAACTCCAGAACCTGTGTTCTTAGCTTTGTGCTGACTCATCTGAGGTTTGCACAAGTGTGGTGACTTGCCCAAGGTCATAGAGCATGCCAATGATTCGAATCCCAGTCTGACATTTATACAATCATGGCGTTTCTACCCCAGGATTTCTTGACCTTGGCATATCTGGGGCCAGGTAATTCATTGTTGTGGAGGGGACTCCCTCGTGTAGTGTATGTTTAGCGGCATCCCTAACCTCTACCCGTTCAATGTCAGTAGCAACTGACATCCCCACCCAAGTTGTGACGACAAATTGCCAAATGTCAGAATGTTGACAAATGCCCCCTGGCTGGGGGGCAAAATCATGCCCAGTTGAGAGCTACTGGTCTACCACAATCTGCTGCATCTCCTCAGCCTTTTCACCTTAAGAAACTCCCTCAAGTTTGCCCACAACAAGCCAGTGACAACCAGAAGCAAAGCCCAGGAATCTCACGGCTGAATAGGAAATGGAACTGAGGTTAAACTGGTGACTGATGTTTCACCAAGAGAGCAATGGATTAACTGGTAATGCTGTTACACAAACAGAATGGCACAGCTGGCTTCCTACCAGGTCACTTCCTACCACCTCCAGTGGCAATCAAGAAGCAGCCCCCAGGGAAGGTGGTTGCTCTATCTTTCCTGTGAAATTCCAGGAATCCAGTTTTTGCCAAGAGGCTGGTAAGAATTTCCTGCTCGGCCGGGCGCGGTGGCTCACGCCTGTAATCCCAGCACTTTGGGAGGCCGAGGCGGGCGGATCACGAGGTCAGGAGATCGAGACCATCCCGGCTAAAACGGTGAAACCCCGTCTCTACTAAAAAATACAAAAAATTAGCCGGGCGTAGTGGCGGGCGCCTGTAGTCCCAGCTACTTGGGAGGCTGAGGCAGGAGAATGGCGTGAACCCGGGAGGCGGAGCTTGCAGTGAGCCGAGATCCCGCCACTGCACTCCAGCCTGGGCGACAGAGCGAGACTCCGTCTCAAAAAAAAAAAAAAAAAAAAAAAAAAGAATTTCCTGCTCTTTGGTCTCGGCTGCAGAAGCAAGACGAAGGGAACGTCAACGTTTGGCAAGCGTTGCAATAAGACACACAGGTTGTGCCACCAATATGGCTCTAAGGCCTACCACCTTCAGAAGTCGACCTGTGGCGGGCCAGGCGCGGTGGCTTACGCCTGTAATCCCAGCACTTTGGGAGGCTGGGGCGGCGGGGGCGGGGGGGGGGGGGGGGAACATGAGGTCACGAGTTCAAGACCAGCCTGGCCAACATGGTGAAATCCCGTCTCTACTAAAAATACAAACAAATTAACCGACCACAGTGGCAGACGCCTGTAATCCCAGCTACTCAGGAGGCTGAGGCAGAAAATTTCTTGAACCTGGGAGGTGGAGGTTGCAGTGAGCCAAGATCACACCACTGCACTCCAGCCTGGACAACAGAGTGAGACTCCATCTCCAAAAAAAAAAAAAAAGTCGACCTGTGGCAAATGTGGCTACCCTGCCAAGCACAAGAGGAAGTATAACTGGAGTGCCAAGGCTCAAAGATGAAATGCCACTGGGACTGGTCGAATGAGACACCTAAAAGCTGTATACCACAGATTCAGGCATGGATTTCGTGAAGAAACAACACCTAAACACAAAAGGGCAGCTGTTGCAGCATCCGAGTCATCTTAACAATTTCAACCGATAGGCCGGGTGCGGTGGCTCACCCCTGTAATCCCAGCACTTTGGGAGCCAAGGCGGCTGGATCACAAGGTCAAGAGATCAAGACTATGCTGGCTGACATGGTGAAACCCCGTCTCTACTAAAAATGCAAAAAAAAATTAGCTGGTCATGGTGGCACATACCTGTAGTCCCAGCTACTCGGGAGGCTGAGGCAGGAGAATTGCTTGAACCTAGGAGGCAGAGGTTGCAGTGAGCCAAGATCGTGCCACTGCACTCCAGCCTGGGCAACAGAGCGACACTCCATCTCAAAAAAAAAAAAAAAAACTTTCAACCATTAGTCATGCAATAAATATTCTGTTTTTTTAAAATAATAATAAAAATTTAAAAAGAATTTCCCTTCATGAAGGGCTCCAAACAGCCTTGGAATGGCTGCATTTATAAACTCAAGTCAGCAGAATTGGGAATGTGGTTGGTGGGCCCACGGAGTCCAGGAGAGTCAGGGGAGAATGCTTCCTTACCCCCTACCAAGCTAGTTAGTCCCAGAACTTTATCATTAAGGTTCTTTATCTAGGGTCTATGGACTGGTCCATAGATGAGACCATTTTGTTTAGTGTAAAATATTTTTAGTGGATACAGCAATGCATTGTTCTTGGGAGAGGGCCCATTGTATTCATTATATTCTCAGAGGAATAGTGAGCAGAAAACAATTAGCAACCATCACCTTAAGAGTTCAGCAATGGTGGCAAAGAGAGGGAATTAACGGGATAACACATAACAGATTAAATTATTAAAAACAGATGTCATGGCTGGCACGGTAGCTCACGTCTGTAATCCCAGCACTTTGGAAGGCCAAGGTAGGTGAATCACGAGGTCAGGAGTTCGAGACCAGCCTGGCCAACATGGTGAAACCGCGTCTCTACTACAAATACAAAAAATTAGCTGGGCGTGGTGGCAGCCACCTGTAATCCCAACTACTCGGGAGGCTGAGGCAGGAGAATCGCTTGAACCCAGGAGGTGGTGGTTGCAGTGGGCCAAGATCGCGCCACTGCACTCCAGCCCAGGTGACAATACGAGAGACCATCTCAAAAAAAAAAAAAAAAAAAACAGATATTACAATCAGAAGCTTCAAAACATCTAGTCCAAGTTCTGATTATTCTCTTTAGTGTAAGGTTTATGACATGGTGGGAATTCTTTTTCATTTATCCCTGGCATTTAACCAAGACAAAAGGCTGGGCCCTGGAGGTCTACTCCAGAGGGCCATAGGACCCAGGATTTTAGGGAAGGGAAGGAGAAGGATCTTCATGGTGTATCTTCTCAGAGGATTGAGGCACAGCAGAGACCTGAACCCCAGGACACTTGCTAATGCCTGTCAGATGGAGGGCACTTGCCTAGGTGCCACGAGCGACGTGCTACCAAACCTTGTTGCACCAAGAGACAGCCCAATGCACTGTAGTCAGTGCTAAGGAGAGAGAGGCTTTGATCCAGGTTCCTGAGTTCCACTCAGTTGTGTCAATTACCTCTGAGGGTATGGAAGTGGCTCCAAGGATGCACATGTTTGCCCTCTGCCCAAGCTGCCAGGGGAAAGCAGCTAAGTGTTGGCCTTGAAAAAGTGAGCACGGAACTAAGAAGCACCAGCTTATGTTCTGCTCCCTCTGTCTGGCCCTTCCTCTCTCCCCCAGCTTAGAGGCCTCCCAGAGGTAGTTAACTGGTCCTTTAAGCAGCTGCCATCCCCTGCAGCCCTTCAGGCCCTGACTTGCAGGTTCTCTGTGCAAGCTTGGCTCAGCCTTTTTGGAAATATAATAGGTATAATACTGTTAAAATGAGGATACTGGAGGAAAAAAGAAGAAAAAATAAGCATGGCAGAGGAAGTAAATGCTAAGATATATAGCTGCCAAGCATGGTGGCTCATGCTTATAATCCCAACACTTTGGGAGGCTGAGGCGGGACAGTCATTTGAGGCCGGGAGTTCAAGACCAGCTGGGCAACAAAGTGAGACCTTGTCTGTCTGTCTCTCTCCTCCCCCCGCCCCCCCACCCCCGCCCCCGTCTCCCTCTCTCTCTCCATATATATATATATATATATGGCAACAAAGTGAGACATTGTCTCCATATATATACATATATATATATATATGGCAACAAAGTGAGACCTTGTCGCCATATATATACATATATATATATATGGCAACAAAGTGAGACATTGTCTCCATATATATACATATATATATATATATATATATATATGGCAACAAAGTGAGACCTTGTCTCCATATATATACATATATATATATATATATATATATATGGCAACAAAGTGAGACCTTGTCTCCATATATATACATATATATATTTTTTTCTTTTTCTTTTTTTTTTTAGACTGAGTCTCACTCTGTCGCCCAGGCTGGAGTGCAATGGTACGATCTCTGCTTGCTGCAACCTCTGCCTCCCGGGTTCAAGCTATTCTCCTGCCTCAGCCTCCCAAGTAGCTGGGATTACAGGCACACACCATCACGCCCGACTAATTTTTGTATTTTTAGTAGAGATGAGGTTTCACCATGTTGGCCAGGCTGATCTCAAACTCCTGACCTCAAGTGATCCACCCACCTCGGCCTCCCAAAGTGCTGGGATTACAGGCGTGAGCCACCGCATCTGGCCTCTAAACATATTTTTAGATAAAAACTGTAAGATCTATAGCCAGGGGAAGGGCAGCTGGCTACCGTGTTCTCATTTCCATTCTGCTCACCAGTTATGCAACACCCACTGAATGTCAGGTCCAAGTGATAGAAAGATAGGTGCCCCCATGCTTCTTGCCCAGGAGGAGGTCATATCTAGTGGCCAGAGGGATGAGTAAAAAGCCATTAAAATAAAAAGTAGTGCATGTTATAATAAAGGTATGAGTAATCAGCCATGAGAACCAGAGGAGGGAGTAATTAAAAATAATAATAATAATATGCCTGGAAGTGTCAGTGTTTAGCAGAGAAAGTAATATTCCAGCCAGCCTTGAAGAATGAGTAAGAATAATAAGAGTTAATAATTATTGAACATTTCCAGTGACCAGGCATTGTATACATTCATTATCACATGATCTTAGTAGCTACTATTATTTTCTCAATTTTGCTGATGAAGAGCAGAGGTTCATAGAGCTTAAACAACTAGGATTTCCCTACCTAGGATATGGTAGAGGTAAAGAGTATTCCAGCGGGCAGCAGTAGCTCATGCCTGTAATCCCAGCACTTTGGGAGGCCGAGGCGGGCGGATCACCTGAGGCCAGGAGTTCGAGAGCAGCCTGACCAACATGGAGACACCCCATCTCTACTGAAAATACAAAATTAGCCGGAAGTGGTGGTATATGCCTGTAATCCCAGCTACTTGGGAGGCTGAGGCAGGAGAATCGCTTGAACCCGGGAGGCAGAGGTTGCAGTGAGCTGAGATCGCACTATTGCACTCCATCCTGGGCAACAAGAGTGAAACTCCATCCCACCTCAAAAAAAAAAAAAAAAGAGTATTCCAAGTAGAAAAAATGGGCAAAGGCTTGGAGGGGGGAGAAGGTACACTGGAAAGTGAGATGCCAATTATTTGTACAGTCCTTGCCACTTTACAAAAGCTTCTGGAAATGCCACACTTAATCCTCAGGGAAACCTTGAGAGGTAGGAATTTTCACTATTCTATATTGCAAAATATAGGCTGCAAAAATAGGCTTCAAAGAAGGTAAGAGATGCAGATTAAAAACCTGAACCTCCATCTAAATCTAAGGTAAGGGTTTTCTGTTCATTGCCCCATCACTACCAGACCTTGTACTTGAAAATAATGGTCCAGTGGTGAGATACACTGAGGAATCCCCTCACCCCATGGGCCACCTCTGGGCCTTTGTATTCTGTAGCTATGGAGGAGCTATGGAATAGTGTTTTTCTTTGTATGAGGTTACCAAGCAAACTGACCTTTGACCACCTTACTGAATAAATAATAATCAAGCAAAATTCTGGAGTCCTTTTTTTTTTTTTTTTTTTTTTTGAGACATAGTCTCCCTCTGTTGCCCAGGCTGGAGTGCAGTGGCGTGTTACCTCCCGGGCTCAAGTGATTCTCCTGCCTCAGCCTCCCAAGTAGCTGGGATTACAGGTGCCCACCACCACGCCCAGCTAATTTTTGTATTTTTAGTAGAGATGGGGTTTCACCATGTTGGCCAGGCTGGTCTCAAACTCCTGACCTCAAGTGATCCGTGCACCTCAGCCTCCCAAAGTGCTGGGATTATAGGCATGCGCTTTGCAATCTCAGCTCACTGCAACCTCCACCTCCCGGGTTCAAGCAATTCTCCTGCTTCAGCCTCCCGAGTTGCTGGGACTACAGGCGCGTGCCACCACGCCCAGCTAATTTTTGTATTTTTAGTAGAGATGGGGTTTCACCATGTTGGCCAGGATGGTCTCGATCTCTTGACCTCATGATCCACCCACTTCAGCCTCCCAAAGTGCTGGGATTACAGGCATGAGCCACCGCACCCAGCTGGCAACCACTGTTAACATTTTCTTGGGTATCCTCTTTTTTTTTTTTTTTTTTTGAGACAGTCTCACTCTGTTGCCCAGGTTGGAGTGAAACAACACGATCTCAGCTCACTGCAACCTCTGCCTCCCAAGTTCAAGCAATTCTCCTGCCTCAGCAGGAGTAGCTGGGATTACAGGCGCCTGCTGCCATGACCAGCTAATTTTTGTATTTTTAGTTTAGACGAGGTTTCACCATGTTGGCTAGGCTGGTCTCGAACTCCTGACCTCAGGTGATCCACCTCAGCCTCCCAAAGTACTGGGAGTACAGGATGAGCCACCACTCCCGGCCTTGTGTATCCTTTTATAGATATTCTGGCATCTTTATTATGCTGATAAAACACTATACCAACAAAACGCAAAATCTGCATAAAATACTATATTGATTCATTTCATTTCATGTTGCGCCTAAGCTGTGCCATGCCCTGTGCTGGATTCACATATAATACATTGTCTAGAGCCCCAAGGGTGTACACGTTGTGTGCGTATGTGTGTTAAGAGGGGATGGGGATGCTTATACCTGTAATCCCAGCACTTGGGAGGCTGAGTGGGGTGGATCACTTGAGATTAGGAGTTCGAGACCAGCATGGCCAACAGGGCGAAACCCAGTCTCTATTAAAAATATAAAAAGCAGCTGGGCATGGTGGCCCACACTTTACAAAAACTTCTGGAAATGTCATAGTTAATCCTCTGGGAAACTTTGAGAGGTAGGAATTACTGAAAATACAAAATTAGCCGGACGTGGTGTAGTCCCAACTACTCAGGAGGCTGAGGCACAAGAATCCCTTGAAACTGGGAGGCAGGGTTGCAGTGAGCTGAGATCAGGCCACCGCACTCCAGTCTGGGTGACAGAGCAAGACTCCCTCTCACAGAAAAAAAAAAGGGGGGGGGGTGGGGGCAACAGGTACCAAGGGACCATAATTAGTACAAGGTAAAATATAAGTGTGGGAGTGTCACGTAGTGGTTAGCACTTGTTCTCAGAAGTCAGATTTGGTTTACAGTCCCAATTATGCGACTTGCTCTCAGCATGACCCCATGTAATTCACTGAACCTCTGTAAGTCTGTTTTTCCATCTATCAGACCAGATTAATAATAGTACCTAAGGCCAGGTGCGGTGGCTTACGCCTGTAATCCCAGCACTTTGGGAGGCCAAGGCGGATGGATCATAAGGTCAGGAGTTCAAGACCATCCTGGCTAACACAGTGAAACCCCATCTCTACAAAAAATATAAAAAATTAGCCAGGCGTGGTGGTGGGCGCCTGTAGTCCAGCTACTTGGGAGGCTAGGGCAGGAGAATGGTGTAAACCTTGGAGGTGGAGCTTGCAGTGAGCCGAGATCGCGCCACTGCACTCCAGCCTGGGCGACAGAGCAAGACTCCAAACCAAAAAAAAAATAAAAATAAATAAATAATAGTACCTACTACTTCACTGAGTGTTGAAAGGAATAAAGCCAAAGTATACAAAATGCCTGCCACATATTAAACACTCAATAAATGTCTGCTAAAAAAATAATTTTTTAGGCCAAGCACGGTGGCTGACGCCTGTAATCCCGAGCACTTTAGGAGGCCAAGGCGGAAGGACTGCTTGAGCCCAGAAGTTCGAGACCAACCTGGGCAACATGGTGAAACCTCGCTTCTACAGAAAAATACAAAAATTAGCCGGGCATCGTGGCACGTGTCTGTAATCCCAGCTACTTGGAGGGCTGAGGCAGAGGTTGCAGTGAGTTGTGATCCCATCACTGCACTCCAGTCTGGGTGACAGAGCAAGACCCTGTCTCAAAACAAATCAATCTTTAGCTCTCCATAAATCTTGGTCATTATCCTTCAGGTCTGCATTCCATTACTGTAAATTCATAAAACTCTAAAAGGCAGGAAGGGTGGGGTGGGTGGATGACTTCTGTAATCCCAGCACTTTGGGAGACCGAGAAGGGCGGATGACTTGATCCAACTCCAAAAGGAGTTGGAGACCTTCCTGGCCAACATGGTGAAACCTCGCCTCTACTAAAAAAATACAAAAAATTAGCCAGGCGTAGAGGCGCCTCTACTAAAAAAATACAAAAAATTAGCCAGGCATAGAGGCATGCTTGTAATCTCAGCTACTGGGGAGGCTGAGGCAGGAGAATTGTTTGAACCCAGGAGGCGGAGATTGCAGTGAGCCACGATTGCGCCATTGCACTCCAGCCTGCGTGACAAGAGCAAGATTCCCTCTTTAAAAACAAAAAACAAAAAACAAAAAAACTCTAAAGCCAGACTCTTTTTTTTGAGACGGAGTCTCACTCTTTTACCCAGGATGGAGTGCAGTGACTCAGTCTCGGCTCACTGCAACTTCTCCTTCCCGGGTTCAAGTGATTCTTCTGTCTCAGCCTCCTGAGTAGTTGGGACTACAGGCGCCTGCCAACACACCCGGCTAATTTTTGTATTTTTAGTAGAGACGGGGTTTCACCATATTGGTCAAGCTGGTCTCGAACTCCTTACCTCAGGTGATCCACCCACCTCGGCCTCCCAAATTGTTGGGATTACAGACGTGAGCCACCGTGCCCGGCCCAGACTTCTTTTTTAAAAAACCAAACTTGGTGGCAAAACATCCAAAGTGAGGCTATTCATTTGACTTGGTACGAATGTTCATACACTTTGATGCAGAAATGTCAATAGGTTTGGCTACCCGGCGCTGCCCCACTCCTTGCTTGGTGTGTCATTCCAAAGTCTGAAATACATCTGGCCCCACTGGTTTCCAGTTAATATTGATCCTATATTTTTGCTAGGGAAAAAAGTTTTTGTTTTTGTTTTGAGACGGAGTCTTGCTCTGTCGCCCAGGCTGGAGTGCAGTGGCACGATCTCCGCCCACTGCAAGCTCCGCCTCCCGGGTTCACGCCATTCTCCTGCCTCAGCCTTCCGAGTAGCTGGGACTACAGGCGCCCGCCACCACGCCCGGCTAATTTTTTGTATTTTTAGTAGAGACGGGGTTTCACAGTGTTAGCCAGGATGGTCTTGATCTCCTGACCTAGTGATCCGCCCGCCTCAGCCTCCCAAAGTGCTGGGATTACAGGCATGAGCCACCGCGCCCGGCAAGGAAAAACAGTTTTTTAGGAAGGCCCCTGTCATTCTTAGTCCATAGGAATTTTTTTTTTTTTTTTTGAGACGGAGTCTGGCTCTGTCGCCCAGGCTGGAGTGCAGTGGCGTGATCTCAACTCACTGCAAACTCCGCCTCCCGGGTTCAAGTGATCCACCTGCCTAAGCCTCCTGAGTAGCTGGGACTACAGGTGCACGCCACCACGCCCGGCTAATTTTTGTATTTTTAATAGAGGCGGGGTTTCACCATGTTAGGCTGGTCTCGAACTCCTAACCTCGTGATTCGCCCACCTCGGCCTCCCAAAGTGCTGGGATTACAGGCGTGAGCCACCGAGCCTGGCAGATTATTTTTCACTTTAAACATTTTAGGAAAGACCCAAAGAATCCTCAGGGTTTACACTCACAGTACCTCGATTCCTGTATATTCCAAGATTTGTGGGAAGAAAAAGTACTAAGCTTGGAGTCAGGAGGCCTGATGTTTCTTCCTTTCACCAAGCTTCTCTAGTTCTGTTTCATTATCCCCATGGCAACAACTAGCAACAGTGACTGGCATTTAGTAGGCCCTTCATAAATATATGTTGAATAAACTCTAAAAGAGGTAGCTTTTCATTCCAAGTTGAGTTCTCTCTTGGTCCTGTTGCAGGCAAGGGCAATGGTACCCTGCCCTAGGTGCACAAGTGTGCAGGAGGGATCAATCGCAGAGCCTTTCCGAGAGAAGGGGCCCAAAGCGAGTCAACTTCTCTACTGAGCTTCCCATGAGGATGCTGGATCCCCAATCCTAACCATGCAGACGTCTGAGGGTCGCCGCCATTAACGGGAATGATATGGCCCTTCCTCCCCCACTCCCTCCTCTCTTCTCCCCTTTCAACACTTGAATTGGGCTCTCCGCTACTTCCGCACAGCGCAGGACCCACACGAGCCCAGAACCATCACGGCCTGCTAGTTCCCACCCCTCCCGTCCTGGAGGACCGTAGGTGGACGCTCTTGCAGAGCGCCTCTCGCTGGTTGGGGCGGGGGTGGGCGGAGCCAGCACCGTCTGGGCTGTGGAAGCGGAGGGGGTGGGGACACTCTGGCCCGGTTCTCGGTGGTGCGGGAGCGGGCGGGAGCAGCGGCCGCTCTGGTCGGCGGACGTGCTGCCGAGTAGTCCCGGAAGCGAAGCAGCGATGGCGGAGAGTCCGACTGAGGAGGCGGCAACGGCGGGCGCCGGGGCGGCGGGCCCCGGGGCGAGCAGCGTTGCTGGTGTTGTTGGCGTTAGCGGCAGCGGCGGCGGGTTCGGGCCGCCTTTCCTGCCGGATGTGTGGGCGGCGGCGGCGGCAGCGGGCGGGGCCGGGGGCCCGGGGAGCGGCCTGGCTCCGCTGCCCGGGCTCCCGCCCTCAGCCGCTGCCCACGGGGCCGCGCTGCTTAGCCACTGGGACCCCACGCTCAGCTCCGACTGGGACGGCGAGCGCACCGCGCCGCAGTGTCTACTCCGGATCAAGCGGTGAGCCGGGGTTTTTCCTCCCCCAGCCCCGAGCTCCGGGGCTCGACCTTCCCCGCCCCCCACCCTCTCCCACTACAACTCACCCCCCACCCACTGCGCTGCCCTCGCGGCGGCCCACCTCCACGGCCCAAATCTTGCCAGCTCCGGGCGTCGGGATCCAACTCCCTTCTCCCCCCACCCTCAGACCCGCAAGCACCAACCCCCGCCTCGTGTGCCCAGATCCGACCCCGCCCCTCGACAACCTCCCGTGAGCCCTCCGTCTCCATTCCGGCCACCCTCCCCCACACCTCCCACCTCCGGGTGGAAACCCGACCCTTTAGCGCTTCAGTAACGCCCCCTCCCGCCTTCGGCGCCGCCCCTATTTCCCCTTCCCCACCCCAACCTTGCTAGATGCTGCCCGCAGGCCCCACCCATCGGTCCCCTCTCTTCTCCTCTGGAGCCCCGTTCCTAACACAGACGAACTCAGCTTCCTTTGCCATGCCTCTGACTCGAGCCAACCTTTCTTTTTATCCTCCGTTTTTCTCAGATTCCCTCCACACAGTCTTTTCCCAGGTCTAGATCGCTTCCCTCGCCCCAATCTTTCCTTGAACCCCTTTTCCAGTGTCCCAAAGCTGTCCACTCTTACGCCTCTTCCAGAAACACAGGCTACCTCCCCCCAATTCCCCAGTGCCACTCTGGATTGTAATATCCCACTCAGGAGCTTCTTTCTTGTAATTTCCCTCCCCCCACCCCCCACCCTCCCCGGGTCGTCTGTTTTACTTCTATGAAGCAAATATACTCATCAAATATAGGAACAAAGGCCTAAGTCCTTTCTGTGCTTATTTCTTGGGTGACTGATCTTAGATCCTATCATTTAGTAGATGATGTTTTCCAGAAGCACATAGAATAGTACCTATCGCATAAGAAAAGGGCAGTGCTCTTTAGCTATTAATCCTGAAACCTGTTTGACTTCTCCCCATGCCCCCATCACAAGCATCTTCGTTTAGTTCTTATTCCCCATGTTCCACGTCCTTTCAGATGTCTCTGTGTCTACTTTTCAAGGTTGTAATAAAAATTAATATAATGTGTGTAAAGTACCTGGCACAGTGCCTGACACAGGAGGTCAACTGTGGAGGGATTGCCACCTCTAACTGAAACTCAGCACTCAACTCTTTTCCTCCTCCAGCCATTTCAGTCATCCAATTCTGACATACCTTTGAGTTTGGCCAATGCTTTCCTCTGCTTTGTCGCCTATTTGCCCTTTTTATGTCCCTACCCACCCTAGCAAGTCCCTAGGCTTTTCGCCACCTAGAATGTTCTTTAGCCCCTTGCTCTCAACTGATCCATTCCAGTTGGTGAGATATGAGTCAGAAATCTTATCTCCTATGGAAGTCCACATGTCATCTTCCAGATGGGAGATTCTTAGCAATTTCTGAGGATCCCTCCCCAGCCTGAAGAGATCTCTACCCTGAGACACCCCTGGGCAAGAAGGCCACCATGATAGTCTTACTCTCTGCTGGCTGGCTTGCTTCATACAATCCCCTTACCAATAAAGGTCCACTGTATAGTTTATAGAATTAGTTTTTTAGTGGAGTTGATGATGCCTTTCCAGTTACTAAAAAATCTTCATTTAGCATTCAGTCGTAGTACCTGGGAATCATGGAGGTGGGGAGTGAATGAATTGCCATGTGGGAGGAAGTGAGAGTAAGTGGAAAGTGGCTTTTCCAGGCTGACATTTGATGCCATTGGGATCTCTGATTTTTTTCCTCTCTCCCTCCCCTCCCCCTGAGGAAACAATGCCCTTTTGATAATAATTTGCTCTCTGCCTGCCTGACAAGTACTCAGCTGAGATTTCTCAGCCAACAAGACAGTACAAACACTTGCGGTACCAAGCACCACTTTCTCAAACCCTGGCCTCATTGAGGTGATAACAACTGTCCTGCTCAAGGGATTCCCCCTTTCCCCCTCTTCCTCACTCCTTCCCCCACCTCCTCTTGGTGTTATACAGGGATATCATGTCCATTTATAAGGAGCCTCCTCCAGGAATGTTCGTTGTACCTGATACTGTTGACATGACTAAGGTATGTAACTTGATGGGGGTTTGGGGGGTTTTGGGAAATTGGGGGCCATAAGGTTGCAAAAGCCTAAAAGAGATTATTCAGCTCACCTCTCCGATTACACAGATGAAGAAATCAAGACCCCAGGAGAGTAAGTGGCTTGTCCAAGGTCACATAGTGAGGTGGAGCAGCACTTTGAAGAGGTGTCTGTTATTAGTGTACCCCATAGGTACTGATTGGCTTGGAAAATCCCAGTTCATGTCTGTTGTCGCAGCTTGACTATTTATAGGGCATTCTTTCACTCTCAAAAATGCTCCTGTTTGGATAATAAATTATATGGTCACCCTATCCATTGTACTACCCAGCTCTTCCCCCATCCCGTTACTCTTGACATTAACTATGCTATGGTACTATAAATCAGATGTAGGGAAGGTTGGGAATAGGGCAAGCTTGACTGAAGTGTTTGTGGTTAAAGGACTTTGCTCAGGATCCTGTCCTTACTGGTTGCGTTTAAGTATCCCTTCCACCCCAAAGACTATACCTCTCTTGTCCTCCTCTCAGAGAGAAAGCTTAATACATAATGTCACATTTCTCTGGCATAGATACCTAGGTTTCTCTGTCACTGAATGCTCTACCCACAGAAGTGCAGTTGCACTTAAACTGATGTTAGAAAGAAATCATATTTCCTAAACCTAATGCTGTTTAAGTGAAACACATAGTTTTCTTACAGTAAATTTCTTACAGTAAAAATTCAGATTTTGTATTGTTGGTGTATCTTTTTTTGTTGTTTTGAATAGATTTCCCTTCATATTTTTTTTTTATGTAGTTAGAAATGTTTTTCCTAGGACATCTCGTCCTCAGTCAAGTACCAGTGTTAATAGCCTAGTACCTGGGGTCCCAGAGTTGATGCCATGTTGAGACCAGTTGAGTTTACTATTCCAAATGACTGAGAGCCAGAATATGACGTAGGGTCTTGCCAGGAGGGCAAGGTGGGAACTATAGACTTAGGCATTGGATTGCCACGTCCCTTTCCTTTTGCTGTTCAAATGCTTAGCAGACCTAAATGCCTAGGAGCCTTTGTGGAAGAAGAAATATAACTGAGTCAGTTCAGGTTTTCCTCCCTTCAGGGGGGGAAATCCTGTTGAAGAATTATGGCTTGAGGGGGAAGAGAATTTAGTGTCGTTTTCAGGACGGCTGATTTTTTTTTTTTTTTTTTTTTTAAACAGTATTGGGGAAAGTTCTGGGACTGGTCTAATGGCTCTGAGTGGACCCTGAGTCTTCCCCATTTTCAGTCATGATGTGCTGCCTGAGCCACATCCTCCACAATAGGTTTGATCCTCTGCAGAGGAAGCAAGCAGATACCCTAGGCATCCATCACACCCCCTAACCCTGCTGTGTTACTGGCACTGGGCTGTGGCCTCCAATCCCTTTCTTCGTCTCCTTTCATCATACTTTCCCTTCGTGCCACATAAATGTAGGGTGGGGTTGCATCATATGCATGTTTGGCCTGGGCAAATCCAAACATATATTCAGTCAAAATCTGTGTCGATTTCTCAAAATTAAAAACGCTAGGGTTATATTTTATAGATAAGCATATTATATTTTTCCACAGTGGTGTTTTATCCATTATATGTAACACTGATCAGGGAGGTCTGCACAAAAAAAAAAAATGCTTTAAGAGAGTTTTAGGGGATACTCAAGAGTGATTTTGACTAGATTCAGTTTTCGCCTTGGGCTCTAACTTTAGAAGTAACCCCTGAGTAAGATGTCATTCCACTGTAATGAGATTTCTTAAAATTCCAAACCTACGTATTAGTATGAGTGAATACAGGATGTTCCTTCTGCATGGTGAGGATATAGAACATGTGTACCAGATTATGGACTCTGCTTCTGGTGTGGGTAGTAGGTGGAGGGTAGCCAGGAGGGCTTGGGGTGGGTCATCACCTCACAATTTTGAGATGGGGTTTTATTTTGCAGATTCATGCATTGATCACAGGCCCATTTGACACTCCTTATGAAGGGGGTTTCTTCCTGTTCGTGTTTCGGTGTCCGCCCGACTATCCCATCCACCCACCTCGGGTCAAACTGATGACAACGGGCAATAACACAGTGAGGTTTAACCCCAACTTCTACCGCAATGGGAAAGTCTGCTTGAGTATTCTAGGGTAAGAGGAGACTTTTAAGTAGCCAAGTCGGTTGTTAGCAGATAATTACTCTAGGTCAGCCTTTATCAACCGGAGTCCCTCATCTGAACTACAGAACACAGAAAATGATTGAGTGACTCTTCTCAAATCTCCTCAGGATGGTATGTGACTAGTATCATTCTAGATGCAGAGGGGAGAAGTTAATTTATTACAGTGGTAACCTTTGAGAAGTGGTTCTCTTAAGAGTGTGGCCCTGAGCATCTGGGAACTTGTAGCCGAGCAGTTTCTGGGGCCCTATCTTAGACCTACAAAAGAAACTCTGGGGTTGGGGCCAAAAATCTGGTTTTTTTGGTTGTTGTTTTTTGTTTGTTTTGAGACGGAGTCTTGCTCTGTCGCCAGGCTGGAGTGCAGTGGCACGATCTTGGCTCACTGCAACCTCTGCCTCCCAGATTCAAGCGATTCTCCTGCCTCAGTCTCCCAAGTAGCTGGGGCTACAGGCGTGCACCACCACACCTAGCTAATTTTTGTATCTTTAGTAGAGACGGAGTTTCACCATGTTGGCCAGGATGGTCTCGATCTCTTGACCTCATCATCCACTCACCTTGGCCTCCCAAAGTGCTGGGATTAGAGGCATGAGCCACCGTGCCCGGCCCAGAAATCTGTTTTTTACAAGCTCTCCAGATGATTGTGGTGCATACTGCAGTTTCAGAACCACTCTCTTGGGGTGTTAAGGCCTTATTTTCTCTCCTGAACAGGTTGAGAAAGGCTGCAGGTCTGTGCCATTCAAGATTTGGGGTGTCTTAATTTGAGTCTTGCAATAAGTTGCTTTGAAGGCAGTGGCGGTGGTGGTGGTGGTGATCATTATGGTTTCATTTTTGTTTTGTTTTGTTTGTTTTTGTTTTGTTTTGTTTTGTTGGTAGAGGCAGGTATCTCACTATGTTGCCCAGGCTGGTCTTGAATTCTTGTCCTCAAGCAGTCGTCCTCTTGTGGCTCCCAAAGCACTGGGGTTACAGGCATGAGCCTCCATGCCTGACCTGATTATAATATTTTAATAATGACAAATGTCTGAGATTGGAAATCACATTAGATATGAAATGAGTTTCTAGTGCATCTTCTTTCTGGATGCTTCTGAGGTTTTGCTTCATAGAGTTCCCATTTTAGTTGCCTTTGGGGGCTGAAAACTCAGTGTGGACATCTTCTCGCATATTTTGGATTGGTGTTTTTATAGTGGTCTGAACTTCTCTGGGACAGAGAACACGTGCAGGTTGAAGTTGAGAAAGTACCCCCAAACTGATTATTCTGTTTTCCTGCTATCCAACATGTTTCCAGGTTTGTGTGAGGGAAGAGCAGCATTTGAAATAAACTTAGAGACATGATTCATTTTTCTAGGACTTGCTCAGACCCAGGGATATGTTCTGCTGTGATTTTGGCAGTGAAGAAGTCTTTTAAAGGAGGTTGTCCTTAAAGAAGTACTTCATCTCGTTAGGGTACTTAATTAATTGTCTTTGCTGGTAGGCTAAAACCCATGATGATAAAGAAATTTAGTCGTTGCTTCTGTATGAAATTTGTTCGCGAAAGCGTGTCTCAAAGTAGGCTCTCCCTCATTGGGTCAATATAAAACTCTTTTGAGATACCAGCCACAGGACAG
Source organism: Homo sapiens (assembly GCF_000001405.40). Taxonomy (NCBI): domain Eukaryota; kingdom Metazoa; phylum Chordata; class Mammalia; order Primates; family Hominidae; genus Homo; species Homo sapiens. The sequence goes on from NC_000017.11 coordinate 48,914,649, forward strand.
TGGGGTAAAAGTAGTAGAAGTGTGTTAGGTAGAAAAGGAGAAGCTGCCCTGAAATTGAAAATTTGCCATAAAGAATCACAGAGTAGAAAATTTCAGCCGGGTGCGGTGGCTCACACCTGTAATCCCAGCACTTTGGGAGGCCGAGGCGGGTGGATCACCTGAGGTCAGGAGTTCGAGACCAGCCTAGCCTGGCGAAACCCCGTCTCTACTAAAAATACAAAAATTAGCCAGGCATGGTGGCGCATGCCTCTAGTCCCAGCTACTCGGGAGGCTGAGGCACAAGAATTGCTTGAACCTGGGAGGCAGAGGTTGCAGTGAGCCAAGATCACGCCACTGCACTCCAGCCTGGGTGACAGAGGGAGACTTTGTCTCAAAAAAGAAAGAAAAGAAAATTCTTAGGTGTTCCTAGTTGACTGTATTAGCTTTATCAGCCATGTTTTTTTTTTCCTCTTTACCTAGAAAACAATGTTGGGCTGACTTACTGACAAAAGAAATTTAACGAGAGTTGACTCTGTTGTAAAGCTTCAGAGAGCAGTAGGTCTAGAGTTCCTGGGGGAGCAAAGCTGAAAAGATAGAGGCACTTAAGAGCAGTCCCCAGTGAAGTTACTATTAGGCATTACTGACTTGGGCTTTCCTCAAGTACAGCAGGGAAACAGAAGCAGGCAGTCAACTTGAACAAGCCAGTCCTGGCTTAGGTTGTGTTCGGCTTCCAGCTCCGGTGCCATCTCTTCAATTAATTGAGCTAAAAATAAATGTCATTAACATCCAAGCTGTCCCCTCCCCCTAATACTTGGTTGGGTTTATGAAAGAGAGGAGCAATTTTGGTATTTGACGTTTTCCATATATTATTTTCAGACCTTCCACTGTCTGGAAGCACCCCTTATTCTCTTCCTGTTCTTTGGAAGAGTTGTGTAGTCTTAAGAGAATTTGACACTCCTTGGGGGTTTGATACAGAACTGGATCCCCAATAGCCCCACCACATGGCCTCTAACCAGATGGCTTCAGTCACCTGTGTCCCTTTATGCTCAACTTCCCTCTCCCCTCACTAACTCCATCACCACCCATAAACAAGCTCTTTGAGATCCACGGAGATTAACATTTAGACAACTTTGGAGCTAATTGCTTACCTAATTTCTTTTGTTTTGATTGTCGTAACTGTTTCTAGTACAAAGAAAATCCCTTCAAAGTTACATAGCTTGCTATTACCTGTTCTTTTGCCCCCCCCCCTTGATTTGAGGATTAGGCAATTGACTGATTTCTGGTGAAATCAGAACATGAGCATGAGACAGAGGCTGGGAAATTCCAGAGTATTAATAGTGAAAGAGAAACTTATGGTGAGTCACTTATGGTGGTGTTGCCGGGCCCCAGGGTACTTGTTCCCTATTCTTTCTCTGCCTCACCCTCCATTCCTTCTGATGTGTTTACAGTACATGGACTGGACCTGCCTGGAGCCCAGCCCAGAGCATCTCCTCAGTGCTCATCTCTATCCAGTCCCTGATGACTGAGAACCCCTATCACAATGAGCCCGGCTTTGAACAGGTAAGGCCAGATGGGCCTGGCTCTGGGGTGTAGACTATTGTTTTTGTTTGTTTGGTTGGTTGGTTTTTTTGTTTTTTTTTTTTTTTGAGACAGAGTCTTCCTCTGTCACCTAGGCTGTAGTGCAGTGGTGCAATCTCAGCTTACTGCAACCTCCGCCTCCCGGGTTCAAGCCATTCTGTCTCAGCCTCCCAAGTAGCTGGGACTACAGGCGTGTACCACCATGCCTGGCTAATTTTTATATTTTTAGTAGAGATGGGGTTTCACCATATTGGCCAGGCTGGTCTCCAGCTCCTGACCTGGTGATCCGCCTGCCTCGGCCTCCCAGAGTGCTGGGATTACAGGCGTGAGCCACCGCGCCCAGCCAGAATAGTGTTTTAAGAGATCTGCTTGGGAGGTTTTTTTTGTTTTGTTTTGTTTTGTTTTGTTTTGGACCTAGCACAGCCCCATGTACTACATTTGTTGGTATAGGGAAAAAAAGGGAATTGACACGTGTTTTTTAGTAATGAAATTTTTTGCCGACCACTGTGGCTCACACCTGTAATCCCAGCACTTTGGGAGGCTGAGGCAGGCAGGTGGATCACCTGAGGTCAGGAGTTTGAGACCAGCCTGGCCAACCTGGTAAAACCCCATCTCTACTAAAAATTAACTGGTCAGAAGTTTGAGACCAGCCTGGCCAACATGGTGAAAACCTGTCTCTACTAAAAATAAAAGAAATTAGCTGGGTGTGATCACTTGAACCCTGGAGGCAGAGGTTGCAGTGAGCTGAGATCACGCCATTACACTCCAGCCTGGGTAAGGAGCGAAACTCGGTCCCCCCACCCCCAAAAAAATAATAATGGCCAGGCGCGGTGGCTCACACCTGTAATCCCAGCACTTTGGGAGGCCGAGGCGGGCAGATCACAAGGTCAGAAGTTTGAGATCATCCTGGCTAACACAGTGAAACCCAGTCTGTACTAAAAATACAAAAAATTAGCTGGGTGTGGTGGCAGGCGCCTGTAGTCCCAGCTACTCGGAGGCTGAGACAGGAGAATGGCGTGAACCCAGGTGGTGGAGCTTACAGTGAGCCAAGATTGGGCCATTGCATTCCAGCCTGAGCGACAGAGCGAGACACCGTCTTAAAAAAATAATAATAATAATGAATTTTTTTATTTGTGAGAGTTACAATAAGTATGTGACTTGGATTCCTTTATAGCATGGAAGTCAATGGACTCCTTTGGAAATTAATTCTGACCTGCTTTGGGGGTTGTGGCATCCAGTGGGTTCTATGTGCCTATATTCTCAGCATCCCCTAAAGTTGCTCTGTAGGGACTACTACCCAGCCAGCTGTTCTTCTGGGGTTATGAAGGACTGTTACCTGCAGAGTCAAAGGAGCTAGTCATTAGGAGTCCCGGGCAAGACTTTTTGAGTTAACAGTGCCAACGAGAAGGTGGAGAAAACTCACATTTTTCCAAGAGCATGCTCTGTGCTGGACACTACCAAGTTTTTATATATAATTTCTTGTTTAACCTTCATACTATGTGAGGTTAAATATGGTTATTCCCATTTTCAAGTGAAATAATGTTGCCTCAGAGAGGTTAATTAACTTTCACAAAGACACACAGATCAGGATAGGACCCCAGACTTACATTGGAGCCCAACTTCTCCCACTCTTCCGATGTGCCTTCCTGAATTACTCATGAGCACGGGAAAAAGTTCCAGTGATAGTCCCAAAAGAAAATGATTCCGGATAGGTGATTAGAACAGCTTAATTAATTTATTTATTTTTTGAGACAGAGTTTCACTATTGTTACCCAGGCTGGAGTGTAATGGCACAATCTCGGCTCACAGCAACTTCTGCCTCCCAGGTTCAAGTGATTCCTCTGCCTCAGCCTCCCGAGTAGCTGGGATTACGGGCACGCACCACCACACCTGGCTAATTTTTTGTATTTTTAGTAGAGAAGGGGTTTCACCATCTTGGCCAGGCTGGTTTCGAATTTCGGACCTCAGGTGATCCACTCGCCTTGGCCTCTGAAAGTGCTGGGATTACAGGCGTGAGCAACCATGCCTGGCCAACTTAATTTATTTTTAAACTATTACATATGACACCAACTTTGATTCTTCCTCTATAGACCTGAACAAAGGATAATAAAATGCCTTTCAAAAATGAAAAATAAAAATTTTTTTTGAGACAGAGTCTCACTCCATCACTCAGGCTGGAGTGCAGTGGTGTGATCTCGGCTCACTGCAGCCTCCACCTCCCAGGGTCAAGCAATTCTCCTGCCTCAGCCTCCTGAGTAGCTGGGACTACAGGCGCACACCACCACGCCTGGCTAATTTTTGTATTTTTAGTAGAGGTGGCGTTTCACCATGTTGGCCAGCTGGTCTTGAACTCCTGACCTTAGGTGATCAGCCTGCCTCGGCCTCACAAAGTGGTAGGATCACAGGTGTGAGCCACAGAGTCTGGCCTCAAAAGTTAACAAAAATTATTTCCTAACCCATCCTTTCTCCAAACATTCATTTCAGGAGGAGAGTCTAATTGAAATAGACCTCATTAGCAGGAGCTGATTTTTAGGTCTTGTCTTTTTTTTTTTTTTTTTGGAGGCAGACTCTCACTCTGTCACCCAGGCTGGAGTGCAGTGGTGTGATCTCAGCTCACTGCAACCTCTGCCTCCCAGGTTCAAGCGATTCTAGTACCTCAGCCTCCCAAGTAGCTGGGATTACAGGCACACACCATGACGCCTGGCTAATTTTTGTATTTGTAGTAGAGATGGGGTTTCGCCCTGTTGGCCAGGCTTGTCTTGAACATATGGCCTCAAGCAGTCTGCCCACGTCCGCCTCCCAAAGTGCTGGGATTACAGGTGTGAGCCACCATGCCCAGCCTTGTGTTTTTTATTTTTTACTTCCAGAATGACTTGCAGTTGTTTTTATTTTATTTATTTATTTATTTTTTATTTATTTACAGGCACACACCACCACACCCAGCTGATTTTTGTATTTTTAGTAGAGACGGGGTTTCACTGTTTTGGCCAGGCTGGTCTCCACCTCCTGACCTTATGATCCACCTGCCTCGGCCTCCCAAAGTGCTGGGATTACAGGTGTGAGCTACCGCGCCTGGCCCATCAGCTATTTTTATCAGAGGCCAGGGCTCTAATTGACTGGGGTTGGTGGTAAGAGGAGAAGAGCACAGGAAAAATTAAAGGAGTAGAGGCCATACTCCCCTTCTATTCACACCATAGTGAGACCCTGTTTATATTGGCTTTCTAGACCAAAGTTGAAGTTTATCTTTCGAAGCTTCTGATAGATTTATTTCTAATTGTACTATTTCTTTGAGACAAAGTCTTGCTTTGTCACCCAGGCTGGAGTACAGTGGCACAGTCATAGCTCACTGAAGCCTCGAACTCCTGGGCTTTAGCCATCCTCTCACCTCAGCCTTCTGAGTAGCTGGGACGACAGGTGCACACCACCAATGCCCAGCTAATTTTTGTATTTTTTATAGAGACGGGATCTCACCATGTTGCCAATGCTGATCCTGAACTCCTGAACTCAAGCGATCCGCCTGCATCGGCTTCCCAAAGTGTCGGGAGTACAGGCATGAGCCATCGGGCCCAGCCCTACTTCTGATTTATAATAATTGGTTCAATGATGGTGGGACCCTAGAGACATATAACAGGTAAAGGGGTTAACCAGGAAGCATCCTTTACTTGTTGATGCCTGAAGGTTTTCTACACTGAGACTCTTCACTTCATTTATACCTTTTTGTCCCACCATCATTCTTTCTGTCTTTTTTTTTTCTCCCCCTAAAGAGACAAGTGTTTCCCAGCCTGGGCAACGTAGTGAGACCTTGTCTCTACCGAAAAACTTTTTTAAAAAAATAGCTGGGCATTGTGACATGTGCCTTGAGTCCCAGCTACTTGGGAAGCTGAGGAGAGGAGCATCGCTTGAGCCCAGGAATTCGAGGCAGCAGTAACCTCTGATCATGCCACCACTCTCCAGCCTGGATGACAAAGCAAGAGCCTGCCTCTTAAAAATTTTTTAAATAAAAGACAAGCCGGGTGCGGTGGCTCATGCCTGTAATCCCAGCGCTTTGGAAGGCTGAGGCAGGTGGATTACCTGAGGTCAGGCGTTCAGGACCAGCCTGGCCAACGTGGTGAAACACTGTCTCTACTAAAAAATACAAAAACTAGCTGGGCGTGGTGACAGGCGCCTGTAATCCCAGCTACTTGGAAGGCTTGAGACAGGAGAATCGCTTGAACCCAGGAGGCGGAGGTTGCAGTGAGCTGAGATCGTGCCATTGCACTCCAGCCTGGGTGACGAGCAAAACTCAAAAAAACAAATAAATAATAAAAAATAAAAACTCGGGGCCCACCATGGTGACGAATGTCTTTAGTCCCAGCTACTCAGGAGGCTGAGGTGGGAGGATCGCTAGAGCCCAGGAGTTTGAGGATTGCTGGAGCCCAGGAAGTCAAGGCTGCAGTTAGCTGTGATGGTGCCGCTGCACTCCAGCCTGGGCAACAGCAAAGACCCTGTCTCCAAAAAGAAAAACTGAAAAAACAGGAACTTACTTTGTTGTCTAGGCTGAACCCAAACTCTTGGGCTCAAGTGATCCTCACACCTTGGCTTCCTGAGTAGCTGGGACTATTAGTTTATGCCACCAGGCTTAGCAACCCTACCATCATTCTTATGTTTGGTTATTTCCCACATAATCTTTACTTGATAGACCTTTCACTTCACATTCAGGAAAATATGATGGATCTAGTTTGCTGGTGATAGGCCAAATGACCTGTAACCTGTTGGTATATTTGGAGGGTGGTGGAGGTGAATGGTGTCAAAAATAAAGGTGTGGTTGCTCTTCATGGATCTGCCATACAGTGGGAAAGGTATCTTTTTAGTTTGTGTGACTGGCTGACATACCCCATACTAATCTTGAAGTCCCTTCCCATTGGTTTTCTTTTTGCTTAATTTTTGGAATACTCTGGCATCTGTTACATTATAGGAGAGACATCCAGGAGACAGCAAAAACTATAATGAATGTATCCGGCACGAGACCATCAGAGTTGCAGTCTGTGACATGATGGAAGGAAAGTGTCCCTGTCCTGAACCCCTACGGTATGTGTCAAGCGGGCTTGCTTGGTATTCCTTTCGGGCATTTGGGTAGTTGGCATCTTTGGGGCAGAGTACAGTGTTGGGTACCAGAGGGAGATAGAGAAGAAGGAAAGATGTGGTTCCTGCTTTTAAAGAACAAGTGGCTGAGGGTTACCCAAGAGGAAGTTCAGAGAGCTACTCTGTTGTTGGAGAATGCCATGCCTTTGGGAGAGGCAGTCCACACGCTCAGGGAGCTTCCAGTTTGATGAAGGCTTGGACGTACTTTTTTCCAGCCAAATGTGTAGAGTACTTCATAATAAGACTCATTTCTTAGTGCTGAAGTTATTTTTAAGTGCCAAAACTGGATGAGCAACGTCAGGGTTAAATAAATAAACTTCTAGGAGAATTTTGAGTAAGGTTTGGGATTGGGGATGGCTGATGAAAAGCAATGGAGGTGGAGCAAGTCATGAGTTGAAGTTGGGATTCAAATGGTGAGTATTGGCTTGGTGGTGGCTCACGCCTGTAATCCTAGTACTTTGGGAGGCTGAGGCGGGAGGATCACTTGAGCCCAAGAGTTCGAGACCAGCCTGGGCAACACAGGGAGACCCCATCTCTACAGAAATTTTAAAATTAGCCAGGTGTGATGGCACGCTCCTGCAGTCACAGCCAGTCAGGAGGCTGAGGTGGGAGGATTGCTTGAGCCTAAGAGGTTGAGGCTGCAGTGAGCTGTGATGACACCACTGCACTCCAGCCTGGGTAACACAGCAAGACCCTGCCTCAAAAAGAAAACTAATGGTGAATATTACAGTCACACTCATAATTCCTGATGTGTAGGGGAAGTCAACCACGGGCAGTTAGGTGTTCCTTTTTCCAAAAGGAACTGTAATCCCAGCACTTTGGGAGGCCAAGGAAGGCAGATCACCAGGTCAGGAGTTCAAGACCAGCCTGACCAACATGGTGAAACCACATCTTTACTAAAAATACAAAAATTACCCGGGTGTGGTGGCACGCACCTGTAATCCCAGCTACTCAGGAGGCTGAAGCATGAGAATCACTTGAACCTGGGAGGCGGAGGTTGCAGTGAGCCGAGATTGCGCCACTGTATTCCAGCCTGGGCAAAAGAGCGAGACTCAGTCTCAAAAAAATAAAAAATAAATAAAATGAAAAGATCTTTGTAGAAAACAGATCTGGACTTGGGAATGGTAGGTATTTAATTTGGCATTAAGGTTAGGTAAAGAGGCCAGGTGTGGTGGCTTGCGCCTGTAGTCCTAGCACTTTGGGAGGCCGACGCAGGCAGATCAGTTGAGGTCAGGAGTTCCTGACCAGCCTGGGCAACATGGTGAAACCCCGTCTCTACTAAAAACAAAAATTAGCCAGGCGTGGTGGCATATGCCTGTAATCCCAGCTTCTCAGGAGGCTGAGGCAGGAGAATTGCATGAATCCGGGAGGCAGAGGTCACAGTGAGCTGAGGTTGCACCACTGCACTCCAACATGGGCTACAGAGCAAGACTCCATCTGAAAAAAAAAAAAGGTTAGGTAAGGAAGGGGTGACCTGTACCCCTGGGTTTCTCACTTACACTTTTCTGCTTGTTTTCCAGAGGGGTGATGGAGAAGTCCTTTCTGGAGTATTACGACTTCTACGAGGTGGCCTGCAAAGATCGCCTGCACCTTCAAGGCCAAACTATGCAGGTAATACAACCCCTGCTGCTAATTGCAGAAGCCCTACAGCTGGCCATGTAAAAGCCCCCCACAAGCGTGGCATCGACAGCTGTCATAGAATGACACAGCTAAGCCTGGGTTCAGTGGCTCATGCCTGTAATCCCAGCACTTTGGGAGGCCAAGGCGGGCGGATCACGAGGTCGGGAAATTGAGACCATCCTGGCTAACACGGTGAAACCCCGTCTCTACTAAAAATACAAAAAATTAGCCGGGCATCGTGGCGTGTACCTGTAGTCCCATCTACTCAGGAGGCTGAGGCAGGAGAATCACTTGAACCCAGGAGGCAGAAGTTGCAGTGAGCTGAAATTGTGCCACTGCACTTCAGCCTGGACAACAGACCGAGACTCTGTCTCAAAAAAAAAAAAAAAAAAAAAAAAAAATAGCCAGGCGCGGTGGCTCACGCCTGTAATCCCAGCACTTTGGGAGGCTGAGGTGGGCAGATCACCTGAGGTCGGGAGTGTGAGACCAGCCTGGCCAACATGATGAAACCCCGCCTCTACTAAAAACACAAAAAATTGGCTCAGCGTGGTAGCATGTGCCTATAATCCCGGCTACTTGGGAGGCTGAGGCAGGAGAATCGCTTGAACCTGGGAGGCCGAGGTTGCAGTGAGCTGAGTGCACTCCAGTCTGGGCAACAAGAGCGAAACTCGGTCTCAAAAAAAAAAGCTAAAAGCAACCTATATCATTTGAGGGACTGAGAGCCAGAGAGGAGACTGATTTTCATGAAGTCATAGGGAACTCTTTACTTTCCTTGGTCAGTAGCCTCTTTTTTTTTTTTTTTTAAAGGCAGGTTCTCACTCTGTTACTCAGGCTGGAGTGCAGTAGCTGGGTCACAGCTCACTGCAACTCCAAACTCCCAAGCTCAAGCAGTCCTCCCACCTCAGCCTCCCAAGCTGGGACTTACAGGTGTGCACCACCACAGCTAGTTTTTGTTTTGTTTTGTTTTTTGAGACAGAGTCTTGCTCTGTTGCTCAGGCTAGAGCAATCTCAGCTCATTGCAACTTCAGCCTCCCAAGTAGTTGGGATTACAGGCATACGCCATCATGCCCAGCTAATTTTTTGTGTTTTTAGTAGAGACGGGGTTTCACCATGTTGGCCAGGCTAGTCTTGAACTCCTCACCTCAAGTGATCTACCTCCCTCGGCCTCCCAAAGTGCTGGGATTACAGGCCCTGTTTTGTTTTGTTTGGTTGTAGAGATAGGGTCCCACTCTATTGCCCAGGCAACTCCTGGGTTCAGGTGATCCTCCTCCCTTAGCCTCCAAACTGGGAGGCTGAGATTATTACAGGTGTGAGCCACTGCACCCAGCCCATAGTGTTTTGAAGCTAAGATGCGTTCAGCCCTCCCAGAATCTTAGGGATTATATGAATCCTCTATTTAAATTCTGTTCCCAGCCCTGAGGGTTGATCACAGAAACAGTAGCTTAGAGAAACAACATACCTGTAGTGTCACATGTTGAAAGATTCCTATTCAAAGATGATAACCATTGTTCATTCTTTGCCTCTACTGGGAAAAGTGTGCTTTTGCTTCCCATAAGAACTCAAAATTTAGGCTTGTTTTAAGGAAGGAGGCTATCATTGACCAAATTGTAGATAGACAGCCAGGTGCGGTGGCTTATGCCTATAATCCCAGCACTTTGGGAGGCAGAGGTGGACAGATCTCTTGAGGCCAGGAGTCCAAGACCAGCCTGGCCAACATGGTGAAACCCCATCTCTACTAAAAATACAAAAATTAGCCAGGCATGATGGCTCATGCCTGTAATCTCAGCTACTTGGGAAGCTGAGGGATGAGAAATGCTTGAACCTGGGAGGCAGAGGTTGCAGTAAACTGAGATTGCACTACTGCACTCCAGCCTGGGCAACAGAACAAGATTCTGTCTCAAAAAAAAAAAAAAAAAAAAGACAAAAATTATAGATAGACTAATGTAAACCACCTGGTTGGTAAGAGAATGAGAATTCTCCTGTCCTGGAGAATCAGTTCTTGGGTGTTTGGATCATCTTACTGGTGGTCTTGCTTAGAAATGGGATACTCGTGGGGCCTGGCGCAATGGCTCATGCCTGTGATCCCAGTACTTTGGTAGGCCGAGGCAGACAGATCACTTGAGATCAGGAGTTTGAGACCAGCCTGGCCAACACAGTGAAATCCTGCCTCTACTAAAAATACAAAAATTAGCCAGATGTAGTGGTGCGTGCCTGTGGTCCCAGCTACTTAGGAGACTGAGGCACAAGAATTTTGCTTGAACCTGGGAGGTGAAGGTTGCAGTGACCCGAGATCACGTTGCACTCTAGCCTTGGCGATGGAGCCAGACTCCACCTCAAAAAAAAAAAAAAAAAGAAAGAAAAAGAAATGGGAGACTTGGATAATTGACTAAGATTTCTTAAGGCTCTCTCCAGCTCTCGTACTATGTCTGTTCACCCACCCCAACACCAACAGCGTAGGAGGAGATGACTTATGCCCTCCAGTGCTACTTATAAATGGTAGTTTTCCCTTCCTTCTTTCAAGGACTTTCCACCCACCTGTCTCATTTAAGCACAAAGGGCAGGGCTGGCTCAGGACTAAGTTGTCTCCTAAACCCTTTTTGAGAGTATATCAATGACATATGTCCTAGTTTGTTCCCCATCAGGAATTCTAATTGCTGGTATCCAACAGCATTAGCAATATCAGTGTGTAAAGGAAAAACAACTGGTGATGAGGGATGGGAGGGAGTACAGCATCTGGGCAGGAGGAGCATTAGAGGAGCTGGAGCCACGGATGAAAGAAACAAGATTTGCAGAATTGACAGCTCCATAGTAGTAAATGTGGAGCTCAGTCTTGAGGGAGTTAACTCTCATGAAGGAGAAGTGCAGGCTGTAGTCCCAGTGACAGTGACTAGCATCCACTGCCATCCCACTCAGGATGAGGGTAATGTGTGGGCAGAAGTATGGAAGGAGTTTTTGTGAGAGAAGCAAACAATGTGAGAGGGAAAGTTGTGTACCTTTTGGGGGCTGTTGCACTGCTTTGCTGCCTAAGTCCCTATATAGTATTTTAAACTCTTTTTTATACCATCCACTCAACTAGTTGTTTTTGAGACTTTGGGGACAATTAAACCTTTCTGTACAACGTTTAGGGATCTTTGATCTAGAACAAGAAGGACTAAGATCGAGGCTGGGTGGCCCTGGAGCAATGCCCAGAAACCTGGATGGGAATGGAGTGACGAGTCCCTGGGGAGGAGTACAGGTGCTTATCTGAAAGTCAGAACTCTTGAATTCTAGACCTGCTTCTGACCTTAGAAAAGCAGATTACCATTTTTGAGTACAGAGAATAAAGAGCAACTTTTACCTTCTGTGGTTTTTATGAGGTTAATTAAAAACATAGGCATACTTAACAATTATAATTCTGGTCTTGAATTTCTCATTCCTATCTATCTCACCCTTATTGTCCCTTCTTCCGGATATTGGTTTGCTTTTGAGGAATACCAATACATTTTCACTCTAGCCCAAGCTACACCTATTTGGGGCGGTAAGAGTGTCTTTTTTTTTTTTTTTTTTGAGACCAAGTTTTACTCTTGTTGCCCAGGCTGGAGTGTAATGGTGCGATCTCGATCTCAGCTGACTGCAACCTCCGCCTCCCGGGTTCAAGTGATTCTCCTGCCTCAGCCTCCCGAGTAGCTGGGATTACAGGCATGCGCCACGACACCCGGCTAATTTTGCATTTTTAGTAGAGACAGGGTTTCACCATGTTGGTCAGGCTGGTCTCAAACTCCCAACCTCAGGTGATCCGCCCGCCTCGGCCGCCCAAAGTGCTGGGATTACAGGTGTGAGCCACCGCGCCTGGCCCAGGTGTCATATTTTTAAGCAAAGGTTATTTTGCCTGCTGTTTGGGACTGCCTGTGCTGTTAGGCCTTCCTGCTCCCATGGCTCAGAAGTTGAGCTTTCATTTCACATGGGCCCGAAGTTGCTTTCTCTAGGATCAGCCACCCAGACTTGAATCTTCCATCCCCTTGTCTCCTTTCCCCACAGGACCCTTTTGGAGAGAAGCGGGGCCACTTTGACTACCAGTCCCTCTTGATGCGCCTGGGACTGATACGTCAGAAAGTGCTGGAGAGGCTCCATAATGAGAATGCAGAAATGGACTCTGATAGCAGTTCATCTGGGACAGAGACAGACCTTCATGGGAGCCTGAGGGTTTAGACCCTGCTCCCATCTCCCCTTCCCCCACTCAAGAGTCCCAGCAGAATCCCTTCCCCCCACCCCAGGGATGGAGAGGCACTGTGTATCTCCCTCCAGACTCGAAGTCATCCTGCAAGATGGCAAGAACCAAGCAAGCTCCGATCCCAGGGTGTGGGAGTGGGGGCCTGTTCCCGGTCTGACCTCCTTGGCACTGGAGCATCTGGGGCTTCGTTCATCCATTCATCCCGTATCAGGGGCCAAGGTACCTTTACAGGAGCACCTAGAGCGAGGGCCTTTGGCAAAAACAAAACAACCAACACACCTCTCCACAGGGCCAGCTCCTTAGGGATAAGTGGAAGATGGAAATTGCAATTCCAAGAGGGAGTGTGCCCAAATGATTTATGGGGATACCTGGAAGGGAGCTTGGGGTGGGGGCTGTCTGTGACACTTAAGCAGTCTGGGTGGTTGTCTATTTGTCTGTCTTCAGTCTTGAAGCAGGGCTTCCCAATGCCCTTTTCCTCCCTGCCTTCCTTCCCCCATTATTTCCCACAGGCCAGCATAATTTTGTTTTTCCTAATTTATAGTCACTGTTCTAGACAGACCAAAGAGAAGGAACAGTGGTGGAGTCTAGGCTGCTGATCAGTAAGCTTTACCTAGCACCTGAGCACCTTTCTCCCCTCCCCTCTTTCCTCACCCTTTTCTAGATGTAAGACAGAAAGTAAATGTGACTGGGACTTAACCAAGGTCTTGGTAAAGCCTGCATGGCACCGTAAGAAGCTGAAAATACTGTTTGTTCCCGCAATCACTGATTTGAAAAGTTCCCAACACAGGCAGCTGCTGTGTATATGGGATTAGAGCCACTACATAGAATAGTCTCTTACAGATTTTCATAAATACTAGTCACAATAAGGGTATTTTTCTTGGGGGTGGAGTAAGGGGGAGACTGATGCTAGTCCTTGTTGTATTTTGTTGGGCTGTCCTTGTGTATTTTCACCCCAGCCTGTAGTCCTCCTCACTTCAACCCCAGGGATTTTTGGGGAGCAAGGGTAGCCAATGGCAGAGGGGGTTGGGGCTGGGACTCTGGAGGCTCCTCCCCTTCTTTCTCTTCCTTCCGCCTCCCCCGTGCCCCCAGCTGCTCTTGTCACTGTCTCTGATGGGTATTTGCCTGGCTTTGTTGCTTCTCTATCTGTATTTAGCTGCAGTGATCCTTTAGCTGGTTGGCTCAGAAAAAAAAAAATGTGCTTTAGGTGCCCTGTAATCCTGGGCATCAAGGGAATCCATCCTTCCCCTTTTTGATATGTTCTCCCCGTACTTCCAGATTTATTGTTATGGCTCCCAGTGGGTATTGGCGATTCTTGTGATGCAGGGCCTCAGTCAGTGTCCAGCCATGCATAAGGGAGAGGATAGTGTGTACCTGCCCTGCCCTCTGCTATGAAGGTCTCTGCCTTGTGGATCATGGGACTCCCCTTGGAGGATCTGTGCAAAGGGGGGCTGGGCACAAAGGAGAATGTCCTATTTGGGAGGGCAGGAAGCAAAGGAACTGGACAGGGATTGGTGGGCTTGGGGAACGGAAGTTTATCTTGGATACCCTTGAAGAGGCTGGGTCTCTTCACATGAAGATCGAAAAGGGACCCTGCTTCCAATTTCCCTCTTCCATTCCTCGAGCTACTCCAGGGCTTAGAAGAATGCTCTTGGTCTGTGGGTCCAGTGTTGTCTGTCATCCATTTAAGTGTTCCCACTTTCAAGTGACAATCCTCTCCTTGGCCCTGCCATAGGGCAGAGCATGTCTGGCATAGCAGCCTGACTTTTATGCCCTAATCTTGAGTTGAGGAAATATATGCACAGGAGTCAAAGAGATGTCTTTATATCTGACTGTATATAAATGAAGTTTTTTTGTTTTTTTTGTTTTCCTTTTTGGTGCAATAAAGTTTGTTTTGGCAGAAGGAGGAAGTGCCTGTGGGTGTGGGAGGGCTTGTGTAAAGGACGAATGGGATCATCTTGTCAACCACACCTCACCTAGGCCTGGAACTGTTAGGGAGAAGGAAAGTGCCATGAATTGTCTGGAAACCGAAGACTTGCATAACATGGTGGAAGGGCAGGGCTGGGTGGGGAGAGCAGGACAAGTTTTCTCATTGGAAATGGGGTCCATGCTCTGGCAGTCAGTGACATCTTAGTTTGAGTGGTTTCCAAAGACAGACCTATTCCAGAGCTTGGAGTGAGCATGTCCTACAAGGATAGGCAGAGGAAGAGATGGGCCCAGGCTATATCCTGCTAAAGGAAGGGTCTCAGTATGGAAAAACCATTGAGTTTTCAGATTTCCAGTACTAAACTAGCACTTTTAGGATCTTAGCCTTTAGACCATAAGGACTTTGGGAGCCTTAAACAACTCTGGCCTCTTCCCTCATCACCACTTCTACTTGCTATAGGAGATTCTTGCTTTCTGATGCAGAGGCTTTTACTCTTGGCTGACCACGTGTGTAGAAAAATGTCTACACACAGTATGTGCTGCCATTCTGTACTATGCAGTGATACATGAAGGCATGGGCTCGGGTTAATAGGCCTAGGCACCAGCTTTAGCTCGGCTGAAGCTGGCGGCCCCTGGCAAATTACTTTGATTGAATCACCTGTGATGTTGAAGGCTGCCTACTTGGTGAAATTTAAGTGAGCTGTATGTAAAATGGCACAGGGTAGGTGTTCAGTAAATGACTCCCTTTCCCACTACTGAGGCTAGAGGGACCTGGCAATCACTACAGGAGGGTGAGAAAGCTAGTAGGGAATTTAAGAAAATAGAACATTCCCTAACTATTGTTTGATTCCCCTCAGATTCCATTGTTTTCTTTCCTCCAATTTAGCCACGATTGGACATTGACTTCTATTTCCTTCATACTCACAGCTAACTCTGTCATAACCTAGAGCCTCTACAGAGGAAGCCAGAAGAGACTGAAAGTGAATATTATTTACTGGTCCATTAGGACCAGCTAGTTTGAGATAAGGAACATTTTATTTAAAAGGTTTGAATTAGCATAGGCTGTAATCTATGTCTCACAGCTACAAAGACTAGACAGGCCAGGAAACAACCCACATTCTAGGCCCAGCTCTTCCATGAACTTGCAGATGACCTACAAAAATCATTTTATATGTGCTTGCCGTTCTCTGTGTTAATCAGATTATGCTTACTGAACGAGCGAGGTTTTCCTCCAATAAAAATGCAACGTGAAGGCACTTTTCAAAAATAAAAGAATGAGGGAAGAAAGAAAAACTTGGAACTTTTTTTCTATTTTTTGTATAAACAAAATTGCCCAGGTTTATTTGCCACCTCCGCCTCCTCCCTGCCTGCTGCTGTGTGCCCTTCCACATGCAGTCAGGGGAGGGCTTCTCTGGCCTCCTCAGCTGTAATCTCCTGGGAGTAGAGGTCAGTGAAGAGAGCTGGCAGCCAGTAGTGGGCCTCCCCTGGGGCCTGTAAGTCCAGCCACGCCAACCCTTCCTTCAGCAGGTGTTCCTGGAGGGAAAAGGGAAGAAGAGCAGTTTGAGAACAGGGAGGTTCCATAGACAAAGGGTAGGTAAGCAACCCCCACACCTATTTTGGCTTCAGTGAGGTTTTCAAACTAAATCTACTAAGTGCCTTCAAACCTTTACACAACCAACTAAACGAGCTGTTTGGCCTTGGCCTTTGCCTGAATTTGAAAAATGCTACGAAGTCATTTAACTTGTGCTGCTGGGGAAGAGGGGTAAAGCCTAGCATAGTGGAATATAGTGGAAAGAACATAGCTACAGAAATATTTGCTGTGTGGCCTTCAGCAAATCACTGCCTCCATTTTCCCAGAAACTGTTAAACAGAGATCACTGTTTAGCTACCTTTGAATTAAGTTATTCCGGGTAGCAAACATGATTGACCATACTTATGCAAGAATAGACTCAGTTCCTAGAGCTGGAAATAATATGCTCAAAATGGGTGGTTTCTGTCCAATATCATTAGGTAAATAATTATGTTATCCCCATTTTACAGATGAAAGGTTTAGACAGTTGAATTGTTTGGATAAGGAAAAAAGGTACTGAAGCCGGAGTTCTTACATTGCTCCCTCTTCACATCATTCATTCTTCAGTACGATGAAATTTGTATATATAAAGCTAGAGTATATACTATGCAATATAATGCTTAGTGGATAATTAGATATGTAATTAACGTAGTTAATAATTCACTGTACTAACAGTGTTACTTCCAGTACAAACTACATTAATCTCCTGACCAGCAACTCCAGGCTCAGCATGTTCAGGAGAGAGAGTGTCAGTTCCCCAAGTAGCAGGGGCAGCCTGGTATTGTGTGCATGCCAGAGTTAGGAACCTGCCTTCCTAGTTCTACCTTTTTGGTGCCATCTTCAGAGAAGTGCTGGGCTTCCTTCTAGCATGGCAGCAGTAGCCTTCAAGGCAGAAGGCCAGCAAAGCAATGCTGAAGTTCCTGCATTTGTGGAACCCACATCCTCCCAACTGGGGCCTGCCTGTCTTTTCTGGACTGTTCCAAAGTTGCATACCAGCACTTGCCGCGCTCGCTCGGTCTCCCATTTAAGACTGGCTTTGATCTCACTGACAGTCACGTAGCCATTCTTCTGAAGGAAGGAGGAATGGGGATTGAATCAGTTAAGAGTGCACCTTCCCTTAGAACCCAGGATCTGCCCAGGAACAAGAGACTTACCCAGACAGGAGGAAAAGCTGTCAAGCATGAGAGAACACAGAAAATGTTTAAAGGTTCCAGCGGGGAGAGAGAGAAGTGACTTTCAGCATGACAGAGGTAGGTTGGTGGGTTCAATCCTAAAACTGGGGTACCGGCCAGGCACGGCAGCTCATGCCTGTAATCCTAGCACTTTTTGGGAGGCCGAGGTGGGTGGATCACCTGACGTCAGGAGTTCGAGACCAGCCTGGCCAACATGGTGAAACCCCATCTCTACTAAAAATACAAAAATTAGCCAGGCATGGTGGCACACGCCTGTAATCCCAGCTACTCGGGAGGCTGAGGCAGAAGAATCACTGGAACCTGGGAGATGGAGGCTGCAGTGAGCCGGAGATTGCACCACTGCACACCAGCCTGGGTGACAGAGCGAGACTCCATCTCAAAAAACAAAAAAGTGGGGTCCCTTGTACTAACATACTGAGTTAGACTTCTGCAAAGCACTCTAGAGCATGACAAGGGAAGATTCTGGACAATTAATTGATGGGAAGAAATGATGATAATCATAAACTGCTAATAACCTCCATTATTTAAATATTCAGCCCTTGCCCTGCCTCATTCTACTCATCCTCCAATACAGAAAAGCCCCTCCCTTATTTAGTTCTGTTTTACGTCATAAAGGAAACTGGGCCGGGTGCGGTGGCTCACCCCTGTAATCCCAGCACTTAGAGAGGCTAAGGTGGGTGGATCACCTGAGGTCGGGAGTTCGAGACCAAACTCAGGCCTGGCCAACATGGAGAAACCCCATCTCTACTAAAAATACAAAATTAGCTGGGCGTGGTGGCACACACCTGTAATCCCAGCTACTCGGGAGGCTGAGGCAGGAGAATCACTTGAACCCGGGAGGCTGACATTGTAGTGAGCTGAGATCACGCCATTGCACTCTGGCCTAGGCAACGAGTGAAACTCCATCTCAAAAATAATAAAACTGAACACATCTAAATACCTGATGGGGATTTGGGGGAAGATGGCATATGCTTAAGGCATGATGAGGGATGGGGGCATGGCAAACAAGATTTTTTAAAATCTGTTTTTGAAGAATCCATAAAGTAGTTTCAAAAGACATCAAAGAGTCTGGCTACCCAAAGAAATCTAGTTAGTTGTCTGCATGTCTGTCTACCTGACTAGACTGTAAGCTCCTTGAGAGCAGGAATTTTATCATCTTTATATGCCCCACAGCCTGGCCCAGTGCTTTGCACTGTAGCTGCTCAATAAATGTCTGCTGAACAAGCACAGGCCTGAGTAGTTCATCCACTGGATAGTCTCAGCAAAAGACCTGCATAATGGGGAGCACGAGCTGAGAACTGCTCCAGACTTGCCTCACAGACTGTCCCTTGCACACACACACACTCGAAGGTGCACCAGTACCTCTGCCAGCTGCAGCACCACGGTGTGATCCATATTGAGCTCAGCTGGAACAGACTGAATGAGGTAAGTGCCGCCCACAGGGATGATGCCGAAGCCAGTGCCAAGTGCCTTTAGTTTCTTGATGGCTCTGATCAGGTCATCTCTGAGGTAAGGAAGAGTTGCTTAACGACCCTTGGCAGAATCAGACCTAACAACACAGTTTCAGCTCTGCCCTGGGCAGGATACTGACAGAAAATTTAGAAGACTGCACAACTGCCAGGCGCAATGGCTCATACCCATAATCGCAACACTTTTGGGATGCCCACATTGAGAAGACTGCTTGAGCCCAGGGGTTAGAGACCAGCCTGGGCAACACAGCAAGACCTTATCTTTACTAAAAATAAAAAATTAGCAGGGCATGGTGGCAATCGCCTATAATCCTTGGGAGGCTGAGGCAGGAGGATCACTTGAGCCCAGGAGTTCAAGGCTGCAGTGAGCTGTGATTGTGCACCACTGTACTCCAGCCTGGGTGACAGAGCGAGACCCTGCCTCTAAAATAAAAGGCTGCACAACACTCAACTACGTCAGTAAAAAGACAGGGTCAAGGAGCAATAAGTGATGCTTGGACAATCATGGGAGATACACAGGAGTCAGGCTGTCTGCTCAGCGAACCACTCATTCCAACATCCAGACAGCGGTCAAAGATACACCTGCAGATGCCCATCAGGAAATGTGAATGAGTGAGCTGAAGAGGCAATGGGGGTAGTGTCACCTGTGGCAAACTAGAGAATGCTTATCTATTTTAAAGGGGGCAACCCAGCTGACTATTATTGCCAAGTGGCAATTCAAACCCAATACTGCCAAGTTTTCTGATTCTAATTGAAATCAGAGAAAAAGAAAACCTACAAAACAGTGTGTAGATCACATATCCAGCCCACATACAGAGTTTAAAACCTCTGCCAAAGCTCAAAAAATGTTATCACCCAAACAGCCAGGGAAAGGGCACTTTTAGGTAGATTGGAATGCATTCTCCAACCCCCAAAGAATAGCAAACTGAAATGCTTCAAATGCTCACCCTCTCTTCATGAAATCTGCAATGAGTATGGCTAGTAATCTTTTGTTATCACTTTCCTTTTTTTTTTTTTTAGGAGATGAGGTCTTGGCTGGGCGCGGTGGCTCACGCCTGTAATCCCAGCATTTTGGGAGGCCGAGAGTTCGAGACCAGCCTAGCCAACATGGTGAAACCCCATCTCCACTAAAAATACAAGAACTAGCAGGGCGCCAGTGGCAGGTACCTGTAATCCCAGCTACTCAGGAGGCTGAGGCAGAAGAATCATTTGAACCCAGGAGGCGGAGGTTGCAGTGAGCCGAGATTGTACCACTGCGCTCCAGCCTAGACAACAGAGCAAGAGTCCATTTCAAAAAACAAAAAAAAAAAGTAGAGATGACGTCTTGCTCTATATCCCAGGCTGGAGTGCAGTGGTGCAATCATAGCTCACTGCAGCCTAGAACAATGAGTGCATGCCTCAACACCCAACTAATTTTATTTTTTGTAGAGACAAGGTCTCACTACACTGCCCAGACTGGTCTCGAACTCCTGTCCTCAAGCGATCCTCCCACCTCAGCCTCCCAAAGGGCTAGGATTACAGGTGTAAGCTATTGCACCCAGCCTCGTTACTTTTCTTTGAATATTCTAGGTCTTCAAGATCTCATAGTAGGCTGACTCTTTGGAAGTTACATCAAAAACAGCCTTTTATCTTTTCTCAAACTGGACTCGCACATAGAGGCTGGAGAACTAGATCAATTTATATTCCATCATCTCACTACCACCTCCTTCCCCAGCCTTTCTAGGCACCTACACTACTCTCCTTGGCCTCAAATAATCTCACGACTATATACAGCCCTGGCCAGCCGTGGTGTCTCACACCTGTAATCCCAGCACTTTGGGAAGCTGAGGCAGGCAGATCACTTGAGGCCAGGAGTTCAAAACCAGCCTGGCCAACAACGTGAAACCCCATCACTACTAAAAATACAAAAATTAGCCAGGCGGCCAGGCGCGGTGGCAGACACCTGTAATCCCAGCACTTTGGGAGGCTGAGGCGGGTGGATCACGAGGTCAGGAGATCGAGACCATCCTGGCTAACACAGTGAAACCCCGTCTCTACTAAAAATACAAAAAATTAGCCGGGCGTGGTGGCGGGCGCCTGTAGTCCCAGCTACTCGGGAGGCTGAGGCAGGAGAATGGCGTGAACCCAGGAGGCAGAGCTTGCAGTGAGCAGAGATCACGCCACTGCACTCCAGCCTGGGCGACAGAGTGAGACTCTGTCTCAAAAAAAAAAAAAAAAAAATTAGCCGGGCATGGTGGTGCACACCTGTAATTCCAGTTACTGGGGAGACTGTGGCACGAGAATTGCTTGAACCCAGAAGGCAGAGGTTGCAGTGAGCTAAGATCGGGTCACTGCACTCCAGCCTGGGTGACAGCAAGACTCTTTCTCAAAGAAAAAAAAGACTATATATAGCCCCAAGTTTGTTAAAAAATAATACATGAAAAAATGCTTAGAAGGAACTACATTAAAATATATAGCAGTTGTAATCTCTTAATTGAGAAATAATGGTTTTTGTTTCCTTTTTTAAATCTATATTTTCTGTTTTCTAAAAATAGCCAGCCATACTGGCCCATGCCTATAATCCCAACTACTTGGGAGGCTGAGGTGGGAGGATTACTTGAGCCCAAGAGTTTGAGGCTGCAGTAAGCAATGATCTTGGTAGCAGTAAGCTGTGATCATGCCACTGTACTCCAGCCCGGGCAAAAGTGAGACCCTATCTCTTATTTTTTGTTTGTTTTTTGTTTTTTTTTTTCCTGTATGATATGGAGATCATACAGATTTCTAAGCTAGCCTAGACATGAGGAATAGGGAGAAAAGAGTTCCATCTGAATTTTAAAGACCTCTTTCTGTACTCCAAGGGATTGGAAGACAAGACCTACTGACTGACATCCTGGGCGAACTTGCCCCTTCCCTTCAACACCTGTTGATGTAGTTCCTCCAAAGTTATCAGACCTGTTTGGAGACAGGGAACAGAAATCAGAAAAAGAGATTACCCACTTTAAATAAGTTGACAGTCATTACAATTCCAGTGGCCTACAAGTAGCAAATAACATTCTAGTTCCTAATTTTTTTTTAACACTCTCCTTATGAAATAACTGACCATAATATGAGAAATGGATTCTGAGACCTTGCTAGGCCTGTCAACAGAGAGCTACGAAAATCTAAAAACAAAAGCAGTATCATCTTTGAAAAACTATAAATGTCCTCTTGACATCAAGGCCGTGTCTATTTATAGTTGATGATGATTTGTAAATGGTTTTAAGTTTTCTTTCTGTAACTTCAATCCACACCATTTAACGTGCTTACTAAGAAAGATGGCATCACCAGATGACAAATTTTAAGGTCACATTTTAGGGAACACAGACTCAGTTGGCATTCCCATACGTCGGAGAGACAGTGCAGGACTATAGTTACTAATGAGAAAATCACTCCAGACACATCAGACATCAGGGGAAAAGGCCTACTTCCTACCTCTCTACTATTTTCTGTACTGACTAGGGACTAGACCTTCCTGGCCAAAGATCTTTGGAGAACAGAGACAATCGTTCAGGTAATTCTATTTACCCTTGGCCATGGAGACTTGCCATGGATTCAACTGCATGAAACAGCTAAGATGTCTCTCAAGTCCTTAGAGGCCTGTAGACTGCAGGATGGAAACGATAATCTTTTACGGTTTTCTCCCTCTCAGAGAAGTCCAGAGTCCAGTTCACAGGACCTAGCCACCCTCACCTCCATTCCGATGCTTCAGCGCCAGGCACACTTCGATAATTTGGACACCTAGTTCGTAATAGAAGTCCCCCACGCCCAGCATCTCAGACCAAAATCCTTTTCCAGCTACAAGACAGAAAAACAAAATCTCGGTTATTGATTAATTTACATCCCTTCTTTTCTTTCAAACCTGCATTAAAACATCTATCATATGGGAAGTCTTCCCTGCATGGCATGAAGTTCTTCTGCTCCATCTGCTACTCAGGAAACAATCGGACTCACGGTAACTCCTGCTGAAGAACAGGGTCAGACGGCTCCAGAGGGCAGGCAATCTAAAAGTCATTTCTGGCCGGGCGCAGTGGCTCACGCCTGTAATTCCAACACTTTGGGACATCGAGCTAGGTGGATCGCTCGAGACCAAGAGTTCAAGACCAGCCTGGCCAACATGGCAAAACCCCATCTCTAATAATAATAATAATAAATTAGCCAGGAGTGGTGGCGTGCGCCTGTAATCCCAGCTACTTGGGAGGCTGAGGCAGGAGAATTGCTGGAACCCAGGAGGCAGAAGTTGCAGTGAGCCAAGATCGCGCCACCATACTCCAGCCTGGGCAATAAGAGCACAACTCTCTCTCAAAAAAAAAAAATACAGCCGGGGACAGTGGGTCACGCCTGTAATTCCAGCACTTTGGGAAGCCAAAGCTGGTGGATCACAAGGTCAAGAGATAGAGACCATCCTGGCCAATACAGTGAAACCCTGTCTCTACTAAAAATACAAAAATTAGCCGGGCGTGGTGGCGCGTGCCTGTAATCTCAGCTACTCAGGAGACTGAGGCAAGAGAATCGCTTGAACCCGGGAGGCAGAGGTTGCAGTGAGCCGGGATTACGCCACTGCACTCCAGCCTGGCAACAGAGTGAGACTCCGTTTCAAAAAAAATAAATAAATAAAAATAAATAAATAAAAATTTAAAAAATAAAACAAAAGTCATTTCTATTTGGCTAATTCTGGCTCAGGATACTGAAAAAACGAGTTTCCATTCACAAAGCATGCAGTGAAATATAATGGGAAATATGGTCTAGACAAGACTAAGAGAAAGAATATGCAGACTCAGCATTCAAAAATCCACTGAATGTTCTGTGAGTTACCAGGAGTGTAGAAATAAAAAATAAATAAATAAACAATCCACTGACGACAATATTCTATTCAGTGAAAAATGCAGGTTGGGCGCAGTGGCTCACGCCTGTAATCCCAGCACTTTGGGAGGCAGAGGCAGGCGGATCACCTGAGGTCAGGAGTTCGAGAACAGCCTGACCAACATGGAGACACCCCGTCTCTACTAAAAATACAAAATTGGCCAGGCATGGTGGTGGGCACCTGTAATCCCAACTACTTGGGAGGCTGAGGCAGGAGAATCGCTTGAACCTGGGTGGCGAAGGTTGCAGTGACCCAAGATCACGCCATTGCACTCCAGCCTGGGAATCAAGAGCAAAACTCCATCTCAAAAAAAAAAAAAAAAAGAAAACAAAAATGTAGGTTATAGAGCAGTAGTAATTATATTATAATCCCATATATGTTTACAAAGTTGGGGCCACGCCAGGAGCAGTGGCTCACGCCTGTAATCCCAGCACTTTGGGAGGTTGAGAGGGGCAGATCACGAGGTCAGGAGATCAAGACCATCCTGGCTAACATGCTGAAACCCTGTCTCTACTAATCATACAAAAAATTAGCCGGGCATGGTGGCACATGCCTATAGTCCCAGCTAGCTACTCAGGAGGCTGAGGCAGGAGAATCACTTGAACCCAGGAGGCGGAGGTTGCAGTTAACCAGGATCGCGCCATTGCACTCCAGCATGGGCAACAAGAGCGAGACTCCGTCTCAAAAAAAAAAAAAAGCAGTAAATTATATAGTGCAATGCCTGGCACACAAATAAATATCGTTTATGATTGTTATTCATTGTTTGAGATAAAATCAGTCATCTGTAGCCGGGCGCGGTAGCTCACACCTGTAATCCCAGTACTTTGGGAGGCCGAGGCGGGTGGATCACGAGGTCAGGAGTTCAAGACCAACCCGGCCAAGATGGTGAAACTCCGTCTCTACTAAAAATACAAAAAATTAGCCGGGCATGGTGGCACATGCCTATAGTCCCAGCTAGCTACTCAGGAGGCTGAGGCAGGAGAATCACTTGAACCCAGGAGAAGGAGGTTGCAGTGAGCCAAGAGTGTCACACCACAGTACTCCAGCATGGGCAACAGAGTGAGACTCTGTCTCAAGAAAAAAAAAAAAAAAAACACTGGGGCCAGGCACGGTGACTCATGCCTCTAGTCCCAGCTCCACTTGGGAGGTTGAGGCAGGAAAGTAACTTGAGCCCTGGAGTTGAAGGCTGCAGTGGGCTGATTGCACCAATGCACTCCAGCCTAGGTGACAGAAACCTCAATGCTAAAAAATAATAAATTAGTAATTTCTTTTTTTTTTTTTTTTGGGGGGATGGAGTCTCGCTCTGTTGCCTGGGCTGTTGTGCAGGGGCGCGACCTTGGCTCACTGCAACCTTCACCTCCCGGGTTCAAGTGATTTTCCTGCTTCAGCCTCCCGAGTAGCTGGGATTACAGGCATGTGCCACCATACCTGGCTAATTTTTTGTATTTTTAGTAGAGACAGGGTTTCACCGTGTTAGCCAGGATGGCCTCATCTCCTGACCTTATGATCTGCCCGCCTCAGCCTCACAAAGTGCTGGGATTACAGGCGTGAGCCACCGCGCCCGGTGAATAATTTTTTTTAAAGTTTATAAGTATGAGGAAGGGCTCAGTGCAGTGGCTCACATCTATAATCCCAGCACTCTGGAAGGCCAAGAAAGGCCGATCACTTGATCCCAAGAGTTGAAGACCAAACTGGGCAACATGGTGAAACCTCCTCTCTACAAAAAATACAAAAATTAGCCAGATTTGGTGGTGCAGGCCTGTAATCCCAGCTACTTGGGAGGCTGAAGCACAAGAATTGCTTCAACCTGGGAGGCAGAGGTTGCAGTGAGCCAAGATGGCACCACTGCACTCCAGCGTAGGTGACAGAGCAAGACTGTCTCAAAAAAAAAAAAAAAAAAAAATTTTTTTTTTAAACAAGGTCTTGCTGCAGCCTCAACTTCCCAGTCTCAAGCAATCCTCCCACCTTAGCCTCCCGAGTAGCTGGACTATAGACACATGCCACCACACCTGGCAAATTTTTATACTTTTTGTAGAGATGGAGTCTCGCCATGTTGCCCAGGCTGATCTTTAACTCCTGGATTCAAGTGATCTGCCTGCCTTGGCCTTGCAAAGTGCTGGGATTACAGGCATGAGCCATTGCACCTGGCCAAAATTAAATATTTTTTAATAAAGAGGGAAAATGCCATAAAAAATTCTACTGTAGATCATTCAAGGAATGATCACAGACACTGGCTACTCAGCCTATAGTCGGTCTATCTTCCATATCAGACTGGGAACTAGCCATCCTGCTAGGTACTCCCTAAAGACGACACCCTTGGCCAGGCGCAGTGGCTCATGCAGGTAATCCCAGCACTTTGGGAGGCCGAGGCGGGCGGATCACGAGGTCAGGATATCAAGACCATCCTGGCTAACATGGTGAAACCCCATCTCTACTAAAAACACAAAAAATTAGCTGGACGTGGTCGCGAGCACCTGTATTCCCAGCTACTCGGGAGGCTGAGGCAGGAGAATGGCGTGAACCCGGGAGGCAGAGCTTGCAGTGAGCCAAGATTGTGCCACTGCACTCCAGCCTGGGCGACAGAGCAAAACTCCGTCTCAAAAAGACAGCATCCTCTGGGTCTTCCTGCAGGCCTTTCTAGTGGATGCCCCAACAGTGGTAACAACAACTATGTGAGCTTCTGTTCCTCAGGTACTCTATAAGAACGCTGGACCCCTACAGACAACTTCTTACAGGCCAGCGGATCCACGCCAATGGTTGCACACATGTCCTGGAACTGCACACGGAACTCAGGATTCTTCCGGATCTCCTGCTTGTGTTTGCTGGCAAATTCCTCCAGGTTGGTCTTGAACATGTCCAACTGCTTTGACATCTGTTGGATGGACAGGGAGTGGTGAAGGGCAGCCCAGCCAAATGATAATCAGATGCCAAAAACAGGTCCCCAGCCCTGTGGCAGGGCAAAGGCTGAAATAACCAGTCTCCCTCAGCCTACCATTATGCTGTTTACCATCTCTCTTTTTATCCCTGCCTCTCCTTCACAGTTCTGTTGTCAGCAGAAATGGGATGCTGTACTGTTTTCTCACTTCCAAAATACACAATTTTTCATGTATTCCTCTTCTAAAATCAGCATGCATTTAATAATCAAGGTGCACATATATACAACCAAATATATGCACAAAAAAAGAAAAAGGTATATATATAATGTGGTATTCCTTTTCTTTTTCCCAGAAAAACGTATTAATTTGAAGATGTACCTAATAATTCATCATATCTTAGAAATGAGGGAATGCAGTGTTCACCCATTAGAAAATCTTTACCCCCCCCAGCCGACAGAAAGGCTGGATGGGAAAAAGTGAAGCGTCACATGAATCTGTTTATAACCTTTGAGTCTGGCCAGGAATGGTGGCTCACACCTGTAATCCCACAACGGATCACTTGAGCCCAGGAGCTCAAGATTAGCTGGGGCAACATAGCAAGACTGTCTCAATCAATCAATATTTTTTTTTTTTAATTTTTTTGAGACAGAATCTTGCTTTGTCGCCCAGGTTGGAGTGCACTGGCACAATCTCAGCTCACTGCAACCTTCGCCTCCCAGTTCAAGTTGATTCTCTTGCCTCAGCCTCCCGACTAGTTGGGACGACAGGCATGCACCACCACACCTGGCTAATTTTTGTATTTTTAGTGGAGACAGGGTTTCATCATGTGGGCCAGGCTGGTCTCAAATTCCTGACCTCAAACAGTCCATCTGTCTCAGCCTCCCAAAGTGCTGGGATTACAGATGTGAGCCACCGCACAGGGCCAATCAATCAATCAACCAATATAAATTAAAAAAACAAAAAACTTTTGAGTCATGAACCTCCCTGGGGATCAACTCCAGATAAAGAACTGCTCTGGGACTGTAATTTGCCAGATTCCATTTCATGTTAAATACAAAAGACTTGGGGATTTTCTGACTTTGTATTACCCCTTCTCTTTTCCTAATTAACAAGGACCATCTTCTATCCCACCAAAAATAAGCACTCCTAGCCCAATATTTATTTCTCATATAAAACTGTTAGAAACCTCCACATTCTTAGGCGGAGGTTGCAGTGAGCCAAGATCACGCCACTGCACTCCAGCCTGGGCAACAAGAGCGAAACTTGGTCTCAAAAAAAAAAAAAAAAGAAACCTCCACATATTTTAATCACCATTTTCAGTTGATTCCTGCATGCCATCTCCCCTGTGAGTGGGTGCTTTTGAAGAGCACAGCCTGGGTTTACTATTTTTCCTCAGCTCACAGCCCCATTTTCCTGCTTAACGGCTTCCTCCACTTCTTCCCCAATCACAATCACTGGGTAAACTCGGAGCACGTACAGAGAAGGGAAGGGCTGGAAAAGAAAACTGCACAGGAGCTGCACCCCCCATCACTCACACACTGTCCTGGTATGTGCCTAGATGTCATGATGGTGGTGTGGGTGCCACAGGTTAGGCAATATTTTCATTTTATTCTGAGGTATTTAAAATGAAAAGCCCCAGAGGACCTAAATCAATAACAGCTCTACCACTTACTACCCATATAACCTTGGATATATTACTTAACACCCCAGTGTCCTCAATTTCTGCCCACCTCGGCCTCCCAAAGTGCTGGGATTACAGGCGTTAGCCACCGCACCCGGCCTTTTTTTTTTTTTTTTTTTTTTTTTTGCTTTTTTTTGAGATGGAGTCTTGCTCTGTCCCCCAAGGTGGAGTGCAGTGGCATGATCCTGGCTCACTGCAACCTCTGTCTCCTGGGTTCATGCAATTCTCCTACCTCAGCCTCCCCAGTAGCTGGGACTACAGGAGCCCGCCACCACGCCCGGCTAATTTTTGTATTTTTAGTAGAGACGGGGTTTCGCCATGTTGGCCAGGCTGGTCTCGAACTATGGACCTCTGGTGATCAGCCTTCCTCAGCTTCCCAAAGTGCTGGGATTACAGGCATATGCCACAGCACCCGGCTCTCAATTTTAAACTCAGAATATGGCCGGGCGCGGTGGCTCACGCCTGTAGTCCCAGCACTCTGGGAGGCCGAGGCGGGTGGATCACCTGAGGCCAGGAGTTTGAGACCAGCCTGGTCAATATGGCGAAACCCTGCCTCTACAAAAAAAAATAACAAAAATTAGGGCCCGGCACAGTGGCTCACGCCTTTAATTCCAGCACTCTGGGAAGCCAAGGTGGGCGGATCACGAGGTCAAGAATTTGAGACCAGTCTGACCAACATGGAGAAACCCGTCTCTACTAAAAATACAAAAATTACCCAGGCGTGGTGGCGCATGTCTGTAGTTCTAGCTACTCGGGAGGCTGAGGTTGGAGAATCACTTGAACCCAGGAAACGGAGGCTGCAGTGAGCCGAGATCGTGCCACTGTACTCCAGTCTGGGCAACAGAGCAAGACTCCCTCAAAAAACAAACAAACAAACAAACAAACACCTCAGAATAATAGGGTTCCTTCCTTATGGGACTGTAATGAGGATTGAACAAGACAGTCTATGTAAAGAAAATAGACAAATGCCTGGGACGTTACAAGCATGTAATCACTCAAAGATGTTAGCCATTATTGTTATTAGCAAGTCACCTAAAAGATCTCAGCGGCTCAGAAATCAAAATTTGCCAAACACCCTATTTCTAGTTCAATCTACACAATCAAGTTCGTATCCAAGGTGTCTTGGCCAGACCTGGTTAGGTCTCCCTCCCTGCCTGGGGCCCCCCAACCGACTTACCTGGGCTAGCTGGTCCTCAGCCAAGACCGTCCCTCGCTCCTTATACTTGGCCTGTCAGACAAAGAGACCAGCATAAGTTAAGAGAGTGGGCGCTGGAGGCCAGGCGCGGTGGCTCACGCCTGTAATCCCAGAACTTTGGGACGCCGAGGCGGGCGGATCACGAGGTCAGGAGATCGAGCCATCCTGGCTAACACAGTGAAACCCCGTCTCTACTAAAAATACAAAAAAATAGCCGGACGTGGTGGTGGGCGCCTGTAGTCCCAGCTACTCAGGAGGCTGAGGCAGGAGAACGGCGTGAACCCTGGAGGTGGAGGTTGCAGTGAGCCGAGATCGCGCCACTGCACTCCAACCTGGGCGACAGAGCAAGACTCTGTCTCAAAAAACAAAACAAAACAAAAAAACACAGAGTGGGCGCTGGGTTCCCCCATTTGTGCTGCCACAGCTTTGGGATGAAAAGAGGAGGATCTCTGTAAATTGTTTTCTTAGGGAGAAGGATAGGGTGAAGGAGTAGAATCGACGACTGTAGATTTGTGAGTAGAATCCCATTTGTAGTTAAACTTGGGTAAATGGGAGAAAGGGCTGGGCATCTGGGAACGCTGCCAATCCACCGGAAGCTGGAGAAATTCTGTGTCCCGGGGCCGAGAAGCCAGTCTCAGATTCTGTTGGGAGGTGATTAACGGGTAGGACACTGCTCCGGGACAATTCAGTCTCGCACGGGTCAGGGGCAGGTTGTGGGTCGGCCTTCTTCCTGCTCACCTCTGCAAGTTTCTTCTTGGCGATGGCGCCAGCTCCCACCCCGCGGCGGTGCATCCCCACCCTGGGCCCGCGGGCCGCCCGGCTGCCGGGACCCCGGGTCTCCACGTCCCGGACTCCGCCGCCGGCTCCCCAAGGCGGAAGCCCGAGCCGCGCGTCATCTGCACGCGCCGGAAGCCACGAGCCGCATTTCCTGCCGCGAGGCTGAGTGTCTCCAGTTCCTACCGGCCCGGCGACCCCGCCTTTAGCTAGTGGCCAAGATTCGCAAAGCCTCGCGGCGAGGAAAGCACGAGTATTCAAGCGCGGCTGAGGCCCTCCTTGGCTAGTGCTGGGACATGGAGCCCCGGCAGCCAAGGCCAACCTTGTGCATTCCACCCACGTAGGCGCCTGGGGCCCTGGTCTTCCTCGACTGCCTCTCCACTGCCTGGAGGTCATCAAATGCCCCTGGACCACCTCCTACGTGCCACACGCTGTGTTGGCCATCCAAGGTTCCATATTGAGCATAAAACAGCCCTCTGCCCTAAAGGAGTTAACCTGTTGGAATCACATACAAAGGATTCTGACTACCAAGCGCCTTGAAGTTAAGTTGAACTCTGAAGACAGATTGCCTGGCTACAAAGCTCAGTTCCACTACATATGGTCCAGGAACTTAAGACAAATTATTTTAATGTCTTTATGTTTCACTATCCGCTGTAGTGAAATAGAATAATACCTACTCATGGCCTGACGCGGTGGCTCAAGCCTGTAATCCCAGCACTTCGGGAGGCTGAGGCGGGCGGATCACCTGAAGTTAGGAGTTCGAGACCAGCCTGGTCAACAAGACGAAACCCCGTCTCTACTACAAATACAAAAAAATTAGCAGGGCGTGGTGGTGCGCATCTAATCCCAGGTACTCGGGAGGCTGAAGCAGAAGAATCGCTTGAACCCAGGAGGCGGAGGTTGCAGTTAACCAGGATCGCGCCATTGCACTCCAGCATGGGCAACAAGAGCGAGACTCCGTCTCAAAAAAAAAAAAAAAAAAAAAAAAGCAGTAAATTATATAGTGCAATGCCTGGCACACAAATAAATATCATTTATGATTGTTATTCATTGTTTGAGATAAAATCAGTCATCTGTAGCCGGGCGCGGTAGCTCACACCTGTAATCCCAGTACTTTGGGAGGCCGAGGCGGGTGGATCACGAGGTCAGGAGTTCAAGACCAACCCGGCCAAGATGGTGAAACTCCGTCTCTACTAAAAATACAAAAAATTAGCCGGGCGTGGTGGCTGGTGCCTGTAATCCTAGCTGCTCGGGAGGCTGTAGCAGAGAATTCCTTGAACCTGGGAGGTAGAGGTTGCAGTGAGCAGAGATCTTGCCAATGCACTCCAACCTCGGTGACAGAGTGACTCCATCTCAAAAAAAAAAAAAAAGGAAAAAAACGAAAAAGACCCAGGTTCCTTAAGCGAACCAGGAGGTGGTAGTTAGGCTTCTCCACATGGAAACCCCTTAGTTTCACTGGCCATGGCCAAAAACCTGCAGTTGCTTCCATGTTTGGGCGCTGCCCACCAACGGTCCTGGGTTGGAAAGGAAGACAGAGAGAGGGAGAGATTCCCCTTTATGGAGTAGAAAGGAAAAGGAAAAAGGGGGAAAATAAATCCCAAACTTTGGGCTTACATTTTCCTCCTGGCTGGCTCGCCAAAATATGTTAACGGTGGAGGGTGTTCCAGGTTCTTGGGGTTTTGCACAAACAACTGGACAAAACGCACAAACAAAGCAAGGAAGGAATTAAGGGATTTATTGAAAATGAAAGTAGCACGGGCGCGGTGGCTCACGCCTGTAATCCCAGCACTTTGGGAGGCTGACCCAGGTGGATCACTTGAGGTCAGGAGTTCGAGACCAGCCTGGCCAACATGGTAAAACCCTCTATCTACTAAAAAAAATGCAAAAGTAGACAGATGTGTTGGCTCACACCTGTAATCCCAGCTACTTGAGAGGCTGAGGCAGGAGAATCACTTCAACCCGGGAGGCCGAGGTTGCAGTGAGCCAAGACCACACCATTACACTCCAGCCTGGGCAACAGAAGGAAACTCCATCTCAAAAAAAAAAAAAAAAAAAGCAAAGAAAAGAAAACTCAGCTGGGCGTCGTGGCTCATGCCTGTAATCCCAGCAATTTGGGAGGCCGAGGCGGATGGATCACCTGAGGTCGGGAGTTCAAGACCAGGCTGACCAACATGGAGAAACCCCTTCTCTACTAAAAATACAAAATTAGCCAGGCGTGCTGGCACATGCCTGTAATCCCAGCTACTCGGGAGGCTGAGGCAGGAGAATCGCTTGAATCCAGGAGGAGGAGGTTGCGGTGAGCTGAGATTGCGCCATTGCACTCCAGCCTGGGCAACAAGAGCGAAACTCCGTCTCAAGAAAAAAAAAAGAAAAGAAAACTCTACAGCGTGGGAGCGGGCCCAAGCATAGGGGCTCAAAGGTTCTGTTACAGAGTTTTTTGTGAATTTAAATGCCCTCTACCTGGGGTACACACGCCCTATGTAAATGAAAAGGATGAAGTAAAGTTACACAGTCCCATTTACCCAGTGTATGCCCTATGAAAAGGATATTTCCTCTCATAGCTGAAGTGAGTTGCCTGCCTCTAGACCCTATGTTCCTGCCTCAGTGGCAGCCTGGATTTAATTCATCTCAGTTGTAGTAATCCAAACTAGAAATGATGAGGGCCAGAACAAAGACAGTGGCAATAAGGAAAGCGAGAATGGGACAAATCCAAGAGATATTAAGAAAGTAGAGTGAGGCCAGGCACGGTGGCTCACTCCTGTAATCCCAGCACTTTGGGAGGCCGAGGCGGGTGGATCACGAGGTCAGGAGTTCAAGACCAGCCTGGCCAATATGGTGAAACCCTGTCTCTGTGGTGGCACAAGCCCGTAGTCCCAGCTACTCGGGAGGCTGAGACAAAAGAATCGCTTGAACCCGGGAGGCGGAGGTTGCAGTGAGCCAAGATTGTGCTACTGCCCTCAGGCCTGGGCGACAGAGCGAGACTCTGTCTCAAAAAAAAATAAAAAAAGGACCAAGCGCGGTGGCTCATGCCTGTAATCCCAGCACTTTGGGAGGCCGAGGAGGGCAGACCACGAGGTCAGGAGATCGAGACCATCCTGGCTAATGCGGTGAAACCCCATCTCTACTAAAAAAAATACAAAAAAATTAGCTGGGCGTGGTGGCGGGCGTCTGTAGTCCCAGCTACTCGGGAGGCTGAGGCAGGAGAATGGCGTGAACCCGGGAGGTAGAGCTTGCAGTGAGCCGAGATTGAGCCACTGCACTCCAGCTTGGGCGACAGAGTGAGACTCCATGTCAACAAAAAAAAGAGAAAGGAAGGAA
Source organism: Homo sapiens (assembly GCF_000001405.40). Lineage (NCBI taxonomy): Eukaryota > Metazoa > Chordata > Mammalia > Primates > Hominidae > Homo > Homo sapiens. The sequence continues at coordinate 48,948,035 of NC_000017.11, forward strand.
GGAAAGAAAGAAAGAGTGGTAAAACAAATAGGGTGGCATGGGTGGGACAAGGACGAGAGATGCTCAGTATTCTACCTGGGGTAACATGGTAGTGCCATTCAGAGAGGGGGGCCACAGAATGAAGACGATATTGGCGAAATAATGAAGGGTAGAGTATTTTTGTTTTTTTGAGACAGAACCTCACTCTGTCCCCCAGGCTGGAGTGCAGTGGTGCGATCTCGGCTCACTGCAGCCTCTGCCTCCTGGGTTCAAGCGATCCTCCTGCCTCAGCCTCCCGAGTAGCTGAGACTACAGGCGCATGCCACGACACTGGCTAATTTTTTAAAATATTTTTTTATTTTTAAAAATGCGCCACCGGGCATGGTGGCGCATGCCTGTAATCCTAGCTACTCGGGAGGCTGAGGCAGGATAATCGCTTGAACCCGGGAGATGGAGGTTCCAATGAGCCGAGATTGTGCCATTGCACTCCAGCCTGGGCGTCAAGAGTGAAAATCTGTCGCAAAAAAAAAAAAAAAAAAAAGAGCTGGCTGGACACAGCGGTTCACACCTGTAATCCCAACACTTTGGGAGGCCGAGGCAGGAGGCTTGCTTGAGCCCAGGAGTTTGAGACCAGCTTGGGCAACATATGAAGACCTGTCTCTGTTTTTAAAATAAATTTTTAAAAAGAGCTGGACTGGGAGGATCTCTTGGGGCCAGGAGTTCAAGACCAGCCTGGACAATATAGCAAGACCCCGCCTCAAAAAATAAAAATAAAAAGAGCTGGACTGAGTTACAGTTTTGGAATCAACACAGTGAAATCATGAATGTGAATTTTACTAGGAAGGTTTCAAGTAAAATGATAAAAAGAGGATGAGAGCAAAGGTTGATGGCAAGACATGTAGCTGCCATTTTGGACCTAGAGGAATGGTGGAACCATGAGTCCAATGAGCTTCGATCCCTAAGGATTTTACAGAGCAGACTGTCATACTAGCCCTAGGCCACCAATCTCTGAGTGTTTATTTATTTATTTATTTTGAGACAGAGTCTTGCTCTGTCGCCAGGCTAGAGTGCAGTGGCACGATCTTGGCTCACTGCAACCTCTGCCTCTTGGGTTCACGCAATTCTGCCTCAGCCTCCCGAGTAGCTAGGACTACAGGAGCACACCACCATACCCAGCTATTTTTTTTTTTTTTTTTTTTTTGTATTTTAGTAGAGACGGGGTTTCACCATGTTGCCCAGGCTGGTCTTGAACTCCTGAGCTCAGGCAGTCCGCCCGCCTTGGCCTCCCAAAGTGGTAGGATTATAGGCGTGAGCCCAGCCTATTTTTTTTTTTTTTATTTTTAATTTTACTAGAGCGCAAACGCAGTCCACCGCTACCACAAATTACGCAGTCGAGTTTCCCACATTTGGGGAAATCGCGAGTCGGCACATCCGGAGTGCAATGGATGAGCCTCGCCCTAGGAAAACCACCTTCAGGATCATGGTATCTCCCCTGCCAGGTAAGTATTGAGTGTTTATGAGAAAGAGAAATAATGTCCTGTCTTACTGAAGCCACTATTATTTTGTGTTTTCCTGTTATTTGAAGCCAAATCTATCTCTTCTTTTTTTTTTTTTCCTTTTGAGATGGTGTTTTGCTCTTGTTGCCCAGGCTGGAGTGCAATGGCGCGATCTCAGCTCACCGCAACCTCTGCCTCCCGGATTCAAGCAGTTCTCCTGCCTCAGCCGCCCAAGTAGCTGGGATTCCAGGAATGCGCCATCACACCCAGCTAATTCTGTATTTTTAGTAGAGATGGGGCTTCTCCATGTTGGTCAGGCTAGTCTCGAACTCCCGATCTCTGGTGATCCGCCTACCTTGGCCTCCCAAAGTGCTGGGATTACAGGTATAAGCCACCGCGTCTGGCTTTTTTTTTTTTTTTTTTTTTTTTAGATGGAGTTTCCCTTTGTTGCCCAGGCTGGAGTGCAGTAGCACAATCTCAGCTCACTACAATCTCTGCCTCCTGGGTTTAAGCGATTCTCCTGCATCAGCCTTCCGAGTAGCTGCCACCATGCCCGACTAATTTCTGTAGTTTTAGTAGGGACAGGGTTTCACCCCTGTTGGCCAGGCTGGTCTTGAACTCCTAACCTCAAGTGATCCACCCGCCTTGGCCTCCCAAACTGCTGGGATTACAGGCGTCAGCCATCTTGCCCAGCTGCCAAATCTAATTTTTTTTTTGTTTTTTTGGAGACGGAATCTCGCTCTGTTGCCCAGGCTAGAGTGCAGTGGCGCAATCTCGGCTCACTGCAACTTCCACCTCCTGGGTTCAAGCAATTCTGTCTCAGCCTCCTACGTAGCTGGGACTACCGTGCACACTGCCATGCCCAGCTAATATTTTGTGCTTTAGTAAAGACGAGGTTTTACCATGTTACCCAGGCTGGTCTGGAACTCCTGAGCTCAGGCAATCTGCCCGCCTCGGCCTCCCAAAGCGCTAGGATTACAGGCGTGAGCCTCTGCGCCCGGCCTTTTGTTTTGTTTTGTTTTTTGTTTTTTTTTTTGAGACAGAGTCTTCCTCTGTTGCCCAGGCTGGAGTGCAATGGCATGATCTCAGCTCACTGCAACCTCTGCCTCCCGGGTTCAAGCAATTCTCCTGCCTTAGCCTCCCGGGTAGCTGGGACTACAGGCGCACATCATCACACCTGGCTAATTTGTGTATTTTTAGTAAAGACAGGGTTTCGCCACGTTGGCCAGGCTGGTTTCAAACTCCCAACCTCAAGTGATCCACCCACCTTGGCCTCCCAAAGTGCTGAGATACCATGCATGAGCCACCACCCCCAGCCATCATATGAGGTCTTAACTACATAGCTTCCAAACACAAAACTTGGTCCCATAGGTACTCACTGACACCATCTAGATATACCTGCTTCCTCCCTTACTCTTTGACTCATTATACAGTGCCCTAAGGTATACACACTGATCCGCTCGCTCACAGTGAAGACCTTAGATTTAATCATTCATGCCTTCAAATGCATACACACATGCCTAGTCCCTTTTTTTTTTTTTTTTTTTTGTGATGGAGTTTCGCTGTTGTTGCCTGGGCTGGAGTGCAATGGTGCGATCTCAGCTCACTGCAACTTCTGCCTCCTGGGTTCAAGCTATTCTCCTACCTCAGCCTCCGGAGTAGCTGGGATTACAGGCATGTGCCACCAAGCCTGGCCAAGTTTTTGTATTTTTATTAGAGACGGGGTTTCTCCATGGTGGTCAGGCTGGTCTTGAACTCCTGATCTCAGGTGATCCGCCCGCCTCGGCCTCCCAGAGTGCTGGGATTACAAGCATGAGCCACTGCGCCTGGACTTTTTTTTTTTTTGAAACCGAGTTTCGCTCCTGTTGCCCAGGCTGGAGTGCAGTGGCGTGATCTCAGCTTACTGCAACCTCTGCCTCCTGGGTTCAAGAGATTCTCCTGCCTCAACCTCCCAAGTAGCTGGGACTACAGGCGCTCGCAACCATGGCCGGCTAATTTTGGCTTTTTAGTAGAGACAAGGTTTTACCACATTGGCCAGGCTGGTCTTGAACTCCTAACCTCAGGTGATCCACCTGCCTTGGCTTCCCAAAGTGCGGGATTACAGGCGTTAGCCACCATGCCTGGCTATGCCTAGTCCCTTAGATGCACGAAATGGACCTCAATGGCTATGCTGAGTGTAGCCACACTCAGGCAGACATGCTCATCCTCCTATGCAGATACCTTTGTACCGTTTTATAATTTTAGGGAAAATATGCTGACCAGTGATATCCTGGTAAGGGTTTAACAACTACCTTGCCAGGTTGGGAGAGGGGAACCCTGATTTGTAGCATTTGCCTATCTCCATGGTGTAAATACTCTGATCATGGGCTTGATATGTTGCCAGGATGGTGTACGGTGGCTATTCACAGGTGCCATCACAGGGCACTACAGCTTTGAACAACTGGGCTTAAGTGATCCTCCTGCCTCAGTCTCTCAAGTAGATGGGACAAGGCACTCGCCACTGTGCCTGCTTCCAGCACATCACTGAATGCTGACCATTATGGAATCCCTCGTTTGCTTTAAGTGACTCATTGGCTTCGTGGCAGGGTGGCTAAGAACATGGTCTTTTTGCGGGGAGGGGCACGGAGTTTCGCTTTTGTTGCCCAGGCTGGAGTGTAATGGTGCAATCTCGCCTCACCGCAACCTCCGCCTCCTGGGTTCAAGCGATTCTCCTGCCTCAGCCTCCTGAGTAGCTGGGACCACAGTCATGCGCCCCCACGCCCGGCTAACTTTGCATTTTTAGTAGAGATGGGGTCTCTCCATGTTGGTTAGGCTGGTCTCGAACTCCTGACCTCAGGTGATCCACCTGCCTCGGCCTCCCAAAGTGCTGGGATTACAGGCGCGAGACACTGCGCCCGGCTAGAACATGGTCTTTTATTTTTATTTTTATTTTTTTTGGAGACAGGGTCTCACTATGTCACACAGGCTGGAATGCGGTGGTGCCATCATAGCTCATTGTAACCTCGAACTCCTGGGCTTAAGGGATCCTGTGGCCTCAGCCTTTCAAGCAGCTGGGACTACAGATGCATGCCACCATGCCTGGTTAATTTTTTTAAATTGTCATAGAGACAAGGTCTGGCTTTGTTTCCCTGGCTGGTCTTGATCTCCTGGGCTCAAGCCATCCTCTCACCTTGGCCTCCCTAAATACTGGGATTACAGGCGTGAGCCACCGCACTCAGCCTCCAGTTGACCTCTAAGGTTTCTTTCAGCTCTGACATTCTTGGTTTCTATTCCTTTAAATTCCTGGAGCTCCTGGAATCTGTACACACAATTTAGAGCAAGCCTTTGTTTAGAGGGTTTATTTTAGTGATTCTCCATGATAGAACTGATTGTCTGGGGGAGAAATTTGAATCTGCATTTCTGGGGTCTTGGATGTCTTCGGGGGAGGTTAGTGAATCAAAAAGAGTTAGTTTTGAGCTGGACATGGTGGCTCACACCTATTAATATAATTCCAGCCACGGAGCAGAAGGGGGTGGAGTACCGAGGCAGGAAGATCTCCAGCCCAGGAGTTTGAGGCTGCTGTGAGCCATGATCACACCACTGCACTGTAGCCTAGGCAACGGAGGGAAACCCCCAACTCTAAAAAAAGAAGTTAGCTTTTTTCCATTTGTACAATGTTCTTACTATGGGCTCGGCATTGTGCTAGGCATTTTGTAAACATTGTCTTCCTTTTTTTTTTATCATGATGATCTCATTTAAATCCTTATCATAACCCTTTAAAAATGATAATATAATAATTGTTATTAACCATGCACTGCACTGCCTCTATGAGGTAGAAAATTAAAAGCCTTAAAAAGCCTACAAAACTACCTATCGGGCTCTATGCTCACTGCCAGGGTGACAGGACCCGTACTCCAAACCCCAGCATCATGCAATGTTCCAGTTTAACAAATCTGCACATAAATATCTGTATCTAAAATAAAAGTTGAAAATTTTTTTTTAAAAGTAAATTTGGCTGGGCGCCATGGCTCACACCTGTAATCCCAGCACTTTGGGAGGCCAAGGCGGGCGGATTACCTGAGGTCAGGAGTTCGAGACCAGCCTGGCCAACATGGTGAAACCCCGTCTCTACTAAAAATACAAAAATTAGCTGGGAGTGGTGGCACACGCCTATAATCCCAGCTACTTGGGAGGCTGAGGCAGGGGAATTGCTTGAGCCCGGGAGGCAGAGGTTGCAGTGAGCTGAGATCTTGCCACTGCACTCCAGCCTGGCCGACAGAGCGAGACTCTGTCTCAAAAAAAATAAAAAATAAAAATAAAAGAAAAAAGAAAATTTAAAGTAGGCTGGGTGACACAGCAAGACTCTGTCTCAAAAAAAAAAGGAGTTTTGTTTGGTTAGCAGAATGCCTTGAGGCACAATCCTACCCCTCCCATTGTCTTGCACTCTCCCCATTTTGCTCACAGCCAGACCTTGGGACAATCTGGTTGCCACTCTCTCCCTGATTTGATTTTATTTATTAATTTTGGTTTTAGGTAATTTATTAGGATAACTTACAGACAGAAGGGTGGTCTTGGGTGGCCACAAGATGGGTAGATCTCCACAAAACAACCCCCAGACCCAGGGCTTATATCCTGGGGAAAAGTATAAATGCTCTGGAAGTAATGTGCAGGCGTTTACAAGCTTCACAGCCTATGATTTCTGCAACAGCATCAAGGGTTGTTTTGGAGGAAACTTACAGTGAATAAGTGTTCTACAGAAAGCGTAATACATCAAGTAGACATTTGGGAGGCACTTCTGGGTAAATCAGAAATTACATGTCAGATTAGGATTTAAAATAAAGTCCCTCTCTTGACCACACTCCACTCATCTAATCCGGCTCATACAATCTCATGCACCCACCTCTTTCACGACGGTTCCTCAGCCTGTAGAGAAGGGGGCGCTGCAGTCATTTCCATGGCATGGGTGGACAGGTTGCATTAATTTGTTTTATGCTTGTTAGCAGAGGCCACACCAACAATACAAACAATGAAACCTGGCCAAGTGACTTTAGGAGCTTTACAGCTGGTCCTGGGCTTTGTATCTTTTGCGGGTTGATGGCCCATACTCTGGATTGGAGAAGCATACACAAGGCATCAAGGTGTTGCTTTCCTGGCTTCCGGGGTGTCCTGGTGTCTTAGTTATGGATCTCCCAATATCTGCAGGTCACAGAGTGACAGAAGCTGCAGCACAGTTACGTGGACCTCCCAGAGCAGAGGATAAGGAGCAGTGAAGATAGGATGGTGCTCTGATTGGAGCAAGAAACCCACTCCGTGATATATATATATACTTTTTTTTTTTTGAGATGGAGTCTCACTCTGTCACCCAGGCTGTAGTGCAGTGCTGCAGTCTCAGCTCACTGCAACCTCTGCCTCCCGGGTTCAAGCGATTCTTCTGCCTCAGCCTCCCAAGTAGCTGGGAGTACAGGCATATGCCACCACACCCAGCTAATTTTCTGTGTTTTTAGTAGGGATGGGATTTTGCCATCTTGAACTCCTGGCCTCAAGTGATCCACCCGCCTTGGCTACCCAAAGTGCTGGGATTACAGGCGTGAGCCACCATGCCCGGCCATTCACTCCCTGATTTTATTTTATTTTATTTTATTTATTTATTTATTTTATTTTATTTTATTTTATTTTTTGACACGGAGTCTTGCTCTCTCACCCAGGCTATAATACAGTGGTTCATTTAAAGCCTTTTTGGGAGGCTGAAGCAAGCCAATTACTTGAGGTGAGGAGTTCAAGACCAGCCTGGCCAAATGGTGAAAACTGTCTCTACTAAAACTACAAAAATTAGCCGGGCATGGCGGTGCACACTTGTAATCCCAGCTACTTGTGAGGCTGAGGCAGGAGAATTACTTGAACCCAGGAGGCGGAGGTTGCAGTGAGCCGAGATTGCGCCATTGCACTCCAGCCTGGGCAACAAGAGCAAGATTCAGTTTCAAAAAAAAAACAAAAATGAAGGAAGGTCTTTATGACTCAAGGATCTTTTAAATAAGTAAATAAATATAAAAATTAAAGTCTGGGCCTGGTACAGCAGCCCACACCCCATAATCCTAACACTTTGGGAGACCGAGGCGGGAGGATCACTTGAGCCCAGATGTTCAGGACCATTCTGAGCCAAATAGGGAGACTCCTTTTTTCTTTTTCTTTTTTTCTTTTTTCTTTTCTTTTTTTTTTTTTTTTGAGACGGAGTCTTGCTCTGTCTCCCAGGCTGGAGTGCAGTGGCGCGATCTCGGCTTACCGCAAGCTCCAGCTCCCGGGTTCACGCCATTCTCCTGCCTCAGCCTCCCGAGTAGCCGGGACGACAGGCACCTGCCACCATGCCCGGCTAATTTTTTTGTATTTTTAGTAGAGACGGGGTTTCACCGTGTTAGCCAGGATGGTCTCGATCTCCTGACCTCGTGATCCACCTGTCTCGGCCTCCCAAAGTGCTGTGATTACAGGCGTGAGTCACCACGCCCGGCCTCTTTTTTCTTCTTATTTTTTTGTGAGATGGGGTCTTGCTGTGTCACCCAGGCTGGAGTGCAGTGGCACAATCTCTGCTCACTGCAAGCTCCGCCTCCTGGGTTCACGCCATTCTCCCGCCGCAGCCTCCCGAGTAGGTGGGACTACAGGCGCCAGCCACCACGCCTGGCTAATTTTGTTTTTGTATTTTTTTTTTTTAGTAGAAACGGGGTTTCACCGTGTTAGCCAGGATAGTCTCGATCTCCTGACCTTGTGATCTGCCTGCCTTGGCCTCCCAAAGTGCTGGGATTACAGGCGTTAGCCACCGCAACTGGCTTTTTTTTTTTTTTTTTTTTTTTTTTTTTTTGAGACGAGTCTCGCTGTGTCACCCAGGCTGGAGTGCAATGGCGCAATCTTGGCTCACTGCAACCTCCGCCTCCTGGGTTCAAGTGATTCTCCCGCCTCAGCCTCCTGAGTAGCAGGGATTACAGGCACCCACTATCATGCCGGGCTAATATTTTTGTAGAGATGGGGTTTCGCCATGTTGGCCAGGCTGGTCTCAAACTCCTGACCTCAGGTGATCTGCCCACCTCCGCCTCCCAAAGTGCTGGGATTACAGGCGTGAGCCACCATGTCCAGCCGAGACTCCTTTTTTCTATCTTTTTTTTCTTTTCTTCATGTCAGAAGGGTAATGAGCCAACATTGTAACAAGGTTCAAGGGTGGCACATCTCACACATGCCCGTTAACACCCAATCATCACACTCATGCACTACAAAAGGATCAGAGGATCAGACCTTTTCTCTACACAGATTTTTTTTTCTTTTCTGGTTAATTGGGCTTGGCGGCACATGCCTGTAGTCCCAACTTCTCCCAGCTACTCGGGAGGCTGAAGTGGCAAGATCGCTTAAGCCCAGGAGCTCGGGGTTGCAGTGAGCTATGATTACAGCACTGTACCCCAGCATGGGTAACACAGCAAGACTCTCCCAGTAAAACAAACAAAACCACAAAAAAACTAGAGGTCTTTGTCACCAGACTTTAAGCTCTTCGGGGGCAAGGATTGTGTCCATTTTCTTCATTGCTGTATACACAGTGTTTAGCACAGCCCTGCCAATATTAACTTTCCAATAAGTGTTTGTAGAATAAATAGATGAATTAACAGATGCAAGTAAAAACCATATTTCCTTTTCTTTTCTTTTTTTTTTTTTTTTTTTGGAGACAGGGTCTCACTTTGTCACCCAGGCCGGATGTAGTGCAGTGGTGTGATCTCAGCTCACTGCAACCTCTGCTTCCTGGGTTCAAGTGATTCTCATGTTTCAACCTCTCGATTAGCTGGGATTACAAGCGTGCACCACCACGCCTGGTTCTTTTTTTTTTTTTTTTTTTTTTTTGTATTTTTAGTAAAGACAGGGTTTCACCATGTTGGCCAGGCTGGTCTCAAATTCCTGACCTCAAATGATCCTTTTCTTTTCTTTTCTTTTTTTGTATGTGACACAGTCTTGCTGTGTTACCCAGGTTGGAGTGCAGTGGCGCAATCTCAGCTCACTGCAACCTCTGCCTCCTGGGTCAAAGCGATTCTCCTGCCTCAGCCTCCTGAGTAGCTGGGACTACAGGTGCCTGTCATCATGCCCAGCTAATTTTTATATATTTAGTAGAGACGAGGTTTTGCCATGTTGGCCAGGCTGGTCTCAAACTCCTGACCTCAGGTGATCTGCCCACCTCAAGCTCCCAAATTGTTGGGATGACAGGCTTGCGCCACCATACCCGGCCCTCTTTTTATTTCTTATTTTAAAGACAGGGTCTCAGGCAGGTACGATGGCTCATGCCTATAATGCCAGCACTTTGGGAGGCCGAGGCAGGCGCATCACCTGAGGCCAAGAGTTCCAAGACCAGCCTGGCCAACATGGCGAAACCTCGTCTCTACTAAAAATAAAAAATTAGGCCTAGCGCAGTGGCTCATGCCTTTAATCCCAGCACTTTGGGAGACAGAGGCAGGCGGATCACTTGAGGTCGGGAGTTCGAGACCAGCCTGACCAACATGGAGAAACCCCATCTCTACTAAAAATACAAAATTAGCCAGGCGTGGTGGCGCATGCTTGTAATCCCAGCTACTCGGGAGGCTGAGGCAAAAGAATCAATTGAACCTGGGAGGCAGAAGCTGCAGTGAGCTGAGATCTCACCATTGCACTCCATCCAGCCTGGGTAACAAAAGCAAGACTCCATCTCAAAAAAAAAAAAAAAATTTAGCCAGGCGTGGTGGTGGGCGCCTGTAATCCCAGCTACTCGGGAGGCTGAGGCAGGAGAATCACTTGAACCCAGGAGGCAGAGGTTGCAGTGAGCCGAGATTGCACCATTGCACTCCAGCCTGGACGACAGAGTGCGACTCCATCTCAAAAAAAAAAAAAAAGATGGGGTCTCACTCTGTTACCCAGGTTAGTCTCGAACTTCTGGGGTTAAGCGAATCCTCCAGACTCAGCCTCCCAGAGTACTGGGATTACAGGCATATGCCACCATGCCCAGACCATATTTCCTTTTCATTGGGTGGTGCCCACACACAGAGATACACAAAGACAAACATGCCCTGTTAGTGCTCAGTAGTCATTTTAATAAATTTTCACAATGGGCTCGACTTAGCATAAACTTTATTGGTTTGGGTTCTCTTGGCTATTCTGGAGTGGGGCTGAGGCAGGTGCTAAGTGAAGGGCAGAATCCAGTCCTGAGCTGGGTGTGGTCAGAGTCACCGAGACCTGGGGAGAGTGGGGAAAGGAGAAGAAGGTTGTTATGGACTTGGAGTCGGCCAAGCACATTTATCCTGGGACCCAACCATTGTTGAACCCCTCCTACCTTCAAATCACCTTTTTAAATATTTTAATTTTTATCAATTTACTTTTTTTTTTTTTTTTGAGACGGAGTCTCGCTCTGTCGCCCAGGCTGGAGTGCAGTGGCGCGATCTCGGCTCACCGCAAGCTCCACCTCCTGGGTTCACGCCATTCTCCTGCCTCAGCCTCCCGAGTAGCTGGGACTACAGGCGCCCGCCTCCACGCCCAGCTAATTTTTTGTATTTTTAATAGAGACAGGGTTTCACTGTGTTAGCCAGGATGGTCTCGATCTCCTGACCTCATGATCCACCCTCCTCGGCCTCCCAAAGTCCTGGGATTACAGGCATGAGCCACCATACCCGGCCTCATTTTACTTATTTTTTAAGAGACAGTCTCACTGTGGTGCCCAAGCTGGAGTGCAGTGACTGTTTACAGATGTGATCATAGATCACTGCAGTCTTGAACTCCTGGCCTCAAGCAATGCTCCCACCTTTGCCTCATCAAATCACCATTTTAATGATAAGTAATCAAAATAATTCACAATATCCACCTTCTTACGGAGATTTTCTTACACCCTCTTCTCCATGGATCTGCTCACACTCCTGTCCCTTCTTCCCCTCCTGAGGTTCCTGTCCCAGATTTGCTCCCTCAATCCCTCCCTAGCTGCTCAGCATCAATGTCTGAAGTGTTTTGGTTTCCGTGCCTCTGTGTCTGCATCATGAGGGTCCTGTCTCACCCTTTAGGTGGACAGGTGTCTTCATAATATTTAGTGCCTCGATTCTGGGACATAAGGAATGGACTGAAGAATTTTCTAGCTGATGAGGGGGATTCAAGAGACCATTGAAGCCAGCAGTGGCCACAGAGGAAGGAAACATGCCTCTAACTATGTAGTTTCCCATCACCAGGAAGGTGCCATGGCCCAAGGGTACAGAGGGAAAGCTGAGAACAGGATGGGCTCAGCTCTGTGTGTAGGGACAGGCAGGACACAGGATGGGCTCAGCTCGGTGGGTAGGGACAGGCGGGACACAGGATGGGCTCAGCTCGGTGGGTAGGGACAGGCAGGCCACAGGATGGGCTCAGCTCTGTGTGTAGGGACAGGCAGGCCACAGGATGGGCTCAGCTCGGTGGGTAGGGACAGGCAGGCCACAGGATGGGCTCAGCTCGGTGGGTAGGGACAGGCGGGACACAGGATGGGCTCAGCTCGGTGGGTAGGGACAGGCAGGCCACAGGATGGGCTCAGCTCGGTGGGTAGGGACAGGCGGGCCACAGGATGGGCTCAGCTCTGTGTGTAGGGACAGGCGGGACACAGGATGGGCTCAGCTCGGTGGGTAGGGACAGGCGGGACACAGGATGGGCTCAGCTCGGTGGGTAGGGACAGGCAGGCCACAGGATGGGCTCAGCTCGGTGGGTAGGGACAGGCGGGACATAGGATGGGCTCAGCTCTGTGTGTAGGGACAGGCAGGCCACAGGATGGGCTCAGCTCGGTGGGTAGGGACAGGCGGGACACAGGATGGGCTCAGCTCTGTGTGTAGGGACAGGCGGGACACAGGATGGGCTCAGCTCGGTGGGTAGGGACAGGCGGGACACAGGATGGGCTCAGCTCTGTGTGTAGGGACAGGCAGGCCACAGGATGGGCTCAGCTCTGTGTGTAGGGACAGGCGGGACACAGGATGGGCTCAGCTCGGTGGGTAGGGACAGGCGGGGCATAGGATGGGCTCTGGGTGGGTAGAGACAGGCAGGTAGGGATAGGCAGGGGAGAGCATCACCTCGCCTGGAAGAGTGAGGAAGAAGAACAAATAGTAATCAGAGCTACTAACCTTGCTGAGCTCTTATTACTCCTCAAAGATGGCCCTCAGGTCTCCACTTGAATTGTCTTTTTTTTCTTTTGTTTTTTTTCTTTGTATTTTTCCACTTGCATTCTCTTACTTAAAGCTGACAACAATCCTGTGAAATGATTCTATACCTCTGATTTTAGTGAAAACACTGAGGTTCAGAAAGGCTATGTAATCAGCCAGCATGTGGAGGGGCAAAGATCTGAATCCATGTCTGATGCCCAAGCTCAAGTTAGAACCGCTGTGCAACACCACACTCCCCTACCTGAGCCTGCAGAGGTTTGTCTGATCCAGCAAGCAGGCCAACAGCTCTTGAATCAGCAAGTCCCGCAGCAAATCTTCATCGCTGGGGTTCTTGGCTGGGGAGCTGCAAGGGAACAGTCTCTGGCTAACTATTTTAGCCTGAGCTTCGCCCAGAGAGGGTAAACACAGGGTTGGGGACACCACTGAGGGGCAGCCGCGGATGGGGGGAGGGAGCCGACACAGCTATCTCTCCGTTGGCTCAGCTCTGAGATCTGGAGCCTCCTTTCTGCCAGCCCCACCCAGCGCTGCCTGCCTGGGGAATATGGACTCTTCATACAGGGAGAGTCAAACAGAATTCTGGTATGAGATATTCTGCCCATCCACCTCTGCCAGTGTTCCAGAATGCAGAGAGTACTTTGGGCACATTCACTCTTTGAAATGACCTGTGCCATTCAGAGAGGGGATAACTGATTTCAGGGGAGTGGGCCTGGGAAGATCCCCCGCTCTTTCACAAACAGTCTTCCCGAGGTTTGGCAGGGAGAGGTGGTGAGGCCAGGACCTGAGGTCTCTTCTTTCCTGCCCTTCTCCTGACTCAGTGACTGTGCTGTGCATGCAGTCATCAATATTAGAAACCCTGTCCCTGAAACCCCTCCTAGCACCCCTCCCGTTTCTCCAAGGCTTCTTCCTTAAGCTTGGGCTGACCTCCAGGAGTTTGCTCAATGAAGACCCCTCTTTGAACTCTGAGAGGAAGAGGATGCTTATCTCAGGTCCTTGCTCTGCTCTGGGGTCAGGGAGAGGGAACAAAGAGGTGGGGGCGGGGCAGGAGGCTTGGCTCCCTCCCTTCCCTCTGCGCCCTGACTCACCTCTGTGGCTCCACTGCCTCCTCCTCCTTCCTATTAGCTTGACTGGCCAGCTCCAGCGCCCGAGCCTCCCTCTGGGTGATGTTGTGTTTCCAGCTGGGAAGATAAAGATTAGAGAGTGGGCAAGCTGCGGAGACTCCAGTCTAGGGACACTTGAATCTTTTAATATCTGAACCCCAAAAGCAGAGGGTACCTTTTTCCACTCAACCCCACCTAACAGTGGTCTTCAGCTGCCTCCACCAGTGAACAGCTTTTCAGAATCTACCGTGCTGACCAGAGAGGGCGGGGAAAGAGACTTGGCATAGAGCAGGGAGAAGGACGAGGACAGTTAATCTTCTCTTCATTTTTTTTGGTGTGTGTGTGAGAGACAGGGTCTGGCTGTATTGCCCAGGCTGGAGTGCAGGGGCACCATCTCAGCTCACTGCAACCTCTGCCTCCCAGGCTGAAGCCATCTTCCCATCTCAGCCTCCCGAGTAGCTGAAACTACAGGCAGGCATCACCACACCCAGCTGATTTTTGTACTTTTTGTTTGCCATGTTGCCCAGGCTGTTCTCGAATGAACTCGTGAGCTCAAACAATCCACCTACCTGGGCCTCCCAAAGTGCTGGGATTACAGGTGTGAGCCACCATGAACAGCCAATCCTATTTTCTTTCCTTTTTCTTTGAGACGGAGTCTCGCTCTGTTGCCAGGCTGGGGTGCAGTGGTGCAATCTCAGCTCACTGCAACGTCCGCCTCCAGGGTTCAAGCAATTCTCATGCCTCAGCCTCCCGAGTAGCTGGAATTACAGGCACGTGCCACCACACCCAGCTAATCTTTGTATTTTTAGTAGAGACGGGATTTCACCATGTTGGCCAGGAGGGCCTCAAGCTCCTGACCTCGTGATTTGCCCGCCTCAGCCTCCCAAAGTGCTGGGATTACAGGTGTGAGCTACTGGGCCTGGCCCTAGCCAATCCTGTTTTCAAAGTCTAAAGTGGCCACCGCCAAGCAAGCAGTCATTAGAAGGAGCTCGTCTCTCCCTTGCTTCATCCTCAGACCCCTGGGGATCCTCTCTGAGCTCCCATACATCTTCTGACTCCTCCCCTTTGAAGTAAAGGATTAGGGCCAACACAGTGGCTCACACTTGTAATCCCAGCACTTTGGGAGGCCGAGGAGGGCAGATCACGAGGTCAGGAGATCGAGACCATCCAGGCCAACACGGTGAAGCCCCGTCTCTACTAAAAAAATGCAAAAAAATTATCCGTGCATGGTGGCGGGCACCTGTAGTCCCAGCTACTCAGGAGGCTGAGGCAGGAGAATGACGTGAACCCGGGAGGCGGAGCTTGCAGTGAGCCAAGATTGTGCCACTGCACTCCAGCCTGGGTGACAGAGCAAAAAAAATCCGTCTCAAAAAAAAAGAAGTAAAGGATTAGGGAATAGCCCTGGTCCCTACCCCTAGCCTAGACTGGTGCCCAAGTCAGGGTCCTGGCCAGAGCTACCATGTCTGACTCCCCATCCTTGCCTGGTGAAAGGTGCCACCCAGGCTGGGTGTGGTGGCTCACACCTGTAATCCCAGCACTTTGGGAGGCCAAGGCAGGTGGATCACCTGAGGTCAGGAGTTCGAGACCTGCCTGACCAACATGGAACCCCGTCTCTACTAAAAATACAAAATTAGGCCAGGCGCAGTGGCTTATGCCTGTAATCCCAGCACTTTGGGAGGCTGAGGTGGGCGGATCACGAGGTCAGGAGTTTGAGAACCAGACTGGTCAACATGGTGAAACCCTGTCTCTACTGAAAAAAAAAAAAAAAATTAGCCAGGTATGGTGGCGCGTACCTGTAGTCCCAGCTACTCAGGAGGCTGAGGCAGAAGAATCGCTTGAACCCAGGAGGTGGAAGTTGCAGTGAGCCAAGATCGAGCCACTGCACTCCAGCCTGGGCAACAGAGCTAGACTTCGTCTCAAAAGAACAACAAAAAAATACAAAATTAGCCAGGCGTGGTGGCACATGCCTGTAATCCTAGCTACTCGGGAGGCTGAGGCAGGAGAATCGCTTGAATCCAGGAGGTGGAGGGTGGAGGTTGTAGTGAGCAAAGATTGCGCCATTGCACTCCAGCCTGGGCAACAAGAGCAAAACTCTGTCTCAAAAAAAAAAAAAAAAAAAAAAGAGAGAGAGAGGCGGGGTATGGTGGCTCACGCCTGTAATCCCAGCACTTGGGAGGCCGAGGCAGGTGGATCACGAGGTCAGATCGAGACCATCCTAGCTAACACGGTGAAACCCCGTATCTACTGAAAATACAAAAAAAAAAAAAAATTAGCCGGGCATGGTGGCAGTTGCCTGTAGTCCCAGCTACTCAGGAGGCTGAGGCAGGAGAATGGCGTGAACCCGGGAGGCGGAGCTTGCAGTGAGCCGAGATCGCGCCACTGCACTCCAGCCTGGGCGAAAGAGTGAGACTCCATCTCAAAAAAAAAAAAAAAAAAGAAAAGAAAAAGAAAGGTGCCACCTGGGGTTGTGCATCATGTGGCCTGTGTGGCCACAGCCGGTGGCCTCCTCTGAAGGTAGGAAGGCAGAGCCCGGCACAGGGAACAGGAGGAGTGTAAGCAGCGACTCACTCATTCTTCTTCCCCTTTTGGGCCAGCAGCCAGTTCACAAAGTCTTGTTGGTGAATCTTGTCCATGGCAATACTGTAGTCACTGATGAAAGTCCCTTCCGCGTACCTGGGGCCTCGAGGTTGAGGGCTGCTCACCTTAGCATGAGATCCAACAGGCAGGGAGGGGAGAGCGCTGGAAACAAGGGTGCGGAGAAGGGGCAGAGATGGGGGGAGAATCACAATGCTAGGGTAAATGACTGTCACTAACAGGAGGCAGACACTTGAAAACAAACCAGTCCGTTTTTATGGAGACTCCCTGTGGATCCACTCCCCCACCCCACCCCAGGCTTTATCCTCAGCTCCAGGGCCCACTTCCTGCAGCCTCAGTGTGTGTGGCTCTGGATTCTGGGCAAAAAGAGATCACGGGGCCAGGGGCGGTGGCTCATGCCTGTAATCCCAACACTTTGGGAGGCCAAGGCAGGCGGATCACCTGAGGTCGGGATCGAGACCAGCCTGACCAACATGGAGAAATCCCGTCTCTACTAATAATACAAAAATTAGCCAGGCGTTGGCAGGGCGTGGTGGCTTACGCCTGTAATCCCAGCACTTTGGGAGGCTGAGGCGGGCGGATTACAAGGTCAGGAGATCGAGACCATCCTGGCTAACACAGTGAAACCCCGTCTCTACTAAAAATACAAAAAATTAGCCAGGCATGGTGGTGGGCGCCTGTAGCCCCGGCTACTCGGGAGGCTGAGGCAGGAGAATGGCGTGAACCCGGGAGGCGGAGCTTGCAGTGAGCTGAGATTGCGCCAGTGCACTCCAGCCTGGGAGACAGAGCGAGACTCCGTCTCAAAAAAAAAAAAATTAGCCAGGCGTGGTGGCACATGCCTGTAATCCCAGCTACTCAGGAGGCTGAGGCAGGAGAATCACTTGAACCTGGGAGGTGGAGGTTGCAGTGAGCTGAAATCGTGCCATTGCACTCCAGCCTGGGGAACAAGAGCAAAACTTCGTCTCAATAAAAAAAAAAAAAAAAAAGGCTGGGTGCGGTGGCTCACGCCTGTAATCCCAGCACTCTGGGAGGCCAAGGTGGGTGGATCACAAAGTCAGGAGATTGAGACCATCCTGGCTAACATGGTGAAACCCCGTCTCTACTAAAAATACAAAAAAATTAGCCAGGCGTGGTGGCAGGCGCCTGTAGTCCCAGCTACTTGGGAGGCTGAGGCAGGAGAATGGCGTGAACCCAGGAGGCGCTGCTTGCAGTAATCGGAGATCGCGCCACTGCACTCCAGCCTAGGTGACAAAGGGAGACTCCATCTCAAAAAAAAAAAAAAAAAAAGGGATCGGGGTCCCCTCATCTGAAAAGACTGAGTCACACAATTCCCTCCTTTATTCCTCCTGCCCTGGCCCTTCCTGATTCAATTCCTTGGTTCACATTCCATAACAATAGTCAACTCATACGAAAGCTCTGAGAAGCACTGTGTAAGCCCTTGAATCCATAAAATAATTTCATCCTCACAACATCCTATGAGGTAGGTTCTATTTATATCCCCATTTTGTGAATGGAGAAACCAAGGTGCAGAGATTACCTTATTATTGTCTTATTATCTGCCACTCCGTATAGGTAACAGATCCAGGATTTACCCCAGGCCATCTGGGCTCAGATCTATGTTCTTAACATCTACATGATACAGGCCAGGCGCAGTGGCTCACGCCTGTAATCCTAGCACTTTGGGAGGTCCAAGCAGGTGGATCACGAGGTCAGGAGTTCAAGACCAGCATGGCCAAGATGGTGAAACCCCATCTCTACTAAAAATACAAAAGTTAGCCGGGCGTGGTGGCAGGTGCCTGTAATCCCAGCTGCTTGGGAGGCTAAAGCAGAGAATTGCTTGAACCCGGGAGGCGGAGGTTGCAGTGAGCCAAGATCGCGCCAGTGCACTCCAGCCTGGGTGAGAAAGTGAGACTCCAATTAAAAAAAAAAAAAAAAGGGCCAGGCACAGGGATTACATGCCTTCAATCCCAGCGCTTTGGGAGGCCAAGGTGGATGGATCATCTAAGGTCAGGAGTTCGAGACCAGCCTGACCAACATAGTGAAACCCCATCTCTACTAAAAGTACAAAAATTAGCCGGGTGTGGTGGTGGGCACCTGTAATCCCAGCTACTCGGTAAGCTGAGGCAGGGAAAATTGCTTGAACCCAGGAGGCAGAGGTTGTAGTGAGCCGAGATTGTGCCACCACACTCCAGCCTAGGTGACAGAGCGAGACTCCATCCCCCCCCAAAAAAAAAGAAAAAGAAAAGAATAGAAAAAAAAAAGAATGCATTCATAAGCCTGGGTAACATGGCGAAACCTCATCTCTACAAAAAATTCAAAAACTAGCCGAGCGTGGTGGTACATGCCTGTGGTCCTAGCTGCTCGGGAGGCTGAGATGGGAAGATGCTTGAGCCTGGCAGGCAGAGGCTGCAGTGAGCTGCGATCACGCCACTGCACTCCAGCCTGGGCGACAGGGCAAGATCCTGTCTCAAAAAAAGAAAAAAGAAAAAAAGAAAAGAAAGAAGCAAACATGCATAAATGAATAAAACATTTATTGGGAAGGGAGATTCTGTCATCTTCGGACAATTAACCACCAGGAAGTCCCGCCAGAGATCTAACCATAGTCTCTCCCACTGTAACAGCAGCACACAATAAATCCTCTCTGGCTCAGTGCTCACTTTGCACTCACGCTGCCGGCAGGTATTTCCCTGGAGCTTCCTACCTCTTAGCCTGGATTCCTTCCCTTTCTCATCTCCCCCTAGAAACAAATCCAGAACCTGTCATCCCCTAACCCCTCCTCTGCCCCATCCCTTTCCTCTCACCACTCCTACCTGAAGTGACCCTCTTTCTTCTCTCCTAGTCCCACTGCCAGGAACAGGGACAGCAGCAGCAGAGCAAAGGTCTTCGTGGCCACCATCTTCCAAGGTTATTTCCTGAGCTAAGACAGAAAAAAGCCAGGACATGTTGAGAGAGCAACCAGTAGGGGTTCTGAAAGCTGGAGAGGGGCAAAGCCCTGAGGTTTGGACCCTTTCTTTTCCTTTTTCTTTTTTTTTTTTTTTTTTGAGATGGAGTCTCGCTCTGTCGTCCAGGTGGGAGTGCAGTGGCACAATCTTGGCTCACTGCAACCTCCACCTCCTGGGTTCAAGCCATTCTTCTGCCTCAGCCTCTCGAGTAGCCTGGACTACAGGCATGTGCCACCACTCCCGGCTAATTTTTGTATTTTTAGTAGAGACAGGGTTTCACCATATTGGCCAGGCTGGTCTCGAACTCCTGACCTTGTGATCTGCCCACCTGGGCCTCCCAAAGTGCTGGGATAACAGGCGTGAGCCATCGCGCCTTGCCAGTTTGGACCTTTTCTAAGAGCCTGGGGCAACACCATGGGGGAAGATGAGGGGTGCTGTGCACTGGAGTTAGTGACTAGAAGGGACATGGAATCTTACCAAAAGATGGACCAGGCTGGGTGCAGTGGCTCATGCCTGCAATCCCAGCACTTTGGGAGGCCCAGGTGGGCGGATCACTTGAGGTCAGGAGTTTGAGACCAGCCTGGCCAATATGGTGAAATCCTGTCTCTACATAAAAGACAAAGATTAGCCAGGTGTGGTGGTGCGCGCCTGTGATCCCAGCTATTCAGGAGGCTGAGGCATGAGAATCGCTTGAACCTGGGAGGAAGAGGTTGCAGTGAGCCGAGATTGCGCCAGTGCACTCCAGCCTGGGTGACAGAGCGAGACTCCATCTCTAAATAAATAAATAAAGGAAACATCAGCGCTACCTTCTCATTTCTCTTTCTCTTTTTTTGAGACAGGGTTTCGCTCTGTCACCCGGGTTGGAGTGCAGTGACACAATCGTGGCTCACTGCAGCCTCGACCTCCTGGGCTCAGGCAAACCTTTCACTTCACCCTCCCGAGTACCTAGAACCGCAGGCATGTACCACCATGCCCAGCTAATTTTTTAAATTATGTGTAGAGATCGAGTTTCCCTCCATTGCCCAGGCTGGTCTTGAACTCCTGTGCTCAAATGATCCTCCTACCTCGGCTCCCAAAGTATTGGGATTACAGGCATGAGGCACCGCACCTGACTATCTTCTCACATCTCATATAGAGGAAGAGAAAACTAAGATGCCAGGGCTGCTGAGCATCTCAGGGTTGCCAAGATCCATCTGCTCTCGGGTCATCTCATCCATCCCTGTCTCCACTTCTCTTACCAGACTTCCTTTCCAGCTCTTCCAGAAGAAGGACAGATAGGGGTCTCCTTCCCCTGATTTCTGGACCTTCTGAGCCTGCTGAAGAAATCATGCCCCAGCTCCTTTATATTAGGCATAGACCTGCTGATTAGCCTAAAAGCATCTTATCTCAAGAAATTAAGCCCACAGCTCCTGCCACATTAAGTCCATTTTACACATAATAGAGTTGCCCTTTCCACCTGAACTGTGCTAATTGGTGATTAACATTTGGCTATCTCCAGCTGCTGTCTGGGGCCTGCCTGTGGGTAGGGTACCCTAAGTACCCCCTTTTTTCTTCCTCCTCCTCCCTTCTGGGCACAGGGCCCACTACTATTCTTCTATGCCCTACTTCCTTTACAGTTGCCCTCAGTTAGAAGGGATACTTGTAGGCCAGGCGCGATGAATCACGTCTGTAATCCCAGCGCTTGGGAGGACGACACGGGCGGATCACCTGAGGTCAGGGGTTCGAGACCAGCCTGGCCAACATGGTGAAACCCAGTCTCTACTAAAAATACAAAAATTAGCTGGGCATGGTCGTGCACGGCTGTAATCCCAGCTACTTGGGAGGTTGAGGCAAGAGAATCACTTGAACCTGGGAGGCAGAAGTTACAGTGAGCCAAGATCGAGTTCACTGCACTCCAGCATGGGCAACAAAGAGAGACTCTCTCAAAAAAGAAAAAAAGAAAAGAAAAAAGAAAGGGGGCCGGGCGCAGTGACTCACGCCTGTAATCCCAGCACTTTGGGAGGCCGAGGCGGGTGGATCACGAGGTCACGAGATCGAGACCATCCTGGCTAACACAGTGAAACCCCGTCTGTACTAAAAACACAAAAAATTAGCCGGGCATGTTGGCAGGTGCCTGTAGTCCCAGCTACTCGGGAGGCTGAGGCAGGAGAATGGCGTGAACCCGGCAGGCGGAGGTTGCAGTGAGCCGAGATGGCGCCACTGCCTGCCAGCCTGGGCGACGGAGCGAGACTCCATCTCAAAACAAACAAACAAACAAAAAAAAAAAAAACAAACAAAAATTAGCCAGGCATGGTGGCACGTGCCTGTAGTCCCAGCTACTTGGGAGGCTGAGGCAGGAGAATCGCTTGAACCCAGACCTGGAGGCAGAGGTTGTAGTGAGCCAAGATCGTGCCACTGCACTCCAGCCTGGGTGACAAAACAAGACTCTGTCTCAAAAAATAAAAATAAAAATAAAAAAGGGTACTTGTAGTGAAGACAGACTTGGGGTAGGGTGGCACTAACTGGCAGGGGGACACTCCCACAAGGCAACAGGCTACTTCTGGGTGGGAGAGAGTAGGTCCACAGTCATCTGAATCCCAGCTCTGGACAGTGGCCTATGGCTTTGGTGATGTGGCAATGCCCCCATCACATTATCTAGAGAGGTGTCCCAAGGGCTCAATGTTGAGGGAATATGAAGGATCGGGGTTTCCTAGGGACAGCTGGATAAACTGAGAACATACATTCAAGCTGTCTTCCTGCTCAGGGGCAGGATAAAGCAGGAGAAAGAGACATGTTTGTACCTCAGGGGCTCACAGGAGGGTGGGGTAGTTACAACTTTATCTATAGAGATTTAGGAGCCCCTCTCCTCATATGTCCTACTGTCCTGTACAAGAGAAGTATGTCATCCTGTCTCTTCTATCAGAGTGAAGACCCTGGAGTTATGCTGTGCCTCTCTATTATACAGGAGCCACTCCAAGGCAGGGGCTTTCTGTCCCTGATCTGCCTGGGAGCTCTCTGAGAGGAGGAGGAGAGCTGGAGGCGATGTTCCCCCAGCACACTGAGGCTTTCTGAGGCTAAGGGCTGTGTCTCCCCCTCAGACTGGAGACTCCTTGGGATACTCCCTTTGCCTTTCTCCAAGTACTTAGCACATGGCTCTGTCCACAGGGGCTCTCAGTCTAGAAGGGGCAGGGCACAGATTGCATTTTTGGCAGACCTCCAAGGCGTTCTTTCCAGGCTCCTCCTCTGCCGCCGCCATGGGTACTTGGGACCATAAACAGCCAAGCTCATGCTCTGCCTATCAGCTCCAGGTCCTAATAAAGGCCACCTTCCTTTCCAGGTGAACACCCTAGCCTAGGAGCAGATCCAGCATGAAATTAAGTGTGCGTGTGGGATGAGAGGTACCTGGACTAGCAGGGTCACTTACCTCTGCCTCCTGGAAACCTCCTCTGCATACCCACCCATTCTCCACCATCTAGAAAAACTCCTCCCTTAGCAAGCTCTCCAAATTCCATCTCCCAGCTACCAATGGGCAGAGATTAGACGTCGATTCAGATTTGACCTCCAAGGGAGATGTGAGGGCTGCTTGTGATCTTGTTTTCTGCTGAGCAACACAGTTAATGAGCTCAGAAGGGCTTGTGTTCAAATCTGCCTCCTGCCTGGAGGCAACAGTATCCAAGAAAAGTGGACAACATTCCCTGGGAACCCTGAGTCTGGGGCCAAATTGGAGTCAAGGAAGGCTCTGTGATGGGCTCTAGCAGCCATGAGCCCCTGCCTTGTACTCTGTGGATTTGTTTTGGGGGTGGGCTGCTCTGAAGGCCAATGTACTTCATTTTGTTTATTAATTTAGAGACGGAGTCTCACTCTGTCTCCTAAGCTGGAGTGCAGTGACACGATCTCAGCTCACTGCAACCTCCACCTCCGGTTCAAACAATTCTCCCGCCTCAGCCTCCCGAGTAGCTGGGATTACAGGCAAGAACCACCATGCCCGACTAATTTTTGTACTTTTAGTAGAGATGGGGTTTCACCATGTTGGCCAGGCTGGTCTTGAGCTCCTGACTTCAAGTGATCCGCCCGCTTCGGCCTCACAAAGTGCTGGGATTACAGGCGTGAGCCACCGTGACTGGCCAAGCAAGTGTACTTTAAGTCCCCACCCCACCCCCTTCTCTGCAGCCTCATCCCCATTTCTCTTTGATCTTTGGCCCTCATGCCCTGCAGTGCACAGACAAGAGAGAATATGTCCTGGACCCTGTAGGCAGGGAAGAGCAGGGCAGGCAGGAACAGGGAATGTGGGGAGGGCCCCCAAGCCTAGAGCTCCTGCTCAAGTCTGCAAGTTCCACACTCCCCAGAAGCAGCAGAATATGCGAGGAGGGCCAGGGGAGATCAGAGATGAAGCCAAACTCCTAGGGGGTTCCACAGCTCCCCCAAAAGGCATATTGGGAGGCAGGAAATTGAAAAGATGACCCTGGGAAGTTTCTGAGGATTGGAAGAGCCTGCTGGACTTGATCAAAATCATTTAATAAATCCAACTGGCAGTTAAGCCAGCCTGTCCACACCATAAGGAGAAGCGCCCTGGTGTGCAGAGTTCTGTGCAGGTTTGGGGTTGGGGGTGGGGAGGAGGAGGCTCTGGAATTAGCAGAGCCTCCCTCTTCCCATTTCACTATGGAGAATTGCTAGCATGTGAGGGGTCAGAGAGGACACAGGGGATGGGGGTCAGGAGGACACCCCAACTAGCCCAACACCCACACAAGTTGAAAGAGTGTGTGGGGGCCCGGCACAGTGGCTCACGCCTGTAATCCCAGCACTTTGGGAGGCCGAGGAGGGCAGATCACAAGGTCAGGAGTTTGAGACCAGCCTGGCCAATAAGTGCCGATAGTCCCCACTACTTGGGAGGCTGAGGCAGAAGAATCACTTGAACCCAGGAGGCAGAAGTCGCAGTGAGCTGAGATCACTCCACTGCACTCCAGCCTGGGAGACAGAGCGAGACTCCATCCCCCGCCAAAAAAAAGAAAGAGTGTGTTGGGTTGGGTTGGGGGGTTTCTGAGGTGTTACAGGAGTTAGGTAATCAGGGGAGTGAGATTCAGAGAAGGGGTGATGGGCAGTGCCATCGCAAGAGAACCCTGGGTCCCATTTCCCAGCCCTTCCTGGGTTCTGACTGGGCCCTCAGGAATGAGAACTGTAACAGCAGAAGAGCATCTGGGGTTTGCTTGCTCTTCCAGTCCCCACTGGTGACTCACCGCCACCCCCACCACCATCCCCATCCCCCTCGCTGGCGCAGACATTCTGGCCCAGCTCTGCAGCCAGGTCAGGGTGACTCAGAGGGCTGGCTGCTGCCTCCCCGCCGTGGACCCTGCTTTTGAAGTTCACTTAGTCTTCAAACTCACAGCTGACTGAGAAAGCCGACTTCCCTCTCTGGCTTCTCTCACACCAGTCAACAGATTTCTTCTTAGGCAGAGGAGGAAACAAGAGGTGACTTGATGCCCAACAACTTTGCCAAGTCCTCCGGTCTATCCTGATGCTTAGAGGGACTATCTCCAGCTTTTCCCCACAGTCACATCACACACACAGTCATGCTCCCAAACATTTTTGCCGACAGCATTTCCCTTAGGTCCTGATAGATACTTTCCAGAGGGGTCTTCAAGAAGAATATATGGCCGGGCACAGTGGTTCCCGCCTGTAATCCCAGCACTTTGGGAGGCCTGGGCGAACGGATCACTTGAGGTCATGAATTTGAGACCAGCCCAGCCAACATGGTGAAATACCATCTCCACTAAAAATACAAAAATTAGCTAGGTATGGTGGCAGGCGCCTGTAATCCCAGCTGCTTGGGAGGCTGAGACAGGAGAATCACTTGAACCCAGTGGGCAGAGGAGGTTGCAGTGAGCCGAGATCGTGCCACTGCCCTCCAGCCTGGATGACAGAGTGAAAGTACGTCTCAAAAAAAAAAAAAAAAAAAAAAAAAAAAAAAGAATATGCTATCTATAGCCTTTATGGCCATCTGCTACAAGCAGTTTGAAGCAGTTTGGAAGTCCTCTCCCAGTTCTAACCCCAATCCCTCTTGCTGTTTTCAAAGGCTTTTGTTTGTCGGGAAAAGAGCTCAAGCTCTTAGTAGTTGCTGCCTAATCCGTGGGAGGAGGGCTGCAGTGAAGAGTTGGAATGGGAGAAGATGGCTACAAGGTCCTCACTTCCAAGGAGTCCTGCTGGAGGGAAAAAATTGATTGTGTATTTAGGATAAAAGGCCAAAGGGGGCCAGGCACGATGGCTCACGCCTGTAATCCCAGCACTTTGGGAGGCCAAGGCGGCCGGATCACGAGGTCAGGAGTTTGAGACCAGCCTGGCCAACATAGTGAAACCCTGTCTCTAGTAAAAATTCAAAAAATTAGCTGGGCATGGTGGTGCACGCCTGTAGTCCCAGCTACTTGGGAGGCTGAGGCCGGAGAATCACTTGCATCCGGGAGGTGGAGGTTGTGGTGAGCTGAGATCACGCCACTTCACTCCAGCCTGGGCAACAGAACGAGACTCTGTCTAAAAAGAAAAAAGAAAAAAAGAAAAAGAAAAAGAAAAGGGCTGGGCCTCCCTGAAAGAGCAGAATTCCTGAGCTCCTCTGTTTTTCTGCTAGGGGTACATCCCAGAGAAAGGAAGACAGTGGTGAGAAGGGAGGGTTTTCTCTTCCTTTTCCTTGTGTGGGGGCATGAAGGATGGAGCAGTTTCCAGAGTCCCCAGTGGAACCTCCCCTACCCTTGCGCCCCCTCCTGCCCCTGGTATCCGAGTCCTGCAATGGGTGAGTGTGTGGGTGGGGCTTCTGCAACTTCGGAAAACATATACCTCCTTAATTAGATTAAGGAGCAGCTTGGTGGGCAGAGAGAGAGGATTAGACTGGAGTTCAAGCCCCAGCTCCACCTGTCCCCACTACCAAGGTTATGTTTGGCTTTGGGCAAAGCTCTTAACCACTCTGAGGCTTAACTCACTTGCCCATTTCTAAACTGGACATAAGAACAAAACTTTCCCAGCTTACCTTACTGTTAACTTGAAGGTATCCTGCTAGTGTTGGCTGGCAGTATTCTCTGCAATGATCTCCCCTGCATCACTCTATGCTGAAAATCATCATTATTTTTTAAATTATTGATTTTTATTTTTAATTTAGGGTCTTCTCACTCTGTCACCCAGGCTAGAGTGTAGTGGCACAATCACAGCTCACTGGCCGGGCATGGTGGCTCATGCCTGTAATTCTAGCACTTTGGGAGGCCAAGGTGGGAGGAACACTTGAGGTCAGGAGTTCGAGACCAGCCAGGCCAACATGGTGAAATCCCATTTCTACTAAAATTACAAAAATTAGCCAGGTGTGGTGGCACACACCTGTAATCCCAGCTACTCAGGAGGCTGAGACAGGAGAATCGCCTGAATCCGGGAGGTGGAGGTTGCAGCGAGCCTAGATTGTGCCATTGCCCTCCAGCCTGGGGGACAAGAGCAAAACTCCGTCTCAAAAAATAAAAAATAAAAAATAAATCACAGCTCACTGTAGCCTGACCTCCTCCAACTCCTGAGTAGTTGGGATTACAGGCATGCACAACCATGCCTGGCTAATTTTATTTTATTTTGTTATTATTATTTTTTTGAGACAGAGTCTCCCTCTGTCACCAGGCTGGAGTGCAGTGGCGCGATCTCGGCTCACCGCAACCTCCGCTCCTGGGTTCAAGAGATTCTCCTGCCTCAGCCTCCTGAGCAGCTGGACTACAGGTGAGTGCCACCTTGCCCAGGTAATTTTTGTATTTTTAGTAGAGACAGGGTTTCAGCATGTTGTTCAGGATGGTCTCGATCTCTTGACCTTGTGATCCACCCGCCTCAGCCTCCCAAAGTGCTGGAATTACAGGCATGAGCCACCATGCCCGGTCATTTATTTTTTAAGTACAGATCTTGCTATGTTGCCCCAGGCTGGTTTTGACCTCCTGGGCTCAAGTAATCCTCCTGCCTTGGCTTCCCAAAGTGCTGAGACTAGAGGTGTGAGCCACTGTGCTTGGGCTATGGAGAAAATTAAATACAGTGAATTAAGAAAGCCAGGCTGGGCCTGGTGCGGTGGCTCACGCCTGTAATCCCGGCACTTTGGGAGGCCAAGGCGGGTGGATCACGTGGTCAGGAGATCGAGACCATCCTGGCCAACATGGTGAAACCCTGTCTCTACTAAAAATACAAAAAAATTAGTTGGGTGTGTTGGCATGTGCCTGTAGTCCCAGCTACTCGGGAGGCTGAGGCAGGATAATTGTTTGAACCCTGGAGGCGGAGGTTTCAGTGGGCTGAGATCACGCAGTTGCACTCCAGCCTGGCAACAGAGAGAGACTCTGTCTCAAAAAAAAAAAAAAAAGAAAGAAAGAAAGCCAGGCTGAGGCCAGGTGCACTGGCTCACGCCTGTAATCCCAGCACTTGGGAGGCTGAGGTGGGTGGATCACCTGAGGTCAGGAGTTCGAGACCAGCCTGGCCAACATGGTGAAACCCCATCTCTACTAAAAATACAAAAATTAGCTGGGCGTGGTGGCGGGTGCCTGTAATTCCAGCTACTTGGGAGGCTGAGGCTGGAGAATCGCTTAACTCTCCAGCCTCCAGCCTGGGCAATAAGAGCAAAACTCTGTCTCAAATAAAATAAAATAAAATAAAATGAAAGAAAGAAAGAAAAAGAAAAGAAAGCCAGGCTGACATCCCAGCACCTGGGGCATGATGGAAGGTTATGAAAGTCCATATTAGGAGCAAGAGCTTTGGAGATAGACCCACTTATGCACTTATGCTTACGAGTAGGATAATTTATAGCAACTTGCTCCAGGGGGCACTTCAGTTTGCCTTTCTGTAAAATAGGAAATGTAATAGTTTCTACCTGGAAGGATTGATTTGAGACACATGTATACTTAGAAGATGCATTATGTTACATTGTATCTTGATGCATTAGTTATCTTCTGCTGCCTAACAAATTACTCCAAATCTTAGCAGCTTAAAACAAACATTTGTTATCTCACACAGTTTCTGAGATTCAGGAATTTGAGAGCAGCTTAGTTGGGTGGTTCTGACTCAAGGTCTCTCATGAGGTTGGAGTCAAACTGTTGGCTAAACTGCAGTCTTAGAAAACTTGTCTGGTGCTATAGGATCACCTTTCATGCTCATTCCCATGACTGTTGGCTGAAGGCTTCAGTTCCTCACTATGTGGACCTCTCCATAGGGCTTGTCATTTCTTTCCCCAGAGTGAGGGCATACACCTAAGATGAAAACCACAATTAGATGTTTTGTTTTTTGTTTGTTTGTTTGTTTGTTTTTGCAACAGGGTCTCACTCTGTCACCCAGGCGGGAGTGCAGTGGCACCATCCCAGTTCACTTGCAACCTCTGCCTCCCAGGCTCAAGTGATCCTCCCACCTCAGCCTCCCAAGTAGCTGGGACTACAGGTGCCTACCACCACGCCCAGCTAATTTTTTGTGTTTTTGGTAGAGACAGGGTGTTGCCATGTTACCCAGGCTGGTCTTGAACTCCTGAGCTCAGATGATCCACACGCCTTGGCCTCTCAAAGTGCTGGGATTATAGGCATGAGCCACTGCGCCCAGCCCACAGTTAGGTTTTAAAACTTTACTCTGGAAGTGACATAACATCACCTCAGCTATATGCTGTTGGTCACACAGACCAATCCTGGTGCAATGTGAGAGGCATTACGCACAATGTGAATACCAAGAGGTGAAGACCACTGGGGGCCAGTTTGGAGGCTGGCTACCATATACATAATCAGCCCTAAAATATGTTGGCCAACATTGTTATTTTTTTATTTTTTGAGACGGACTATTGCTCTTGTTGCCCAGGCTGGAGTGCAATGGCACAATCTCGGCTCACCACAACCTCCGCCTCCCGGGTTCAAGCAGTTCTCCTGCCTCAGCCTCCCGAGTAGCTGGGGTTACAGGCATGAGCCACCACATCCAGCCAATTTTGTAATTTTAGTAGAGATGGGGTTTCTCCATGTTAGTTAGGCTGGTCTTGAACTCCCGACCTCAGGTGACCTGCCCTCCTTGGCCTCATAAAGTGTTGGCATTACAGGCATTAGCCACTGCGCCCAGCCCAACATTGTTATTATTACAGAAGATGCTCAGTTCATTGAGCATTTCTTTTCATCATCATCAACTTTAGCTATTTCATTAGTTTATTTTGTTTTGCTTTAGAGACAGGGTCTTAATCTGTCCCCCAGGCTGGAGTGAAGTGGCATAATCATAGCTCATCTCCTGGGCTCAAGTGATGCCCCTGCCCCAACCTTCCAAGGAGCTGAGACTACAAGTGTACACCACCATGCTCTGCTAATTAAAAACATTGTGCGTGTGTGTGTGTGTGTGTGTGTGTGTGTGTGTGTGTCACATGCCTGTGGTCCCAGCTACTTGCAAGGCTGAGGTAAGAGGATTGCTTGAACCCAGGAGGTTGACTCTGCAGTGCATGCCACTGTGCTCCAGCGTAGGCGACACAGTGAGACCCTGTCTCAAAACAAAGAATAAAACAAAAACCGGCTGGGCGTGGTGGCTCATGCCTGTAATCCCAGCACTTTGGGAGGCCGAGGTGGGCGGATCACGAGGTCAGGAGATTGAGACCGTCCTGGCTAACACAGTGAAACCCCATTTCTACTAAAAATACAAAAAATTAGCTGGGCATGGTGGCGGGCGCCGGTAGTCACAGCTACTCGGGAGGCTGAGGCAAGAGAATGGCGTGAACCCGTGAGGCGGAGCTTGCAGTGAATCAAGATCGCACCACTGCACTCCAGCTTGGGCGACAGAGAGAGACTCCATTTCAAAAAAAAAAAGAAGAAAACAAAAACCATGGCCAGGTATTGTTGCTTATGCCTGTAATCCCAGCACTTTCAGAGGCTGAGGCAGGTGGATTGCTTGAGCTCAGGAGTTACAGAGGAGCCTGGGCAGCATAGCAAAACCCACCTCTAAAAAAATACAAAAAAAATTAGCGGGGCACGGTGGCACACAACTGTAGTTCCAGCTACTTGGGGGCTGAGAAAAAAAAAAGACTTTTCTGCCTATGGAGTAGCCCTTCTTTTATTTGTTCACTTTCTTAATAAACTTGCTTTCACTTTACTCTATGGATTTGCCTCAAATTCTTTCTTTCAGAAGTCCAAGAACCCTCTCTTGGGGTCTAGATCAGGGACCCCTTTCCGGTAACATCTTCCTGGTGACTATGAAGGTACGATACTGAGGAGACCCCCAACCCACAGGAAATAGGCTGCAGCACCAATTGGCTGACTTTGGAGCCACAAAAACTTTTCTTTTGAGCTACTTACAGCTTTCAACAATTAAGTAAACTATATTTCTGTGAACACAATTTGGAGCACATTTGTTTCTCTCTACCTGATTTCTCCAGAATTTGGAAACTACTTGAGCGTATTCTTAACTTATGGCAATATAGTTATTTGCATAAGTGCTATAAAAATGTTTTCTTTTGCAACAGGACACAATTGGAGAAACTGATTATTTTACTGAGGTATTGACTGGAATGGTATGTTTTCCTTTAAGGAATAAAACTTGACTAATGGACCAGGTGTGGTGGCTCACACCTGTAATCCCAGCACTTTGGGAGGCTGAGGCAGGTGGATCACTTGAGTCCAGGGGTTCAAGACCAGGCTGGCCAACATGGTGAAACCCTGTCTCTACTAAAAATACAAAAATTTGCTGGACATGGTGGTGTATGCCTATAATCCCAGCTACTCAGGAGGCTGAGACAGGAGAATTGCTTGAACCTGGGAGGCAGAGGTTGCAGTGAGCCAAGATCACGCCACTGCCCTCCAGCCTGGGCGACAGAGTGAGACTCCATCTCAAAACAAAAACAATAACAACAACAACAACAACAAAAAACTTCACTTATAGAGCCAATAAAAGCCCCTTGGAAGAATTGGCCTCATACCTTGTCTACAGTCCCTGTGCAGGGTTTCTCACCTGTGGTAAGTAAAGAAGGTCACTTTCTGACAGGCCCAGGAGCCCTAAGTTATCTTGGGACCTCAAGAAGAGAGGAATTTGCCCAACTCATATAGGTATTTAAGGGTACAAACCCATAGCTAGGCTCAGCTTTAAAAAAGTCTTACCTAAGATTCCTTTTATGGAGCAAAGTTCCATCAAAGCCAAAAAAAAAAAAGGCCTATGTAGGCCAGGCGCAGTGGCTCACACCTGTAATCCCAGCATTTTGGGAGGCCAAGGCAGGTAGATCACTTGAGCCCATGAGTTCAAGACCAGCCTTGCCAACATGGTGAAACCCTGTCTGTACTCAAAATATAAAAATTAGCCAGACGTGGTGGTGCACACCTGTAATCCCAGTAGGCTAAGGCAGGAGAATTGCTTGAACCCAGGAGACAGAGTTTGCAGTAAGCCAGGATCATGCCATTTCACTCCAGCCTGGGTGACGGAGTAAAACTCAGTCAAAATAAAATAAATAAAATAAAATAAAATAAAATGCCTATGTAAAAAATAATTATTCTTGCTGCACTTTATTTTTGTTTATTTATTTATTTATTTTTTTGAGACAGAGTTTTGCTCTTGTTGCCCAGGCTGGAGCACAATGGTGTGATCTCGGCTCACTCTCTGCCTCTGATTCTCCTGCCTCAGCCTCCCGAGTAGCTGGGATTACAGGCATGAGCCACCATGCCCGGCTAATTTTGTATTTTTGGTAGAGATGGGATTTCTCCATGTTGGTCAGGCTGGTCTCGAACTCCTGACCTCAGGTGATCTGCCTGCCTCGGCCTCCCAAAGCGCTGGGATTACAGGTGTGAGCCACAGCACCCGGCCACACCAGGCTAATTTTTGTATATTTCGTAGAGAGGGGTTTTTGACATGTTGGCCAGACAGGTCTCAAACTCCTGATCTCAGGTGATCTGCCCACCTCGGCCTCCCAAAGTGTTGGGATTACAGGCGTGAGCCACTGTGCCCAGCAGACCGTAGATTAGTTTGTCTTTTCTAGAATTTTATATAAATGAAATCATACTCTATATTATTTTTTTGTCAGCTTCTTTCATTCAGCTACTTATTTTGAGATTCATGTATGTTGTAGTGTGATTAATAGTCCATTGTCTTTATTGCTGAGTAATAGTCTTCTGTCATATGGATACATTAGTTTGTTTATCTATTCACCTGTTGATGGACATTAGAGTTGTTTCTAGTTTTTGGCTCTTAAAAATAAAGCTGCTATGGTCTGGGTCTGGTGGCTCACGCCTGTAATCCCAACACTTTGGGGGGCTGGGGTGGGTGGATAACTTGAGCTCAGGAGCTCCAGAACATCCTGGGTAACATGGGGTAACATGGGGAAGCCCCACTCTACAAAAAATGCAAAAGTTAGCCAGGTGTGGTGTTATGCACCTTGTAGTCCCAGCTACTTGGTGGGCTGAGGCAAGAGGATCCCTTGAGTCTGGCTTGCACCGGGGAGGTTGAAGCTGCAGTAACCTGTGATCGCACCACTTCATTCCAGCCTGATCAACGGCGAGACCCTGTCTCAAAAACAAACAAACAAGCAAACAAAACTACAATAACAACAACAAGAACAAAATAAACCTGCTCTGAATATTTATGAACAAATCTTCATAGAGA
The DNA here is from genome assembly GCF_000001405.40 of Homo sapiens. Taxonomy (NCBI): domain Eukaryota; kingdom Metazoa; phylum Chordata; class Mammalia; order Primates; family Hominidae; genus Homo; species Homo sapiens. The sequence continues at coordinate 48,980,839 of NC_000017.11, forward strand.
CATATGTTTTTCTTTTTCTTTTTTTATTTTTTGAGGTGAAGTGTTTCATTGTCATCCAGGCTGGAGTGCAGTGGTACAATCTTGGCTCACTGCAACCTCCTCTTCCTGGGTTCAAGCGATTCTCCTGCCTCAGCCTCCCGAGGAGCTGGGATTACAAGCACCTGCCACCACGCCCAACTAATTTTTGTATTTTTAGTAGAGACGGGGTTTCTCCATGTTGGCCAGACTGGTCTCAAACTCCTGACTTCAGGTGATCTGCCCACCTTGGCTTCCTCCTTTTATTTTTGTTGAATAAATACCTAGGATTGAGGCATGTTGAACTTTTTAAGACTGTCAAAATGTTTTTTGAAGTCATCGTAACATTTTATATTCTCACCTCTTGTATGACAGTTCTAGTTCCTCCAAAGTTTTGCCAACACTGAGTAGGATCAGTCTTTTTAATTTTAAGCCATTTTAATAGTTATGTAGTAATATCTCCTTGTTATTTTAATTTGTGTTTTCCTAATGACTAATGATGTTGAGTATCTTTTCATGGGCTTATTTGCCATCTGTATACCTTTTTTAGTGAAGCATCTGTTCAAATCTTTTGCTCATTTTGGTTGGGGGGGGGTTGTTTGTTTTCCTGTTATTGAGTTTTTTGTTTGTTTGTTCTTTGAGACAGGGTCTGGCTCTGTTGCCCAGGCTGGAGTGCCATGGTGCAATCTTGGCTCACTGCAACCTCCACCTCCTGTGCTCAAACTATCCTCCCACCTCAGCCTCCTCAGTAGCTGAGACTACAGGTGCACTCCACTGGCTAATTTTTTTTTTTTTTTTTGATACGGAGTCTTGCTCTGTCGCCCAGGCTGGAGTGCAGTGGAGCAATCTCGGCTCACTGCAAGCTCCGCCTCCCGGGTTCATGCCATTCTCCTGCCTCAGCCTCTTGAGTAGCTGGGACTACAGGCGCCCGCCACCACGGCCGGCTAATTTTTTTTTGTATTTTTAGTAGAGACGGGGTTTCACCGTGGTCTTGATCTCCTGACTTCCTGACCCACCCGCCTCAGCCTCCCAAAGTGCTGGGATTACAAGCGTGAGCCACTGCGCCCAGCCTCCACTGGCTAATTTTTTTTGTATTTTTGGTAGATACGGGGTTTTATCATGTTGCACAGGCTGGTCTTGAACTCCTGGGTTCAAGCAATCATACTGCCTTGGCCTCTCAAAGTGTTGGGCTGGGATTATAGGCATAAGCCACCATGCCTGGCTAACAATATCTTTTCAAGAGCAGACGTTTTAAATTTTGATGAAGTTCAATTTATCAGTTTGGTTTATTTTTCCTTCCTTCCTTCCTTCCTTCCTTCCTTCCTTCCTTCCTTCCTTCCTTTCTTTCTTTTGTTCTTTTTTTTTTTATAGAGACAGGGTCTCACTGTATCTTATCTTCCCATTCTCTTAACAGTATCTTTTTGTAATTTTTTTTTTGTATTTTTTTTATGGAGATGGGGTACACTATGCTGCCCAGGCTGGTGTGGAACTCCTCACCTCAAGCAATCCTCCCTTCCTGCCTCAGCCTCCCAAAGCGCTTGGTATACAGGCATGAGCCACCACACCTGGCTCAACTCAGCCTTTTAGTGATTGTGCTTTTGGCATCATATCTGTCTGGAATGTCTTTGCTAACCCAAAATCACCATCTTTTTTTTTTTTTTCTTTTTTTTTGAGACAGAGTCTCACTCTATCGCCCAGGCTGGAGTGCAGTGGCACAATCTCTGCTCACTGCAACCTCTGCCTCCCAGGTTCAAGCAATTCTCCTGCCTCAGCCTCCCAAGTAGCTGGGGATACAGACGTGTGCCACCACACCTGACTATTTTTTATACTTTTAGTAGAGATGGGGTTTCGCCATGTTGGCCAGGCTGGTCTCAAACTACTGACCTCAGGTGATCCACCCATCTTGGCCTCCCAAAGTGCTGGGATTATAGGCACGAGCCACCATACCCAGCCCAAGATCACCAATTTTTCTCCTAGAAGATTTATAGTTTTTGGTCTTACATTTAGGTATGTGACTTAAATAATTGCATTTAAGCATATGATTGAGTTAATTTTTTTTTTGAGACAGAGTTTCACTCTTGTTGCCCAGACTGGAGTGCAATGGCACAATCTCGGCTCACCGCAACCTCCACCTCTGGGTTCAAGCGATTCTCCTGCCTCAGCCTCCTGAGTAGCTGGGATTACAGGCATGGGCCACCATGCCCAGCTAATTTTGTATTTTTAGTAGAGACAGTTTCTGCATGTTTGTCAGGCTGTCCTCGAACTCCCGGCCTCAGGTGATCCCACCTCAGGTGATTCGCCTGCCTTGGCCTCCCAAAGTGCTGGGATTACAGGCGTGAACCACTGCACCCGGTGATTGAGTTAATTTTTATACATAAGGTGAGGCACGAACAGAAGATTTTTTTTTTTTTGCATATCTATGTTTAATTGTTTTAGCACTATTTGTTGAAAAGACGCTTTGTCCATTGAGTTGTATAACTCAATAACTTTATGGCTTGTATAAAATAAGTTGTGATACATGTGTGTTTCATCGGATTTTTTTTTTTTTTTGAGATGGAGTTTTGCTCTTGCTGTCCAGGCTAGAGTGCAATGGTGCGATCTCGGCTCACTACAACCTCTGCCTCCCAGGTTCAAGCGATTCTGCTGCCTCAGCCTCCCAAGTAGCTGTGATTACAGGCATGTGCCACCACTCCTGGCTAATTCCGTATTTTTAGTAGAGACCGGGTTTCTCCATGTTGGTCAGGCTGGTCTCGAACTCCCGACCTCAGATGATCCATCCGCCTCGGCCTCCCAAAGTGCTGGGATTACAGGCATGAGCCACCGCGCCCGGACTGCATTGGATTTTTAAATGCTTCAAAGGTCATGAAGCACTGTTATCAAGGCAAAAGCAAGGACTTTGGCTGTAGGTACAGCTGGGTTAGACTCCTGGTCTTGCCACCAACGTGAGGCACAGTTGACCTATGAAGTAGAAACAATGGTACTGGCGCCTCAGGATGTTTGCCACTTTTTTTTTTTTTTTTTTTTTTTTTTTTTTTAGAGTCTTGCTCTGTCACCCAGGCTGGAGTGCAGTGGCACGATCTTGGCTCACTGCAACCTCCACCTCGCAGGTTCAAGCAATTCTTCTGCTTCAGCCTCCCAAGTAGCTGGGATTACAGGCATATGCCACCAAACCCGGCTAATTTTGTATTTTTAGCAGAGACGGGGTTTTGCCATGTTGGTCAGGCTGGTCTTGAACTCCTGACCACAGGTGATCCACCCGCCTCGGCCTCCCAAAGTGCTGGGATTACAGGCATGAGCCACCACGCCCGGCCTGCCATGTTTTACAATGTTCTCCTGGATTTCTTCTGTCCTTTTCTGCTCTCCTCCCAGGTAACATAGGGGACTGGGAAAGCTGATCCTGGTCCTGAATAACATCTCTTAATTCCTAAGGTCCCTAGATTCGGAGCTCTAGGAAGGAAAGAAGGTAGGGCTAATGGGTACAGTGTTATCTATAGGACATCCAACACAAATCAGCCATTTGCTCTGGGCAAGGCTGTACAGGCAGATCCCAATGCAAAGTCTCTTTGCTTTCAGTGAATTTGTGCACAATCTTTTTTCTTCTTATTTATTTATTTATTTAAGACAGAGTCTCGCCCTATTGCCCAGGCTGGAGTGCAATGGCGTTATCTCGGCTCACTGCTACCTCTGCCTCCTGGGTTCAAGTGATTCTCCTGCCTCAGCCTCCCAAGTAGCTGGGATTACAGGCATGTGCCACCATGCCTGGCTAATTTTTTGTATCTTTAGTAGAGACGAGGTTTCACCATGTTGGCCAGGCTGGTCTTGAACTCCTGACCTTGTGATCCATGCGCCTCGGCCTCCCAAAGTGCTGGGATTACCGGCGTAAGCTACCGTGTCCGGCTATTTATTTATTTATTTTTGAGACAGAGTCTCGCTCTGTCGCCCAGGCTGGAGTGCAGTGGCACGATCTCAGCTCACTGCAACCTCCGCCTCCTGGGTTCAAGTGATTCTTCTGCCTCAGCCTCCCGAATAGCTGGGAGTATAGGCAGGTGCCACCATGCCTGGCTAATTTTTGTATTTTTAGTAGAGACGGCGTTTCACCATATTGGCCAGGCTGGTTTTGAACTCCTGACCTCGTGATCCACCCACCTCGGCCTCCCAAAGTGCTGGGATTACAGGCGTGAGCTACAGTGCCCGGCCTTTTTTTCTTTTTAGAGATGAGGTCTCCCTTTGTTGCCCAGGCTGGAGTGCAGTGCAGCGATCATAGCTTAGTGCAGCCTCAACTTCCTGGGCTCCAGAGATCTTCCTGCCTCAGCCTTCCTAGTAGCTGGGTCTATAGACACGGGCCACCACACCCGGCTTTTTTGACTTTTAGTAGAGATGAGATCTCTGCTATGTTGCCCAGGCTCGAATCAAACTCCTGGGCTCAAATGATCCTCCTGCCTTGGCCTCCCGAAATACTGGGGTTACAGGCATTAGCCACAATGCCTGGCTGTACAAACTCTTGCCATTTATGCAGGGCAAAAGCCCTGCTCTACACAATTATAACAGGCATAATTTGTTATTACTTGATCAATGGAATTTTTTGATAGGCAACATTTTTCAAAACATTGGGCTCATGAAGAAATAATAAAAGAAATGCTAGGTGATGAAAATAATGGAAACGACTTGCTTAGATAAATGAAGCAATATGACCAGACACAGTGGCTCATGCCTGTAATCCTAGCACTTTAGGAGGCTGAGGAGGGCGGATTGCCTGAGCTCAGGAGCTTGAGACCAGCTTGGGCAACCTGGCAAAATCCTGTCTCTACTAAAAATACAAAAAATTAGCCGGGTATGGTGGCGTGCATCTGTAATAGCAACTACTGGGGAGGCTGAAGCACCAGAATCACTTGAACCTGGGAGGTGGATGTTGCAGCGAGCCGAGACTGAGCCACTGCACTTCAGCCTGGGCAACAGAGCAAGACTCTGTCTCAAAAAAAAAAAACAAAAAAAAAAAAACGAAGCAATATGGATCTTGCTTTGTGGTTTCCAGTGTGTTGTAAGACGTGATACTACAGCAAGAAACTCTCAGACTGATGAGGAGAAACTCTCAGACTGATGAGGGCTTCATGCTTAGAGGTTTCCAGTGAATGCAAATGAAATGCTCTAGCTTGGCAGTGGAAAGGAGCAACGCGTCTGCCGGATCCAGGACAGACGGGCAAGGTGTGAATCTGAGTGCTTACTCGCTGCTGTTTACCATGGTGGTCCTAAGTTTCAGCACATGCCCTCTCAATTTATTATGAATACATGTATAATTAATCAGACTTTTAGCTAAAGTCAGTCCACATCCATGATTGATCAGGGTGTGTTGCAGCTAACCCTCAATGCTTGCTGGTTGCTAATTAATGGAAGAATTTCTGGTGGCATCAAATCTTGGGGCAGGAGATCATCCAAAACTATTCCCCATTTGGTTTACACAGGTATTCTGGGATGATTCATTCAAATATTTCAAATATTCATTTGACTTTTTAATAATTTGCTATGTAAAAATATAATACACACAATCTAGAAATGTTGAAAAATATGAGTTAAGAGGAAGAGAAACACACAGCGGGGAAAGAAAGAGAACATTCGTGTTCTCAAAGCCAAAGAGAATCACTGTTAACAATTTCTTCCTAGACTTTTTGTTATTTCAATTAGTTTTTTTTTTTTTTTTTTTTTTTTGAGACAGAGTCTGGCTCTGCCACCCAGGCTGGAGTGCAATGGCTTGAGTTCAGCTCACTGCAACCTCCACCTCCCGGGCTCAAGCGATTCTCCTGCCTCAGCCGCCCAAGTAGCTGGGATTACAGGTGCATGCTGCCAAGCCCGGCTAATTTTTTTTTTTTTTTGTATTTTAGTAGAGATGGGGTTTCACCGTGTTGCTCAAGCTGGTCTTGAACTCCTGAGCTCAGGCAATCCACCCACCTCGGCCTCCCAAAGTGCTAGGATTACAGGCGTGACCCACTGCGCCTGGCTATTTCAATTAGTTTTTATTATGACATATTTATACTTAACAAACGTAATATCCATAATATAAAAGGTACATGTGCTGTTTTTTTGTTTCGTTTTGCTTTTTGAGACTGAGTCTTGCTCTGTAGCCCAGGCTGGAGTGGAATAGCGCAATCTTGGCTCACTGCAGCCTCCGCCTCCCGGGTTCAAGCGATTCTTGTGCCTCAGCCTCCCGAATAGCTGGGATTACAGGCGCCTGCCACCATGCCCAGCTAATTTTTGTATTTTTAGTAGAGACAGGATTTCACTTTGTTGGCCAGGCTGGTCTCAAACTCCTGACCTTAAGTGATCTGTCGCCTTGGCCTCCCAAAGTGCTGGGATTATAGGCTTGAGCCACCACGCCTGGCCTGTGCTGTTTTAAGAATGATAAAACAAGCACTGTGTAGTTGCTACATGGATTAAGAACTAGAACATCCTCAATATCTCTTTTTTTTTCTCAATATCTTTGAAGTGCCTTCTGTGCCCCTCTGCAATCAGCCCTGTGCTACTTCCCCAGAATGAACCACACTCTGGAATTTTGTTCATCATTCTTTTTACTTTTGTTAAAGTGTTACCTTTTCTGAATGTATACCTAAACAATACATTGTTTAGTTTTGGATATTTTGGAACTTATGTAAACAAAACCATAATGTGTCTGTTCCTCAGTTCTAGGTTTTGTTTTGCTTTTTACCTTAAATAATTTTTTTAAGAGATGGAGACTTCTTATGTTGCCCAGGCTGGATTCAAATTCCTGGGCTCAAGCAACCCTCCCTCCTCAGCCTCCTGAGTAATTGGGACTAATGGTGCGCACCTTTGCTTCCCAGGTTTTTTAGATTAACGCTGTGAGACTCATCCATCTTGGCTTGTGTGGGTGAAGTTCATTCATTGACACCGCTTATTAGTACTTCACTGAATGAGTATACCAGGCATTATTATCTGTTCTCCTATTGATAAACTTTAGTATGGTTTCTAGTTTTGCTATTATAAGCAATGCTGCTGTGGATATGCTTGTACAACATGTCTCTGGGCACGGATTTCTGCAGGTAATTTCTAGTCTTTTATGCACGTGTAGTTAAATTTTTTTTAAAAAGGTTCCAATCATATGAACTATATGAACACAAATACTGTTTTGTGTTCATTTTCTGTAAACTTTTTCTCAAATTTCTCTAAACCCTTTGGAATGTAATATTTCAAGTGGTTATGCTAGAAGTTATTTGAATATTCCTCTTTTAATATTTATATTGTTAAAACTTTTCTTCCTTTCTTTTTTCTTTTTCTTTTTCTAGACAGGATCTCACTCTGTTGCCTAAGCTGGAGTGCAGTGGCACCCATCTCGGCTCACTGTAGCCTTGATCTCCTGGGCTCAAGCGATCCTTCCACCTCAGTCTCCCGAGTAGCTGGGACAACAGGCATGTGCCACCAAGCCCGGCTAATTTTTTTTTATTGTTGTTTGTTTATTTTTTTTTTTGAGACGGAGTCTTGCTCTGTCGCCCAGGCTGGAGTGCAGCGACGCGATTTCTGCTCACTGCAAGCTCCGCCTCCTGGGTTCACGCCATTCTCCTGCCTCAGCCTCCCGAGTAGCTGGGACTACAGGCGCCCGCCACCACGCCTGGCTAATTTTTTTGTATTTTTAGTAGAGACGGGGTTTCACCGTGTCAGCCAGGATGGTCTGGATCTCCTGACCTCGTGATCCGCCCACCTCGGCCTCCCAGAGTGCTGGGATTACAGGCGTGAGCCACCGCGCCTAGCTCCCAAGCGCGGCTAATTTTTAAAATTTTTCGTAGAAATGAGGTCTCATTGTGTTTCCCATGCTGGTCTCGAATTCGTGGGCTCAAGTGCTCCTCTGGCCTCAGCCTCCCAAAGTGGGGGGATTACAGGCATGAGCCACCTTGCCCAGCTGAAAGTTTTTTTTGACGGTTATTAATAACACATCTTTATTCATTGTTTTGTTTGTTTGTTTTTTGAGTCGGAGTTTCATTCTTGTTGCCCAGGCTGGAGTGCAATGGCACAATCTCGGCTCACTGCAACCTCTGCCTCCTGGGTTCAAGCAATTCTCCTACCTCAGCCTCCCGAGTAGCTGGGATTACAGGCATGCACCACTACGCCCGGCTAATTTTTGTATTTTTAGTAGAGACAGAGTTTCTCCATGTTGGTCAGGCTGGTCTCGAACTCCTGACCTCATGTGATCCACCGGCCTCGGCCTCCCAAAGTGCTGGGATTACAGGTGTGAGCCACCGCACCCGACCCTGTTTGTTTGTTTAGATTTTTTTAAACCAATTTTTTTTTTTTGCCTTTAAAAATATCATGATATCATGCCTGCAATCCCAACACTTTGGGAGGCCAAGGTGGGAGGATCTCTTGGTGCCAGGAGTTCATGACCAGCCTGGGCAATATAGTGAGATCCGGTCTCTACGAAATAAATAAATAAATAAATAAATAAATAAATAAATAAATAAAAATGAGCTGGGCATAGTGGTAGCTTGCCTGTAGTCCCAGCTGCTCAGGAGGCTGGGGTGGGAGGATCACCTGAGCTCAGGAGATCAAGGCTACAGTTAGCTCTAATTGTGTCACTGAACTCCAGCCAGGGCGACAGTGAGATTCTGTCTCTTAAAAAAAAAAAGATAAAATATACATAATAAAATTTACAATTTTAACCATTTGAAGCATAAAATTCAGTGGCTTTAAGTACATTCACACTGTTATGCAACCATTACACTACCCATCTCATGAATTTTTTCATCCAAAATTGAAATTCTGTACCAACTACGAATCATCCATTTATCCTTTTGCTTTGGCTTATTTTACTTAGCATGTTTCCAAAGTTCATCCATATTGCAGTAGGTATCAGAATTTCATTCCTGTTTAAGGCTGAATAATTTTTTTTTTTTTACATACTGGATTTTTTTGTAGAGAGGTTACTCAATAGTGCAATTTCTAAGTGAAAGAGAAATTAATTTTTAAAGGTTCTTGTTGCCTTAAAATTGTCCTCCCACACAGCCATATGGAATGTTTATTTCACTATATTCTTGCTAGTAATGAGTATTATAAATATATTTAAAAACACGCAACCTTACTATTTTCATGAACTGCTTAGTTTTTGTTTTAATTTAGCCTGCTATAAAAATTGGTTTGCTTTCTCCTTGGGTGTTCATAGCTGTATTGACAGGTAGGACATTAGGTGAACATCTGCTCTGGCTGAGGGGCTATAACAGACGACCTGGGGACCAATGAGAAGGGCTGTCTTGGGGTAACGTTTTTGCTTTGGATGATATACAAAATAAGAAATCTTTATGTATGTAGTTAGTGGGGTGCTAGTTACATTCCCAGAAGGAAGAACCTAAGAGAGCTCTTGGCAGTAGGTGTATGTGGGTTACCTCCTTAAGACTGTCATCCTGGCTGTGGGGCACTAGAGGATATCAGAATGGCAAAGGGCTCTGTAATTAATTCTGATGGTGGCTGTGATTGCCTGAAGCCCTCAGTTGAGAATTCTGAGCCGGTGTGACCAGACACAGAGGAAAGCGGTTGCTGACCTTGGGTACAGAACTGCCATGGGCACAAAACTGTCATGGGAACAGAACCAGGGAGCAACAAGCTCAAGCTCAGAGATGCCCCTTGGTTGCTATTTTTGATATAGACCAATTATCCTTTTAAATGACTACATTTATCTGTATTTCATCTGATTGTGTTGTATTTATTTAAAAGAAAAAGGCGCTTACAGGCTGAAAACAGCATCTTATCTGATCACAATGATCACATCTTCTCAGATAGTATCAAATATACTTATTCAGTAGATTTTTACTGTCAGCACTGTTAGACACCCTGGGTGATACAGAGGCTTTGCCCTCAAGGATTTGGTCATAAAATGCTAATTACAAATTTAGTTATAAGCAAAGTAGGACATGGAAAAATGACACAAAAATGTCAAAGTGTCTGATGAATGTTCAGCCAATAAAAACTGGGAATACTGGAGCGGAGTTGTTCTGGGAACTGAATCATCCTGAGGTTCTCCTAAAAAATGTAACAAGTTTCCCCTTTTGGTGTATAAAATAATTCAAGCATCTCTGCATCCTTCCCTTTCACTAGAAGTAAGTTTGAATGAGAACAAGTTAGTGATAGTGGGAGAGGGAGAAGAAAAAGGACAGAAAGTTTGGTTAGGTATATTGATTTAAGAGAAGGAACAAATCAGTTGAGGGGCAGAGGAGCAGGAGAATAATAAAAGGGTAAAGAGAAGCAACAAAGAAAAAGAAAAATTGAAAAGAGGGTAAAGGTAAAGGGGGAGGAGGAAAGGAACTGACAGTGTCCGGAGCGGGAAGAAAAATGGAGGAACAAAAGGAGAGGGGGAGGAAGAGAGAGGGGAGGGGCAGGGGCAGGGGGAGGGGCAGGGAGGAAGAGGAAGGTAGGAAAAAAGATGGGTCAGGAACCTCATTTTAAAGCAATTTAGAAATAACTCTGAATTCTTTCCCTATACACTTTATAAACACATTTTAGAAATGAAAAGAAAATTATAAGAATGTACTCAATAATTTATTATATAAATGCTCACCAAATATTTTCAGATTGTGTTTAAGAGTGGAAATTAAGTTGTGTTGATAATAATTCTTTAAAAAAAAAAAGGTGGAGGTGTTTATAGGAGAGTTGGGTGAACCAAAATTCTCTCTAGATTGTTAACTCATGAAAATTAGGAGTCACTTTTAGAATTGTGTCTCAGTTTAGTCAAACAACCATTTAAAACAAAAATGCCATACTATTAGGCTGAGTCTCTTTTCTTTGTAAATCTGGTTTGTACATGAAGACAGATTGAACTGTTTTAAATTAATTTTTTGGTGATGAAATACTAGTGAAATAATATTTCTTAATTTTTAAAATTTAAAACAACAAAAAACCCCAACATAGCAGCATTATCCCTAGTAACTGAAATATTTGTGGCAGCTCCTGAAAAAAAATCCTAAACAGGAGTAGTCAGTTAATCTCATCATTAGGGGTAAAATTTTTAGAAAAGCAAACGAAAATAATTTGCTGAGTTAAAAAATTCTTTTAGTCTTAAAATGTATAGATGTTGTGTAGCTAAAATGGAAACTTCATGAAGTTTGACATGTAACTGATTAATTTCGAATTAAAATAATTTAAATATTTAGAAGATATGTTGATTTCAAGTACAAAATTGTCTCATTACTGTTTCCACCTTAATATTTATATATGGATTCCTTCTCTTTTGTTGCTTTTTACAATTTATTTTGAAAAATAACATTTTTTCCTTGTCTTTTCTTGAATTATACAATCCCCCCCCAAATCAATCAGTGATCTATTTTGTGTTTTGTGCTGTAGGAACTAAACAAGATCGTACATTATCTTTTGATCAAATGACTTTGGAATAAAAAAAATTACAAAAGGTAATAAGAATGTAATGTGAAGCATGTTATTGACCATTTCTTCTACATGTATTAATAGAGGTTGGGTGGAGTAGTTTACTAACAAAATGAATTTGAAAACATCTATTTTTAAAGTTAATAAAATAAATGATCCCCTCCTTACCTAAAAGTTTCTACATTGTAAACCTGAACCAAAACAAAAAATTGAGAGGTTTTGTCAAACACACTGTGTGACCCACAGAAAAACAAACGATTGTCCTTAAAGTTCTTTTTTCCCCTTGAGCCTCTTCTATCTCTGGAATAAATACATTTCTTTCTCAGGTCTTAAACACTGAACACTTTTGAATGAACGATAATTTGAAGGAGAAAAATTTCCTTTTCTGCTTACAGTTTGCTTACATTTTATGAGATATCCTAAACACATACTTATCCTTATTTATTTGACAGGAGAAAAAGCTGCATGTGCTTTTAAACTGGAACTAATTTACACTTTCTTAAAGTTTATAGGCATTTAAAAGAACCACACTAAGACTTTAAGTTGCAGGAAGAAACAAAACATCCTAAAGTAGTAACAGTAAAAAAACAAGCAAGCAACAACAAAAGTAAATAAATAAAATAAAAACCAACCAAACAAAAAACAAATTCCTCTAAAAACTTTGAGGTTAAAGCAGCAATATATCAGGAAATGTGAGCTTTCCTTTTTCTGTATTTTATAGCAACCGTAATTTTATTCCAAAATTGATGGATTCATTAGAAAATAAATTGTATTTTAATGTATTTCCCTCCTAGCTGCTTTCCATTTGTTTTGTTCTTTCTTTTGTAAAACATGCTACACTTTAAAAATAGAAGAGTCAGTAAGTGTTAGATTTAAAATGCAATATATATTCTGGGGATTTATGCAAAGGAGCTAACCCCAAAAAGGAAAAATTTATATTCACCAGAATATCTGTTCAGCACTGTTTACAAAAGTAAAAAATTTGATGAAATGTATATCTAAATATTATGATTAATAATTTACACATATAACTGGACTGAATTAAAATGATAGTTATGAAAACTTGGAGGCAGCCTGGGGAAATATTTATGGTACAAATGCAAGTGAAAAATTAAGATATAAAAATGATAAATTTTAAACCATTATAAATGGACAAATGCTGAAAAATAAACATTTACAAGTAAAATTAATTTTCTATGACAAGTGAAATTATTGATTTTTAATTTTTCTATTTTTTCTTTTTTCATTTTTTTAAACTTTTTTCTTTCCTTTTTGTCTTTCCTTTTTTTAACTTGGCTTATTTCTCCAAGAAAAATATTCTTTTATTTTCATCTTTAAAAAAGTTGGTTTATTCTCTCAAACTTTTTTTTTCCTCTCTGCATGTATTTGTATATTCACATTGGAGGAAAATGGATTATTATCCTATCTTTAAAATGGAGTCAAATGTCAGTGTTTCTGAATTCAGATAATTAAATTCCATAACTAGACCAAACTGTTCTCCAGGAAAAAATAAAGAAGAGGAGGAAGAGGAGGAGAACAAGAAGAGGAAGAGGTATAACAGTATTAATATTACTATGTAGAATATACAATATATATTATATACGATATGTATTATAAAGGATAATTATTAAAGAAAAAACCATTTAATCCTGTAGCTATATTTTTAACTCTTACACAAGTGTAACTCTGCACTAAAGATTTATCTGTCCCAAAGAAGCAATGTAGAAAAAAAATTGAAAATAAATACAATATTTGATAGTAATCTTTAATGTTAACAAAAACAAAGAAAAGAAAGATGAAAAGTTATGGTACCTCAAGTCTGCCCATTTTTATCCCTAACCTAGGAATGTCAGTCTAGATAAGAAATAACCCTTAATGTGAGTGCTGGGCTCATTCAAAAGGGAGAGATGAAACACCAATCAATGTGATTTAGTTCCCCCAACCCCAGCCTAAAATAGCCAGGTCACTAAGGCAAAACTGATTTGGGGGCTAAAAAGATCTGTATCTCACCCCTGTTGTCTCCTCTCTTGTATTCTTGCAGCCTTTGCAGCTTCTGACTATACACACATAAGCCTTTTTTTGGGGGGTGGAGAGGATTAGAATTCAGTAAAACAGCTGATTTTTTAAAAAGAACTAATCAGTTTCAATTTAGCAATTATTGGTAATTTTTAATTAAATATTTAAAAGGATTTAAAAATAGCAGATTGTTCAAGTGAAATTTATATATTCTCTTCTAACGTTATCTTAAATACATTAAAACTGATTTCAGCTAACATTTAGTTAGTATATTTTTACATGGAAAAAAATCAACCTGAAAGTGAACTGAATTCACTGATTATTTTTAAAAATGTTGTTTCCCATTGACTCTAGGATAGTAAAAAGTGGACTGCATTTTATAGGAGTTTAGAGGTCTGGATGGAGATTTTTATGGGGTGTAACTTGCTTTTGTTTTAGGCATACAGAGGCAGAGTAGTGGATATGTCCCCCAGGGAGACAATCTGAGAAGTGCTTTTATTAGCACCTAAAGATTCAAATTAAATGAAAGAAACAGCACTTAAAGTTTCTGGGAACTGGGATGATCTGCCTAGTTGCCCTCCTCCTTGTTCCCCAATATAACAGAAAAGATTTAAGGAGATTGGGGCTCCTCTTTAGGAAAAGGCCAAGAAATACAACAGCCTTTTTGAGACCATCTTTTAGCCCTTTCAAAAGTCTACACACATCACCAAGAAAAGTTCCCGGGCAACAGAGCCACACGTTCTGGCCAAGATAATTTTTTCCCCCCTGGACTCTAATTTTCATCAATTCTCTTTGCTGTGCTGTTTGTATTAGCTTGTTTTTCATTTAAAAAAATGTTTATTGAGTGCCTACTATGTGGCATGCCTGTTTCCTACTCATTGGTTTGTTTAAAAATAATGCTTGTGACCAACAGCTAAGTATTAAGAGTCAGATAAGGGGGGAGGGTCGGAGGTGTGTGTGTGGGGGTGAGACACAGATGTCTCCCACCTTCTTGGACAGAAAATATTCTCTTTCTACTCAACAACAAATAGCTCCTAGTACTTTAATTCTTGTTGTTCCATGGGAAAAAAAAATCACAAAAACAAAAATCCGACAAACACGTGGCTGGGTAGAACAAAACGCTCATTGGGGAGGGTGGGCTCTAAGGTGGTGGAGGATATAGAGAAACCGAGTTGGAAGCCCTCCCCCGCCCCTAAGTCCCAGCCCCATTTCTTTTCAGCGCGCCGGGAAAACGGGGAGGGGGACAAAGGTGCTGCGTGCTGTCTTTCAACTCCCGACTTTTTGAATGGCATACAATCGTCCGGCCGCAGAGCGGTGAGCCAAAGTCGGAGTCAGCTCAGACTCTGCAAACGAAAAATAATAACAATAAAAAAAATTCAAGGCATTCATATCGGTGTAGTCAACACGTGTTGCGGAGTCGGCCCGGGCCGCAGGCGACTGAGACAATGGGGTCGGGGACTGGGGAAGGGGAGTGACCCCCTTCCTCACCTGCCCTCCCAGCACGCGTGCCCCCGCTAGAATTATCCTCCCTCCCACAGAGTCCGGAGTAACACCCCAGTTTTCGCCCTGTTCAAGGGGATTCCAGAATTTCTGGGGGTCGACCCCTCCTTTTTCCCCGTTCCCTGGGCGAGGGGGTTCCAGGGTCTCCGGGCCGCGCTCTCGGCCACCCCTGGCGCCATCCCAGCCTCCGCCGCTAGAAACTCGTTGGCCTCGCTCGCCGCTCCGCCGTGGAGCCGGGGCTTGCCCGTGGACCGCGCGTCCCGCTCTCCGCCGCGTATCCGGGACTCCGAAACGCGCGGCGAGCAGCCCCCTCCCCCACCGCCCAGACGGGGTGCGACCGCCCACGTGTCGCCCCTTGCCCAGTCGGGTCCTTCCCTCGGGCTCCGGGAGCCGGAGGATCCGGAATGAGTTGGTCAAAGCCGAGGGAAGGGACCCAGGCGGATCCGCTTCCCCCTCCCCAGGAACGGCGGGAGGAGGAGGGGAGTGGCCGCCGCCCCCTCCCCTAAGCTCCCGCCCCTCGCTTCCCCGTGCGCGGAGCGGAAATTACCCCCTCCCCCCGCGGGTCTGACCTGGGGACGTGGGCGGGGCTTCCCGCTTAGCCCCCCGCCCTCCGTCCCTCTCCCGCCTTCCCGCCAGGATCGGAATCCTGCACCCCAAACAAAGTTCCGAGACCCGAACCTAGGGCCTAGAGAGCTGCCAGCAGTGTCCCGGGTGGTGCAGGCTCTGGAAACTCCACCTGTCTGTCCCCGACTCTGGGAGGGAAAAGGGGACCATTCAAATCTCCACCCGGTCACTCCCTCCCTAAGACCTCCCCCTTCAGTTCGCTCCGGTTAGCCCTAGCTATCACTCCTCTTCCTTGTCTCCCACCGTTCCTGTCTCCTGGAGTCATCTCCGGCCAGTTCCGCGTGTTCCCCTCAGGACCCCGAAACGTTATCATTTAACAGCCGGACCCCGGGTGCGAACCACCCTTTCTCCCGTGGGGATCTCAAAACATTATTTCCTGCGGCTTCCTCGTTCTCCACTGGGATACCCCGTTCCCAGCTTTCCAGTCCCGCGCTCGCAGGGTCCCCCGGTCCTGCATCCCCGGAGGCGGGGGAGTTTCGTGGGGCTGGCGTGGGGAAGGCGGAGACCCCCCCCATTTAAACATCTAGGGAAAAGGTTCCTTTCTTTTTAAATCACCAGCTCGTGCGACCCTCTCCTGAAGACCCCAGAGTCTTCGGCTTCTCTTTGTCTGTCTCGGCCGTCCCCCGCCTGTCAGTCGCTAGCAGTTAACCGGGGAGGGGTGAGCAACCCCGCCCCCCAAAACGAATGAAAAATAACCGTACATTTTACCCTTTAAGACATGTGAGATCTGGGCTGGACCATCCTCCCCCAGTTTGGGCTGGGGTAGGGGGATGGGTGGGGGCGGGGCGCTTCCCTAGGGGCCAGGTTCTTGCAAAGGGGGAAGGGGCCTGTAGAGCTTCAGGGACGCTGCCGCACCGCCCCAGTTTACCCCGGGGGTGAGTTGAGTTCCCCACCCTCAGGCGGGAGATTATCGGGTTTGGCCGGAGGGCCGAGGGGCCCTGTGGCGTCGGGGGTCTTTCCCTGCAGGGTGGGTGGGGGCTGTCACCACGTGGCTTCTCCTTTTTTTTTTTTTTTTTTTTTCCGCTCCATTTTTTTTCAAGTCGATTTTATTTAGAGGCGGCGCCAGGGCGGCCGCGGAGAAACGTGACACACCAGCCCTCTCGGAGGGGTTTCGGACCGAAGGGAAGAAGCTGCGCCGTGTCGTCCGTCTCCCTGCGCGCCGCGGGCACTTCTCCTGGGCTCTCCCCGAACTCTCCCGCGACCTCTGCGCGCCCTCAGGCCGCCTTCCCCGCCCTGGGCTCGGGACAACTTCTGGGGTGGGGTGCAAAGAAAGTTTGCGGCTCCTGCCGCCGGCCTCTCCGCCTCTTGGCCTAGGAGGCTCGCCGCCCGCGCCCGCTCGTTCGGCCTTGCCCGGGACCGCGTCCTGCCCCGAGACCGCCACCATGAACAAGCTTTACATCGGCAACCTCAACGAGAGCGTGACCCCCGCGGACTTGGAGAAAGTGTTTGCGGAGCACAAGATCTCCTACAGCGGCCAGTTCTTGGTCAAATCCGGCTACGCCTTCGTGGACTGCCCGGACGAGCACTGGGCGATGAAGGCCATCGAAACTTTCTCCGGTAAGAACACAGCCACCTCCCGGAAAAGCCACAACGAGAGCCCCGAACAACGGAGACCCGCACCTTCCGGTTCCTCTCCCGCCAACTCCTCTCTTCCCGGGCCTGCGGGGTTTGGCCTCCGTACCCACCCTCGACCTACCCCCTTCGATGCCCCCTCCCTCGCTCTGCGCCTCCCACCCCCGCGCAGAAACATTCGGGATTTCCTCATCCCTTTCTCCCAGCCTGAGATAAGGAGCTCTGGCTTCCCCCATCCTTCCTCCCCACCGACGGGGCGGGAGCCCCCACTGGCAGTAGTGGGGGGTTGAATTTAGGGACACGGGGATGACCCCTGGCTGGGCGTTATTTCCACGCCCAGCCCCTCCCTATCCGCCGGTGGACGCCCCCCCAGCTGGAAAACCCCGGCTCCCGTTCCTCAGTCTTAGGCCTTTCCAGGCGTGGAAGGGGTACCCGGACCGCCTGCGATCTGTCCGCTTCGCGTGGGGAATGCAGCCCTCCAGCAGGACTTGCAAGGAAGGGGGTCTTGCCTCCCGCCCAGGGCCTGGGGCTTGAGCCATTTTGATTTGAAAGTGGGGCGTGAGCGGGGTGGCGCGGCGGCGGCGGCGCCGGGTCGCCATGCTGCTTCCCGAGACGCCGAGGCTGGGCCGAGAGGCGCGCGCGGTGGCAGTGAGGGACCCTCCCCGCCAGGCCCCGCTCCGCTCCCCCAGGTCCACCCCTTCCCAAACCAGCCCCGACAGGTGACCGCTCCGTGGCCCAAAGCCCGTCTTCCTGGCCAACAGAGAAAAATAAAGTTTCATTCTGCACACTGCCTCCCGCCCCGCGCCCCACTTTCTGAGGAACGGGGAGCCCTTTCTTTCCTGGCTCCTTCCCACATCTGGGAGCTGTGTAGGCAGCGCACCCACACAAATGGCCTCGCACCTTTCCCAAATCGGGATTCCAGAGCGATCCACTCAACAAGCCTCAGTGATTTAATAAAGCAAAAATTAAAAAATGAATAATAACGAATTTACAGACTCCACCATTCCTAGAGCAACCTTTTTCCCATCTGGATGCGGAAGCCACTGCCTGGATTCCTAGGAAGATCTCGAATCCCAGTAACTCCTGAATTATCCTAGTGTCTTTTCCCCTTCCTCTTCCCACCCCCAACCCCTGTTCAAGCTCTCATGGTAATTTTTTTTTTTTAATCTTTAGGGAAAGTAGAATTACAAGGAAAACGCTTAGAGATTGAACATTCGGTGCCCAAAAAACAAAGGTAGGAAAGAGCTCTTTTCGGGGGGGGTGGGGGGGCCGCGGGGGTGTGCTGTGAAGCTGTGTTCAGGGGTCCATAGCGTCTCCAGTGGAAGAAACCCATTACTGGTCTTTCCCACCCCCAACTCCGGATGTTGGGGGCAGGGAGGGAAGATTGGCCAAGATCTTGTAATGGGTGGTTTACAGCTTGTAAAAAAAAAATAAATAAGTTGGGGCTGGGGTAGGCTAAAAGATGTTACTTGCAGAATTAAAGGGGAAAGAAAATCAATAGGGGAGAAACCTTGTGGAGTTTGTTTGTTCAACTCGTGGGGCCGTTTTTTGTGGGGGAACCTTAAAATCTTTGAAGAGTTCAGACTCATGGCGATTTCTGCAACTTCGTAGCAGGCCTCATTTTCTGTTTTTCCCACTCTTTCCACACCATAATTCTTAAGTGGATTGCCCTTCTCCCGAAGCGATGTGGAATGAGTTTCCCGGCCCCCAAAGAATCCCCTTATGCTTGTACTTTATTTATATTTCTACAACAGGCAAAGACTTTTTATTTTCCATGGACCCCCCACCCCCAATCCCTCATATCTCACATCATCCCTCTCCCCAGCTGGATTTTCCAAAGAATATGCCTTGGCTGTACTATCCTTTTCGAGCCCCCCTACCCCCACTCCTTCAGCCCATTGTTACCAGGGGACCATCTGGGGTGAGAGCTTTGTGTTGAGGCTGTGAGCTGGGGCTCTTTGGAGGGTCTAGAACTCCGTGGATGAATGGTGTGTGTGTGTGTGTGTGTGTGTGTGTGTGTGTGTGTGTTCGTGTGTGTTCCAATACCCTCTATCCTCTCTCTTCAGCAAAATGGGGTACCTCCATCATACTTACCGAGAATTCATGGTGGATTTCAAATCTTGCATTGAACTCTGAAACCTTTCCTTGAACTCTGGCTGGGAAGTATAAGGGCAGAGTCTTTCTACTTTCTCAAATCAGACTTTAAACATGTTGACAGTGTAGAGTTTGCTCTCATGTCCCAAGCTGGAAAGCAGCCCCCAGTAAATCTTTGATCTTCCTCACCCCCCATTTCAGCTGAAAACTTGGTACATTTCAGGATAGTCTCTGGCCTTTTCCGGGTAGATGGGAGATGATGACTGCTTTTTCTGGGGGACCATTAAGAGGGCCTAGAAAGTTTAATGTGAGATAAAAATCTGTTCAGTTGCTTAGCTTGATATTTAAGTAACTTGGAACTATTGTGTCTATAGATCAATATGGCTTGTTACTATGTTTATAGAGCTTGCGATTTAACTTCACATGTTTGAAATACCGTGTTATTGGAAAGGCAATTAGAGTTAGGAGTAAAGAGGCAATAAAATGGGAAGGAAGAAAAGAAGTCTTATTTGTTATTTTGAAACATTTTCTGGAGATGTGTCTAAGGAACATACACTGACACCAGCAGGTTTATTGAAAAGGATATGGATATTTGAACTGAAAGCTGAGTGTTGATGAAAAATATCCAGAATAAGTGGAATTCTAAAATATGTGGATTTTTTCTTTTGCTCTTGAGGATGGTTTAAATTTTAGGGAATAAAGTGAAAAGCAAGAGAAATAGCAAAACGTGATGAAATGGAACTCAAAACATTTATATTTTAATTTTCATGGTGCCCTGTATTTATGAATCTTTTTCCCCAAGCCATCTGCTTGCTTTTAAGTCATTTCTAGGCCCTTTTTCCCTCCAAAATGCATTACTGAGGGCTCTTTTTTGAGTTGGAATGGAGAGGGGGTTTGTGAGAAGACTGGGTAAAAAAAAAAAATCTGTCCACACCCATATTAAATTAGATCTTTTATGTGTTCTCCCCTTCCTGAAATAATTTTTTTAGCCCAAACATTGAGTCAGTTGTGTTTTCTTTGCTTTTTATTTTGGTTGGTGGTGAGAAGGCACTTCATTTTTCTAGAATGAATCAATTTTTGAAGTCTCAAGATTTAAAAAAGAAAGTTTGTTTTCATTAAGTCAGTTTGCTCTATCATTTTGTGTCTTTGAGGAAGTATGTTGTGGTATGTGTCTTTAGTCTGTGTCTGAAAAGTATTTCGTCAGTTAGGTTTGTTACTGACTTTCCATCTCATGGATGTATAGAACAGGAACTAGTTAATTATGACTAATATATTCTAAGCAAAATGAACAACTATACAAATAATATTTTGTGTATATATACTCTTGTATTTTCCTTATGAACTCTTCTTGAGGCATTCAGTTCCAAATGAACTATGATTTCAATTTCTAAAATAATTCATAAAAACCCAACAACTAAATGTTCCTGGTTGTTTTGTTTTGTTTTTTAAGAGGGGGAAATCAAACAAAAGATATGCTGTAGCAATACCTCTTAATGTATTTTGTTCTTAGTTTGAATTTATTTGATACATATAATTTGTACCTTTTTAAGAACTCAAGAGGCCGAACACTATGCATTTCAACTGAAAACAGCAGTTAGCTTGAATTTTTAAAATGAGGTGATACTAATTTCTTAGAGATCACCATCTCAAACCCCCTTAGTGTTGGAATTTGGTTAACAATTTGTGCTTTTTTGTTGAGAATTTGTATATGTTCACTGCCAGATACTGAGACAAAAGAGAAAAACCAAATGCATTTAAAAACAGTTGTGGAAAGGGCTTGTATATGTTTTATTCTGAGAGACTTAGGAGTAGTTGAGGTAAAGGGGGTACCATTTTAGTGTGACTTGATTACTTTGAGACATGATTTGCTTTTTAAGGGAATTAAACCTTTGTTACACTTGCCACTGTGGTGTGCCTTTTTCTAGAGGAATGTGACCTAAAGATAGCATATTCACTGTCAACTGGTGTCATCAAAATAAAAGGTGTTACTGTTAATTAAGAAAAAAATGAAAGAGATGCACTGACTCATTTTTTTTAAAGGTGAAATGTGTTCACATTAAAGAATTCTAAGTTTGGTGATTTCTTTAGGCAGATTAATGGTCCTTTTCCTCTATGTTGACTAAAAATGAGGTGGGCTAACTCCCTTAAGTACCTATTAAACAAAATTAGTTTTATAAATCGTTCATAAAATTGAGAACTCCCAAAAGAAAGTGTCCAAATTTTACAGTTTAATTTTTTGAAGTTAACAGCTTTAAAAATCTGTGAAGGGATGTCTTATAAATGGCAAAAAATATTTTAAATATATTTTAACAATGATTTGTTGAGGCTCTGAAGAAATCACTTGGATCACTAAATGTTTTCAAAACAACCTAAAAATTGTCTTCAGAAATGGATTTGCACTTAAGGAAAAAAGAAAACCTACCTTGTACTTTGGGGCTGAAAATGAATGAAGAGGGGTTAAAAAGGGAATGAAAACTACTAGAGCGGGAGGGTTTTCAGGCACTTTTACTTTAATGGTTGTAATTATGAATTAGTATCCAAGTCAAAAAGAAAGTTTTTAACTCATACGAGGTAAAAGATAACATGTGACTACTATTCAACATGGAAGTTTAAAGTAGAAACAATTGATTACTCTTTTAAAAAGGTTTTCTTATTAATATTAGGTTAGAATTTTTTTTTTTTTTTTGCTTTACATAAGTGAAAAAAATGGTTGAATGTTAAGTTTTTGTGCACTGTTTGGAGGAAAGGTGGAAACTGGGGTACATTCTTTCCCTATTTTAATTTCCACCTAAAAATTAAACTTTGCAAATTCATAAATTAGTTTCCTTCACTGCTGGTAGAAATCCTTAACTGTTCTCATTTGGGTGGTCAGTATTTCAAGATGAGAGTTTTGTAAGGGCAGTGGCAACTGACTGTCCCTTAGAAGAATTGTAGGTTTCTAGAACCCCTTATTTTCTGACCCAAATTAAAAAGATGAAATTTTACCATAATGGTTTCTCAGATGGAGAACTTTTTAGTAAAAAGGGGGAAGAACTGCAAGTCCCATCACTAATTTATTCAAAGTATTGTTAATTGTTGAAAAGGTAAAGTTTTAATGGCACAGCTTTTGGTGGAAAAAAACATAATTATGTTTCAGAGATTAAATACATGACATTAGCAATTGGAAGAACCTTGATTCAAAGGTTCTGAGCTTCTAATCTTTTAAAATTACCTTAATATGTATCATTTTAATCTATGTGTGTGGGTACTTTTAAGGCTTACTTTTTAAGAGTGTATTTATACTATACTTTAATGTGTAGCAGCCAGTTGACAAAGATACTATTGAGGTAGTCTACTGAGTATACAATTTTAAAACATTTTAAAATTCAGATCTGGTTTAGTTGAGTGAGAAGTGGGGAACAGCAAGTGCTATTTGTTGAAGTTTAAAGGTTTTGTGAAGAGTTATTTAGTGGTTAGATCTGTTGATTTTTGTGTGTGGGGTGGTAGTGGTGGTGATGGGGTTGTTAGAATAAGTTTATGAACCAAAGGCATTTGAAGAACGGACATTTTCCCAGCTGTTAGAATTTAAAATAAGTGTGGTTCGTTCCCTATCCTCTTAAAAGATTCTTGAAATGTGGCTAATGTTTTCCAGAAAGTGCAGCTTAGAATTTGGGATGGGAGTGTTAGGGAGAGAAAAGGGGAGGAAAAAAGCAGCAGGGGGAGACTGGAGAAATCAGACGAGTTAGTCCCGGCTTGGAAATTCCAGACGGGGAGGGGGGAGGGAGAGAGGGAGGGAGGGGAGATACGGGGTTGGGTGGATTTCCCGCTTCCCTTTTAAAGGGGAGCGGCTGGAGTCTCACAGTGTTACCCACGGGAGAGGGGTCGGAGACGGGTGGTAGACTCAGCTCAGGGCAAGGCTATATTTGCTTTTGGAGTTGCCGGCCTTCCCTTCCCCTTTCAAAAAAGAGAGAGAGTAGAGAGAGAGAAAGTGGCGGCGGCGCTGCAGGCTCTTCCTGGAGCGCTCGCCCCGGCCCGGCGGCCCTAACCTTCCCCGCCCGCCCCCGCGCCAGTCCCAGCCCGGCAATCTCGTCTCGCTCTGAGGTGGGGCCGCCCGCCTGCCTTCTCTTAACAAGCCCCTGACAGAGAACATCCGCTGGCCTGGGTCTCCGAGGAGGACTTCCCCTCTCAGATCCCTGAGACCCCAGGAGATCCCAGGCCGCTTGTGGTGCGCCTTAGTCCTGGGAACCCCAGATCGCAAACCTCGCAGCAGATACCCCACGAGAGGGTTCCCCCTCACCGGCTGCGGGCTGCGGGCTGCAGACCCTTTCCAGCACCTGGGCTGCCTCAGGAGCTCTCCATTCTAAGGCAAAAAGCCAGTGGGTAAATGTGAAGTGAAAAGAGGCAAGAAGAGAGGAAGAGTAGGTAAAGGGAAAATAGGATGAGACAGTTGGAGAGAAAATGGAAGTGCAAGTAGCTGTTCCTCTCTCCCAGTAGCTGGGGTCTTGGCCTGAGAAATAGAACCTTAAAGAGTTAAGTGTCAATTTAAGTAACCTGCAATCTTTACAAAATGAGCTGTTTGTGTCTGTCCACAGGTCCTGAAGGCTGACCGAAACAATAACAGAGGCAGTAATAGTAGTCAGAGGTTCTATCCATGGATTTTGTTTATCTTGTAAAAGAGAGACAACAGGCCTTCCAGTTGTCCAGGGTCTCAGCCAGTCTTCGACTCCATGTTAGTGTAAAACTTCTGCACCCCATCCATTTCCACCTTTCCTCTCCTCCCCTATACCTTTTTAAATGCCTGTCAAAACAAAAAGCAGAAGGAAAGGTCTCTCAAACCTGTACTCAAGAAAGTGTATGCCCATTTGGTTACCGATAGTTTGGTTAAAAATGATCCTGTAAGATACCACCTGACACACACCATCGCAAGGGCAAGGAGGCAATGCCAGCAGGAAGCTACGTAGTCCCCAGGTAGTGACTTCATTCTACTAGGAGAACTTGGATGGCCCTTCAGATTTTGATCAGAGGAGACTATGTACTTATTACTGGATAGAAGGGGGGTCATCCTACTATTAAAATTTATTGCAGAGCCTGCTTTGTAAGACCTGCTTACTACCTTGCAGCACAGTAGGTTTGCAATAATACAACAGGCTGGAACAAACTTTTGCTCTAACCATAGTTGACTGACAAAATATATGTTGATTACAGGTAAGTCACAGAAAAGTAGGTTTGGACCTCATACTTTTAATACAGTTGGAAAAAACCTGATTGCAACACACTGAAATGTAACTGTGTGCAGAACAAACACCATCAGAAATGCAGTCCTTTTGCATTTTGGGAAATCCAGGTTCCCAGGAGCATGGCTGGTCGTAAGCAAACTGCTTTTGACTGAAATAGAGAGCAAACAGCTCGATGATTAAGAGAAGTTTTGAGTGGATTGTGCAGATATTTTCAAGACCCCTTAGGACAAGTCTGGTTATTAGACAAGTGGCATTTTGGTGGCTGGAAGGCATGTAAGGGATGGTGTCTGATATGGGATGGCTGGAAATTTTGCTTATAGTTTAGAGGAGGGTTGTGGAGAAAAATCCCATAATAGAGGAGGCAGGAGAAGAGGGGAAGCTCTACATTTTCTCTTTCCCTTTCTACCATGTCTGGTTAGTGGATTCTAGTCAATCCTCTCTACATTTCCTTATGAAAAGAAGGTTAAGGAGAACTTCAAATTTTTTTTTTTTCATTTTGAGTTAATTTTGGTTAAAAACTCAATCACTCATTCAGGACAGGCACGGTGGCTCACATCTGCAATCCTAGCACTTCTGGAGGCCGAATAGGGCAGATTACATGAGGCCAGGAGTTCAAGACCAGCTTGGCCGACATGGTGAAACCCTGCCTGTACTAAAAATACAAAAATTAGCCAGGTGTGGTGGTGCATGCCTGTAGTCCCAGCTACTCGGGAGGCTGAGGCCAGAGAATTGCTTAAATCTGAGAGGTGGAGGTTGCAGTGAGCCGAGATCGCACCACTGCACTCCAGCTTGGGTAACAGCGAGACTGTGTCTCAAACAAAAACAAAAACCAACTCAATCACTCATTTGGATGTTTTGGCCACTTGAAATGGAAAATGTTAAGTCTGAGTGAAATTTGATTGGATAGTTTAGTTTAGTTGATTGGATATAGTTAGGATCTTTAAGGGGAGAAATCAGAGAATTCAGAAATATGTGTGTAATGGTTGTTTGTGTGGTCTGACCTCTTTGGCAAAGAGGAACAAGGAGGAAAGGAATCATTCAAAATTCTTAAGGCTCCAGGAGGGAAGAAGTGCTGTTAGGTCAGAGTCTTAATGACCTACCCTAGGTCTCTCACTCATCCTTTACTGGGGTCTGGAGGAAAGGTCTTCCTCCCAGGAGAATTCAGTGTTTAAAAGCTTGAGCTCAATTTCCGTAACTGTAAAGAAGTGGTCCTAATAGTAGTACACAATAGCTCTTATTGTTATTATTTTGTTGTAGATATTGACTTCTGTCCCTCCTGCCCTAGCCATTGTTTGTCCTCCTTTGAAGCTTTACAGTTGTATCCTACCCTGCCCCATATAGCTGTGGTTAGCTCCATGAGTATTAGAACTGATCAAGTGTACAGATGCCTGAAAATGTGTCCATGAGAGGTTGTCTTTGAACTGTGTGTGTGTCAGCTTGGGCTATATATCTAAGGCACTAGGAACAGTGATGGCTAGGCATGTTGAAGGGGATCTGTGCGTAGGGTGCTTTGGTAACTCTACCTGTATGTTGAAAGGAAAAGCCACCTTTTAGTGGAGAGAGATGAAGCTCACCAGGGCAACCCCACAGAGCCCCTAGATTATAGATTCCCCCAGTACATTCTCTGAGACAGAGGCTTGGAGAGATGAGGCGAGCATGGTGGATAATGCTATTAATTGTTCTTTAGGGGAAACAGGCCATTTATTCTGTTATCGTTTATGCCCTGAACTTGGTCCAGGTTCCTAGCTGAAATTTCACACTTTACGGCTACTGTCAAAGGTGTACATGTAGAGTAGGGACATTGGTGAGAGGGGAACTAACTCTGCATATAAGGTAGGTGTTGTAAGAATTCAGGATGAAGGGGACTGTAAGAATCCTCCTGGGGGTCTGAGGAAGGAAGAAATGAGAGTGACCTCCCCCATCTGCTGGGATGGGTATGTTCATTTTCATGTCCTGCTCTTGGTAAGCTAACAAAGTAGGCATTCAGGAACTGGGGATCCCTAGATACCCAGGGGGTGACTGCACACATTGTTCCCTACTTCTTCTGCTTCTGTAGTGTCCTCACATTCTCCCCCTGGTTCCCTGGTCTGGAACCAGTTCCCAGAGATGCACTCAGAACCCACCTTTATGCCCACTTCTTCATTTCAGCCCTCTGCTCAAAGGCTGCGTGCCATAATGCAGGCACATGGGTGGGTGCATACACATACATACACACACGTCCATAGCCCCAGCCCTCGGAATAAGGGTTGAACCTTCTTACTGGGATGGGGAGGAAAAGGGCTTCCCATCCGGATGTGGTTTTCAGTCTTTTAACAGGCTTGTGACTTTAATCATTTACTATAAAGGGTTTTACAATTAGTTTATGCAGAATGATGTATTGCCTCTTTCTGGAGTGGCATTTGGGATTGCTTGGGGCTCGTCAACTTTCCATTCGGGACTCTGAGGAAGAGAAAATGAGGGAGACAGGAACTGAAATGGGAGCTGTTGGGTGGAGTAAACTTGTTGAGGATGTCTATTCAAAGTTAGAAATATTTATTCTACTTCCTCCTTAAGGTCTCTAAGTTGCTTGGGAGGAGAACTCCAACTGTAATAGAGACCAGTTGCTTTGGCAGGATTTGGAGATGAAGTTCTAAATTAAAGGGCAGGCCAGGCGCAGTGGCTCACGCCTGTAATCCCAGCACTTTGGGAGGTTGAAGTGGGTGGATCACCTGAGATCAGGAGTTTGAGACCAGCCTGACCAACATGGTGAAACCCCGTCTCTACTAAAAATACAAAAATTAGCTAGGCATGGTGGCTGGCACCTGTAATCCCAGCTACTTGGGAGGCTGAGGCAGGAGAATTGCTTGAACCCAGGAGGCAGAGGTTACAGTGAGCAGAGATTGTGCCATTGCAGTCCAGCCTGGGTGACAAGAGTGAAATTCCATCTCAAAAAAAAAAAAAAAAGTAAATAAATTGAAGGGCAAAGATAATTCTTCACAGAGAGATATGGCTGTTGGTGGCTGCAGCCAGTGTATTCCAAACAAGGACTAGATGTACTAGGATGTTGGCTGAGGAAGCAGCTAGATTCAGAAGAATAATCTTGTTAAGGGTCTTCCTACAACTTATTTAAACTTATTTAAAATCTAGCTGACTGAGGTTATCTATAGGGTTTTCTTCCTCTCTATATTTATTACCATTTGGTTAAGATATGCTGCTGCTGTTGGCTTTTTAGAATAGAGTGGAGTGATTGCTGTCCAGAATGAGCTCTGGGTGTAGGCAGGAGGTGGAACAGAATGATCTTCACAAACCTCTAATATTTCTGTGAGATAATCTTTGTTCCACTCTTCTACCCTTTCCCTCTTGCTGGCCATCTTGAATGAGTAGTTTCTTTTAAACTTCTAACTAAAAGAGGAATGCTGTCTGTCTAGGCCCAAACTCCTTTGCTCTCTTCTCTTAAAAGCCCCATGGTTAGCAACTGTAGCCTGGGAGTGTGTGTGGGGTCCTTGCCTCAGTCACTGGCTGTTTGAAAAATAACTTAAAAAATATATATTTACAATGAAATGCCATGGGAGAAAACATTTAACAAGATGCTGCAGACGTCTGGGATAGCTTGCATATTGCTGCAAAGATTGGTACTTCTGATGTATTCATTCATGCATGCAGGCATGCATTCATCCAGTTATTTTTATCTAGTAAGAGTCTACTATTGCATGATATGCCCTTTGCTAGGTATTAGAAATACAATGAGGAACAAGTGAAAGACCCTGATCTTACAGTGCAGATGGAAGGAAATACAATTTTTTTTTGTTTCTGTTTTTTTTGAGAGGGAGTCTTGCTCTGTTGCCCAGGCCGGAGTGCTGTGGTGCCATCTTGGCTCACTGCAGCCTCTGCCTCCCGGGTTCAAGCGATTCTCCTGCCTCAGCCTCCCCGAGTAGCTGGGACTATAGGTGTGCGCCAGCACCCCTGGCTAATTTTTGTATTTTTAGTGGAGATGGGGGTTTCACCATGTTGGCCAGGCTGGTCTGAAGCACCTGACTTCAGGTGATCTGCCCACCTCAACCCCCAACAAGGTGCTGGGATTACAGGCGTGAGCCACCGTGCCCTGCTGGAAATATAATTTAACAGATATTTCAGATATTTTCTCTTTGGAAACTTAGGTTTTTCTCTTTATCCTTGGTATTTTTTTTAAAAAAATTATTTTTAGGCTGGGCGCAGTGGCTCATGCCTGTAATCCCAGCACTTTGGGAGGCCAAGGCGGGCAGATCACTTCAGGTCAGGAGTTCAAGACCAGCCTGGCCAACATTTGAAACCCTGTCTCTAATAATAATACAAAAATTAGCCGAGCGTGGTAGTGCATGCCTGTAATCCCAGCAACTCTGGAGGCTGAGGCAGGAGAATCTCTTGAACCTGGGAGGCAGAGGTTGCAGTGAGCTGAGATCGTCCCATTGCACTCCAGCCTGGGCAACAAGAGCGAAACTCCATCTTAAAAAAAAAAATTTAATCGTAAAATATGCAAAAAGCTAAAATTTACCATCTTAACCATTTTAAGTATATAGTTTTGTGACATAAACATACCTGGGCGCGGTTGCTCACACCTGTAATCCCAGCACTTTGGGAGGCCGAGGTGGGTGGATCACCTGAGGTCAGGAGTTCGAGACCAGCCTGGCCAACATGGTGAAACCCTGTCTCTACTAAAAATACAAAAATTAGTCGGGCGTGGTGGCGTGCGCCTGTAATCCTAGCTACTCGGGAGTCTGAGGCAGGAGAATTGCTTGAACCCAGGAGGCGGAGGTTGCAGTGAGCCGAGATTGCGCCACTGCACTCCAGCCTGGGTGAAAAGGAGCAAAACTCGATTTCAAACAAAACAAAACACAAAAAACAAAAAACATTCACATTGTTGTGCAACCATCACCTTCATCTATCGCTAGAACTCTTCATCTTGCAAAATTGAAACTCTGTAGCCATTAAATAATAACTTACCCATTCCTCCTTCCCTCTGGTCATTTCCAGTAAGTAGTAGTGCTGTGATTCAAAAAATGGCCATTTAAAAACTATTGCCAGTTTTACTTTTTCCCACATGGTGGTCATCTTTTTTTTTTTTTTTTTTTTTTTGAGACAGTCTTGCTCTGTCGCCCAGGCTGGAGTGCAGGGGCACGATCTTGGCTCACTGCAAGCTCCGCCTCCCGGGTTCACGTCATTCTCCTGCCTCAGCCTCCCCGAGAAGCTGGGACTACAGGCGCCCGCCACCACGCCCGGCTACTTTTTGTATTTTTAGTAGAGACGGGGTTTCACTGTGTCAGCCAGGATGGTCACGATCTCCTGACCTCGTGATCTGCCCGCCTTGGCCTCCCAAAGTGCAGTCACCTCTTCATCCTAAAGAAAATGGAAGCCTTTGTGTGTCCCCTTTCCTGCATTAAATACTGATTATTAATTGAGTTTTTATTTAGCATTATTGGGTCTTTTCAGGTGGGGAAGTGAGACATAGAGATTGAGAGGGCTCCCAAAAGACAGAGGTACAAGGCCAAGTCTCTGCCCTCCAGCATTTTCACTTTAAATCCAGGAAAAACTGAGAGTACAGAGTCCAGGAGTCCACGCACTAAAATGGGAGGCACACAAACTCAGGAACGAAAATAGAGGAGGGAGACTTTAGAGCTAAGCTGGGTTTTGGAGGCAAGGCAGAAAAAATAGAGGAATGGGTTAAGAAGAGCCTCGTGGACCAGCCTGGCTAACATTGAAACCCCGTCTCTACTAAAAATACAAAAACTAGCCAGGCATGGTGGCGCGCACCTGTAATCCCAGCTTCTCGGGGAGGCTAAGGCAGGAGAATCGCTTGAACCCGGGAGGTGGAGGTTGCAGTGAGCCGAGATTGTGCCACTGCACTCCAGCCTGGGCAACAGAGTGAGACTCTGTCTCAAAAAAAAAAAAAAAAAAAAAAAAAAAAAACAAACCCTAAAAAAACAAAAACAGCTTTGTGGATGGACAGGGAGCTGTTTTCGGGCAGACCATTCACCTAGAAGAGGGAGGCATTCAGTGAGGATTCACAGAAATGAGGCTCTCAGTTGGTAGGGCAGCCACTCCTGTTTATTTCTCTTCTTGAGCATCTTTGCTTCTGAGCACTGTGAGGTGATAAGGCTCAAAAGATGAGTTCTTTCTACAATTATAGGAGCATTTATTGAGTATCTGCTCAGCTCACACTGTTACTTCACCGAATTTCCCAAAGAACTCTGAAGGTATTATCATCTTCATCCTACAGAAGAATCTGAACTAAGGTCACACCTTCAATAAGTAGGAGTGCTGGCATTTCAAACCCAGGCATTTCTATTTCCAAAGTTGAGCTCTCTTAGAAGGTGTGAACTCTGGAGGTTGAGGCAGGAAGGTTGCGTGAGCTCACGTGTTTCACATTATAATGAGCTATGATGGTGCCATTGCACTCCAGCCTGGGTGACAGAATGAGACCCTGTTCCAAAAAAAAAAAAACGTTGGGAACAGGTGATCCTCCAATACTCAGGTTGAGGTTTTCTTGAGCTTTTTTTGCAGGGGCTGGGGAGTGGGGCGTAAGCTTAGCAGATAAAATTTCTCCTTGCTCTGAGCCTCCCCAGGCATTTCATACCTACCTTGCATTGTATTTTCCTATCGCCGTTGAGATTTTCAGATTATCTTGAGTGGTTGAAGAAAATTGATTTTTTTTTTTTTTTTTTTGGGAGATAGAGTCTTGCTTTGTCACCCAGGCTGTAGTGCAGTGGTGCAATCTCGGCTCACTACATACAACCTCCGCCTCCTGGGTTCAAGTGATTCTCCTGCCTTAGCCTCCTGAGTAGATACAGGCATGTGCCACCACACCTGGCAAATTTTTGTACTTTTAGTAGAGAAGGGGTTTGCCATGTTGGCCAGGCTGGTCTCGAACTCCTGACCTCAGGCGATCCGCCCTCCTTTGCCTCCCAAAGTGCTGGAATTACAGGCATGAGCCACCGTGCCCGGCCAGTTGAAGAAAATTGAGATGGATGGGTCCAAATTTTCTCCCCTTGTCTGGGCAGCTAAGATGAGAAATGGGAATTCTGTTGGAATGAAATAATACACTTGAGAGGAAGCTGAACAAAGTGGAAGAAAGATCTGAGTGGGGTTAG
The DNA here is from genome assembly GCF_000001405.40 of Homo sapiens. Lineage (NCBI taxonomy): Eukaryota > Metazoa > Chordata > Mammalia > Primates > Hominidae > Homo > Homo sapiens. Next base: position 49,012,349 of record NC_000017.11, read on the forward strand.
AACTTACGTGTCAGCCTCAGCCTGTCCTTTTGCAGATGTGTAAGGTGTGGGATCTGGGGTCACTAACTCTTTTCCTGGGACTCTGTTTCCTTACCTGAATCCTCCCCATCTCCAGAAACTTCATAAAATAAGCTGGATGAGTGTTTTGAATTCTAGGAGTCTCCATCCTTTGACGCTTCTGGAAGGTACCAGGGCTGGAGCTTTAGGCTGATCCACCCCCTCTTTGTTTGGGTTCAAGCCACGGGAAAATGGGAGCTTGAGGGGAAGGTCAGGGATTGAGATGCTTCCCTTTCCCTCCTCCTCCTCCCTCCTCCCAGCAGGAAGGGACAAAGAGTTGACCTTTGTTACAGGTCTACAGAATCATAATTCATAGTTCATACATGTTAGTTTTTCTTTCTTTCTTTACACAGGGTCTCCCTCTGTCGCCCAGGGTGGAGTGTAGTGGCATGATCGCAACTCACTGCAGCTTTGACTTTACCAGCTCAAGCGAGAGCCTGAGCCCCCACAAAGTATTGGGTTTACAGGCACCAGCCACCGCGCCTGGCTTCCATACATGTTAGTTTCTAAAATATCAGGAACCCAGTTACGTTTTTTTCCTGGCAAGCAGGAACAGGCTGCACAGTGTAGTGACATTTGCTGGCCAGTGTCACCTTGACCTCTCTGAGCCCGTTTTCTGATCTGCAGAACGGAAGTAGCAATATTCTTAGTCTCCCCTGGTTGTTGAGAGGCTCAACTCAGCCTCTTGTGGTGGTTCCAGGTTCATAGTGTGGGCAAAAAGAAGTACTTTGTGAACTCTAAAGCACTATGCAAAGGTGAGTTATTAACAAGATCATTAATTGATGACACCCCAAAAGGGCTGAAAGGTCATTCTCACCCCCAAACAAATGTCCTACTCTGCATGGGGGCGAGTATGACTTCTATTGTGACTTTGCTATGGAGCTTCCCAGAAGGCCTTGGGGACTAGCCCGGGAGGAGAGCCTTCTTTCTCTGCGGGTTCCGAAGGCTCCTAGTTCCGTGCCCCCACCCTGCTCCCAGGCCTTAGTTCCTGGCCTCACAGTGGGAGGCCTCCCGCCCCGTCCCGCCTCCTCCCGCGGCCCAGCCAAGGTCTCTAAGGAATGCCGCCTCCCGGGCCATTTTCTCCCCTCCAGCCTCCGCGGCCCCACTTCCAGCCTCTCCCTGGCTTCCCGGTTCCCTACCCCCAACCGGTTGCCACTTAAATGCTTGCAGGCCTGGTGCAGGCGGGAAGCCCCCTTCCCCCACAGGACCACCTCAGTCACAGCCCTGACCACAGGGAGGTCGGGTCTGGATTTACTAAAGGACCCCAGAGCGGGAGACTGCCCCTCGCCGGCTGCCTGGCTTCGCCATGGGGTCGGGTTTCGACCGGCCGGTGGCTCTGCAGAGAGACAAAGGGCAAAGTCCTGGGCCCCACCCCCACCCCGCAGCCCCTGGCGCGGGTCCCCTCCCCCTCGGGGCCCAGGGCGGGTAGCCAAGGGCCGCGGGTCCCCGCCGGACAGGTTTGGAGCGAGTCGGGGCGCCCAAGGGGGCTTTGGCGGTAGAACATTCGAGACCGTGCGGAGCCCTGTAGCGGAGGGGCTGGGGGGCTGCTCTGTCCCCTTCCTTGCGCGCTGCGGCCTCAGCCCACCCAGAGGCCGGGGTGGGAGGGCGAGTGCTCAGCTTCCCGGGTTAGGTGAGAGGGGCTGGGGAGGGGGCGACCGTGGGCACAGGCGGGGACAGCCCGCCCCTCAGCTGCGCCGTCTCAGTTCTCAATTGCCCGTTCACGAGGGCGCCCCTCCCCCGCCTCAGCTGCCGCCGCCCTTCCCAGGCACCGCACTATCCCCGTTAGTGGTTCTCCCCGCGGTCCCCGTCCCCCTCAGTCTCCGCCTCAGTCTCCCCCTCAGTCCCCGTCCCCATCTGTCTCCCCCTCAGTCTCAGCCCCCCAGTCGCCGTCCCCCTCTGTCTCCCCCTCAGTCTCAGCCCCCCAGTCGCCGTCCCCCTCAGTGGCCCGCTCTGCTGCGCTTTCCCCTGCTCCACCGCGAGGGGCCGTGTTCACCGCCTAGGTTCTCTTGGCCGTCCCCTCCTCCTGGCCAAGGATAGGCGAGAACCATCTTGGAAGGCACTCAGTCCTCCCAGACAGGATCCTTGGTGGTAGAACATTCTAGACCGTGCGGAGCCCTGGGGAGGAAGACCTCCACAGAGAGGGCACTTGAGGGGGGGAGGAGGGCCACGTTGGGGCCCTTGTCAGGGGAGAGACTGGCTGAGGAAGCGCCCGCCAGGAAGAAGCCAGCTGCAGCGCCTGTTTCCCACCGCAGGTCATGGTTGGCAGCTAGGGGGAGACGCGGATCCCTGAGGGCTACTGCGCAGCGGCCGCCACTTATGGACACGCAGACGCTTGCGGGGCTGGTGCCCAGATGTTTGCCCATCGTCATCAGGGGGCACTAAGGACCCCGAGGAGCACGGGGATGTCTGCCGGGTCCTTCTCATGGTGCGGTGGGAAGCTGCCGAAGACAGATTGCTTTGGAGGCTGGTCTGGTTTCCTCTCCTGGCTCCTGAGAGGGCCACCTCGGCTGTTCCCTCTGGAGGACAGAGCCCGACTCTGTCTGTTTTCAAGGTACCTCTCATGACGCCTTCCACTGGGCACCAGCTCCATCCTCGGCCGGGCCTCTGAAACCCCGAGTGCCTGAGCGTGTGTCCTGTCGCCCAGGCTGGAGTGCAGTGGCGTGATCTCGGCTCAATGCAACCTCAGCCTCCCGAGTAGCTGGGATTACAGGCGTGTGCCACAACACCCGGCTAATTTTTGTATTTTTAGTAGAGACGGGGTTTCACCATGTTGGCCAGGCTGGTCTCGAACTTCTGACTTCAGATGATCCTCCCGCTTCTGCTTCCCAAAGTGCTGGGATTATAGGCGTGAACCACTTTGCCCGGCCGTGACCGTATGGCTTTTAAGCTTTCTGGAGAGAGGCTGGCATCTCCACCGGGGGCGAGTGCTAAACCAGCATCTCCAGAGAGGCGGGGCCGGGCCAGAGATGGTCTTCCTGCCCCCCACCTTTCCCTCGGTCGGAGCTTAGTAGCCTTCCCGACCCCCGGGGGAAGATTCCGAAACTTCCCTTCCCACTGCCAGTCTGAGAAGGATCGTGAGCAATGTCCCTGAGGGGGACCTCCCCATCTCAGATTGCAGGAGGGAGGCTCAGTTGCACAGCTCCCGTTGGGTCACCTCTTTTCTATTTGTCCCCGTACTGTAGGTTTGTCCTGATGGTTTCTTCTCCACTTCCTCAGTCTACCCCAGGGACCCCCCATTCTCTGTGCTTCCACATGACCACTTCTCCCCTTTGGGAGCCACTCAAGGTCGGGGGAGAGGGTGGCAGTTGGAGACCAGGCTGATGTGGAATTTGTCTGGAAAGAGCTGGACTGTCCCAGAGCTTCTGTTTTGGCCTCCTTGGGGGCTGCTCAGATGGGCTTTCTTGTCAAACTATTTCCGAGATAGGCGAATTGAGCAAAGTATTCATGCTGAGGTTGGCTTGACCCCACCGCCACTTAGCACCTTCCACAAGTTGCTTCCTTCCTCCCCCAGAGCAAGATGACATTTTGCATGGTAGGGATTTTTGGTGAGCACCCTTTCACCCCACTAACAAATCTCCCTGACAGCCATCCAGCCGTATGATAGGGCACTTAGCTCTTCTGCAAGTGAAATCCCGTGCCCAAATTAGAGCCGCATGCAGTAAAAGCCAGTTGGCACGCACTTAACCATACAGAATATGGGCACTTTTCCTGCTTCTGACGTCGGGGCTGTTCAGGCTTCTGCTGTATTAACACTTGTCTTCAGAAAGAAAGCAGTGGAGTTTGGTGCAGTGAGCACAAGCAGCCTACTAGTCCTGCCTCCAAGTTGGCAAGTCTGTTTCCTTCTCTGAGCCTCAGTTTCTCCATCTGTGAAATGAGGGTGACTGTTCAGCATCCTCTCAGGCTTCAGAGGCTTACCCCTTTCCTTTCTGCCTCAATGTATGAATCTGATGTTTTTCAACTGGAACTTCTTGGTGACAGATTAAGGTGTGTGTATTGTGTGTGTGCGTGCGCACGTGTGTGTGTGTGTGTGGGATCATATAAGCTGAGTGATTCCCTTCTCTCCCCTAAATATGGGTAGAAGAGCCCTCCAGAGGAGTGGGAAGAAGGGTTCAGCCCAGAGTAGCTCTTGGTGACCTGCTTTTCCTTCCTACTTTTCCCCCAACAAGTAGTATAGGAAGGAGGCAGTGCGTGTATGCCACATACATTAAAAGACCTTGCTCACAGGGTGACAGTTGCATTCCAGTGGTGTCCTCACCTTCCAGTCCCCTCACACTCTGGCTTTCTTCGTGGTGGTGGCATCTGCTCTGCCCAGTCCCACATCTCCCAGTAGGTCAATGTTTTCTGGCCCCTACCCCTGCCAGCCTGCCACTCGACAGCCCGCCAGCCCGCCCGCCCGCCCCCCTGTCCTCCTGCCCCCCCGCCTGTCCTCCCGCCTGTCTGGCTGCCCTGCCTCTGGATCAGCCTGGCACAGAGCCCTGGGCTTTCGGCCAGCTCCTCCTCCCCTCCCCGCCCCCGCCCCCTTTCTCAGCTACTGCCATCCTGAAGCGTGCCAGGTCCGCCCCCTTCAGAAGTTTTCTTGGACAATTTTTTTTTTTCACCGCCTCTCCACCCTGTAGGGATAAGGAGGCGGGGTGGGGAGGAAGGACTGAGTCAGTGGTGATTTTCTGGAAAAGGCAGAGGTTGGCACCTTAGGGCAACTTCCAGATGGGAGCGACAACTGGGAGAGGGGCCAGCTTTGGGAGGGGGCTTCTACTCTGGTGTCAGCCACATGGAACCCTCTTGTTGAAGAGTCAGCAGAATCACCTACTTCTGAAGGGGTCCAGTGAGCAGCTCTCCCTCACTCCCTGGTTAGCTTTGTCCTCTTATCCCAAACCAAACCAGACCAAATCAAATCAAACCAGGTCCCCTGCTGGACTGTAAACCCTGTCAAAGCAGGGACCATGCCTATGTGCTGGGTACTGTAGCACAGTGCCCAGCACTGTCCAATAGAAATGCAATGTGAGCCATACATGTAAGTTTCTATTTTCTACGAGTCATATTAAAGAAACAGGTGAAATTAATTTTAAAGATAGTTAACCCAATATATAAAAAATTATCTCAACATGCAATCAATATAAATAATTATTAAAGAGATTGCTTTTTGGAGGGTACTTAAGTTTTAGAAATCTAGTATTCTAAACTAGATTAAAATTATTTCATATTCATTTATTTATTATTTTTCAAGTCAGAGTCTCACTCTGTTGCTCAGGCTGGAGTGCAGTGGCATGATATCAGCTCACCACAACCTCAGCCTCCGGGGTTCAAGCAATTCTTGAGCCTCAGCTTCCCGAGTAGCTGGGATTACAGGCGCCTGCCACCACACCTGGCTAATGTTTTGTATTTTTAGTAGAGATGGGGTTTCACCATGTTGGTCAGGCTGGCCTTGAGCTTCTGACCTCAGGTGATCCACCTGCCTCGGCCTCCCAAAGTGCCTCAACTTTCCGAGTAGCTGGGATTACAGGCATGCACCACCACGCCCGGCTAATTTTTGTATTTTTAGTAGAGACAGGGTTTCGCCATGTTGGCCAGGCTAGTCTTGAATTCCTGACCTCAGGTGATCCACCCACCTCGGCCTCCCAAAGTGCTGGGATTACAGGTGTGAGCCACCACACCTGGCCTAACACTTAAAGTTACAAAATTAAAAATTCAGTTGCTCAGTTGGACTGGCCACGCTGTAAGAGCCTCAGTAGAGCAGCCACATGTAATTAGTGGCTCTTGTAGTGGACGGAGAAGGCCCAGTGTGTAGTAGCTGTCAAGATAACAACAATAACAACAAAAAAGAATGGCTCCGAGCAGCTGGACCCTTACCAGAAACCACCAGCTTCTTGACTTCTGATTAGAAATCTGGTACCTGTTAGATGACGTGAGCATGGTGTGTGTGTTTTTGCAGGTTTGAAACATGTTTGTTGCTCACTCTTTTCCAGTATCCTGGGAACCCCAAACTGGCTCCCAGTCTAGCTTTGTTGTCTAATTGCCTCAGGCTGATTCCTTCTCTACTTGTTGAGATGCCTGCAGCCATGACTGAAGACTTGGATATCTTTGGGATGAAGTTAAATTGTGTTAGGTGGGGATGGGGGTTAGGGAGTGTGCCTTTACTTTGGGGTTATGGATGGATTCGAAAGTCTTCATTAATCCCTGAAATCTTGAAATGGTGTGCAAAGTGCATTTTTCTGGTGGAATGTTCTTGCCTTTTATCCTAATAGGAACTGTTTCAAAAAAAAAAAAAAGTTAAGAACCAGTTATTCAGACTATTAGGACACAGAAAATCCCTCTAATTAAGAAGGTGTTTCCTTATAGGTAGACAGGGTTGATCCCTGTCTGGGGACACAGGACCCTCTAAGATGGACTAACCCTACTCCTAGTTTCCCAGATGTGAGAAACTGAGGTCCAGAGTTGAAGGCCACACATGGAGCCAGAAGCTTGGCCTGGGGGAGGGGTGGAGGTGAAGGTTCTAATCTGAAGATCCTGGTTTAATCCTACTTCTTTGCTGGAGATGAAAGTCCAGGCTTGACTCATGACAGGGGCCCTAGGGGAATTGGGGCCCCAAACTAGACAAGATTCCAAAACCTGCTCCCACCTTGCCCTCCTCCCTTCCTTCAACTGGCTTGCCCCACCCCAGTTTAAAGGCAGTCCTCCCTCTAGGGAGGGGTGAGGGAGGCCATAAACATGATTGAAAATGGCATCCTCGCTTCTGGGTATGGGGGCTGAAAGAAGGAGCAGGTTTGCAGAGGATTAGAGAAATACCAGTCCCAGGGGTAGTTTTCAGTCTCCCATTCACACTGTGCACAGTGCTTTCCTGGGAGGCCTCTTTCTGAGACCATCTCATCTGGTGCATTTGCTCCTTCCTCCCTTGGAGCCCAAGCCCTTGTCTCCTTCCAACCCCCCGTAAGCTCCTCAAGGTTCTGGATTCTTTCGAATAGAACACCAATAGGAAAATTTCATCATTACTTCATACTAGTTTCTATTAATTTTGAACTGCTAATAACTTCAGAACTGGGTGAGCTGGAATTACGTCTTTTTAGTTTTTACCTTTTTATTATGGAAAGAAATATAAACATAAAAGTAGAAAGGATAATGTAATAACCCCTCTGTGTACCATCCATCACTTAGCTTTAAAATTACCATGCATATGTAGTCTGTTGTCATTTTCCCCTGTGCTCTGATTATTTTGAAGCAAATCTTAGACATGTCATTTTATTTGTAACTATTTCAGTATGTATTTCTAAAATATAAGAATTACAATATGACTTTAAAAGATTGACAACAGGAGTGAGCCATTGTGCCTGGCTCCTAACTTATACTTTATTTATTTAGTTTGAGACAGGATCTCACTCTCTCACCCAGGCCGGAGTGCAATGGTGCCATCTCGGCTCACTGCAACCTCTGCTTCCCGGACCCAGGTGATCCTCCCATCTCAGCTTCCTGAATAGCTGGGACCACAGGTGCACACCTGGCTAATTTATATATATATATATATATATATATATATATATATATATATATATTTATATACACACACACACACACACACATACACCCACACATATATATACACACACACACACATATATATACACACACACACATATATATGTATGTATTTTTTTGGGGGGGTGGGGTGGGGTGGGGGACAGAGTCATGCTATGTCACCCAGGCTGGAGTGCAATGGTGCGATCTCACTGCAACCTCCCAGCCTCTTGGGTTCAAGCAATTCTCATGCTTCAAAGTAGCTGGGGTTACAGGTGTGCTCCATTACGCCCAGCTAATTTTTGTATTTTTAGTAGAGACAAGGTTTCACCATGTTGGCCAGGCTGGTCTTGAACTCCTGACCCCATGACCCACCCACCTCGGTCTCCCAGGGTGCTGGGATTACAGGCGTGAGCCACCACACCTGGCCCTAACTTCTCCTTTAAAGGAAGGGAATTAACACGCCAGGCTCTGAGATTCATTATCTCATATAATTCTCCCTACCCACTAAGGTGGTATCAACGGATGTTTTACAGACCAGGGTACTGAGATAGAGAGGTTGAGTATCTTGTCTAAGTCACACAGCCATGCAGAACCACAGCCAGAATTTGAACCCAAAGCCTGTTTGAATCCAGACTCTTCGCACTGTCCCTATGCTGCCTTTTTGATGACATAAAAGGGACAAAAAGCATTTGCCAAAGTAAACTCACTTTAGGCTGGAGGACAAAATAAAAAACACTTAAGAGTTCACACGACCCAGTGAACAGTGGGTCTGCACCGTGGAATTGCACTCCGATAAATCAAAACATCCCACCTATAATTCTTTAAGCTATTAACTTCTTCTTCCAGCAGCGTATTTCCATAGTTAGTTGAAAAGTGATTATTTGGCATATTGAACATTGACTAGGTATTTGATGACATCAAGAAATTATTGTCATCCTGGTGTGGTGGCTCACATCTATACAGCACTTTGGGAGCTGAGGTGGGAGGATCGCTTGAGGACAGACAGGAGTGTGAGACCAGCCTCGAAAACATGGTGAGGCCCCGTCTCTACAAATTAAAAAAAAAAAAAAAAAAATTGGAGCCAGGCGTGATGGCGCATGTGCCTGTGGCCCCAGCTGCTCAGGGGGCTGAGGTGGGAGGACCCCTTGAGCCTGGGAAGTCGAGGCTGCAGTGAGCCAAGGTCTCACCACTGCACTCCAGCCTGGATGACAGAGCAATACCCTGTCTCAAAGGAAAAAAAAAAAAGCAGGCTCTTCCCTAATTGAGAACTGTTTTCTTTTCTCTTTGGTGTAAGTCAGTGACACTTCTCTGAACTCTTGAGGTATGAAGGATGAGAACTCTCAGCCCAGGGAGAGTTCCCAACCTCATCTCCCTCCCAGGGGCCCTGCTCCCTGTGCTTCCTGAATCTCTTACTTCCTACATAGCTTTTTAAGCTGTTGCAAGGATGCTCTTTCCCTCTGTTTTCTCCTGAATCACCCCTGGGCTTCTGGAGGATGGTCACTCAGTCTTTGTGGCTCTTATGCCTCCTCCTTGGCCCAGCAGCGTTTGAGAGGTGAGTCCTCAATAGCTGCTATGTATCTGGCAAGCTGCCGCCCCCGTCCCCACGTGCCCCACCCCTGGCCCAGGACCTGATAACTGCTCTGTACATCAAGGAAGGCAGAGGACACCAGAAGCCACAGCATGTTGGCACCCAGAAAAATAGGCTGGTGCAACTGTTGCCTTTATTGCCAGGGGCTGGTTGCTTCATTCTTTGAATCCACAGGTTTATCAGCTATAGGAGGGTGGTGGGGAGGGACTAATGAACTCAGAGTTCACCTTCCTTTTCTGAACAATGGCTGTTCATCGGTTTAGGCAATCCAGGCATATAGAAGGTGCCCAGAAGATACTGCCCATAGGGCAAAGGCACTTCTCAGCTCTGGTAGAAGCTGGTCTACTGAAGTGCTGGAGCGGGTCCCTGGTCCCTGGACCCTTTAACTGGGGAGATGGGGGTGGGGCTCTAGGCAGTGGTATTTTTCACTATTTTCCCCACCAGTGCAGAAGTAAAATCTTAATAACTGTTAACTATTGTCAGCCCTACCCGCCTGCCTCTTTCCATACTAGTCTGGATACTCCAGTTCCCTGGGACTGGGGACTTGGACATGGTTTGAGTGCTTACTACATGGCAGGCAGCTTGTTTTATAAAAGCCTTATTCAAGTTTCATAGGAGGTAACTAAGGTTCAGAGTGAAGAAGTAACCAGTTAGGGTGCTCTTAGCTTCCATCTGGATCCCCCAAGTTCCCAACACACTGCCCCAGCTCAGCCTACACCAGGCCTTCTCTAAGTGTTTGTGGAATGAATGAGACTGGGACCAAGGGAAGGGAATACGGGTTACAGTGATCAGAAATGCCCCATGTGCTTTGAGGCCTGAAAGAAATTAGGTAGCACCATATTTAATAGAAACCGGGCCAAGGGCTTAAAAGACAAAGGTTCTTCACGGCCTCTGTGCCTCCCTGCCCCCCGCCCCGCCCCTCCCGCTGTTGTGTTTTAATCAGGGCTGGGGGCTTTGTTGAAAGGAGGCAGCCTGGAGGGGCCTGGAGTGGGTTCCCAGGGTGGGGTGTGTACCCTGGAGGGCTGGGTGAGTCCCTGCTGGTTGGGGGCAGGGGAGGGCTGCCAGGATGTCTTTTCTTTCATTGGTTGGGTGGCCCTGCCCTCCTCCCCCTCCCTCTCCTGGAACATTCCAGACATTCCAGACGATCTGCCTGCCATTGCTTTCAGGATATGGATTAACATCCTAGCAGAGATTTGATTTCACCACTGCCACCCTTCTCCCTTCCCCCATCCCCTCCACGAAAGAAAGCCTCTAAAACTGGGAGTTTGAAGTGCGAGGGAATTTTGACCTTTGACCTTAGATTGTACTAAGGGACCATCTTGAAAGAGCACACTTCAAACTGGGCCCCTAAACTGGGGTTCCCTTAGGCCCTTACTGGTTTGAACTCCCAGGTAAGCCACCCCCACCTCTCTGCCCTTCATCCAGACATCCAGAAGTGTTCCCTTGAGGGAGGTCCTGGGCCTGGGCCGAAGCAATACCTGTTATAGGTGTTAAACTAGGTCTGCGTTCTCAACCTTCCAATGGCATGGCCATTTCTTTTCCTCATTTCTTCCGGCAGTTTTGCTTTCATTGTGAGGGCTTCTACATTTTCAGTCTGTCTAGTTGGTCATCGAATGAGTTCTAGGAAATTCCTCACAAGGGTAGATGTGGGGGTTCCCTCTTGGCCAATGAATTGAATCACAAAAAGGTGGTCTGATGGCATCTGGGGACCTGGAACTGGATTTGTATCTTACTATTTTGTCCTGCTATAATCTGACTTACTTAGGTCAAGTTCATGAACAAACCAAAGAAGACAGCCAAAGACAGAGATTCTCTTCAATGTTTATTTCCTTCTTTCCCCATTATTTCATCCCTGGGAGAGATTTCCTTAACATATTTTATGGATGAAGACTCTCCACATTTAGAATTGCAGGCTAGAAAAGATCATAAAGATCTTGCTGTACCCACTGTAAACCTGGAGATACTGAGGTCATATGGGTAAAGTGAGTGAACTGGCTCAGGACAGCCAAGGTCAACACTTTTACAACTAGAGCTTAGCATCCCCCTTCCCTGTTTTCAAACCCCTTCCCCCAAGCTTGGCAGGGCTGGCACTGTCCCCATTGCATGTCAGGTAGGAATACTGAGGCCCGAAGCTTAAGAGAGGCTTAATTAGAGGGACAGCCAGTCAGGGGCAGGTTAAGGGCTAGACTTTCTTGCTTTCTAGTTCAGTTTTCCTTCAAGCCACTAGAGTTTTTTTGGACATTGTCCTTGGACTAAGAGTTTATGATCAAGGATAAACAAAGATATAAATGCAATTGGCCAATGCATCAAGTCAATTTAAAAATCTTAAACCCAGGGATTAGCGCATTTATTTGGGTGGTGAGCGAGTGATCTGGGAGTCGACCCTGAGCCTGAAAGCCTTCCTCAGGGAAAACTACCTTTTTTTTTTTTTTTTAAACAAGTCTCATTCTGTTGCCCAGGCTGCAGTGCAGTGGTGTGATTTCGGCTCACTGCAACCTCTGCCTCCCTGGTTCAAGCGATCCTCCTGCCTCAGCCTCCTGAGTAGCTGGAATTACAGGCACGTGCCACCACACCCTGCTAATTTTTTTTTTTTTTTTTTTTTTTTTTTTGTAGAGAGGAGGTTTCACCATGTTGGCCAGGCTGGTCTCCAACTCCTGACCTCAAGTGATTCGCCTGCCTCAGCCTCCCAAAGTGTTGGGATTACAGGCGTGAGCCACCGCGCGTGGCTAAAAATTACATTTTAAAGATGGGAAGAAGAAATTACCTGGGCATAGTGGCATGCGCATGTGGTCCCAGCTATACAGGAGGGTGGGAGCTGGGAGGATCACTCGATCGCAGCAGGTCTAGGCTGCAGTGAGCTGTGTTTATGCCACTGCACTCCAGTTTGGGTGACAGAGCACTTTACAAGATTGTTAATAATAATGATAATAAAGATGGAAAGAAGACAGTACTGTATAGTTACTGGGAGAGGGGAAGGTAGTGGCATTATGCTGACTTGTATGTGTGTTAATCACTCCCACCTTAGTATTCACAGATACATCTATTGTTATACTTCAAGTACTTACATTTTCTAGCATCACCTACCACCCTACCACCCTGTGGAAAGGTATTATCTCTGTTTTACGTAGGAAGAAACGGCCTCAAAGAGGTTAAACAATCTTGTAAAGGTCAGTATTAGTAAGTGGAGCATAGGTTTAAATCCATATCTGTGCCAAGGACTTAACCACTGCACTATATCTTGCTGTGATTTGTTTGCATATATTATCTCACCTAATAAATTGTGAACACCTTCAACCAGGCATTTTGTCTCCTTTGTTTATTTGTGTGTCTCCAGCATCTGGAACAAAGTAGTATGTGAAGTAGGTATCAATTAAATGGTTGTTAGATTAATTAATAATAATGTCTTGGGCCGGGTGTTGTGGCTCATGCCTGTAATCCCTGCATTTTGGGAGGCCGAGGTGGGCAGATCATCTGAGGTCAGGAGTTCAAGACCAGCCTGACCAATATGGTGAAACCCTGTCTCTACTGAAAATACAGAAATTAGCCGGATGTGGTAGTGCACACCTGTAATCCCAGCTACTAGGGAGGCTGAGGCAGGAGAATCGCTTGAACCCAGGGGGCAGAGGTTACAGTGAGCCGAGATCGCACCATTGCACTCCAGCCTGGGTGGCAGAGCGAGAGACTCTGTCTCAAAAACAAATAAAACATAAAAAATAATGTCTTATTTAGCTTTGTATTCCTAGTGCCTGGAACATAGTCATGGTAACCTGCTTACTGAATAAAGGAATGAGAAAGTGGTGGGACAAACAAAGTGTGTGTGTGTGTGTGTGTGTGTGTGTGTGTGTGTGTGTGTGTTGGGAATGTTAACAGAGTGCTTAGAACACCTGATTCTGCATTCCTAGGTATGGTAGCATCCATGATAATTTTGGTCTCTAAAGCGGGTACCCCTACTCCAAGTCTCCATTCCTAAAAGTGTATTCTTAGATTTTAAGACTATGGTGTTGGTGAGCAGAAGGTGGGGAAATAGAAACTGGGGCAAGGATTAGAAACTGCGAGTTCACAGACCCCTAATGTATTCAGAGCTTTCTTTAACTCTGCTCCCCCTTTACTTTCAGGAGCCGGAAAATTCAAATCCGAAATATTCCACCCCAGCTCCGATGGGAAGTAAGTGTTTGGGGGAAACTCTAAATGGAGTGGGATAGTGGAGCCTGGAAAGTACGTCTGGACTAGCTGGAGTTGCCAGAAATGATTGGGGAGGTCTGGGGCCAGGCTAGGGAGGCCTGGGTCTCATCCTTTCTTTCTTTTTTTCTTTTTGAGTCTCATCCTTTCTTCTTTTTCTTTCTTTCTTTTCTTTCTTTTTTTTTTTTTTTGAGATGGAGTTTTGCTCTTTTTGCTTGGGCTGGAGTGCAGTGGCGCGATCTCGACTCACTGCATCCTCTTCCTCCTGAGTTCACGCGATTCTTCTGCCTCAGCCTCCCAAGTAGCTGGGATTACAGGCGTGTACCCCCATGCTCAGCTAATTTTGTGTTTTTATTGGAGACAGGGTTTCACCATGTTGATCAGGCTGGTCTCAAACGCCTGACCTCAAGTGAGCCACCGTGCCTGGCCTCATGTAACCCACAGCCCCATCTTTAGGTTGTCCCTATGGTGAGAGACATTAGGGAGGTGGATGAGTGTTTCCTAAGCCCTAAACTTGGTAATATGGCAGAAGATAATTTAGGGACCCAGGCAGCCCAGGTCTGCTTCCCAAAAGGCCCTTAAGGCAGAACTTAAGTACACTCCTGCAAAGATACCCCATCAGCATTAGCACCCTAGAAAGGTCACACTGGACAGGTAATAATGCTCAAACACTCCTATGGCTCTGTCAATGCCCGATTGCTTTGGGATGCAGGGTGTCCAGTGGCTGCTTTGCAAGGGTCTTGGGACTCAGAGTTAAGTGTACTTCCCTTCTCCATTCTCCTAGGTACTGGACAGCCTGCTGGCTCAGTATGGTACAGTAGAGAACTGTGAGCAAGGTAAGAGTGGGCCGGGTGTGGGGTGGCACTCGTGGTGGGGGTTGGAGGAGTTTGGTGCATTTGTTCTGCTTCACTTTGTTTCTTTCTTTTTCTCCCTTCCTTCCTTCCTTCCTTCCTGCCTTCCTTCCTGCCTGCCTTCCTGCCTTCCTGCCTTCCTTCCTGCCTTCCTGCCTTCCTGCCTTCCTGCCTTCCTGCCTTCCTGCCTGCCTTCCTGCCTTCCTGCCTGCCTTCCTGCCTTCCTGCCTTCCTGTCTATCTTGCTCTGTCACCAGGCTGGAGTGAAGTGGCGCAATCTCGGCTCACTGCAACCTCTGCCTCCTGGGTTCAAGCGATTCTCCTACCTTAGCCTCCTAAGTAGCTGGGATTATAGGCACGTGCCACCATACCCAGCTGATTTTTGTATTTTTAGTAGAGACGCGTTTCACCACGTTGGCCAGGATGGTCTTGATCTCCTGACCTTGTGACCCACCCGCCTCAGCCTCCCAAAATGCTGGGATTACAGGCGTGAGCCATTGCGCCCGGCCTCTGCTTCACTTTCTGTGATCAAATCTACATTGAAAACCAAAAGAAGAAAGGCAGATAGAATGTGTTAGGCGGGGAAATACATTGGATTGGGGGCGTGGACTCCTGGCCTCGGCTTCGGATCTTGGTTATCTGTGGAACTGGGTTTCTCTTCTGTTTAGCAGGAGGCTTGAACAAAGCCACTCCTTCCCAGCCTGGAGTCTCCAGGCTCTTAGGGATCAACCAAGGTAGAAATGGCTATCCCAGGATTTTAGAACTAGTCTAAGAACAGAAATCTTGCATTCAATCGGAGTTACTCTGCAGCCGTTTTACTTGAAAAGCTTCGTGTTTCTTGCTTTTGGCTGGAATAATCAACCGGTTGTCTCTTTTTAGAAGCTCTGATTGGTAGCAATATATGTCTTTGGTCAATTAAAATAAAAAGCAGAGGATTTATTACTTAGTTAATGTAGTTCAATAGGTAAGCAAAGTCTTTTGAAGAGTAGGCCCACAGAAGGAAAAATGATAAAGAATTCTAGGTCATAAAAAGTTTGCCAGCCGGGCGCGGTGGCTCACGCCTGTAATCCCAGCACTTTGGGAGGCCGAGGCAGGCGGATCACGAGGTCAGGAGATCGAGACCATCCTGGCTAACACGGTGAAACCCTGTCTCTACTGAAAATATAAAAAATTAGCCGGGCGTGGTGGCGGGCACCTGTAATCCCAGCTACTTGGGAGGCTGAGGCAGGAGAATGGCGTGAACCCGGGAGGCGGAGCTTGCAGTGAGCAGAGATCGCGCCACTGCACTCCAGCCTGGGCGAAAGAGCGAGACTCTGTCTCAGAAAAAAAAAAAAAAAAAAAAAAAAAAAAGTTTGCCGGCTGGGCACAATGACTCACACCTGTAATCCCAATACTTTGGGAGGCCAAGGTGGGCAGATCTCTTGAGCCACGAGAGT
Source organism: Homo sapiens (assembly GCF_000001405.40). NCBI lineage: Eukaryota > Metazoa > Chordata > Mammalia > Primates > Hominidae > Homo > Homo sapiens. The sequence continues at coordinate 49,027,968 of NC_000017.11, forward strand.
TTTGAGACCAGCCTGGGAAACAGTGAGACTCCATGTCTACAAAAAATTAGCTGGGAGTGGTGGTACATGCCTGCAGTCCCAGTCACTAGGGAGGCTGAGGCAAGAGGATTGCTGGAGCCCAGGAGGCCAAGGCTGCAGTGAGCTGTGATTGTGCCACTGCACTCCAGCCTGGGTAAGCAAGACTCTGTATTGTCTCAAAAACAAAACAAAATAAGTTTTGTCCATTTAGTAATGGAAAGTGACTTTGGTTGGACATAAGGCGGTCTTTAGGTAGATAAGATACTGGGTTAGGTTTGGAGATCTTCAAGAAACAAGTGGATAATCACTTGGTTTGAGATTTAAATATTCCTCTCCAAATTATTTGTGGAAAGGGGCAAGTTATAAATGATTATAAATGATGAAAACCTTCACCCACGCAAGAGTAAACTGCTGAATCTATCAAACACATTCTAACCTGCTCTAATCCTGTGGCTTGCCTTTTATCTTAAATGCCAGGATACAACAGGACTCACTGATAACTACTGCCCAGTACTGTTCACAGTTTAGACTAATGAATAAGTTACTCCTGGACAAACAGTAAGATTGAGCAGTGGCTTGGGAGCAAGTGCATGCTGAATTTCACTGAGAGGTGTGTAAGGAATCAACACTAGTTTAAATTTATCCAAGGCTCACTAGGGAGCTGTAACACACCCTGTCTGGAAGGATATCTGCTACCTGGAGAGAACAGTATGGGAAATGTTTGACTTTGTTGGACAGTAGAGAAAGTCCTTGAGTCTGCTCAAAAGTCACTTTGTGAGTGAGGTCCATTCTTTCTACCTATCCCATCCTCTTTCATCTGATTTATTATTATTATTATTTGAGATGGAGTCTCACTCTGTTACCCAGGCTGGAGTGCAGTGGTGCGATCTTGGCTCATTGCAACCTCCGCCTCCTGGGTTCAAGCGGTTGTCCTGCCTCAGCTCCCAAGTAGCTGGGATTACAGGCACCCACTACCATGCCCAGCTAATTTTTGTACTTTTAGTAGAGATGGGGTTTCACCATATTGGCCAGGCTGGTCTCGAACTCCTGACCTTGTGATCCGCCCACCTCGGCTTCCCAAAATGCTGGGATTACAGGAGTAAGCCACCGCACCTGGCCTCATCTGATTTATATTTTTCCATAGCAGTCATCACTGTCAAATATTCTGTAGAACTTGCTTATTTATTATGCTTATTGTTATCTCTCCATAAGCTCCACAAAGGCAGAGGTTTTGTTGGTTTACTACTGTATTTCCAGTCACTGGAAGATTGTTCTTGCAGAAGCTTCCTTACCACTGAGGAGGGAGAGACCTACTGATGAAGACCAGAGCAGTTAAGAGTGGCCTGGGGCCTAGCGTGGTGGCTCGTGCCTGTAATCCGAGGACTTTGGGAGGCTGAGATGGGAGGAATAGCTTTAGCCCAGGAGTTAAAGGCTGCAGTGAACTCTGATTACGCCACTGTACTCCAGCCTGGATGACAGATTCTTTGCACTGAAGTTTGTGACCAAGTGCCTTATCTGTCCTCAGTGTTGTGGGGGGCAGAGGCTTAATTTAAGCCAGGGTCCCCCACCCCATGGTTGAGCAAGCCCAGGGGACCCAAATTCACAAGACATTGATACAGGAGAAGGAAGGTTAACTTTATGTATTTATTTATTTATTTTAGAGACAGAGTCTAGCTCTGCCTCCTAGGCTAGAATGCAGTGTGATCATAGCTCACTGCAGCCTCAAACTTCTGGGATCAAGTGATTCTCCTGCTGCCTCAGCATCCCAAGTAGCTGGGACTATTGGTGTTTACTACTGCACCCGGCTGATTTTTTTTTTTTTTTTTTAATTTTTTGTAGAGACGGGGTCTCCCTATGTTGCCAGGCTGGTCTCAAATTCCTGGCACCACCTTCTGAAGTGATTCTCCCACCTCAGACGGTTAATTTTAATAATTGTAAGTGAGAAATATGTTTCCAGACTGCTTGGGATTCTAATGTCAGCTTGCCAAACCATTTTCCTAGTTAGAGCCAAGAATTTTGATGGGATCAATGACTAGCATCCTGAGGCTACAATGGCCACATCCAAGACAGGAAATCCTTTCCCCTGGAAAACATGCAAATTCTTTTTTTTCTTTCTAGACTTCTACAGCCATTCCTGTCAGTCCATTTAGCTGGACTTTTTTTTTTTTTTTTTTGAGATAGAGTCTCGCTTTGTCACCCAGTCTGAAGTTCAGTGGTGCAGTCTCTGCTCACTGCAACCTCCACCTCCTGGGTTGAAGCAGTTCTTCTGTCTCAACCTCCCAAGTAGCTAGGATTACAGGCATGCACCACCACACTTGGCTAATTTTTGTATTTTCAGTGGAGACTGGGTTTTGCCGTGTTGGCCAGGCTGGTCTTGAACTCCTGACCTCAAGTGATCCACCTGCCTCAGCCTCCTGAAGTGCTGGGATTACAGGCGTGAGCCACTGTGCCCGGCCTCTGTTTAGCTGGATTTTAATACACTTTGGTTCTTGTGTCCTTGAGGATACATAGGCCTCTAGAATGGATTTAGGTGTTTCCAAGTGTTGTCAGCCATATCTTTGCAGGCCATTTCTTGGGATGTTTACTTCTATAAATTGCTAATCTCATTCAGCGTGTGTTGATTTTTAACTAGTTGAACTTTTTTTTTTTTTCTTTTTTGAGACAGAGTCTCGCTCTGTCGCCCAGGCTGGAGTGTAGTGGCACGATCTTTGGCTTACTGCAACCTCCACGTCCCGGGTTCAAGCGATTCTCCTGCCTCAGCCTCCCAAGTAGCTGGGACTATAAGCGCATGCCAGCACACCCAGCTAATAATTTTTGTAATTTTAGTAGAAATGGGTTTCACCATATTGGTCAGGCTGGTCTCAAACTCCTGACCTCAGGTGATCTACCCGCCTTGGCCTCCCAAAGTGCTGGGGATTACAGGTGTGAGCCACCGCTCCTGGCCAACTAGTTTAACTTTCTAAGGGGAATTTACTCCCAGGTTGTGTGTGTATGTGGAGGTGGGTAGTAGTGTTTGCCTTGCTGTATAGCCTTGTTGTACAACTGCTGATAGGGTGGCTACACCCATTTGTATATCCACTTTCTTGGGAACCGGCTGAGGAAATTACAAAAAGCAAGAAGGTAAATTTGAATTTTCTTTCTTTGTTTTTCTGAGACTGGCTCTCACTCTATCACCCCGGCTGGAGTGCGTTGGCTCGTTGCAACCTCCGCCTCCCAGGTTCAAGCGATCCTCCCACCTCAGCCTCCTGAGTAGCTGGGACTACAAGGGTGCACCACCACGCCAGGCTAATTTTTGTGTTTTTTGTTAGAGATAGGGTTTTGCCATGTTGACCAGGCTGGTCTCCCAAGCTCAAATGATCTGCCTGCCTCTGCCTCCCAAAGTCCTGGGATTATAGGCGTGAGGTACCATGCTCTGCCTGGTAAATTTGAATTTTCTAGTAGCTTCCTTGAAAGGGGAAAAGTTTTTTGCCTTTTTATTCAAGTTGGAGTATCTGCCAGGTGTCCTTTTCTTTCTTCTTTTTTTTTTTTTGAGGTGGAATCTCCCTCTGTTGCCCAGGTTCGGAGTGCAGTGGCATGATCTGGGCTCACTGCAACCTCTGCTTCCTAGATTCAAGTGATTCAAGCAGTTCTCCTGCCTCAGCCTCTCCAGTAGCTGGGACTACAGGCACGTGCCACTACGCCCGGCTACTTTTTGTATTTTTTAGTAGAGACAGGGTTTCACTGTGTTGGCCAGGCTGGTCTCCTGGGCTCAAGTGATCCGCCCGCCTCGCCCTCCCAAGATGCTAGGATTTGCAGTTGTGATCTACCGTGTCTGGCCTGCCAGATGTCTTCTTGATCTCAAAACGTGGAAAGCTGGAGTTGGGGATTCATTGATTGGGCCTCCAGATTTCCCTGCTCTGAGGTTATCCTCTCTTTTCTCTGCAGTGAACACCGAGAGTGAGACGGCAGTGGTGAATGTCACCTATTCCAACCGGGAGCAGACCAGGCAGTGAGTGGGCTGGGAAGTGGGGCTGGGTGCGGTGGGGGGGGGTTCTGTGAAGGGTGGTGTGAGCCTGGTCCCACTTTTTCCTCAGGGGGGTCTAGGCAGGCTGGGTCCCCATCCAGGGTTCTGATATTAGCCCAAGCCAAACCTAGAATCTTCCATAAAAGGTTTCTTCAGGGGGTCTCCTTCATGTCCATTGTTTCAGGGATCTCAAAGGCTCAGAAACATCAAGATTGATAGCAAAAATACATAGAAGGGAGGGCTCCAAAGCCCTCCCAGATAAGTGGGAAATCCCTTGCAGAGAAAATGTCCCCTGCTGATAGGTCTCTGGTTGCTCCAGGACCTTAGAGTCCTTTGCCGTGTTCATGGCGCCATCTAGTGATAATGAGGGGGAACTTCGGGGTTCAAAAAAGATTCCTCAACCTTGGGATGCTGGGACATTTTATTGCAGTGATGGTCGTAAACCTAGCTGGTGATAGTTGTGGGGTCCTTTTAGTCCCATCGCACCCACAATTTTAGCTCCTAGCCCTTTGATTGAGCAATTATGCGTCTCACTCACTGTTACAGACAGACTATACATTTTGCGCATTACTCATTTATATTAATATCCGAGCCCGTTATAGGCTTTTGCCACATTTTGCTTTGGGCTTTCTTGCTTCTTAACATGCCGCCTTCTCCAATCTAATAATACTATGTAAAATCCTACCTCTTCTTCAAATACCTACCATTTTCTTTTAGATACCTCCTGGGCTCAGAATTTTCTAGAGGTTCCTACTGCCCCTTGTGGCCACTAGGGTTTGGCTTTAAAGCTCATGTCAACAGTTGTTCATTCTCTCCTGCCTATTGTTGCTGTGTTCTTGTTTTTTGGAGACAAGTCTCACTCTGCCACCCAGGCTGGAGTGCAGTGGCATGATATCTGCTCACTGCAACCTCAACCTCCTGGGCTCAAGCAATCCTCCCACCTCAGCCTCCCAAGTAGGTGGGACTACAGACATGCACCATTATGCCTGGTTCATTTTTGTATTTTTTTGTAGAGACGAGGTTTCACCATGTTGCCCAAGCTGGTCTCGAACGGCTCAAGTGATCCGCTTGCCTTGGCCTCCCAAAGTGCTGGGATTACAAGCTTCAGCCACCTCGCCTGCCCTTTGTTACCTCGTTAACATTTCTGGGCTTTTTATTTATTTATTTATTATTTTGAGACTGAGTCTTACTCTGTCGTACAGGAGGCTGGAGTGCAGTGGTGCAATCTTGGCTCACTGCAACCTGCGCCTCCTGGATTCAAGCAATTCTTGTGCCTCAGCCTCCTGAGTAGCTGGGACTACAGGTGTACACCACCATGCCCGGCTGGCTAATTTTTTTTTTTAATCTTTTAATTTTTATTTTATTTTTTTTGAGACGGAGTCTCACTCTGTCGCCCAGGCTGGAGTGCAGTGGCGTGATCTTGGCTCACTGCAACCTTCACCTCCCAGGTTCAAGTGATTCTCCTGCCTCAGTCTCCTGAGTAGCTGGGATTAACAGGTGTGGACCACCACACCTGGCTAATTTTTGTATTTTTAGTAGAGATGGGGTCTCACCATGTTGGCCAGGATGGTCTCGAACTCCTGACCTCAAGTGATCCACCCACCTCAGCCCCCCAGAGTGCTGGGATTACAGGAGTGAGCCACCGCACCCGGCTGCCTTATTAACATTTCTAACCAGTGTCAGCCTTGGGAATGGATGATGCTTGTGCCCTCCCTTCAATCTTATTCAGCCCCATTTTACAGACATACCAAATATACTGAGACTCTAGTCTCCAAGTGGTAAGCAAGCCATTCTGTCTCCAATTCCTATGTCTTTGCCACGGTTAAAAGAAAAATAATTATTTTATTTTTTGAGACACTCTCTCCCTGTTGCCCAGGCTGGAGTGCAGTGTTGCAAACACAGCTCATTGCAGCTTTAACTTCCTGGGCTGAGGGAATACTCCTGCCTCAGCCTCTAAAGTAGCTGGGATAACAAGCATGCACCACCATGCTGGGCCAATTTAAAAATTTTTAATATTTAGAGATGGGAGTCTCGCTATGTTGCCCAGGCTAGTGTCAAACTCCTGGCCTTAGCGATCTTCCTACCTCAGCCCCCCCAAAGTGTTAGAATTATATCATGATTTGCCCCTTTTTTTTTTTTTTTTTTTTGAGATGGAGTCTTGCCCAGGCTGGAGTGCAGTGGTGCGATCTCTCTTCACTGCAGCTTCCACCTCCCGGGTTCAAGTGGTTTTCCTGCCTCAGCCTCCCGAGTAGTTGGGACTACTGGACTACAGGTGTCTGCCACCATGCCTGGCAATTTTTTGTATTTTTTAGTAAAGACGAGGTTTCCCCATGTTGGCCAGGCTGGTCTTGAACTCCTGACGTCAGGCGATCCGCCCACCTTGGCCTCCCAAAGTGTTGGGATTACAGGCATGAGCCACCACACTTGGCCTTTTTTTTTTTTTTAAACCTCAAAATCTTTAAAAATGCTGTCGGGTTTAGTGGCTCATGTTTGTAATTCCAGCCCTTTGGGAGGCCAATGCAGGGTGGGTTGCTTGAGCTCAGTAGTTCAAGACCAGCCTGGGCAACATGGCAAAACCCCATCTCTATAAAAATTACAAAATATTAGCTGGGCATGGTGGCACATGCCCAGCAGGTTGAAGTGGGAGGATTGCTTGAGCCCAGGAGGTGGAGGTGGAGGTGGAGGTTGCAGTGGGTTGAGATCATGCCCCTGAATTCTGGCCTGGGTAACAGAGTAAGACCCTGTCTCAAAAAAAACACAAAAAAAACAAAAAAAACAAAAAAAACGAAAAACCAAAAACACAAAACTTTTCAAGATGGAATCCACAGAGGTGGATTCAACCAAAGGAGGTGCCAGACTTAATAGGTGTAAAAATGACAAATCCCTTAATTTATTACATGTTTTCACTTGTGATTGTCACATAAATCCCGTAAGATATGCAGTTTCGGCTGACATTGACAAGTTGATCTTGAGGAAATGCAGAAAAACCTTAACAGTCTTGAATAAGAAGAACAAGGAAGAATTAAACTCCCGAATTTTAAAACTTACATCAAACTACGGTAGTCAAATTAGTGTGGTACCGGCTTCAGGATAAACATACTGATCAATGGAATAGAATTCAGAGCCTAGAAAAGCCTTTACGTTTATGATCGGCTGGTTTTTGTTTTTATTTTCACACAAAGTGCTAAAAAGACAGTTTATTAGGAAAGATAAGGTGTTTTCAACAAATGATGCTGGGGCAGCTCGATGATATCCACATGACAAAAGATGAATTTGGACTTCTACCTTACACTGAACACACAAATTAATTCAAAATGGATTACAGACCTAAATGTATTAGCTGTAAGGTAGGCAGGGCACAAGTATCAGTTTTCCTTTACAGTTGATGAGACTTAGGTCTAGACTAGGTTGTAAGTTTCCTGCTTCATATAGCTAGTGAGCAATAGAACTAAGATTGGAATACTGGTGTCCTAATTCAGTTATCTTTGCCCTGGGAGCCTGGGCAGATGCGGATGCGAGGTGCGCTGGGAGGTGGCAGCGGTCTGGGGCAGTGGCCTGCGGTGGGTAGGCTGGGACCTCGCAGTCTCCCCACACACATGTGGGGCCCCACCACATGGCGCCTCCCTGCGGGCGTGCACCTGCAGCGGTGGGGGTGGCTGGGGCACCTGGGAACGGGGATGCCTTGCCCTCCGAGGTCTCCCCTGGGCGGCCGCCCATGCCATTTTCCGGGCTGCTCGCCTTCTAGAAGTTCCTGCAGGAAGCTGGTGATGTGGCCTCCCTGACCCGGGCCCGCCCCCCACCACTTTGCTGGAGGGGTAGTCAGATTCCAGCCGGGATACGTAGCAGCAGCTTGGTGGCAGGCGATAGGAAAATGGGCAAAAGCCCCAACTGGCTGGAAGGCAACCCCGGGGGCCGGACCTCCTTGTGGGAGGGCCCGGGACTGCACTAGGCGGGAGTGGAGGCCGCGGCTCCAGGCTGGTCTCGGCCTGGTAATTTGACACGGCCAGCCGGTCACTGTTTAAGGCACTGTGTACCATTTTACTAACTTAATCCTCACGGTGACCGCATTTCCCAGCTGGGCCAACTGGTGCGGGGTTGACTGGAAGCGACCGGGGTTGACTGGAAGCGACCGGCATAGCGCTTGGCAAGTATATAGCAGGTAGTAAAATGGCTGTAATTTTGAAAGTTAGCTTTGTGAAGTGTTGGGGCTGCGGCATCTGCTGGTGGTGTGTGGTATTACAGCCCCGTGCTGGCGGACCCCATTGGGTTGGGGAGCGTTGCGAGATTGTGGCCCCAGAGCCAAGTGGGCAGTTAGGGGTCTCTGGAGACTCTGGAAGGAGAGGTAGCACAAAAGACAGCGGAGGTGTTCGCTTCGGCAGCACATATACTAAAATTGGAACGGTACAGAGATTAGCATGGCCCCTGCGCGAAGATGGCACGCAAATTTGTGAAGCGTTCCATCAAAAAAATAAAAAAATAAAAAATAATAAAAAAAAATGGGGGACTGCGGAGGAGCTAAAATTTCGAGACTGCATGTTTGTTTTTTTTTGTGCACCAGCAGCTCATTAGAAGAATTCCTCAATTGCTGCTTCAACACCCGCCACGATGGCGTTCAACCTGGCAGATTAATTTAACAACTCTCTGATGGGTTGCCCTGAAATTTGAAAAACAGTGCCTTGGGCTGGGCGCGATGGCTCACACCTGTAATCCCAGCATTTTGGGAGACCGAGGCGGGCGAATCACCTGAGGTCGGGAGTTGGAGACCAGCCTGACCAACATGGAGAAACCCCATCTCTACTAAAAATACAAAATTAGCGGGGCATGGTGGCGCATGCCTGTAATCCCAGCTACTCGGGAGGCTGAGGCTTGAACCCGGGAGGCGGAGGTTGCACTGAGCCGAGATCACGCCATTGCACTGCAGCCTGGGCAATGAGCAAAACTCTGTCTCAAGAAAAAAACAAAACAAAACAAAAAACAGTGGCTTAAGCAAAGGCCACAAGAAAGAATTGAGATCAAAGAGGAGTGTGTGCCATGGCTATGGAGGGGTTTCAGTTGTGAATTATGAAATGTCATGTAAACCATTTCAAGCATTTCAAGGAGTTTGAATTTTATATAAAAAACAATGGGAAGACGCTGCAAGTTTTGAAGCAGCATCTCAGACATGTTGAAAAAGATGTTTGGATCCCTAAAATAATGAGAGAAAAGGCCAGAGAGAGGTGTTCTGAACAACTTCAAGATTTTACCAAATGTTGCAAGAACTCTGGAACCCTTACGGTAGGAAAATGCTGGAAAGAAAATTCTCTATTGAAAGGACGTCTAACTGCTCACTATAATGATCCAGCCTTTTATGAAGAATGCAAAATGGAATACCTGAAGGAAGGAAGAATTCAGAAAAACTGGAATTTCTACAAAGAGAAGGCTACAGAAACTTCCCATAAGCCTGTAGGCAAATATTCAAATGATATTCAGGAACTCTAATATTCATGGAAGTCATTTATAGTATAAATTTCCTTAAATAATGGACTCAAGAATGTGTGTTTGCTTTATCCTAATTATGGAAATATTAATTTTTATCTGAAATAAAGATCTTTTATTTCAAAAACGAAAATAAACCCCACACTTCATTAGGGCAGGATTAACATTTGAATTCTACATGTATACATTTCAATCTCCTTTGACCTTGGTTTCATCATCTCTAAAGTTAGGAGTATGTAGTAGTTAGCAGTTGGTTTCCTCACCCTGTAGTAGGGATTCCTCAATCCGGGAAGTGTATGTGTTAGCTTTGTGGAGCCTCTTCAGGTCTGTGGTAGGCTTTCCAGTTGGCATGGGAGTACTTTGAGATCTATGGCTTGCTCTTCCTTTTTAGGCTAGCAGAACCCTATACTTTCTATTGGACTGGAAGCCCATTTCTCTGATGGTTCCAGTGGAAAGCCTTTGTGAACAATAAATCCCAACTAAGTGTTAGGGAACACTGTATTTATTTACTTTTCCTTTGAAGTCTTTGATGCCATTTAGACTGGAAAGTTGTGAAAAATGGAGGTGGAGGTAGTGGGCAGGTGACTATCTCCTTTTCTTTAGTGTGTTCCAAGCTGTAACTTACTAGAGTGCTTTGGCCAAGAGAGCATCTGGTATGATTGGCATGGATTGGAATGACCTGTAGACTCTCACTCTGTCCCCAGAGCCATCATGAAGCTGAATGGCCACCAGTTGGAGAACCATGCCCTGAAGGTCTCCTACATCCCCGATGAGCAGATAGCACAGGGACCTGAGAATGGGCGCCGAGGGGGCTTTGGCTCTCGGGGTCAGCCCCGCCAGGGCTCACCTGTGGCAGCGGGGGCCCCAGCCAAGCAGCAGCAAGTGGACATCCCCCTTCGGCTCCTGGTGCCCACCCAGTATGTGGGTGCCATTATTGGCAAGGAGGGGGCCACCATCCGCAACATCACAAAACAGACCCAGTCCAAGTGAGTCTTGGCTCTTGGGGAATGGAGGTTGGGTGCTAGGGAACAGTGGTTGGTACCTAAAGAGGCCTCCTGGAAGCATGCTGGAGACATCAACATTTACCTTTTAGGAAATGTTGCCTGGAGCATTCAGGGGTCCCTGCTTCCAATACCAGCCTCCTGGGAAAGGGAGGGCAGATAGGGAGGGAGAATGGGTCTGGGGTGCTAGGCCACACACTCGTATTAGCAAGAGAGATTCTATAATTTCTCATGTGAAGTTTCATAAAAAAAGTCTCCAAGCAAACCTCATTTTGATGAGTCAGCAACTCAGTGCTCTGTGATTTCATGATCACTTAGTGTGGTAACAGGGCTGGCCAACCTGTCCAAAATTAGGACCTTCATAATTGTGTCCCATCTCCCATTCTGCCACTGCCACCTTCTTTCTTTAATATTTTTTTTTTTTTTTTTTTGAGACAGAGTTTTGCTCTGTTGCCCAGGCTGGAGTGCAGTGGTGCGATCTCAGCTCACTGCAACCTCTGCCTCCCGGGTTCAAGCAATTCTCCTGCCTCAGCCTCCCGAGTAGCTGGGATTACAGGCGCGTGCCACCATGCCCAGCTAATTTTTGTATTTTTAGTAGAGACAGGGTTTCACCATGTTGATCAGGCTGGTTACGAACTCCTGACCTCGTGATCCGGCCGCCTCAGCCTCCCAAAGTGCTGGGATTAAAGGCGTGAGCTACCACACCCGGCCTTTTCTCTAATCTTTATATCTGATCAGTGTACTCAGTGGCAAAGAACAGGTCATATTATGTCCTTATCATAGTAAATCTTGTTATTTACTTTGAGTTTGGGGCACTGTGTCTTCTCTTTATATTTGTTTCAAGGGGGACATACGGAATTCAAGCGGAAATGCAGCTTTGGAGCTGTGGGCTGGTAATTCCCACCCCTGCATTTGTGTCATAGGCTGTGTTCTTGTCCCCAACCACTGCTTGCTTATTTATTTATTTTTATTTTATTTTTTGAGGCAGAGTCTCACTGCGTCACCCAGGCTGGAGTGTAGTGGTGTGATCTCAGCTCACTGCAGCCTCCTCCCAGGTTCAAGCAATTCTTGTGCCTCAGCCTCCTTAGTAGCTGGGATTACAGGTGTGCACCACCACACCCAGCTAAATTTTTTGTATTTTTAGTAGAGGCGGGGTTTCACCATGCTGGCCAGGCTGGTCTCAAACTCCTGGCCTCAAGTAACCCACCCGCCTCGGCCTCCAAAAGTGCTGGAATTACAGGCGTGAGCTCCCGTGCCTGGCCACCAACCACCTGTGGATTGAGACACTGCTGGTCTGAGACAGAATCCACAGTAACAGACGGGTCATATTTCTCCAGTCCTTTCATTGCCCTTCCCAAAGTTGTACTTGATTGTCCTTGTTTCAAGAAGAGCAGGTTCTATGCCTTTGACTGAGGAGGGGTAGTGGGGTGGGGAGCCTGAAGTACTGGTATCACTGGGGACAACTAACCAGCCTTGTCCTTGTGGCCCCCAGGATAGACGTGCATAGGAAGGAGAACGCAGGTGCAGCTGAAAAAGCCATCAGTGTGCACTCCACCCCTGAGGGCTGCTCCTCCGCTTGTAAGATGATCTTGGAGATTATGCATAAAGAGGCTAAGGACACCAAAACGTAAGTCTCCAGCTTTTCTTGGATCTTCAGGGTCTGCTAGTCCAGTTGAGCCTCCCCAACTCAACTTTCAAGCTTTTATACAGACATATAAGAAATACAGTCAGCAATTGCACAAAAAGATGTAAACTGAGAAATAAAATCTTTCTTCTTACAGGACTTTGTCACCTAGGCTGGAGTACAGTGGCATGATCTCAGCTCACTGCAACCTCTGCCTCTGGATCTCAAGGGATCCTCCCGCCTCAGCCTTCTGAGTAGCTAGGACAACATGCATGCACCACCACGCCTGCCTAGTTTTTTGTGATTTTTGTAGAGATGGGGTGTCGCCATGTTACCCAGGCTGGTCTTGAACTCCTGGACTCAAGTGACCCACCCAGCTCAGCCTCCCAAAGAGCTGGGATTACAGGCGTGTGCCACCACACCCCATCCCTTCTTATTCCTGTCGTATGACCTCCTAGAAATTCTGTGCACTCACAGGTGTGTGTATATTGTGTCTGCGTGCCTGCATGTACGGATATGTGTGCCTGTGTGTATTCACTTGTGCGTGTATGCACATGTGTTTTAGCTCAGAGAGAATCACACTGAACAGGCTGTTCTATACTTTTTTCATTTTCTGTATCAGCACATATATTAGTACATATGGACAGACCGCATTATTTTTATAGCTGCATAGAATTCCACAGTATAGCTATTCATAGTTCATGTAATCAATCTCCTATTTCTTGATGGGTGTTTAAATTGTTTTAAACTTTTCCTTATCAGAAAACAGTGATGCAAGGAATCTGCTTACACATGTTCCTTTACACACTTGTGCTGTTTAAAATAGCTTTATTGGCTGGGCACGGTGGCTCATGCCTCTAATCCCAGCACTTTGGAGGCTAGGAGTTCTAGACCAGCCTGGGCAACATAGTGAAACCTCACCTCTACAGAAAATAGAAAAATCAGCTGGACGTGGCGGCCTGTGCGTATAGTCCCAGCTACTCGGAAGGCTGAGAAGGGAGGATCGCATGAGCCCAGGAGGTCAAGGCTGTGGTGAGCCTTGATAGTGCCACTGCATTCCAGCCTGGGTGATAGAGTGAGACCCTGTCTCAAAAAATAAAACAAATTGGCTTTATTGATGTTCAATTGATGTATAATAAATCATACATATTTTTAAAGTATGCAGTTTGATAAGTTTTGAGATGTTTTACTTGGAAATGCCAAGTCTGGGGTGGCATGGTGATTGAGTCTTCATGAAGCCCACAATTGAAGGAACTCTTGTCTTCCACTTCTTCCTTTGTCTTCCCAAGGGCTGACGAGGTTCCCCTGAAGATCCTGGCCCATAATAACTTTGTAGGGCGTCTCATTGGCAAGGAAGGACGGAACCTGAAGAAGGTAGAGCAAGATACCGAGACAAAAATCACCATCTCCTCGTAAGGCTCTCTTCTATTTCCCTGTTTATGAGTGGGGGATGCATGGGGGCCAGGGTCAGTATTTCATCATGGAACCTTGATATGTGCTCTTTTAAAATGGGTGCTCCTTCTGCCTCTTGAAGAAAAACAGTCGAAGTGGTAAAGAGCATTTAAAAAATCCCTGTAAGGACTGGATCTGCCCATTCCCACTGCCATATGGGGCAGGGGTGTTGTAAGGTGCTGCCTCTACAGTCCACGTCCAACCACTTCACAGCCCTCTTTCCCTGTGGCTCGTGGACAGCCTGCAGCTAGGAGCCAGGGATTCAGGGCTTTAGGCTTGTCTGTCACTGTGAGAAGTGACCTTGGCCCTTTTCTGTCTGTGGTGGGCTGCTCCTGCAAGCAGTGTGCTTCGTTTCATCAGAGACTAACCTGTGGGCAAAGTAATTGCTCTTGTCCAAAAAGGTATAGGACATGGATTATGTAGAATCAATGGGGAAACTTGGAGGCACAACCATAATCTGAGATTGGATCCATTGCTAACAGAGGAGTTTGAGTTAGGTGTTGGCATCTCCCTCCATCTTACCCCCTGCCCTGGTTACAAACTGGGAACACCAAAGACTGGGGTTGCAGAGTTATTTGCCAGAAGTTGAATAGGCTGCAGAAATGGTGGGCCTGTGACTCAGCTGGCCTCTCGTCTTTGTTACTGCCGGGGCCTGGTCCTGGCCTGCCAGTGAAAGGACACAACTCTGCTCTTTCTGCCAGGTTGCAAGACCTTACCCTTTACAACCCTGAGAGGACCATCACTGTGAAGGGGGCCATCGAGAATTGTTGCAGGGCCGAGCAGGAAATAATGAAGAAAGTTCGGGAGGCCTATGAGAATGATGTGGCTGCCATGAGCGTGAGTGCTGGGTAGTACCCTCTGCTTATCCTTTCCTGAGTCTTAGCAACAGCAGCTTGTGGGGTGCAGGGTGATGGACATGTGCCCTGTGCCGTGTGGCCTTGGAGCTTTAGTTGATGCTTTTGGACTTCGACTATCAGAAATAGTATTTAAATAGTATTTAATTAGCAAGGATTCTTCACCTGGTTCCTAGAGTAGGGGTCCAATCTTGGGCTTTGAGTCCTGTGATTCCAAGTATGTGTACAATTTGTGTTTGTGTGCACTTTATTGAAATGAGGGGGTCCATCGTTTTCATCTGATTTTTATTTTATTTTTTTGAGACAGGGTCTTGGTATGTTGCCCAGGTTGGAGCACAATGGCGCAATCATAGCTTACTGCAGCCTTGACCCCCTGGGCTCAAGGAATACTCCTGCTTCAGCCTCCCAAGTACCTAGGAGACTACAGGTGTACACCACCATGCCCAGCTAATTTTTTAAAATTTTATTTTTTGGAAACAGGGTCTTGCTGTGTCACCCAGGTTGGTCTAGAACTCCTGGGCTCAAGCGATTCTCCTACCTTGGCCTCCCAAAGTACTAGGATTATAAGCATGAGCCACTGCACACAACTCATCTGATTTTTAAAGGAGACTTGGGGTTGGGGTACAGGACCAAAAATGTTTAGAATCAGAGTCCTAGAAGTCCAATGGAGCTCTGTCTCCACGCCTTTTTCTCATATAGGGGGTTATAGTATAGTGTCATGGGTCTATCGTCTGTCTCCAGCAGTCTGAACAGCCAGAGAGGAAGGACTCCTGAGGGTGTACAACTGTTTGGCATTTCTGGTTGCAATTGCTAGCCGTTAGTCCAGTGAGAACATCATATCACTTAAAATTCCACACCCGAAGTGTGTAGGTGAGAGTGTATGAAAAGCACAGAATAGGCTTTTGTGGAAAAGTATGTAATTCATGTTTTTGGCCCACTTGCCTCTGGGGCTACTCGCCTTTTATACAGCGGGGGTCACACACAAGCCCCTGTCAGGGTGTGCTGACTCTTCCTCCTCATCTTTCTTCCCCAGCTGCAGTCTCACCTGATCCCTGGCCTGAACCTGGCTGCTGTAGGTCTTTTCCCAGCTTCATCCAGCGCAGTCCCGCCGCCTCCCAGCAGCGTTACTGGGGCTGCTCCCTATAGCTCCTTTATGGTAGGTGGAAGATCTTATTACACGGGATCCCTGGGCCCATATGTGGCCTCCCTTAAGGGGGACTCAGCATGCTCTGGGAGTTGGATGCTTGGCAAGTTTGCAGGGAGAGGGAAGGAAGGTCTCAGAGGCATCCCTCCTCTCCAGTGCTCCTAGCCACTGGCTCTGAGGCTCCCAAATGTCTGCCTAGAATGCTCCCGGGGCATAGACAGCACTGTTCCCTTACTCTCTCCTGGCCTCTTCCCTTTAGCCCTACTGGGCATAGGAAGAGCTAAAGAGCTCACAGCATCCCTTGGCAGCCCAGGGTGGCGGTTTGGTGCCTGTACTCCTTCCTCCTTGAGGATGCAAGGCAGGGGAGTGGAGGGTTTCTGGGCCATGCTACTTGGGCCCCCTGGTAACAACGCCTCCTATCCTGGCAGCAGGCTCCCGAGCAGGAGATGGTGCAGGTGTTTATCCCCGCCCAGGCAGTGGGCGCCATCATCGGCAAGAAGGGGCAGCACATCAAACAGCTCTCCCGGTTTGCCAGCGCCTCCATCAAGGTGATCTGCTCTGTGGGTCTTCCTGTTTCTGGAAAGGGAGGGGTCTCTGCTTTTATCACTCTGCACTTTCTCCCATATTCCCCCTACTCATTTGAGAATTCTGTGTGTCATATGAGGGACCTTTCCCCCATGGAATCGAAGTCCTCTTTGTTTTTGATCTTGCTTGGTCCCCATGGGATGGCTTCAGTGCTTCTGGGTTTTCAGGCTGGGCAGGGGCAGGGTTATAACATAGAAAGAGAACTTAGGTTCTAACACAAACTGATGGGTTCAAATCCAAGATCCATCTCATCACCCCTTCCCCCAATACACTATATGATCTGAGCCTCACTTTCCTCGTCAGTACAATATTATGAGGCTACGCAGCCAAAGCCCTTCGCTCACATACTAACACCAAGTAAGTGTTAGTTGTCTGTCACCTTCCCTGGCCAAGGTCCAGGGGAGAGAGAAGGGAGAATCTGTCATAGTGAAACAAGGATGCTGTTAGAGTTTCACAAACCTAAATCCGGTTGCTTTAGTTGTCTTAAAAGCTTTGAGCAAAAACCTTGATTGTTCTCCAGTGGAGGTGCAGTCACTGCCCTCTATCCGTTGGTCATTTCATTTGTGTCCTTGCCTGTTGGCAAGACTCCACTGAAACCTCTCTGGGAGATTGGTAGGTGGAGGGGGCAGGAGGCCCTACTTAGAAAGTGTCATTGAAGCCAATCCTTCTAACTGACCACCTCTGCCCTCCTAATAATTCTGGTGTGAAGGCGTAATGATGTGGGCTTCAGGGTCTTTGTTCTTCCTCCCCTAAGTCTTCAGAATGGGTAGTTGGGAGTAAGGGTGGTAGAAGGGGAACTGGATGAAGTGGACATGGTGGGGGTCTTCCCATAGAGGGTCCCTCATTGACTAGCTTTTTGCTTTTTAGATTGCACCACCCGAAACACCTGACTCCAAAGTTCGTATGGTTATCATCACTGGACCGCCAGAGGCCCAATTCAAGGTTTTGGTCTTTATTGTTTTCCAAGCTGAACATGGAGGAATTGAGGTTGGGTATTTCCCCTGAGGTAGGAAAAAGGCTGGGTCAGTTTCCCGTTAGCTGTCAAGTCCTCATCACATCTTTAAGCCTTCCATGCAGGATAAAGGGCTGCAGAGCTATTTTCAAATTGACATCAAACTGGATTTCTGTTGACTTCGTCTTCCCTTTTTAAGGTCCACAGAAGAAGATGGGAAGGAAAGAAGTCTGAGGGCATCTTATTTGCACTCTGCTGTCATTTCTAAGGAAGGCCTTTAATGCCAAATTCTCATCTTTTATGTCCCCACTAAATCCTAAGGTTCTTGAACTTCTGATCAGACAGCCAAAAAATGAACCATCAACTAGCTTAACCTAACATATGTGAGGATAGAGGACTGGGACAGCTCTCTGGGCCACTGGAGAGTCAGACAGGCCTGCCCTCTGTGTGACTTGATTAGTTGCCATTCAGGGCCTTGAAATGCTGGTCAGTGCCACGTCCAGATTCCATAGGTCTGGTTTGTAGCTTGTGAATTAGATTCCTCTGGGAACTATTTTTTCCCTTGGGAAGTGTTTATTCAATTACTCATAACTCATAATCTCCACCCAGGGTCTCCAGTATGATAGCTAAGCAGAAGGAATGCTGACAAGCTGCCCACCTGAGCCTTGCCCTTCACCTGCCTTAGATGGTTAGCCCGCCTAGGATGGGGAGGGCCTGTGGGCCAGAAAATATGGGCTGGAGCTTCCTTTTTCCCACTTTTCTCTTTTGTCACAGATATATGAACCACTGATTAACAATTACCTCCTCTTCTCAGGCTCAGGGAAGAATCTATGGCAAACTCAAGGAGGAGAACTTCTTTGGTCCCAAGGAGGAAGTGAAGCTGGAGACCCACATACGTGTGCCAGCATCAGCAGCTGGCCGGGTCATTGGCAAAGGTGGAAAAACGGTGAGCTGTGAGGGCCAGGTTGAAAGCCCTGGGCCTTGGTCTCCAATCTCAGCAGCTCTCTCTGGTCTCCTGTACTGCTCAACCTCAGGACTCCTGATTTGCTCATTTACTTGATTCTACTCCCCAAGCTCAGGTCCTGACTCTTCCAGGTTCTCCCCACTAGTCACCCTGGCTCCTCCCTCCAACCCCACCCATGCTTTCTTGATGGCACCCTGAGCTCCTCTCTGGCCACCCCCAGGTGAACGAGTTGCAGAATTTGACGGCAGCTGAGGTGGTAGTACCAAGAGACCAGACCCCTGATGAGAACGACCAGGTCATCGTGAAAATCATCGGACATTTCTATGCCAGTCAGGTACATATGGTGCTCCCCCATTGAGGGAGGGCTGCAGGAGCCCAGGGAGCAGAGAAGCAGAGACTCTATAGAGGTTGACCTTCATGACGTTGACAAGTCCTGGGGCCTCAGCCACATCTGCCTGCCTCTAGGCTAGGTTATTGCCCTCTTTCAGGTGCAGAAGTGGGATGTGTAGATGACATATTACCTCTTATTACTCTCTAGGAAAAGTGATTTGACAAGTTTAATGTACATATATTGTGTATAACATTATATATATAAATAACATATATATGAATATATATTATATGTAAATATATATATATATGTTCTACGTTAGTCCCTCCCTAACCCCTTTCTGCACTGGTTAAGAAAGAAGATTAGTTTTGTTCATGGAATAATGATAACAGTACTAACACCCTGGATTGATGGCATTTTTGAAATGTAGTCCCTCTGCCTTTCGCAGAATGGCTGTTCTCTCCCTGGTTTCTGCTCTTCCACCCTCCCATTCCTTTCCCAGAACTCATCATTGCCGTTCAGCACTCGGACAGGCTCCAGAGCATGGAAGGGAAGGCCAATATCAGGTTCAAATTTTGCTGAACCTCAGCAAGGCAAGCAAACAGGTGGTTGGCAGCTAATGGTGTTTTCCTAAAGTCTTAAATCCATCATTGTTAGAACTGGAAAGGAACTTTGGAGACTGTTGATCACAGTTCCTACAATTCATAGAAGATATCCAGATCTTAGCAGGCTTGTGGTCTGCTGGGGCTGCTAGAGCAATTGGGGCAAACTGGCTCTTGGTTTTTTGGCTTCCAGTGCCCATATAGTATAGCATCAAGTATGAAGGTTTTGGATCCAGGGAGCTTTGACCTCAAACTTCACATACATAGCCTTTCTGCTATGTGACCTTGGATAAGTAACTTTCTCTGATAACCCTTTGAGAAGTATTAACAAGAGGCTTTAGTTACATCTCAACTATATATATATATAAAATAACAAAAAAGTATTAATAAGAGCCATAATAATAATAATATCTAAGATTTATCGATGCCTTTGTATACCCAGCACTGTTTTATGTGGCTTATGTATATTAACTCATTTAATTCCCACAACAATTTCATTTTATAAATGAAGCTTAAGAGGGTAAATGTGAATCTTTAATTCAGCGTTTTTTTTTTAAAGAGAGTAAAGGATACCTCCAAAGATGCATAAAGCCAGGATATATTAATATTAAACACTGAAGCAATTTTAGCTGATCAGAATGAGAATTAAATGAAAAGCTATGTAAAACATCAAGCCAGGGTTGATGGAGTTGGACCTCTTATTGACTTACACATTATTTTCCCAACCTAGATCAACTTCCTCTTTTTTTTTTTTTTTTTGTGACAGGGTCTCGCTCTGCCATCCAGGCTGGAGGGCAGTGGTGTGACCACAGCTCACTGCAGCCTCTACCTCCCAGGCTCAAGTGATCCTCCCACCTCAGGCCCCCCAAGTAGCTGGGACTACAGGCAGGTACCACCACGCTCAGCTAATTTTTGTATTTTTTTGTAGTGATGAGGTTTCACCATGTGGCCCAGGCTGGTTTCAAACTCCTAGGCTCAAGTGATGTCACTGCTTCAGCCTCCCAAAGTGCTGGGATTACAGGCATGAGCCACAATGCCCAGCCTCAGCTGCTTCTTTAACCAGGAAAGGAAGCACTCATTTATGGAAAGGAGACATTCTGGTCTTCATTCTATGAAGTGAATCCCATTTTGCAGTTTATTTCCTTTATAAAACTTTATTCTTAGGGAAGAACCTTTTAAGAAGGAAATAATAAAAGATTGGGTATTTTGTCCATTTTTACAGTGAAGCTTATGTATTTATGCTTTTTGACTAACCCATATCTGGACTTTATTTTTTATTTTTACTTTTTTTTTTTTTTGAGATGGAGTCTCGCTGTGTTGTCCAGGGTGGAGTGCAGTGGCACAATCTTAGTTCACTGCAACTTCCGCCTCCCCTGTTCTAGTGATTCTCCTGCCTCAGCCACTCAAGTAGCTGGGATTACAGGCGCACGTCACCACGCTCGGCTAATTTTTGTATTTTTAATAAAGATGGGGTTTCACCGTGTTGGCCAGTCTGCTCTCGAACTCCTGACCTCAGGTGATTCACCCGCCTCAGCTCCCCAAAGCGCTAGGATTACAGGCATGAGCCACCGTGCACCTGGCCATATCTAGACATATTATTCCTTTTCCTGGGGTATTAAAATGAAGCGTGGATTTGTGATGATGTCTTCTAAGTTACGACCCTCTACAACAGGAGTCCCCAAACCCCGGGCCACGGACTGGTACCGGGCCACACAGCAGGAGGTGAGCGGCAGACGAGTGGGCATTACCTCCTGAGCCCCGCTTCCTGTCAGATCAGGGCGGCATTAGATTCTCATGGGAGGGCTAACCCTGTTGTGAAGTGCTCGAGGGATGCGCAGTGCATGTGAAGGATCTAGGTTGCACACTCCTTATGAGAATCTACTGCATGCTGATTTGAGGTTTCATCCTGAAACCACTTCCCCACCCCCACCTCCATCCGTGGAAGAAAAATTGTTTTCCATGAAACCAGTTCCTGGTGCCAGAACAGTTGGGGACCACTGCTCTGCAATATGTAATATATTTCTGCCTAGAAACTCTAGGCATTCTGTTTTGCGTTTGGTAATGTTTATCAACTTTGTCAAGTTTTAAATTCTGATGAATGGATTGATACTACTGTTTCTCCTTCCTTCAAGTCCCCCAACCCCATCTCCCACTTAACACCCACCACGTTTGCTGTATTTTCCAGGGGATACTCAGGCTCCACTGGAGGCAAAGAAATGTAAGGTCACCCCAACCCTCATTCTTCCTCTTTATCTTTCTTCTGAGTCCTGTGTGACCTGTTCTGTTTATTGCCTGTGTCTGGACCTGATGACCTCTCTTCCGTGGAAGGCTGTCTCCTTGGAGGTCTCACACCCACTCTCTTGCCTGTTCTTGCTGCAGATGGCTCAACGGAAGATCCGAGACATCCTGGCCCAGGTTAAGCAGCAGCATCAGAAGGGACAGAGTAACCAGGCCCAGGCACGGAGGAAGTGACCAGCCCCTCCCTGTCCCTTCGAGTCCAGGACAACAACGGGCAGAAATCGAGAGTGTGCTCTCCCCGGCAGGCCTGAGAATGAGTGGGAATCCGGGACACCTGGGCCGGGCTGTAGATCAGGTTTGCCCACTTGATTGAGAAAGATGTTCCAGTGAGGAACCCTGATCTCTCAGCCCCAAACACCCACCCAATTGGCCCAACACTGTCTGCCCCTCGGGGTGTCAGAAATTCTAGCGCAAGGCACTTTTAAACGTGGATTGTTTAAAGAAGCTCTCCAGGCCCCACCAAGAGGGTGGATCACACCTCAGTGGGAAGAAAAATAAAATTTCCTTCAGGTTTTAAAAACATGCAGAGAGGTGTTTTAATCAGCCTTAAAGGATGGTTCATTTCTTGACCTTAATGTTTTTCCAATCTTCTTCCCCCTACTTGGGTAATTGATTAAAATACCTCCATTTACGGCCTCTTTCTATATTTACACTAATTTTTTTATCTTTATTGCTACCAGAAAAAAATGCGAACGAATGCATTGCTTTGCTTACAGTATTGACTCAAGGGAAAAGAACTGTCAGTATCTGTAGATTAATTCCAATCACTCCCTAACCAATAGGTACAATACGGAATGAAGAAGAGGGGAAAATGGGGAGAAAGATGGTTAAAATACATAATAATCCACGTTTAAAAGGAGCGCACTTGTGGCTGATCTATGCCAGATCACCATCTTCAAATTGGCACAACTGAAATTTCCCCACTCTGTTGGGGCTTCCCCACCACATTCATGTCCCTCTCCCGTGTAGGTTTCACATTATGTCCAGGTGCACATAGGTGGTATTGAATGCTCAGCAGGGTAGGGGCTGACCACTGTCCCTGATTCCCATCGTTCTCAGGCGGATTTTATATTTTTTTAAAGTCTATTTTAATGATTGGATATGAGCACTGGGAAGGGGACGCTAACTCCCCTTGATAAAGTCTCGGTTCCATGGAGGACTTGAGTGGCCCCAAAGGCTGCCACGGTGCCCTCACCCCAGCCCATGTGCTCCCATAAGGGCTGGTTCCTAGAGGCAGGGGTTGTGGGGCACTCCCAGCCACGGCACTGTTACCTTGGTGGTGGGACTTGGAACCCAACCCTGAGCTCCCGATAAAGCTAAAGTCCATCATCTGGCAAATTCAGTAAATTGGAGAGTACTTGCTTCTGTTTGTATCTGAGAGGAATTTTTAACTGACGGCTTCTGTCTCCATGAATCATTATCAGCATGATGAAAGGTGTGTCTAAAAAACAATTCAGAATACCAGCAGCATTGTACAGCAAGGGGTAAATAAGCTTAATTTATTAATTTACCAGGCTTAATTAAGATCCCATGGAGTGTTTAGCCCTTGTGGGAGACAGAAGCCATCAGTTAAATGAGGTTAGGCCTCTCCTCCTAATATACTGATTGACAATGCATATTAGCCAGGTAATGCACTTTAGCTACCCTGGACAATGCTATCAAGTGTGCTGGGAAGGGAGGAAGGCCTCTCTACATATGGAAAAGCCCATGCGTGGAGTTCCCCTCCTTTCAACATTGCAACAACAGTAACAACAAGACAACCGCAACATGTGGGCGTAGTCAGGCAATGCTGTGTGCGAAGTAAACTACCTCAAGGTATGAAGTTACCTCAGCAATTATTTTCCTTTTTGTTCCCCCCAACCCCATTAAAAAAATTTTTTTTTGATTTTTGTTTTTTTGCAGCTTGCTGATATTTTATATAAAAAAGAAAAGCAAAGCAAAAGAGAAGCTGATAGTCTTGAATATTTTATTTTTTTAATGAAAAGAAAAAACAAGAAAGTTATGTTTCATAATTTCTTACAACATGAGCCAGTAACCCTTTAGGAACTCTCTATGGAGAACAGGCCTGGTGGGAAAGGCTTTGGGGGCTGCCCCCTTAGGAGGAGGCTAGTGCTAAGAGGGAAGGCCCAGGTTTGAGAGAGCCCAGAGGGGCAGAGCCCAGAGCCTTGTTTGGCCCTGATCTCTGACTTCTAGAGCCCCAGCTGCTGGCGGCTGCTGGAATATCCTACCTGATAGGATTAAAAGGCCTAGTGGAGCTGGGGGCTCTCAGTGGTTAAACAATGCCCAACAACCAACCAGCTGGCCCTTGGTCTCCTCTCTTTCCTCCTTTGGTTAAAGAGCATCTCAGCCAGCTTTTCCCACCAGTGGTGCTGTTGAGATATTTTAAAATATTGCCTCCGTTTTATCGAGGAGAGAAATAATAACTAAAAAATATACCCTTTAAAAAAACCTATATTTCTCTGTCTAAAAATATGGGAGCTGAGATTCCGTTCGTGGAAAAAAGACAAGGCCACCCTCTCGCCCTCAGAGAGGTCCACCTGGTTTGTCATTGCAATGCTTTTCATTTTTTTTTTTTGTTATTGTTTCATTTCAGTTCCGTCTTGCTATTCTTCCTAATCTATATCCATAGATCTAAGGGGCAAACAGATACTAGTTAACTGCCCCCACCTCTGTCTCCCTGTCTTCTTTAGATCGGTCTGATTGATTTTAAAAGTGGACCCAAACTTAGGGAATTCTTGATTTAGGGTGGCTGGTGGCAAGGAGGGGCAGGGGATATGGGGACGTGACTGGGACAGGTTCCTGCCTTATCATTTTCTCCCTAGGACATTCCCTTGTAGCCCCCAGAATTGTCTGGCCCAAATTGAATAGAAGCAGAAAAACATTTAGGGATAACATCAGGCCAGTAGAATTAAGCCTCTCCACCTGTCCCAACCATAAAAAGGGTCTCCCAGCTTTCCATCTCTGGCTCTATATGCTTTATCCCAAAACAAAGCAGATAACGTTCAGACGTCGGCCATTTAGTAATTTAAAGCGAATTTCCAGCAGCAAGCATGCTTTGATATCTGGTTCAGACTATCATCAGGAAGAAAAAAAAATCCCACAGTACCTGAAATGTGATTGTTGCAGTGTTCAGTTTCCTTGGGGGCCTGCTCCCTTCACACCTTGAGCCCAAGTCCTTTTCCGTTGGCTGATTCAGCTCCCAGAAGAGACGAGGAAGTGTGTGGCAAGGGACTGGAAAACTTCACTTGCTTGGATTAGGCAAGGCTCCACTCATTGTTGATATTTGCCCAGCAGGAAAATCATGTAAGTTATACCACCAGAAAGCAAAAGGAGCATGGTTTGGTGGTTAAGGTTTAGTGGGATGAAGGACCTGTCTTGGTGGGCCGGGCCCTCTTGTGCCCCGTAGGCTAGGTCTTAGGGCAACTCCTTGCCCTCCTGCTCAGCACCTCCATTTCCCCATCCTTGGTGAGATAACAAGCTATCGCGAAAAGCACTTGGGAGATTTGGATGATTTGAGAAGAGTGACTTAAAAAAAATGCTTCTGTGCTCTAAGATATATATGTGTGTGTGTGTGCTACATATATATTTTTAAGAAAGGACCATCTCTTTAGGATATATTTTTAAATTCTTTGAAACACATAACCAAAATGGTTTGATTCACTGACTGACTTTGAAGCTGCATCTGCCAGTTACACCCCAAATGGCTTTAATCCCCTCTCGGGTCTGGTTGCCTTTTGCAGTTTGGGTTGTGGACTCAGCTCCTGTGAGGGGTCTGGTTAGGAGAGAGCCATTTTTAAGGACAGGGAGTTTTATAGCCCTTTTCTACTTTCCTCCCCTCCTCCCAGTCCTTATCAATCTTTTTTCCTTTTTCCTGACCCCCTCCTTCTGGAGGCAGTTGGGAGCTATCCTTGTTTATGCCTCACTATTGGCAGAAAAGACCCCATTTAAAACCCAGAGAACACTGGAGGGGGATGCTCTAGTTGGTTCTGTGTCCATTTTCCTCTGTGCCAAAGACAGACAGACAGAGGCTGAGAGAGGCTGTTCCTGAATCAAAGCAATAGCCAGCTTTCGACACATACCTGGCTGTCTGAGGAGGAAGGCCTCCTGGAAACTGGGAGCTAAGGGCGAGGCCCTTCCCTTCAGAGGCTCCTGGGGGATTAGGGTGTGGTGTTTGCCAAGCCAAGGGGTAGGGAGCCGAGAAATTGGTCTGTCGGCTCCTGGTTGCACTTTGGGGAAGGAGAGGAAGTTTGGGGCTCCAGGTAGCTCCCTGTTGTGGGACTGCTCTGTCCCCTGCCCCTACTGCAGAGATAGCACTGCCGAGTTCCCTTCAGGCCTGGCAGACGGGCAGTGAGGAGGGGCCTCAGTTAGCTCTCAAGGGTGCCTTCCCCTCCTCCCAACCCAGACATACCCTCTGCCAAACTGGGAACCAGCAGTGCTAGTAACTACCTCACAGAGCCCCAGAGGGCCTGCTTGAGCCTTCTTGCTCCACAGGAGAAGCTGGTGCCTCTAGGCAACCCCTTCCTCCCACCTCTCATCAGGGGTGGGGGTTCTCCTTTCTTTCCCCTGAAGTGTTTATGGGGAGATCCTAGTGGCTTTGCCATTCAAACCACTCGACTGTTTGCCTGTTTCTTGAAAACCAGTAGAAGGGAAACAGCACAGCCTGTCACAGTAATTGCAGGAAGATTGAAGAAAAATCCTCATCAATGCCAGGGGACATAAAAGCCATTTCCCTTCCAAATACTCGACAATTTAGATGCAGAACATTTCTCTGTATTCAGACTTAGAGTAACACCAGCTGAAAACTGCAGTTTCTTTCCTTTGGATACATAAGGCTTCTCTATCGGGGTACGGGACAGGGAGGAGGCCTCATGTCTGAAGGGGGATTTAGGGGCGAGAGCCCCAGCCCTGACCCTCGGTCCTGTGCACCGCTTTGGGGCACAGTCTGATGGCGCCTTTGCTGGCGCCTTAGTATGGTTGACTCCGGATGGACAAAAGAAAAAAAATTTTTTTTCTTGAATGAAATAGCAGGAAGCTCCTCGGGAGCATGTGTTTTGATTAACCGCAGGTGATGGATGCTACGAGTATAAATGGATTAACTACCTCAATCCTTACAGTAAGATTGGAACTAAGGGCAGGGACTCATGCATAAGGGTATGAATCCCAGCCAGGACAAGTGAGTTGAGGCTTGTGCCACAAAAGGTTTGTCCTTGGGGAACAGGCAGGCCTGCCAGGATCCCCCCCATATCGATTGGGCTGGGAGGGCTGGCCATGAGGTCCCCACTTTCTGCTTTCCTTGCCCATGTGTCACCCCTTTGGCCTCCAGCTTGTCCCTCTCTCACTTTCTATAGCTTTGTTGGACCAGATGGTGAGGAAAGGAATGGCCTCTTCCCTTCTAGAGGGGGCTGGCTGGAGTGAGACCTGGGGCTTGGCCTGGAACCCACCACACAGCCCCAAAGTCAGGAAGCCTGGGGAAACCAGAGCTGAGACCTCTTCAACAGGGTTTCTTTGAGATCCTACACCTCCATTGGGCCCTTTTTCAGTCTTCAATGGGGGCCCAGTTGGCTCTAGAAGGAGAAGAGGTGAAGCAGGATCCTTTGCCCTGGGGGAGTCTGAGGGCGCGGTCCTTGGACTCATTCAGGCCGTCTTTGTAGTTGGGGGAGTTCCACTGGGCGATCCCAGCCCCTCCCCACCCACCCTCTAATGGACCTCCTCATAGAAGCCCCATTTCACTTTTGTTTTATCTACCTCTTAGCAAAACAATAGATAAATTAGGTAGTGGCAGCTCCACTTGCTTAGGTTAGGGGGGGAAAAAGATTTCTTTTTCCAAAGGAAAAAAATATTACCTTGAGAATACTTTCCAAAAAATAAAATTAAAAAAAAAAAAACCAAAAAAAAAAATTTTTTTTTAAAAGGGAGACATTTTCCAGTGACCACTGGATTGTTTTAATTTCCCAAGCTTTTTTTTCCCCCATAAATAAGTTTCACTCTTTGGCGATTTTCTTCACTTGTTTAAGATAACGTGCTAGCTATTCCAACAGGTAACAGCTTTCACAGTCTGCCCCTGGCCTGTCTCACCCCATCCCCCACCCTATTCCTGCCAGTGAGTCCTTCCTGTGCTTCTCTCCCTTCTCCCCTCCCAGCCAGCTGACTTCAGTCACCCCTGTCCCCCCTCCCCTGCCAATAAGCTCCCCCAGGAATAAAGGCTTTGTTTTGGGGATGCTTAAATCTTGACTGGCACTTCCCGGCTGTGGGGGCTGGGGAGCCACTTGTAACATTTCTGTGCAGATTTTATGTTAGCCACTGCTATGTAAAAGCACGTTCAAAATGAATTTCAGCAGATTATGTGTTACCATAATGAATAAACGTCCTCTATCACCATTTGGAGTCTCCCTTTTCTCCAGGATCTTGATCCTGGTCCCCAAAACCAGAGTGAATCAAAAGAGCTTCCTCCCCTGAGGCAAAGTGGATTTGTAAGCAGTTCTGAAACATCACTTACTCAGAAGAGGGAACGATGTATTTTGATGAGTGCAAATTGGGAAGAGCTGGAGGCCTACTGCTTGGGACAGTTTTTTTTTTTTTTTTTTTTTTAAATATGAGTGCTAGCTTATTCTGTAATTGCGGCAACTTTGAAAATTGTATTTTACTGGAAATCTGCCAGCCATCACCACCCGATTTTGATTGTATCCTTCCTCCCATCCTTTAATCTGTTCATTGCTTTGGGGGAGGTGGGGCAGCTGGCTCACACGTTGGAGTTTGTTCTTTGATGGATGAACGAACACTCCAGTTTTCTTTCCCGTGAAGGTTGTTTCAGCCACAAACCACTTCATTTTGCTGTTTCAATTTCAAAATAAAAGGAAACTTATATTGAAAGACAAGTATGTCTGTGTCTCAGGGTTTTTGGGTCTGGGAGCTGAGATGCTCAGCCTCAGCATGGGAGCCCTGGTTCTCAGGGACCTGAGTCATCCAAATGCAAAGTAGGCATTTTTCTTAAATGTACAGAGGAGTGGTTTTTAAATGGTGCCCTGCTCTTAATTAGCTTTGCATATTGGGAGGGGGGCAGGTCAGGTGTTTGGAATGAGGACTCCAGCATTAAAGAAGATGTTGGGACATCACTGCAGAGAAGTAGCTGTCCAAGAAGTGACGAGGGTGTGTCACTCTTCCTAACACCTACCCTAAGAAAAAAACATGTAAGTGACTTGTGTTTCTGGGTTTCCTGTAAAGGGAAAGGTCTATTCTGACCCTGCCCTCTCCATTTTTTTTTCCCCCAATTTGGGGTTTTTTGTTTGTTTGTTTTTTGAGGGTATCACTCTGTCACCCAGGCTGGAGTGCACTGGTGTGATTTTGGCTCACTGCAACCTCCACCTCCCGGTTCAAGTGATTTCTCCTGCCTCAGCCTCCCAAGTAGCTGAGACTACAGGCATGTGTCACCATGCCTGGCAATTTTTTTTTTTTTTCTTAAGACAGACTCGCTGTGTCACCCAGGCTGTGGAGTGCAGTGGTGCGATCTTGGCTGGCTGCGGCCTTCACCTCCTGGGTTCAAGAGATTCTCCTGCCTCAGCCTCCCGAGTACCTGGGACTACAGGCACCTGCCACCATGCCTGGCTAATTTTTGTATTTTTAGTAGAGATGGGGTTTCGCCATATTGGCCAGGCTGGTCTTGAACTCCTGACCTTGTGATCCGCCTGCCTTGGCCTCCTAAAGTGCTGGGATTATAGGCGTGAGCCACCGTGCCTGGCCACCTGGCTAATTTTTTTTTTTTGTGGAATGAGTTTTCGCCATGTTGGCCAGTCTGATCTCAAAACTCCTGGCCTCAAGTGATCCACCTGCCTTGGCTTCCCAAAATGCTGGGATTACAGGTGTGAGCCACCACGCCTGCCCTAAATAAATATTTTAATAACATGATTAAGATACTCTTAATTCATTAGGCCGGGCGCGGTGGCTCACGCCTGTAATCCCAGCACTTTGGGAGGCCGAGGCGGGTGGATCATGAGGTCAGGAGATCGAGACCATCCTGGCTAACAAGGTGAAACCCCGTCTCTACTAAAAATACAAAAAATTAGCCGGGCGCGGTGGCGGGCGCCTGTAGTCCCAGCTACTCGGGAGGCTGAGGCAGGAGAATGGCGTGAACCTGGGAAGCGGAGCTTGCAGTGAGCCGAGATTGCGCCACTGCAGTCCGCAGTCCGGCCTGGGCGACAGAGCGAGACTCCGTCTCAAAAAAAAAAAAAAAAAAAAAAAAAAAAAAAAAAAGATACTCTTAATTCAAATCATCAGTCCAAATATACTTCCTGCTGACTACTGAACTGATCCATTAAGATCAAGAACAAAACCCCAAAGATACTACATAACTATATTTTGAAGTTTATGGGCAGGACAATACAGTAAGATACTAAATGGAAAAAAAAGAAGTATTAATATAAAAAGCATAGTCATTATTTGCAATTAATACTGCATTTTCAGGAAGTCCAAAAAGTTAAAACTTTTTTTTTTTTTTGAGATGGAGTTTCGTTCTTTTGCAGGTGGGAGTGCAATGGCGCTATCTCGGCTCACCACAACCTCTGCCTCCTGGGTTCAAGTGATTCTGCCTCAGCCTCCCAAGTAGCTGGGATTACAGGCACCTGCCAATATGCCTAGCTAATTTTTGTATTTTTAGTAGAGACGGGGTTTCACCATGTTGGTCAGGCTGGTCTTGAACCCCTGACCTCAGGTGATCCACCCACCTCGGCCTCCCAAAGTGCTGAGATTACAGGTGTGAGCCACCGTATCCAGCCCTTAATAAACTTATAATTAATACAAGTTAGTAAAGGGGTCACTTAAATATAAATATCCTAAAGAAAAACAAGGCCAGGTGTAGTGGCTCATGCCTGTAATCCCAGCACTTTGGGAGGCCAAGGCGGGCGGATCACCTGAGGTAGGGAGTTCGAGACCAGCCTGACAAACATGGAGAAACCCCGTCTCTACTAAAAATACAAAATCAGCCAGGCGTGGTGGTGCATGCCTGTAATCCCAGCTACTCAGGAGGCTGAGGCAGGAGAATCACTTGAACTGGGAGGTGGAGGTTGCAGTGAGCTGAGATCGCACCATTGCACTCCAACTTGGGCACAAGAAGGAGAATCTGTTTCAAAAAACCAAACACACACAACAACAACAACAACAACAGTTTAAAAAGTTATAAGTGGTTTGCCGGGCGCGGTGACTCAGGCCTGTAATCCCAGCACTTTGGGAGGCTGAGGCAGGCGGATCACGAGGTCAGGAGATCCAGACCATCCTGGCTGACACGGTGAAACCCCGTCTCTGCCAAAAACAAAAAACAGCTGGGTGTAGTGGCGGGCGCCTGTAGTCCCAGCTACCTGGGAGGCTGAGGTAGGAGAATGGCATGAACCGGAGGACGGAGCTTGCAGTGAGCCAAGACTGCACCACCGCATTACAGCCTGGGCAACAGAGAGACTATGTCTCAAAAAAAGAAAAAGTTATAAGTGGGTCAGGCACAGTGGATCATGCCTGTAATCTCAGCACTTTGGGAGGCAGAGGCAGTGGGTCATCTGAGGTCAGGAGTTTGAGACCAGCCTGGCCAACATGGTGAAACCTCATCTCTACCAAAAATGCAAAAATTAGCCGGGTGTGGTGGTGTGCGCCTGTAGTCCCAGCTACTCTGGAGGCTGAGGCAGGAGAATCACTTGAACCAGGGGGGCAGAAGTTGCAGTGAGCCAAGATCAAGCCAGTGTACTCTAGCCTAGGTGACAGAGCAAGTCTCCATTAAAAAAAAAAAAAAAAAAAAAAAAAAGATTTAGAAGACCACAGCAATGAAATCTCCCAGAATAAAAACAGAGCAGAAGAGCAAAGTAATACAAAATAGAAAAGAAGACCTAAGAAATACAAAGGCTAGTTGTAGAAGTGCTAACATCCAGACGCTTGTGTTAAGAGAGAGAGAAATAGAGGGGGAAATATTAAAGAAAAACAATAGAGATTAATTTCTGAGAATTCAAAAACTTGTCAAACCTCAGATTGAAAGGGCCCATAGCTTGCCAAAGCCGACAGAGTTGGAAAATCTCACACCTACATATATTCTAGTGATATTTAAGTAGATCAAAGCCAAAGAGAAAATTCTAAGCAAATTGCTTATAAAGAAATAAGAGGCTGGGCGCGGTGGTTTACACCTGTAATCCCAGCGGGAGGCTGAGGTGGGTGTATCACAAGGTCAGGAGTTCGAGACCAGCCTGGCCAATATGGTGAAACCCCGTCTCTACTAAAAATACAAAAGCCAGGTGTGGTGGCGGGTGCCTGTAGTCCAAGCTACTCAGGAGGCAGGAGAACCGCTTGAACCGGAGAGGCAGAGGTTGCAGTGAGTTGAGATCGCGCCATTGCACTCCAGCCTGGGCAACAGAGCGAGACTCCGTCTCAAAAAAAAAAAAAAAAAAAAAAAAGAAGTAAGAATCAGGCTGAGCACGGTGGCTCACACCTGTAATCCCAGCACTTTGGGAGGGTGAGGCGGGCGGATCACGAGGTCAGGAGTTTGAGACCAGCCTGGCCAATGTGGTGAAACCCCGTCTCTACTAAAAATACAAAAATAAGCTGGGCATGGTGGTGGGCACCTGTAGTCCCAGCTACTCGGGAGGCTGAGGCAGGAGAATCGTTTGAACCCGAAAGGCAGAGGTTGCAGTGAGCTGAGATTGCGCCACTGCACTCCAGCCTGGGAGACAGAGTGAGACTCTGTCTCAAAAAAAAAAAAAAAAAAAAAAAAAAGAAATAAGAACCAGACCAGTATTATATTTTTTAACAGCAATACTAGGTACAAGAAGATATTGGAGAAGTAACGAAGTTTTAAAAATATTGAAGCACAATAACTTAAAAATCTAGATTTTTTACATCCAGCCAAACTACTTAAATATACCTGATAATAAGATCCCCAGGAATGCAAGGCTTCAGAAATTTTGTCCTGCAAGGTGTTACAAGCAAATAAGCAGTTTTGGACGAAATATTTTAAAAAGAGGTGAGACAAGACAAGACAAGGAGATACTGCAAGAGATATATGAGAGTTTGTTGTCTTAACAGAATTAACTGAGACCAAACATGAAATAAAAGTTTTATCCATTATAATGTAGAAATAAAGAGGTAAGTCTAGAAATATTAGCACCGTGAAGCTGGAGGAAGCAACCAAGGGGTGTGTGAGTGTGCTGATGATGGAGATATATAGATAGCTTTTTTTTTTTTTTTTTTTTTTTTTTTTTTTTTTTTGAGACAGTGTCTCTCTGCCGCTCGGGCTGGAGTGCAGTGGCACGATCTGGGCTCACTGCAATCTCTGCCTCCTGGGCTCAGGTGATCCTCTCATCTCAGCCTCCTTAGTAGCTGGGACTACAGGAGCGTGTCCGATTTTTTTTTTTTAAATAAGGGATTTAGAAAGCAAATGAAAAGAGGTCAGCTATTTGGAATGGAAAAGCAAGGCAGAGGGTAACAGGAGGCCTGAGATGGAACCTGGGGGTGATAGGAAGGGCACGGTGGCCAGCCTCTGGTTTTTGTTGAAATGTCACCTGAGAGCTCAGAGACACCTTCTATGACCATCAAGCGGTCTTGCAACCTCTTTCCCAAACTCAACATGCTCTCTCCCCTTTTTCAGCTTTAATTTTTCTCTACAGAAAATTCTCTAATTGGCCAGGCGTGGTGGCTCACGCCTGTAATCCCAACACTTTGGGAGGCCGAGGGGGGAGTGGATCACGAGGTCAGGAGATCGAGACCATCCTGGATAACACAGTGAAACCCCGTCTCTACTAAAAATACAAAAAAATTAGCCGGGTGTGGTGGCACGCACCTGTAGTTCCAGCTACTTGGGAGTCCAAGGCAGGAGAATTGCTTGAACCCGGGAGGTGGAGGTTGCAGTGAGCTGAGATCGTGCTACTGTACTCCAGCCTGGGTGACACAGCAAGACTCCGTCTCAAAAAAAAAAAAAAAAAAAAGAAAATTCTCTAATTTACCACTATCTGACATACTGTATACTTTCCTTATTTAATCTGTACTTCATTATATATTTATTTTACCTTTTGAATTTAAGTATAGCACACATACAGAAAAGTGCACAAATCATAAGTGAATTAATCAAGGAATTCGCAAACTGAAAATGTACCCCTATCACCAACACCCAGATGAAGAAAGAGGACATCACCAGCACCCCTGAAAGCCCCTCATGCTCATCTCTTTCCCGTCTCCACCAAAGCCACCATTCTGGCTTCTAACTTATTTGCTCTCTGCCATCCCTCTAGAATCTAACCTCCATGCAGGCAGGGATCTTTGTTCTGTTCGTTCTATTTTCTAGTAGGGGAATAACTCTGCCATGGCACCATGGCGACCTCGCATGTATTCATGCAGGCAAAGGCTCGAGACACAGCCTCCCTGAGTTTTGGCAGAATGCCTTGTGATCCTCCCAGAACACGAGGGGACTGCAGGCTTGTAAAGGGCTACTATGAGGTCATCTCCCACCTGCCTCTCTCTCCCAGAAAACTGTCATGAAACTCTTTTTCATGACTCCTGGATTCTGATTACTCAGTCTGCCCCATCCCTTCCTCAGAGTAGAGCGTAGGATACCAAACCACAGAGCTGCAGCCTCAGCTTGGCTCCTCCTCAGTAGGGTGTTCCATACTTCGTGGGACAGGATCATGGGAGCATGCCTGCTTTGGCTTTTCCTTCTTTTCACCACTGGTGTAAGTACTAACGTGTCAAATCTAAGAGTGACTCGTATCTTTTTTTTTTCTGAGATGGGTTCTTGCTCTGTCACCTAGGCTGGAGTGCAATGGCAGGATCTCGGCTCACTGCAACCTCTGCCTCCTGGGTTCAAGCAATTCTCCTGCCTCAACCTCCCAAGTAGGTGGGATTACAGGCGCCCACCACCGCGCCCGGCTAATTTTTGTATTTTTGTAGAGACGGGGTTTCACCATGTTGGCCAGGCTGGTCTTGAACTCCTGACCTCATGATCCGCCTGCCTCGGCCTCCCAAAGTGTTGGGATTACAGGCATCAACCACCGCGCCCGGCCTCATTGTATCTTTACTGGTCAAATCAGTCAGATCTTGGCCTTGCCTCATCTTGTACTCAGGAGTTTGACAAATTTGCCACCCAGTGGGGGGGACTGTAAAGTTACAGTGCCCTTAAGAGACAACTCGAAGCTGAGTGTGGTGGGTCACACCTGTAATCCCAGCTAGAGCAGGAGGATGGCTCGAGCTCAGTAGTAGAGATCTTGTCTCTACTTTATAAAATTAAAAAAATAAAAAAATATAAAAAAAGATGACTTGAGGCTTCGTGAGATAATATAAGGGGATGATTTGTGTGCCCCACTATCTGCTAGCATGGCCTTCACCTGAGTGGCAGGTGAGAAAGAAGGAGTAGGATCTTCCCACTCTCCTACTTGTTCAGGGGCTGCATGGATCCAGTTAGGGGATGGGACTTCCAGGGAGCTGGCAGCTCATGCCACCTGTTGATAAACATTGGGAGGCAGGCCAGGGTGGTGGCTCACACCTGTCATCCCCGCACTTTGAGAGGCTGAGGAGGAAGATCACTTGAGCCCAGGAGTTCAAGGCCAGTCTGGGCACCATAGTGAGACCTTGTCTCTATAAAAATTAAAAAGATTAGGCGGGGCGTGGTGGCTCACGCCTGTAATCCCAGCACTTTGGGAGGCCGAGGTAGGTGGATCACGAGGTCAGGAGATCGAGACCATCCTGGCTAACATGGTGAAACCCCGACTCTACTAAAAATACAAAAAAATTAGCCGGGCGTGGTGGTGGGCGCCTGTAGTCCCACCTACTCGGGAGGCTGAGGCAGGAGAATGGCGTGAACCCGGGAGGCGGAGCTTGCAGTGAGCCGAGATCACGCCACTGCACTCCAGCCTGGGTGACAAAGCGAGACTCCGTCTCAAAAATAAATAAATAAATAAATAAATAAATAAATAAAGAAGATTAGTTGGGCATGGCGGTGCATGGCTATAGTCCCAGCTACTCAGGAGGCTGAGGTGGGGAGGATTCCTTGAGCCCGAGGGTCAAGGCTACAGCTACCATCGTGTCACTGCACTCCAGCCTGGGTGACAGAGGGAGACTCTGTCTCAAAAAATGAAATAAAAAAATAAAATAAAATAAAATAAAATAAAACCCAAAAAATATATTGGATCCACATTGGGAGGTCCAGCGGCTAGAGGTAGGATTGGTGCCCAGGTGTTGAAAGTGAGTTGGAGGCTGAGTTAGTGGTCACTTAAAACCAAAAGTAGTGCAAAGCTGTGCTCCCTGGTGCAAATTACTCTGTGTGCTTCTAGCTACTGCATAACTCCTGCAGTACCTGTGTTAAAAGTCCTTGGTCTGTGTTTCTGTAAAAAAACTGCCTAACATATTAGGCAGAAAACTTGCAGTGAAGAGGGCAGAGAAAAGGATAAAGTGACTTTGCAAACGAGACTCCAGCCCATTCACTGTAATGAACTATTGTAAAAATGTGTCATTGCTGCTGAAATGTGTTACAAGTTTGAATTGTTTTGTTTTTTTTTTCTTTTTCCTGCCCCTTGCAGAGCAGGGCTATAGGCAGTGTGCCCAGAGTAGCTACATGTTTGGATTTTGAATGTGCATAAAGTGTTGGAAAATTCTTTTGGTGTCCAAAATTTTCACTCTATAATGATGTCTTGCTGACTAGCAAGTTAAAGTCCTCATTCTTAGTGGCCTTGGCTGCCTGCCAGTGGGAGCAACCCCGACCCAGAAGCCCCAATAAAACTCAGGACCTCCTTGCCAAGTAAAGTATTTTAAAACAATGTAGGTGGATTTACAACACTGAATTTCTCTGGCAGTCAAGGAGAAAATTCTGTCTTTTACAAAGTAAGAAACTCTATGTTCCTGATACAGAACTTGTAACTCAGCAAAAGTTGGCCAAAGAAGGCCTATTTGTCTTTCTGTAATACAGGCTTTATTAGTTTCCTAAGGTGGTTGTAACAGGTTACTACAAAATGTGTGGCTGAAAACAATAGAAGTAAACTGAGCATTAGTGGTGCCCCACAGCAACATGAAAAAGTGGCCAGTCACACTCCGATGTGGCTACCCCAGATGCCGGTCTATGTTGGCGTCTTGGGCTTCCTGGGGGCTTTGGTACACGAGGTTCCTGAAGATGCCTGGGCCTGGCTCATGGATGGATCCACTTACTTAATGAATGATGGAGTGTCCTGGACCACTACTGCTGGGCAGCCCCAAAGAAAACAGTTTCAAACAGTGCATGGGCAAGAGAATTCGGCTCAATGGGCAGAGTGGCAGGCTGTGGCACTTGTCCTTGTTAACATGACCCCACCCGGCCAATGTAGCCTGTTACCCCTACCCCCACTTCATGACCCATGTGAATGCCCCTCAGAAAGGACCCTTCAAGGATGAACATCAGTGAAATCAATGAAGTAATCAGATCTGCGCTGCCCAGGTGAGGACCATAGCTCCCTGGATACACCATCACACATGTAATTCATGTACAATTCAGGACTGGGCCCCAAAACCAGGCCTAGTGGTTCCAGCACCTGAGGCCAAGAAAGCCTGGCAAACATGCCTGAAATGCCAGCCATATAGTTGAGTGGCAAAGTGAACTTCAGAGCATATAGCTAGGGGTACCGGATCCTGTTAGTCCTGGCGATGGACTACATAGACCTCTTCGTAAGAGTACTGCTGGGCGTTGACTGCAGCAGACACTGTGTCCATACCCTATAGAGGCTGTAGCAACCTGCCACAAACTTAGAGGCTTAGAGCAACATAAATGTATTATCTTACAGTTCTGTAGTTCAGAAACACAAAATGAGTCTCTGCTGGGCTAAAATCAAGATGTTGGTAGGACTGCATTCCTTTCTGGAGGTCCTAGGAAGAAATCATTTTCTTGCCTTTTCAGATTTCTAGAGGCGGCTCACATTCCTTGGTGCCTGGTCCCCTTCTATCTCCAAAGCCAGCCGTGGTCAGTCCAGCCCTTCTTTTGTTTGTTTGTTTGTTTGTTTTGAGATGGAGTCTTGCTCTGACGCCTAGGCTAGAGTACAGTGGCATGATCTCGATCTCAGCTCACTGCAACCCTGCCCCCCAGGCTTCAGTGATTCTCCTGCCTCAGCCTCCCGAGTAGCTGGGATTACAGGTGCCCACCACCATGCCCAGCTAATTTTTATATTTTTAGTAGAGACAGGGTTTCGCCATTTGGCCAGGCTGGTCTCAAACTCCTGACCTCAAGTGATCTGCCCTCCTCAACCTCCCAAAGTGCTGGGATTACAGGCGTGAGCCACTGAGCCAGGCTGATCCAGCCTTTCTTCACTCTCTCCGATGCTGATTCTTCTGTCTCCTTCTTTCACTTATAAGAACCCTTGTGATCACATTGGGCCCAGCCAGGAAATCCAGGATAATTTCCTTGTCTCAAATTCAGCTGATTAGCAACCTTAACTACATCTATATCTCTAATGTCCCTTGCTATGTAACACAATATATTCACAGGTTCCAGGGTTTAGTACCTGGACACCTTTGGGGGTCCATTATTTTGCCTACTCTAGATATCTCTTCAGGATCTGACACTACCATATCCATCTGCACAGTAGATGAGTGCCATACTATGCAAGGACTCTTAGATGGACTGTGTTACATTTTTGATCCCTTGAACATAGCCAATCAAACAATGGTGTCATCAGAGCAAAAAGTACCCAGCAGTGAGCAGCACCTGGGACATTCACTGGACCTTTCAGGCCCCATATCGTCCCCAGGCAGCAGGTGCCATTAAAAGATGGTATGGATTCTTGAAAAAGGAAAAACTGGAATGGATGATTGGATAACCAAACTTCAGCTCCCAGCAGCACATACACTTAAGACCAACAGTTTAGGCCGGGTGTGGTGGCTCACACCTGTAATCCCAGCACTTTGGGAGGCCGAGGTGGGTGGATCACCTGAGGTCAGGAGTTCAAGACCAGCCTGGCCAACATGGTGCAACCCCATTTCTACTAAAAATACAAAAATTAGCCAGGTGTGGTGGTCCACACCTGTAATCCCAGCTACTCAGGAGGCTGAGGCAGGAGAATCGCTGGAACCTGGAAGGCAGAGATTGCAGTGAGCCGAGATTGCACCATTGCACTCCAGCCTGGGTGACAAGAGTGAAACTCCACCCCCCACCCCCCAAAAAAGACCCACAGTTTGTTTCTGAATGTGGCAGTTCCCAAAAAGATACCTCCTATCTAAATAAAATGTTGAGAAGGAGGGGACAAGGCCCAGAATGGCTGTAAGAGATTTGAAGCACACAATCCATTTTCACTCTACCTTTTCCCATCCACATCTACCCATGGGAGACTGGGCTCCTGGAATTTGCAAGTAACAAAGAAGATCTGGAGAGGGAGGTTGGCTACTCTAACCTCATGGTCCTTTTGTCGTACTCCCCTTCCCAGCTATGCTTCCTGGATTTGGGAAGCTATGAACATTGATGATAATAATCAATGAATACAAAGTGACAACTCCTAAGGTGGTCCTAGCATAGTCCTGTGTGACCAGGGTTCTCTTTCTCTATTCCCCAAGCACCCCCATGGTAGACTGAGCCACTCCCATCTTCCTCTGACTCCACTCAAATTTGATGTTGCATCCTGTCCTGGGCTGGACCAAACCTAATGGGATACAGTGGTCTAGCAATGGTATTTTCCTTTATGCAAAGCTAACTGATTTATATTAGATTAGGTTAAACCTAACAATCTTGGCCACCTGGGTGGTTCTCTGGATTCAATTAACTCAAAGGAATGCAGCCCTAATGAGGCTAAGCCAGGCAACTTGACAAAGCAGAGGGATTCAAGTGCTGTGGGCAGAGATTTGTGGGGCTAGATAGGCCTTCCTATTATTTCTAAACCCCACCAAGTGGGTCTTCTTCTGTTGCAACAAGGTATAAGGCCAGCCCCTGATAAAGTTGTAGAGAAGGCTCCCTTTGGGGTTCCCCTCGGTAAACCTAGCCCAGGGCTGAGTCATCACTCTCTTGGTAATGAGAGGCAAGGCCTCAGGTGTACAGATTTTACCACTAACCTTTCCACCTGGAAGCCTGACCCATGCTGGAATGCGAACTGATTCTAGGTTCTGCACTACTCATTCCAATTGGCTGAACCGTGTGTCTATCTTTTCCTGACCAAGGCACAGACTACGTCTGTCCCACCCCGAAGGGAGAATGCAGGATAAGAGGGGCTCCACAGCAGAGTCCTGGCATCTCAGCAGTGGCAGGGGCAGACACGGCAGGGGGGTTTGAACAGATGCTCTTGCAGGAGGCTGGGAAGAACCAGGAGGTCGCAAATTCCCAGCAGCGATAGTTACCAGGGCAGGGTAAATCTACCTATGCCATCAAGGGCAAAGTTGAGCCTCAGAAAGGAAAAAGAATGCAATACAGCAGATTTCAGGGGAGTTGGGGTTGAGAGACAAACAAGAAAACTGGTCAAAGCTGGAACCCAGAGCATTTTTTTTTGTTTTGTTTTTTTAGACAGAATTTTGCGTTTCACTCTTTCTGCCCAGGCCGGAGTGCAGTGACGCAATCTCGGCTCACTGCAACCTCCGCCTCTGGGTTCAAGTGATTCTCCTGCCTCAGCCTCCTGAGTAGCTGGGATTACAGGAGCGTACCACCAAGCGTAGCTAAGTTTATATTTTTAGTAGAGATGGGGTTTCACCATGTTGGCCAGGCTGGTCTCAAACTGCTGACCTCAAGTGATCCACCTCTCTTGGCCTCCCAAAGTGTTGGGATTAGAGGCTTAAGCCACTGCACCTGGCTGAGCTCTTTTTCCTAACCCAGAGAAGTCAGGAAAGAGAGGGGACTCAGAATGGCTTATTTATTTATTTTGAGACAGAGTTGTGTTATCTCGCCCGGGCTGGAGTACAGTGGTGCAATCCTAGGTCCTTGCAGCCTCGAACTCCTGGGCTCAGGCTATCCTACCATCTCAGCCTCCTGAGTAGCGGGGACTACAGGCTTGTGCCACCATGTCCGCTTACTTAAAAAAAATTGTTTGTAGAGATGGGTCTCACTATGTTGACCAGACTGCTCTTGAACTCCTGGGCTCAAGTGACCTTCCCGCTTCAGCCTCCCAAAGTGCTGGGATTACAGGCATGAGCCACCGTGCCTGGCCGTTGGAATGGCTTTAGATACTACTTTTACCCTCCAGGAATCATGGCCTTGCTCAGAGGATCCTTGTTTTCTGGATATCACCTGGGGGTGAAATTATACCTCCTTAAGCAAACACCTACTTATCTGCCTTTTCTTCCCCCGCCCCCCTTGCTCAGATGGCTTTTGTGGCTGGTTTGCTACTTGTCTGAAGCCAAAATTCTAACCCAGTTCCAAGCCATCACTTGAAATGAGGTTCCAGAAACTCTCCAAACAGCTGTCTGCTGTGCACTAAGGATGGGCTGGAGGGGGAAGCCTCTGACAAGAGCATTTAGTTAAATACTAAGCCCCCTAGCCTGTGAGAGCATCTGCAGGCTTCTCCTAAGCCAGAGCCCAGGCCATGCCCAAGGGGATAGGCCCCTCACGGGGAGGAGAGAAGTTTTCTGGTTGTAATGTTTCTTTTTCTTTTTGTTTTTTTTCTGAGACAGAGTCTCGCTCCGCTCTGTCGCCCAGGCTGGAGTGCAGTGGTGCGACCTCAGCTCCCTGCAAGCTCCACCTCCCGGGTTCACGCCATTCTCCTGCCTCAGCCTCCTGAGTAGCTGGGACTACAGGCGCCCGCCACCACGCCAGGCTAATTTTTTGTCACGCCACCGTGACTGGCTGGTTGTAATGTTTCAACAGAACAGAGTGAAACGTTCTGAGGGAGAATTGGCTGGTGGTGTTACCCCCAGGATGGGGGAGAACAGAGAAGGTCTATGATGACTCAGAATGGCTTATTTGTTTATTTTGAGAAAGGGTTTTGTTCTGTCACCAGGGCTGGAGTACAGTGGTGCAATCCTAGCTCACTGTGGCCTTGAACTCCTGGGCTCAAATTATTCTCCTGCTTCTGCCTCCCTAGTAGCTGGGACTACAGGTTTGTGCCACCATGCCCATCCAATTAAAAAAAAAAATTCACCGGGCATGGTGGATCATGCCTGTAATCCTAGCACCTTGGGAGGCTGAGGCGGGTGGATCACGAGGTCAGGAGTTCGAGACCAGCCTGGCCAACATAGTGAAACCCCCATCTCTACTAAAATTACAAAAAGTTAGCGGCATCTGTGGTGGGCATCTGTGGCAGGCATCTGTAATCCTAGCTACTTGGGATGCTGAGGCAGGAGAATAGCTTGAAATCGGAAGGCAGAGATTGTAATGAGCTGAGATCATGCCACTGCACTCCAGCCTGGGTGACAGTGTGAGACTCCGTCTCAAAAAAAAAAAAAAGAATTAATAGAGTTGGGGTCTCACTATGTTGACCAGGCTGGTCTTAAACTCCTGGGCCTCTCATGGGGAAGAGAGAAAAAGTTTTCTGGTTGTAATGTTCCAGTAGAACAGGGTGAAACCTTCTGAGGGAGAGTCAGAGCTGGTGATGTTGCCCTTAGGATGGGGGAAAACAGAGAAGGCCTATGATGACTCCATCCTTGACATTGGGGTTTGAGGGTTGAGAGTGGGTCCCATAACCAGCACCAGGCAGGTTCCTGGGGAACTACTGAGCTTAGATAATGATACTCTGTTTCCAGCTCCATTTTTCCCCTTTTCTGGTTCTGGATGAAATTGACAACTGTCTAATTCTCCTCCACTTGGATTCCTGGAGTCCAAAGCAGTTCTGTGAGACCCCTAGGTTTGGGCTTGATCTTGCTCCTTCATATTACAGCTGGCTTCCTGCCTAACTCTGCACTAACCTGGGTTTGCAATTACTCAGACTTTCCCTGGGCAGAATGTAGGAGTCATACAGGAAAATGGCTGTTCACTTTACAAGATACAGATATTAATACTGAAGTCCCAGAATTGTTTTGACAATTAGGAAAACAAACACCACTCACACCTGTAATCCCAGCACTTTGGGAGTCCAAGGCGGGTGGATCACCTGAGGTCAAGAGTTCGATACCAGCCTGGCCAACGTGGTGAAACCCCGTCTCTACAAAAATACACAAAAATTAGCTGGGCATGGTGGTGGATGCCTGTAATCCCAGCTACTCAGGAGGCTGAGGCAGGAGAATCGCTTGAACCCGGGAGGCAGAGGTTGCCTTGAGCCAAGATCACACCATTGCACTCCAGCCTGGGCAACAGAGCAAGACTCCGTCTCAAAAAAAAAAAAAAGAAAAAAAGAAAAGAGAAGAAAAAAGAAAACAAACAACCATACTTAATGCTAAGATGTCATCAATTGTAAGATGCAGCATGCAGCATTATTTTATACATCATCATGAAAGGAAAATGTTGTCCTCACTGATTCTCTCTCTCTCTCTCTTATCTTTTTTTTAGACAGCAAGTCTTGCTCTGTTGTCCAGGCTGGAATGCAGTGGTATGATCTTGGCTCACTGCAGCCTTGACCTTCTGGGCTCAAGCAATCCTCCCACCTCAGCCTCCTGAATAGGTGGGACTATAGGCATGCGACACCATGCCCAGGTAGTTTTTAAAATAAATTTTTTTTTTTTAGATGGAGTCTCACTCTGTCTCCCAGGCTGGGGTGCAGTGGCTCAATCTTGGCTCACCACAATCTGTGCATCCCAGGTTCAAGCGATTCTCCTGTCTCAGCCTCCCCAGTAGCTGGGATTACAGGTGTGTGCCACCACACCCAGTTAATTTTTTTTGTTGTTGTTGTATTTTTAGCAGAGACAAGGTTTCGCCATATTGGCCAGGCTGGTCTCCAACTCCTGACCTCAAGTGACCCACCCACCTTGGCCTCCAAAGTGCTGGGATTACAGGCATGAGCCATAGTGCCTGGACTAAAACACATTTTGTAGAGACAGAGTCCCACTATGTTGCCCAGGCTGGTCTTGAACCCCTGGGATCAAGTGATCCTCCTGCTTCAGCCTCTCAAAGAGCTGGGATTACAGGAGTGAGCCACCGTGCCCAGCTCATAGTTTTTATATATTCTGAGTTGAGCAACTATCACCAAGATCTAATTTTAGAACAGTTGCATTCTCCCCTCCTCAAAGAAATCCTATTAGTGGTCACTTCCTTTTCCTCCCTTCCCTTGATCCCTAGCAACAACTAACCTACTTTCTTTTTTTCCTTTCCTTTTCTTTTTTCTTTCTCTTCTGATACCCTTGGTAATTAATCTACTTTCTGTCTCTCTGTATAGATTTACCTATCTTGGACATTTCATATAAATGGAATCATAATGTAAGTGGCTTTTTATGACTAGCTTCTTTCATTTAGCATAATGTTTTCAAGGTTCATTCTTGTTATAGATATATCAGCTTCTCATTTCATTACCAAATAATATTTCATTGTATGGATATACCACATATTGTGTGTTCATTTATCAGTTGATGGATATTTTAGGGTTGTTTCCATTTGTTGGCTACTATAAATGATGCTGCTATAAACATTCCTGTACCAGTTTTTGCATGGACATATATTTTTGTTTCTGTGGGTATACACCTATGCATGGAATTGCTGGGTTATATGGTAGCTCTAT
Source organism: Homo sapiens (assembly GCF_000001405.40). Taxonomy (NCBI): domain Eukaryota; kingdom Metazoa; phylum Chordata; class Mammalia; order Primates; family Hominidae; genus Homo; species Homo sapiens. The sequence continues at coordinate 49,071,800 of NC_000017.11, forward strand.
GTTTAACTTTCTGAAGAACGGACAAAATGTTTTGCAAAGTAGTGGTACCATTTTACTTTCCTACCAGCAATGCGTGAGGTTTCAATTTCTGCACATTCTCATCAACACTTATTTACGTCTGTCTTTTTTTTTTTTTTTTTTTTTTTGAGACGGAGTCTCGCACTGTCACCCAGGCTGGAGTGCAGTGGCGTGAACTTGGCTCACTGCAAGCTCTGCCTCCTGGGTTCATGCCATTCTCCTGCCTCAGCCTCTCGATTAGCTGGGACTACAGGTGCCCCCCACCATGCCTGGCTAATTTTTTGTACTTTTAGTAGAGACGGGGTTTCACCGTGTTAGCCAGGATGGTCTCGATCTCCTGACCTCATGATCCACCTGCCTTGGCCTCCCAAAGTCCTGGGATTCCAGGCGTGAGCCACTGCACCCGGCCCTGTCTTTTTGATTGTAGCCATCCTAGTGAGTGTGGAGTGGTACCTCATTTTGCTTTGATTTGCATTTCTCTGATGGCTCATGATGGGGAGAATTTTGCCATTGCTTCCAGTCACTTAGACATTTTATTTTATTGAAAGAGCCTTTTTAGATTTATTTAGACATTGTTTTATCCGTTATATGTTACTCTTATGCATACGTAACAATGAAAATACATGCAACTTTTCACCTAATGCTTTTATTGATTGATTGATTGATTGAGACAGTTTCCCTCTGTCACCCAGGCTGGAGTGCAGTGACACCATCTCAGCTTACTGCAACCTCACCTCCTGGGTTCAAGTGATTCTCCTGCCTCAACCTCCCGAGTAACTGGGATTATAGGCACCTGCCACCATGCTTGGCTAATTTTTGTATTTGTAGTAGAGACAGGGTTTCACTATGTTGACCAGGCTGGTCTCAAACTCCTGACCTCAAGTGATCCGCCCACCTCAGCCTCTCAAAGTGCTGGGATTATGGGCGTGAACCACTGTGCCTGGCCTGTTTATTTATTTTAATTAAAACATTAAAAATTATTTTGTAGAGTCAGGGGTCTCCTTATGTTGGCCAAGTGGGTCTTGAATTCCTGGCCTCAAGCAATCCTCCTGCCTCAGCCTCCCAAAGTGCTGAGGTTACAGGCATTAGCCACCCTGTCCACTCATCAGTAGCTGCTTTTTTTTTTTCTTTTTTTTTTTTGAGGTGGAGTCTCACTCTTGTCACCCAGTCTGGAGTGCAGTGGTGCAATCTCGGCTCACTGCAACCTCTGCCTCCCAGGTTCAAGTGATTCTCCTGCCTCAGCCTCCCGAGTAACTGGGATTACAGGTGCCTGCCACCACACTTGGCTAATTTTTGTATTTTTATTAGAGATGGGGTTTCACCATGTTGGCCAGGCTAGTCTCAAACTCCTGATCTCAGGTGATCCTCCCACTTCAGCCTCCCAAAGTGCTGGGATTACAGGTGTGACGTAAGCCACCTCGCACGGCTAGCAGCTGCTTTTAATCACTGCCTAGATTCATTATTTCATTAGAGAATGCAATATTGTGATATTCTAATTCCACCATTCCTTCTTTATTTGTGGATGTATTTATTTATTTTTAGAGATGAGGTCTTACTATGTTGTCCAGGCTGGACTCAAACTCTTGGGTGCAGGGGATCCTTCCACCTCAGCCTCCTGAGTAGTTAGGACTACAGGTGTGCACCAGCATGTTTGGTTTCTTCTTTATTAGCGGGAATATTTTTTTTTCTTTTTTGTATTAGCAGAAGTATTTCTATAATAAAAACTTTTCCTGGCCGGGCACAGTGGCTCATGCCTGTAATCCTAGTGCTTTGGGAGGCCAAGGCAGGAGGATCACTTGGGGCCTGGAGTTTGAGAGCAGCCTGGGCAACACAGTAAGACCTTGTCTCTACAGAAAGCTTTTAAAAATTATCCACGTGTGGTGGCACATGCCTATAGTCCTAGCTACTTGGGAGGTGGAGAGGGGAGGATCCCTTGAGCCCAGGAGTTGGGGGGTGCAGTGAGCTATGACTGCACCGCTGCACTCCAGACTGGGTGACAGAGCAAAACCCTGTCTCTAAAACACACACACACACACACACATGCACATGCACACATGCACCCCTTTTCCTCACTGATAAATAGTTTGGATATACCCTTCAAATCTCATGTTGAAATGAAATCCTTACTGTTGCAGGTGGGGCTATTGGAAGGTGTTTGGATCATGGGGGCGTATCTCTCATGAATGGTTTAGCGCCATCCCATTGGTGCTCCTGAGTAGCTGGCATTACAGGTGTGCGCCACCACGCCCAGCTAATTTTTGTATTTTTAGTAGAGATGGGGTTTTGTCATATCGGCCAGGCTGGTCTCGAACTCCTGACCTCAGGTGATCCACCCACCTTGGCCTTCCAAAGTGCTGAGACTACAGGCATGAGCTGCCGTTCCCGGCCTGAATTAAGCTGAGTGTGTTAGCCATAATACTAAAAAAATCCTTTAAAATCTCTTATTGCCCAACTTTAGCCATACCAAATGGCCAATATTTCTGGCTTTTTGAACTTTACCAAAGGTAACCTCCCAGGTGCTCAGAGAAAAAAAAATTCAAGACAGTTTATGGAGGGGAAGAGAATCAACAAATGGTCAAGGTCGTGCAGATATTAAGCCAGAAAAGACTCATTCCTTAAGCCAGGAATTGAACCCCGGATGCCATTGTGAAAAGAGAAAGCTGTAGCTACTGAGCTACAGCACTGGGCAGTCTCCACTGCTCTTCCCACAAGGATCCTAGAGGCAGCCAATTTTGAGCTTGCAATGGCTTTTAAATGCTCAAGACAAGTTTTAGGGGTAACTGTGACATGAAACCCAAAATTCCTGTCTTCCGAATGGTGAAGACCAAGAGAAAGTATTGCCACATGGTTACAAGGTCAAGCTCCCAAAGACATAAAACAAGATGGAGTCCTCATCCAGTTTTTTGTTTTGTTTTTTAATTTCAGGGACCTGCAGCAAAGTTTGTTACTGGCCAGTTTGCTGGGCTGGCTTGGGGTACTAAGCCCATGTTCTATCCTAAAGTACTCCTCTTTATGACCGAATGATACAGAAAGATATATTTATAGCACAAAGTATACCAGATTTGCTATGGCTTAAGACCAGCCTCAAAAATCCTTTTTCCCATTAATTAAAACTTTACAGAGGAGATAAACAGTGATTTTGACCATTCATTCAACAAGTTTGCATAGCAAGAGAGAGACCAAAAGCCTGACTGGTAGGAAATTCTTACCCTTTGGGCACATGCCAGGCATCTGGGTTCCCTTTCCCTGAGCAGTTCCCTGCTCGCCACACCATAGCCCTGGAGGCCAAGCCACAACACAAAAGAAAATCATCTTTTTCTGTTTCATGGAACCATAGGCAAAATCCTCTCAATTTTGTAAGATGCTGCCCAAGAGATTACATGGGGTAACCAAATTAACATTTTCCATTCTGGACAGAGCAAAATGCATGTGATAAAACATAGATATTAGCCACTCCACTTAGCATGCGATATCGACCTGGCAAGTCTCAAACTTACCCCTGGTTGGGCCCTGTCAACTTTAATCCATTCAGGGTTGGGTGGAATGATCTTCTGACCAGGAGATTTAACATGTGGTCTCTGGGCAAGATAAAAAAGCAGAGAGCTGCCCTGAGTAACAGAAAAGATAGGAAAGAGAAAGGGAGAAAAACATTACCTGTGGCAGGGTGGTTGGCAGGGTGGGGAAGGCAAGGAGCTCAGGGAGGCCAGAGAAAGACCTACCCATTGCAGCCACACTGAATAAAAGTTCAGGCAGCTACTTGACAGTAGTGAAGGGATCTTTTCCAGCAGTCCCATCGGCTCTCAAGTTTCCCCCTTTAGGGAGAAAAAAGCTCTCCATGTCCAGTGATCCTGTACTTGCCTAATCCTGTCACTCATAGCCATTAGCAAACAGCGCAAGATAGAGTAATCCAAAGAGATTAATGGTTAACATTCCATAATGCCAAATCCTTTTTTTTTTTTTTTTTTTTTTGAGATGGAGTCTTGCTTTGTCACCAGTCTGGGGTGCAGTGGCGTGATATCGGCTCACTGCAACCTCTACCTTCCGGGTTCAAGCAATTCTCCTGCCTCAGCCTCCCGAGTAGCTGGGACTACAGGCGTGAGCCACCACATCCAGCTAATTTTTTGTATTTTTAGTAGAGACAGGGTTTCACCATGTTGGCCAGGATGATCTCGATCTCTTGACCTGGTGATCCACCTGCCTCAGCCTCCCAAACTGCTGGGATTACAGGTGTGAGCCACCGTGCCTGGCTGCCAAATCCATTTTTAACCAAGAGGGACTTTGCTGAAAGGGGCCTCTAACCCCCTAAATCTTAGGAAGGACTCTAACCTTCCTAAGTTGGGCTTCAAACCCAAGTTTGGTCAAGCATCCTTGCCTTATTATTAAGAGGGACCTTCACCCTCTCTGTTTTAGGAAGGACTCTAACCCAATACCATTCTTTACCTGGGTAAAATGTATCCCACCACTCACCCAAGGTCGGCCAATTGGTGCTGCAGTCTATTCCCTTTGGGTCGGGGGTCTCCTCATTATAGTGCCTTTGTGATTCCACAGGAAGATGTTATCGGAAAGGGATCCTGATCCAGACCCCAAGAGAGAGTTCTTGGATCTTGTGCAAGAAAGAATTTGGGGCAAGTCCATAGAGTAAAATGAAAGAAAGTTTATTAAGAAAGTAAAGGAATAGGCTGGTCTGCCTATGGAGTAGCCAGTCTTTATTCCTTTACTTTCTTAATAAACTTGCTTTCACTTAAAAAAAAAAAAAGCAAGTAAAGGAATAAAGAATAGCCACTCCATAGGCAGAGCAGCAGCTTGGGCTGCTTGACTGATAATACTTATAGTTACTTTTTGATTATATGCTAAACAAGGGGCAGATTATTCATGAGTTTTCCAGGAGAGAGGTGGACAGTTCCTGGAACTGAGGGTTCCTCCCTCTTTTAGACCATATAGGGTAACTTCCTGATGTTGCCATGGCATCTGTAAACTGTCATGGCACTGGTGGGAGTGTCTTTTAGCATGCTAATACATTATAATTAGTGTATAATGAGCAATGAAGACAACCAAAAGTCACTTTTGTTGCCATCTTGGTTTCGGCTGGCTTTTTTACTGCATCCTGTTTTATCAGCAATGTCTTCGTGACCTGTTCCTTGTGCTGACCTCCTACCTCATCCTGTGACTAAGAATGCCCTAACCTCCTGGGAATGCAACCCAGTCGGTCTCAGCCTTATTTTACCCAGCACTTATTCAAGATGGAGTCGCTCTGGTTCAAACAACTCTGACAGTTAGATGGAGGAAAGGATTCATGAGACTCCATGCAGTACACTTATGTTAGCAGTAATAATGCCAAAGGATGCAATATAGCAGCAGAAAGAGCCAAGGCAAACATCAAGGGAGTCCATGACATCCAGGCACGGCTTCCGCATCCTTTCTGAGTCACCAGATGTGTTTTCTTTTGGGATCAGAAACCACTAAGATATGTGCAAGATATCTTGGTTTTGCAGACAAACATGATGACAGTAAACTCCGACTGTGCTGTTCCAAGACAAAAAGGCCAGGGGATGCAGGGCAATGAAGACAAACTGAGACCTCAGCCTTTGGCTGGGCAAGAATAGTTCATTTAATTTCTTCATTCACTGAATGCCTACTATGTTCCAGGCCTGGTGTTGGTATGGGGGAAATAGAATGAACAAAATAAGTGAGATCTCTACTCTCATGATGCTTACATTCTTCAGGGAGTAGGAGGTGGTGATGATAGTGGCAGGAGGCAGGCAAATACCAAGCAGATAGAGGAGGGTCCCCAGTGAAACCCCACCTTCAAGCTGAAGACAGTTTAAAATCTAGCTATAAGTCTCAGGTAAATCCACGGACTAAATTGAGAACCTGTCTTCCCATTTGGTGCACTTTCCTCTGATTGATCCCCACACTTCACCAGTTTTACATATGCCAACCCTTTCCTAATTGGTTTTCTACACTGCCGTGCCCACCTCTGAGTGATGCCTTTGCTTTAGCTTTTCTTTACATACTCAGAAACCAATCAGCACACACTCCCCTATTCTGAGCCATAAAAGCCCCAAACTCAGCCACACTGACAGAAAGAAACTACCGCACTGCGAGAGTGGAAGACCACTCTCCACATCCCCTCTTCCCTGAGAGCTGTTCCATTGCTCAATAAAATTGTTCTCTGCCCATCCTCATCCTTCAATTGTCAGCATATCCTCATTCTTCCTGGATGCAGGACAAGAGCTCAAGAACCACCGAATGCGGGTACAAACTATAGCACAGGTGGGCTGAGTTGGTGAGGCACCTCCAGCGGCAGTCCTGGGACTGAGCGAGGCCTGGGCATGTGGGTGTCCCCAGCCACGGAGGACCCCTGTTGGCAAAGTGGCTGAGAAAAATCCTGCATCAGTGAGGCAACTGTAGGGGTCAAGAGAAACTTCCCATTGCCTTCTGAAGGTTTGCTGAAAAAGAAACTCACAAAAGGCAGATTAATGGGAGACAAAGGCATACAAATTTTATTAACACGTACATGGGGAGAACCACAGAGTGATTATCTACCCTGCAACGGGATTCAGAAGCTTATACACCATGCTGGCAAAACAGGTTAGGGGGTCAGGGGAGAGGAATTCTGTTGAGGGACAGTAAAGGATAGGGAGAATGAATGGGTTCGGGAACAGAGATTCACTTGTAAACAGTTCTCTTTGTCAGCGAAAGGATCTGTTCAGGTATGGTTACATTCTTGGTCTTACAGGGAGGGGAAATAAAAACAATTGTTCTTTTCGGTGGGTCTGGATCTTAGGCAGATAAACGAGATAGTGTCGGTGGGGAGAGATTGTCAGACAATGAGGCTTCTTCAGTTCAGTATGTCAAAGTACCATATTTTGGGGTATCAGCTTCTGAGCCTCAACAACCTGAAGTCAAACCACCTTTGCAAAATTATGACAGTGTGAGAAATCTGACGTGGCTGACTCCATCTTACCTCTAGCCTCCCAGGTTGGCTGTCTGCTCATTCCTGGGCGCGGGCCATGCTAACTTTGGGAGAAATTTAGTTTATAGTCTAAATGATAATAACCCTCCCCCAAAACTAAACTCTTCTTGTAAAACTAATGAAAGACAGGCTGGGCGCGGTGGCTCACGCCTTTAATCCCAGCACTTTGGGAGGCCGAGACAGGCGGATCATGAGGTCAGGAGATCGAGACCATACTGGCTAACACGGTGAAACCCCGTCTCTACTAAAAATACAGAAAAAAAAATTAGCCGGGCCTGTTGGCGGGCGTCTGTAGTCCCAGCTACTCAGGAGGCTGAGGCAGGAGAATGGCATGAACCCAGGAGGCAGAGCTTGCAGTGAGCGGAGATCCCACCACTGCACTCCAGCCTGTGCGACAGAGCAAGACTCCGTCTCAAAAAAAAAAAAAAAACTAATGAAAGGCCATCAAGTTAGGAGTGTAAGAGGGGCTTGAATTCAAAATAATTACCAGCCATGATTCCGGAGGTCATAAGATTTGCAACTTTCCCAATTACTCTTGCAGATAACCTTGCTATCGTAGAACCTAAGATTGGCCTCTTTTGAGATGTCTTTTCAGGTTTTTGCATTTCTGACAACTGGATGGCCCCATTTGGACCTGCCAACCAATCCTGTGGACCCCACCCAGGAACTGACTCAGCACGAGAAGACAGCTTCAATTCCTTATGATTTCATCTCTGACCCAATCAATCAGCATTTCCCCTACTGTAGCCCCCTGCCCATTAAACTATCTTTGTAAAACTCCTAAGCTCTAAGCCTTCAGGGAGATTGATTTGAGTAATAACTATCTCCAGTGTGGCATGGCTGGCCTTGGGTCAATTAAACTCTTTCTTTACTGCAATGCCATGGTCCCCATGAATTGATTTTGTTTGTACAGTGGGCAGGAGGAATCTGTCAGGTGGTTACAGAAGGATGTGGTGGAGTGGAAGCCAAAAGAAGAACTGGTTCCTAGAAGGAGGATGCGTTAGTCTGTTTTGTGTCACTATAGAGGAATACCTGAGGCTGGGTAATTTATAAAGAAAAGAGGTTTAATTGGCTCACGGTTCTGCAGGCCATAGAGGAAGCATGATGCTGGCATCTGCTCAGTCTCTGGTGAGGTCTCAGGGAGCTTTTACTCATGGCGAAAGGCAAAGCAGGAGCAAGCCTGTCACACGGCGAGACAGAAAGCAAGGGCAGGGTGGTCTATCCTTTCAAACAACCAGATGTCACGTGGACTCAGAGAACCCATTCATTACCGAGAGGAGGGTGCCAAGCCATTCATGAGGGATCCGCCCAATGACCCAAACACCTCCCACAAGGCCCCACCTCCACCACTGAGGATTACATTTCAACATGAGATTTGGAGGGAACAAAACATTCAAACCAAATCAGAGAGAGAAGTCAACTGTGCTAAAATCTTCCAAGAAAGCAAATAGTATGAACACAGAGAGGTGACTGAAGCCAGCCTCATAGGGGTAACAAGAATTCTGGACAGAAATATAATTATCATTAATCATTAAACAGGCTGCACTTTGGTCCCCTTCCTTGTAACTGAAAGTCATGTAGCAGCACTTGATACTGGCTGTTTGTATCCTCATGGTTCCTATAGATAGGATTTCTGATGTTGGAATCATAAGAGTTTGGGCCAGGCATGATGGCTCACACCTGTAATCCCAGCACTTTGGGAAGCCGAGGTGGGCAGATCACTTGAGCCCAGGAGTTCAAGACCAGCCTGGGATACATGGTGAAACCCAATCTCTACAAATAATACAAAACTTAGCTGGGCATGGTTGTGCATGCCTGTAGTCCCAGTTACTCGAGAGGCTGAGGTAAGAGTAGTCCCAGTTACTCGGGAGGCTTGAGCCTGGGAGGCTGAGGCTGCAGTGAGCCCCATTGTGCCACTGCACTCCCCTGGTGTGGCAACAGAATGAAACCATGTCTCAAAAAAAAAAAAAAAAAAAAAAAAATCAGAGGCCGGGCGAGGTGGCTCACACCTGTAATCCCAGCACTTTGGGAGGCTGAGGCGGGTGGATCACCTGAGGTTGGGAGTTCTAAACCAGCTTGGCCAACATGGTGAAACCCTGTCTCTACTAAAAATACAAAAATTAGCCAGGCTTGGTGGCAGGCGCCTATAATCCCAGCTACCCGGGAGGCTGAGGCAGGAGAATCACTTGAACCCAGGAGGCGGAGGTTGCAGTGAGCCGAGATCGCGCCATTGCACTCCAGCCTGGATGACAAGAGTGAAACTGTCTCAAAAAAAAAAAATGCATAAGGCTTTTAAGATAGATAGAGTCTCTGGTTTGGAATCATAAGGCTTTTGTTTAAAGATTGCTTAAGCAGATCCTGAATTCCAGTGAAACAGCTGATGCCAATCAGTTTGAAGCCCTCCCCAGTGGAATAGAATCAGCATGAGAATACAGTTTCTTTATCTCCCTGTCCCATAACTTCATCCTTCACTCTTTGACCAACCAATGATCATACTTCAGCCTGCTCCAAAACCCTTAAAACCCTAGTCCAAAATTCCTTGGGGAGACAGATTTGAGGTTTCCCCCTCTCTCCTCATTCAGCAGCCCTACGATTAAACCTCTTTCTCTGCTGTAGCCCAGTATCTTAGTCTATTGATTTGCTGTGTGCATCGGGAAACAAACCTATTACAGTTACATGAACATTGCATTTAGCAACACGAAGTTCTCAGTGGAGTATTTATCCCTGAGTGTTCTTCTTGTCACCTTCCTCGATATTCACAAAGTCCTTCCTTTTTCATCCTCCTCCTTGGGCACTGTGGAAGAGGACACTGGAACATGTGCCCTCTGTGTTGGCTGAGAAGCATTTTTAGCCTCTTTCTGTCCATAGAAAGTTGGGGACATAGAAATTATTTTACATCTTGTCTCCTTCAGTCTAAGTTGGGGGCACTTTGCCAAAATAGCTTTCTTGAACTGAGTATTTTCTTTTCTTTCTTTCTTTCTTTCTTTCTTTTCTTTTTTTTTTTTTTTGAGACGGAGTTTTGCTCTTGTTGCCCAGGCTGGAGTGCAATGGCACGATCTTGGCTTGACACAACCTCCGCCTCCCGGGTTCAAGCGATTCTTCTGCCTCAGCCTCCCAAGTGGCTGGGATTACAGGCATGCGCCACTATGACCGGCTAATTTTTGTATTTTTAGTAGAGATGGGGTTTCTCCATGTTGGTCAGGCTGATCTCAAACTCCCAATCTCAGATGATCCACCCACTTCGGCCTCCCAAAGTGCTGGAATTACAGGCGTGAGCCACCGCGCCTGGCTGAACTGAATATTTTCTGTGTATTTGATTTCAGACAACTTCATGGGCCAAAAGCCATGTCCACAATTCTCTCATGGTTTCCTCTCTAGACTTAATATCAGATACTAAATAATAGGCATATCAGGCTTCTGTGGGACCACACAGTTCATTCTAGGAACGCTTTTGTCTAGCTGAATGGCACCACCTTAATCCTTACATAGATCTTCAAAATGGGATGCAATAATCACACCCTGATTTAGTCTTTGCCTAAAGCCATGTGGTAGATTGCAAAAATGGCCACAAATTCCTCCAGTTGCTGTATGCACACCCCTTTGCATTGTGATTCTGCCAATCCTCACAATAACGGGTGGATTCGATTTCTCACGCTTTTAATCTGGGTTTAGCCAGGTGGCTTGCTCTACATGAGCAAAACAATGAAAGGAGAGACTTGAAAAAGCTTTGCCCTCGCTTGCTCATTTTAGAACCCTTCTGCCACTTGTGAAGGAGGCTTCTGGAAGATGACAGACCAGATGAAGCAGAGATCAGCAGTTCCAGCTGAGGCTTCTTTAGACTACTCAGTCTGCCAACAATCAGACACATGGGTGAGACTGTTTGATCATCCAGCCTCAGCCCAAGCCAAGCTGGTCTAGATGTGAAGAGTTGCCCAGTCAACCTGTATAGAATTGTGAGAAAAATGCATATTTTATGCCATTAGGATTTGGGGTAGTTTGTCATGTAGCAAAATCTAACGAATACAGGCTGTGTCTTAATGGCAGCATCTGGGTGTTTTTCTTTTCTTTTCTTTTCTTTTTTTTTGAGACAGAGTCTTGCTCTGTTGCCAGGCTGGAGTCTAGTGGCGCCGTCTCAGCTCACTGCAACCTCCACTTCCCGGGTTCAAGGGATTCTCCTGCCTCAGCCTCCTGAGTAGCTGGGACTACAGGCATGCACCACCACCCCCAACTAATTTTTGTATTTTTAGTAGAGATGGGGTTTCATCATGTTGGCCAGGATGATCTCGATCTCTTTACCTCGTGATCCACCCACCTCGGCCTCCCAAAATGCTGGGATTACAGGCTTGAGCCACCGAACCCAGCTGCATCTGGGTGTTTTTTGAGGCTATAGTTTGATGGCCATGCCTTTCATATGCTAGGAAACAGTTGTACTTTTAATTTAATTTCAATTTTAATTTCAAATTAAACAATTTTAATTTCTGCACTGTCCATATTTCCTCTTGATTGTTTGCAAACTGGCCAGTTATTTTATAAGCTCATCTCTTTCTTGAGATGTGAGTCTGCAATTTTACCAAAGGTTTTGCCAGGCAGCAGTTAGACCAAGTGTCTTGCTATATAGTAGTTCACCATTTTCCCACCACTCTCTATATCTTTGCTACTTATTGCCTGCTTGTTCTCAAGGGCATTATTGTGTATTTTAGGTTTTCATTTGTTGACCTAAAAGGAAGAAGCTCAGGTAAAATTAATATAAGTAGAGAGTGTATTTGGGCCAAGACTGAGGATTGCAACCTGGGAGCATAAATTCAAGTTGTCCTGAATATATATGCTCCATCTAGCAACAGTTACAAGTAGCGTTTTTTGGTTTGTTTGTTTGTTTGTTTGTTTGTTTGTTTTTTTTTTGAGAGGGGGTCTTGCTCTGTCACCCAGGCTGGAGTGCAATGGCATCATGATCTTGGCTCACTGCAGCCTCTGCCTCCCGGGTTCAAGCGATTCTCCTGCCTCAGCCTTCCGAGTAGTTGGGATTACAGGCACCCACCACCACATCTGGATTTTTGTATTTTTAGTAGAAATGGGGTTTCACCATATTGGTCAGGCTGGTCTTGAACTCCTGACCTCAGGTGATCCACTTGCCTTGGCCTCCCAAAATCCTGGGATTACAGGTGTGAGCCACTGAGCCTGGCCACAAGTAGGTTTTTAAAGGAAAAAAAAACAAAAAACAAAAAAAGTCAGTTCCTATATTATTTACCAAAAATTTACATTAAAATAACATGAGCTGTTGGCTGGGTGTGGTGGCTCAGACTTGTAATCTCAGCACTTTGGGATTATAGGCAACATCGGGAGACTCCACCTCTATAAAAAATTTAAAAATTAGCCTAGTGTGGTGGTGCATGCTTGTAGTCCCAGCTACTCAGGAGGCTGAGGTTGCAGGGCCTCTTGGAGGTGGGAGGATCTCTTGAGGCCAGGAATTTGAGACCAGCCTGGGCAACATAGGGAGACCAAAAAAAAAAAAAAAAAAAAAATTAGCCAGACATGCACCTGTGGTCCCAGCTACTTGGGAGGCTGAGGTGGGAGGATCGCTTGAGCCCAGGAGTTCCAGGCTGCAATGAGCCATGATAGCACCACTGCACTCCAGCCTGGGTGACAAAGCGAGACACTGTCTAAAAAAAAAAGAAAAAAGAAAAAATATCTGACAATTTTCTGCAGGTAAAATATGTTTTTGCCTAAAATGAAGCTGAAGATATATGCACATATTTATTGTTATTTTATACAATTTGTACTTCTATGAATAAAGTCAGACATTCACTTGCAATGATTGAGTGTGCTGTATCCTTATACATAGCACAGCTACAGCCCATGGTTTAGAAAGGCCTTTCTTTCTTTTTTTTTTTTTTTTGAGACGGAGTCTCGCTCTGTGGCCCCGGCTGGAGTGCAGTGGCGTGATCTCAGCTCATTGCAAGCTCCGCCTCCCGGGTTCACGCCATTCTCCTGCCTCAGCCTCCAGAGTAGCTGGGACTACAGGTGCCCGCCACCACGCCCGGCTAATTTTTTGTATTTTTAGTAGAGACGGGGTTTCATCATGTTAGCCAGGATGGTCTCGATCTCCTGACCTCAGGATCCACCCACCTCGGCCTCCCAAAGTGCTGGGATTACAGGCGTGAGCCACTGCGCCCGGCCAGAAGGGCCTTTCAACAAGCCCAGATTTGGCATGTGCCTGGGGTCTAGTGTAACTTCAGCTTGAGTTCGTGTAGACTCTGCCCTTCCAGCAACATCCTCAATGCCTGATATGGTTTGGCTGTGTCCCCACCCAAATCTCATCTTGAATTGTAATCCATAATCCCCCCATGTTGTGGGAGGGACCTGGTGGGAGATAATTGAATCATGGGGATGGTTTCCCCATGCTGTTTTCGTGATAGTGAGTAAGTCTCAGGGGATCTGATGTTTTTATAAGTGCCTGGCATTTCCCCTGCTGGCACTCATTCTATTTCTTGCTCCTTGTAAGTTTTTTGAGGACTCCCCAGCCATGTGGAACTGTGAGTCAATTAAACCTCTTTTCTTTATAAATTATCCAGTCTCAGGTATTTCTTCATAGCAGTGTGAGAACGGACTAATACAATGCCTTCTTCTCTCACCCTTATATTCTCTGCTGGGTCATCCTGGGTATATGCATTTCACAAAGGGTGAGGATTTTAAAAAACCCATTTTAACGTATTTCCATGTCATCCTGATAGCTTCTCTAGGGTCACTGAAAATCTTTGCTGACATTCTAGAACATATGATACAGGGCAGAAGCCAGAAGCCACTGATCATTTTGACCAGCGACCAAAAACTTTTGGCTTTTATCCTTCAGCATCTGACATATACCAACACAGTCCACATGGATCATAGGGTGATTATGGGTGAGATCTTGTCCTTGGATTGCAAAATGCTTAGGGCATCAGAAAACACTTCTGGTGTTCTCTCAAAGTCCTCCTCCTCCAGGAAGCCTACCTGCATTTAAGTGGGATGAGGGAAGGTTCTCCATGTTACCTTGTTTCTTTTCTGAAATACTGTACCTGATACTACTCCACCTTGCAGCTGGCACCTATCAGTGAAAGAATGAAAAGTATGATTGGAGAGGACAGAGATAGTTTAGGATTATCTCTGTGGTGGGAGGATCACTTGAGCCCAGGAGTTCGAGACCATCCCGGGTGTGGTGATGCACGCCTGTAGTCCCAGATACTCAGGAGGCTGACCTAAGAGGACTGCTTGAGCCTGGGAGGTTGAGGCAGCAGTGAGCCCCATTTGTGCCACTGCACTCCAGCCGGAGCAACAGAGCAAGACCCTGTCTCAAAACAAATAGGCAAAAAGGTTTTTTTGATCATTCACTGTGAAAGAGCATAATGGGAGACAGGCTGAGATTCACAGAGACTTTGTCCTTTGTGTCAATAAACCCCAGATCAATTATAAATGATCCTAGGCTAATAAAGAACTTCCTCTAATCTCTTTGACTCCCTGTTTAATCAGTGAGTTTTTCAAGTCTCTATTCACTCTCCCAGGGTTTTTTTTTTTTTTTTTTTAAATAGATCTCCCTATGTTGCCCAGGCTGGTCTCAAACTCCTGGGCTCAAGCAGTTGTCCTGACTCAGCCCCGCAAAGTGCAGGGATTACAAGTGTGAGCCATCACACCCAGACTCTACCAGGGTGTGTTTGTTTGTTGGTTGGTCTGACCTCTATAAAAGTGACATTTTCTCCCTGTATTTTGTTCCTATCTGCAGGGCTGATTTGTAGCTAGGAACCTGGTCATATCTCAAGTCACAGTCAAATATGTATGGGGGTAACTAATAACTCTCTTCATTAGAGAGAACAACACTGAGGTGCTGGGGGGTGTCCTGGAGAACACAGAACTGAGAAGGGTGAAGGACTCTCATCACTTTTCTCCAGTTGCCAGCAAGGGTGGAGGGAAGCAGAGGTGGGAGGAGAGTTAGGTCACTTGATCTAGAGGTGAGAGTATTTGCCAGGCATCAGAAGGTCTGAGTGTGAATTCTACTAGACCAGACTTCACAGGAGGTCCTTCATCTTCATTTACAACCCTCTGCTATGTAAGAGAAAACAGAAAGGCAGGTATGAGGCATCATCATGACAATGTTGCCTGTCCCTCATTGACTTTGAGTGGCAAGCTGTGCTTCTTGCTGGAAATGCTTTATTCTTCCAATTCTCATGGCTTAAACACAAACCAAGGCAGAAGGGACTCCCATGAGTACATGCCAGGCAGTGGAGGGAGGTGAGGCAGGCCTGGGAGTAAGTGCACCCTCCCAATGGAAGGATAGCTGCTGCCTAGATCTTACATGCTCTCAAATGGGTTTTTCTTTCTTGCAGGAGGGAAAACATGCTGTGGGCTAAGCAGGATGTGGAATCATGAAACCTATCTTCCTTCCTCACTCTAGGTGTTGTTCTCACCAGGATGGTGAGAAAGTCTCTGGCCAGGCATGGTGGCTACCACCTATAATCCTAGCACTTTGGGGGGCTGAGGTAGGAGGATCACTAGAAGCTAGGAGTTCAAGACTAGCCTGGGAAAAAAATGCAAGACCCCCATCTCTAAAAAAAAAAAAAAAAAAAAAAAAAATTAGCCTGGTATGATGGTGTCTGTAGTCCCAGGTACTTGGGAGGCTGAGGCAGGAGGATTGCTTGAGCCCAGGGAGTTGAGGTTGCAGTGAGCCATGATCGTACCACCGCACTCCCCTGTGGGTGATAGAGCAAGACCCTGTCTCTAAATAAAAATAAAAAATAAAGTTTCTGTGGAAATCAGAACCTGGCTCTGTAAGGGACCTGCAATTATTTGGCTCAGGTTGCAGCAGCAAAGGTAAAAACCTGCAGATGCTGCTCGATGGTGCCTCACCCATTACCTTCGCCTACTCCAGAGCACAGTCCCTGTACGCGCTGTTGGTTTTCTGCATCTCTTTGCTCAAGAATGTTCTCTTGTCAAGGAAGCATGGTCTCTCTGCCTGCATGCAGGGCAGGCCTAGAGTGCAAGAGGCAACGCTCCCAACCAATGAGGGAAGGCAGTTGGGTGGGGACAAATATCCCAAATTTCTTGCTCTTCAGCGCAATTCTGAAGCTTGTTCCACACTTTTCCTCAAAGGATCCCCAGTGGGATTGGGCCCCACATATTAACACATACCTTCATGAGCTCTCCTCCCTTCCTTGTTTCCCCTCCCTATTTCCTCACAGTTTTATATGACTGCTTCCCAAATAAAGAGCATGCACTCAAATCCTTATCTGAGGGTCTGCACTGCAGGGAACCCAGCGTAGGAGAGCTGGGAGCAGAAGCAGCTGTAAGAAAGCATAGCCTCAGGATGGAATTCTGGACTTGGACTAGTTCGTTCTCACACTGCTATAAAGAACTATCTCAGATTGGGTAATTTATAAAGAAAAGAGGTTTAATTGACTCACAGTTCCACAGGCTCAACAGGAAGCATGGCTGGAAGGCCTCAGAAAACTTACAATCATGGTGGAAGGCAAAGGGAAAGCAGGTGTGTCTTACCATGGCAGAGCAGGAGAGAGGGAGAGGGAGGGAGGGAGGGAGAGGGACAGAGAGGGAGAGAGAGAGAGAGAGAGTGAGCGAGCAAAGGGGGAAGTGCCAGACACTTTTAAACCATCAGATCTCGTGAGAACTCATTCACTATCATGAGAACAGTAAGGGAGAAGTCAGCCCAATGATTTAATCACCTCCCACCAGGCCCCTCCTCCAAAACGTGGGGACTGCAATTCGGCATGAGATTTGGGTGGGGACACAGAGCCAAACCATATTAGACCTCATTGCTTGTGGTAGGCAGGACAGCAAAGCTCCTGAGTGCCACAGCAGCACAACTGCAAACCCTCACCTGTGGTAGATGGGATGAGAAACAGGTGGAAGGAGAAACTGGGTCATGCAATATCTCCAGCACTGGAAAGATACAGGGGCAAAGTAAAATTTTTTTTTCTTTTTTTTCTTTTTTTTTTGAGATGGAGTCTTGCTCCGTAGCCCATGCTGGAGTGCAGTGGCACAATCTCGGCTCACTGCAACCTCCACCTCCTGGGTTCAAGCAATTCTCTGCCTCAGCCTCCCGAGTAGCTGGGATTACAGGCGCCCACCACCATGCCCGGCTAATTTTTGTATTTTTAATAGAGACGGGGTTTCACCGTCTTGGCCAGGCTGGTCTTGAACTCCTGACCTCGTGATCTGCCCGCCTCAGCCTCCAAAAGTGCTGGGATTACAGGTGTGAGCCACTCCGCCCAGCTTTTTTTTTTTTTTAAGACAGCATCTCACTTTGTAGCCCAGACAGCAGTGCAGTGGCGTGATCACGGCTCATTGCAGCCTTGATCTCGCAGGCTCAAACAATTCCCCCTGCCTCATATTTTCAATTTTTTGTAGAGAAGAGTTCTCATTATGTTGCCCAGGCTGGTCTCGAACTCCTGGGCTCAAATGATCCTCCCACTTCATCTTCCCAAAGTGCTGGGATTACAGGCATGAGTCACTGCACCTGGCCTGGGCAAAGTAAATTATAAGGGTAGTGGAATTAGTTGGCTTTAGTTAATAGTCATAAAAACCTTGAAAAAACAGAATGACAGGCTGACGTCAGCCTATTATCAACTTAGAGCACACTGTGAAAGCCAGAATGCCACCATTTAGATAGACCCTCCACTCCTGCAGATAGAACGCAGGCTCTGCAGAGGGTACGATGAAGTTACAGAAATGGGTTGGCCAGGCCCCTTTGTCACGTCCTGTGCCAATGCCTCTTCATTAGCTCACACCTGTGGCCTTACGAGAGTTCCCCTATGACCAGCAAATAGAGAAGGAAAAAAGCTAGGCTACAGAAGGATCACCTTGGTATATTGGTACAAGCTGAATAGGGACAACTGTAGCCCTATTTAGAGGTGGCCCTGAAAGAAAGTCATCAGGGAAAACCCTCCCAGTGGGCAGAGCTTAGAGCATGCATTACATTTGGTCATCAAATTTGTATGGATGGCAAAGTGGTCAGAGGTGAAGATATATATGGACTCCTGGACCATGAAGAATAGCTTGGCTGGCTGGTCTGGGGCCTGGAAGGAAGAAGATTGAAAGACTGGAGAAAGGAGGTCTGGAGAAGACATATGTGGATGGACCCATGGGAAAAGGCATTAGTGTGCATATATTTATGTTTTCTTTTTTCTTTTCTTTCTTTTGAGACGGAGACTCTCTTTTCACCCAGGCTGGAGTGCAGTGGCACAATCTCAGCTCACTGGAACCTCCACCTTCTGGGTTCAAGTGATTCTCACGCCTCAGCCTCCCAAGTTGCTGGGATTACAGGCATGCACCATCATGCCTGGCTAATTTTTGTATTTTTAGTAGAGACGGGGTTTTACCATGTTGGCCAGGCTGGTCTTAAACTCCTGATCTCAAGTGATCTGCCCACCTCGGCCTCCCAAAGTGCTGAGATTACAGGCGTGAGCCGCCACGCCTGGCCTATTTTTTTAAAAATGATATATATCCTATTTTTTAAAAATTATATATATATATATATATATATATAATTTTTTAATTTTTTAATTGCCTATTTTTAAGAACCAGCATTGGAGATATTTATGTTTTCTGTCAATAATTATCAGAGGGCATTGCACTAGTCTGTTCTCTCACTGCTATAAATAAATACCTGAGACTGGGTAATTTATAAAGAAAAGAGGTTTAATTGGCTCACAGTTCCCCAGGCTGTACAGGAAACATGGCAGCATCTGCTCCTAGGGAGGCCTCAGGGAGCTGTTACTCATGGTGGAAGGCAAAACGAGAGCAGGCATCTTACATGGAAGGAGCAGGGGCAGGAGCAAAAGATAAAGTTGGGAGGGCCCACACACTTTTAAACAAGCAGATCTTGTGAGAACTCACTCATCATCACGAGAATAGCACTGAGGGGATGGTGCTAAACCATTCATGAAAGATCTATCCCGATGATCCAATCACCTCCCACCAGGCCCCACCTCCAACACTGGGGATTACAACTGGACATGAGATTTGGGTGGGGACACACAGCCAAATAATATCAGGCATCATCAACCTCAGAAATCTCAATAGCCAGGTGGATACACTAACTCACTTAGTGGATGTGAGCCATTCTCTGTTGCTCCTCCATGCCCCAGTGCTGACCAACAAATGGCTCTGTGAGCGGAGTATCCCTAGTGGCAGGGGTGCAGGCTATGCATGGGCCTATGCTTGGGCTCCCTTGAACAAGCCTGATCTAGCTTCTGCTGCTGCTCCTGAATGTCTGACGTGTCAGCACCATGGCTAAGCCACTGATATGGTACAGTCTCTTGAGGAGATTAATCTACCACTCAGAGGCAGGTTGATTACATCAGAGCCTTTCTGCCCTGGAGTGGGTGGTGATCTGCCCTAACTGGAATTGCCAGGCACGTTAGTTCGTTCTTACAGTGCTTTAAAGATACTATCCAAGACTAGGTAATTTATAAAGAAAAGAGGTTTGATTGACTCACAGTTCCGCATGGCTGGGGGGGCTTCAGGAAACTTACAATCATGTCGGAAGGTGAAGCAGGCACGTCTTACATGGCAGCAGGTGAGAGTGTGCGAAAGGAGGAGAGTCCCTTATAAAACCACCGGATCTCATGAGAACTCACTCTGTATAATGAGAACAGCATGGGGAAAACCACTCCCATGATCCAGTCACCTCTCACTAGGTCCTTCCCTTGACACATGGGGATTACAATTCGAGATGAGATTTGGGTGGGGACACAAGGCCAAACCATATCAGCATGTATTCCAGGCATGGGTTTTCTTTTCCTGCTCAGCCATCCCAGTGTTTGCTCAATGGGTCCAGGTATAAAGAGGCCATAGTGGAGACACATTATTCTCTTCCCAAGGTGGATTTGGCTATTGCTACCTCTGAGTGCCCAACCTGCCAACAGCAGAGATCAACACTAAGCTCCTGAAATTCCTTGGGGGACCAGCTGGCTAACCAGGGGCAAGTGGATTTCACTGGGCCCTTTCCCATCATGGGGGTGGGGAGAAGCACTTTGTCCACTTGGGGATAGACATGTATCCCGGCTATGGATTTGCATGCCCTACTTTCAGCACTTCACCGGCATCCTGTTTCATGGTCTTATAGAATGCTTCGTCTCTCACCCTGGTGTCCTTCACAGCATGTAAAATGCCAACCAGGGGACACATTTTATGGCAAAGGAAGTGTGATAATGGGCCAATGCTCACAGAATTCCTTGTCTTGGCAAGTGGCCCCTCAGCAGGAAGCAGCAGCGTGACAGAACAGAGTAAGGGTCTGCTGAAGGCTCAGTGGCCTGCCAGCAGGGAGCCCATACCTTGTGCCTTTGGGCTTGCCCTGCAGCACACCGGCCATCCCCTAACATTGCAGGGCTAAGGCAAGAATAGGGAACAGAGGCAGACACACCATATGTCTAAATATTTTAAAGTTACAAATGAGGCTCACCTTCTGCCTTCCTGTCTTAACAATCACATCTTCATAAGGAACTGGAAACCCCGATTTGAACTGAGAGTTTTTGTCTTTGTAGTGCAAGGCAAGTCAGCTTCCTACAGCAGCCTGTGGACCACTCCCTTCCCTCTCCAATCACTGGCTTTGTCCTTCCATAATATGGTATGAACACCCAAGCCTCTGTCCACATGTCCTGCATGTGAACATCCCAAGCTCTGTCCACATGTCCTGCAAACAGTTGACTCGGGGCCACCCCTTGGGCCCAGGGGTGTGCACACTGCTGGCAGTGGCACAGATCTCAGGAAGAGCACTGCACAGACTTTGGAAGTGGGCAGGGAATTGTAGGGTCCTGGGCACTGGAGGTGCCTGGGCTGGGGCGGGGGTGGGGGGCACATGGGCTCTAAGGAAGTACAACCCCTTGACATAGACTCCTCATCCTGTGAGGTCAGTGTCACAAGAGAAACAGCAGGTCCTCTGAAACACAGGCCTAAGTCAGGGCCCCTTTTGCCATACATCGTAAACCAGTGGCTGGAACATGTCTTCTTTGCCTTAGCCCGGGTGCATGGTTTGGGGAACAAAGAGTGAAAGTTGAGTATCTCCCTCACTATTACACCTCGTAGACTGCTTGAATAATTTCTGCTTCCCATCCCCATGATCCTGAATTTGGGGGATGTGAAGGTTCTAGTGCACAGTGGAGTGTTCTTGTTGGAATGCACGGTCATGGTTTCACTGAATTAGGAGCTGAAACTGCCTTCCGGGAGTTTGGAAAGAGAGATGCGGAATGTGGTAGAGAGGTAATATTCAAGTTAGTCGGCCTCCTTGTTTTTCTTTGTCTCCCCCTTGCACCTGCTCTGCCCTGATTTTACTGCTGAGGACACCTGGACCAAACAGAGGAAAGGTGAATTGGTCTCTCTCTGTCCTGGAGCCGGGATACAAGCTTCTTCTCCCGCCCTTGGAAATCAGAACTTCAGGTTCTCCGGTGTGGCCACAGATGTGAGGCAGATAGTATTTTCCCCAAGGTAATGGTGGGGGAGAAGCAAAAGCACAACTCCGGCGGCTACTCCCCTACTTTAAACACCCACAGGCGTCTGGCCGCCAGCCAAAGCTCCTGCCCTACGCTTGGCACAGACCCCTCCGCCTCTGGGGCTTTTCACAAACTTCCCATTGCATGGTGTCTTTCCTTTATGGTTAGTTCAGCATATTGGTAAAAACCAGAAGCACATCACAGTTCATTTCTAAATAGCAACCTCAACTGAGATTTTTCTCTTTAATTCGTTCATTTTTTAGGATTATGTGTCTTAATTTCCTGGCCTGTGCGCGTGCGCGTGCGGATTCTAACCGCACTGCATTGTGGTTATGAATATGATCTGTAACTTATCCATTTTTGGGGAAACCCTTTTGCTCATAGTAAATGGTCCATTTACTATGGTCCATTTTGTAAATATTCATATGTGTGCTTAAAAAGAATGTATATTCCCGGCCGGGCACGGGGGCTCACGCCTGTAATCCCAGCACTTTGGGAGGCCGAGGCTGGCAGATCACCTGAGGTCAGGAGTTCAAGACCAGTCTGACTAACATGGTGAAACCCCCGTCTCTACTAAAAAAAATTACAAAATTAGCCGGGCATGGTGGTGTGCACTTGTAATCCCAGCTACTTGGGAGGCTGAGGCAGGAGAATCGGTTGAATCTGGGAGGCAGAGTTTTCAGTGAGCTGAGATCTCGCCACCACACGCCAGCCTGGACAACAGAGTGAGACTGTCGCAAAAAATAAAATAAAAAAATAATAATAATAAAATAAAGTAGGCCGGGCGCAGTGGCTCACGCCTGTAATCCCAGCACTTTGGGAGGCCAAGATGGGTGGATCACGAGGTCAGGAGAACCACCGTGCCCAGCCCCCGCACCCCCCTTTTTTTTTTTTTGAGATGGAGTCTCGCTCTGTGACCCAGGCTGGAGTGCAGTGGTGTGATCTCGGCTCACGACAACCTCCGCCTCCCGGGTTCAAGTGATTCTCCTGCCTCAGCCTCCTGAATAGCTGGGACTACAGGCACCTGCCACCACGCCTGGCTAATTTTTTTGTATTTTTAGTAGAGACGAGGTTTCACCATATTGGCCAGGCCGGTCTTGAATGATTGACCTTGTGATCTGCTTGCATTGGCCTCCCAAAGTGCTGGGATTACTGGCATGAGCCACCACACCCAGCCTAATTGCTATATATTCTTGTAAGAGTGTTCCTTTTATCTTTACAAAATGCTACTCTTTATTTCTGTCAATAGACATTGTTTAAAATTTTATTTTTCTGATTTTAGTATTGTTTTACCAGCTTCCTTTTAGTTACTTGCCTAGTAAATATCTTCCCATTCTTTCCTATTTAATCTTGCTGTATGGTTTTTCTTTTGTTTTTAGATATGCCTTACAAACAAGACTTTTACATGAGTTAAGTCCATTCATATTGATCACAATTTCTCATACAGTTGGATATATTTCTAACATCTTATTTGGAGTTTTTGGATACCCATGCTTTTTTACTTTCATACTCCCTAGTATTCTTCTGCTTTCTGTTGGATTAAGACTTTTTTCTTTTTCATTTTTTCCCCTTCTCTATTGGTTTGGAAGATATGCATTTATTTCTATACTTTTAACTATTACTCTTACATTTTTAACATAATGTGCTTGTCCTTATAGTTTTCCATCAAAATCTCATGCTGATTAGAACACCTTTTTTCTTTCTAAACAAGACAAGAATTTTACTCCCTTTGTTGCTTCACTCCAAACGTTCCTTTTCCATGTTTTATGCTCTTGTTTTCTAATACTCACATTTACAAATATTTAATATTTTAGGTTTAGAGTTTTAGGCACTGTGATGGTTAATTTTAGGTGTCAGCTTGATTGGATTAATGAATACTTGGAAAACTGGTAAAGCATTATTTTTGGGTGTATCTGGGAAGTGTTTCCAGAGGAGACTGGTGTGTGAGTCTAAGTGGACTAAGTGGAGAAGACACACCCTTGATGTGGGCAGGCACCATCCAATTGGTTGGGGGCCCTGATAGAACAAAAACAGAGGACAGGTGAACCGGTCTCTCTCTCTGTCCTGGAGCTGGGGTACACTCTTCTCCTGCCCTTGGAAATCAGAACTCTAGCTTCCCTGGCCTATGGACTCCAGGACATAGACCAGTGGCACCCCAGGTTCTCAGTCCTTCAGACTTGAACTGAGCCATGCTGCCAGCATCCCAGGGCCTCCAGCTTGCAGACGGCCTGTTGTGTGACTTCGCAGCTCCTAAATTCGTGTAAGTCAATTCTCCTAATGAATCCCCTCTCCCCTCTCATCTCTCTCTCTCTCTCTCTCTCTCTCTCTCTATATATATATATATATATCCTATTTGTCTCTCTGGAGAACTTTGATGGATACAGGCACACACAACATAGTCATTATTTATAATCATGTAATTATTGTTAGTATTATTTATTGAGATAGGGTCTTGCTGTGTGGCCCAGGCTGGAGTGCAATGGTGCAGTCATGGCTCACTGCAGCCTCAGCCTCCTGGACTCAAGCAATTCTCCCACCTCAGCCTCCCAAATAGCTGAGACTACAGGCGTGCACCACCATGCCCAGCTATTTTTTAAAAAAATTTTTTGTAGAGACAGGGTCTCACTATGTTGCCTATGCTGGTCTCAAACTCCTGGAATCAAGCAATCCTCCCACTTTAGCCTCCCAAAGTTCTGGGATTATAGGTGTGTGCCACCATGCCTGGCCGTAATCTTGAAATTATTAATATTTAGATAAACCCATTTGTTTTATTAGCTTCTATGCTTAGTATTTCTCGTTGCATCCCACTAACTTCTTTCTGGGTTTATTTTCTTTCACTCATGTACGTCCTTTAGTAGGTATTTCAGAAGGAATATTGGCGTCAAAAAAACACTCTTAGTCTTTGTTAAGTCCGAATATGTCTAATTCACCTCACCCTTGAAGTTGAGTATAAGATTCTAAACTGACAGTTATTTCTCCCCAGAACTTTGAGGGTATAATTCAATTGTCTTCTGACATCTGTTGTTACTAATGAAAAGGCTGCTGCCACTCTGAGTATCATTTTCTTGTTAGAAACCTATTTGGGGCGGCTGTGATGGCTCACACCCATAGTCCCAGCTCTTTGGGAGGCTGAGGAGAGAGGATCACTTGAGCCCAGGAGACCAGCCTGGGCAACATGGCAAAGCCCCGAGTGTACCAAAAAAAACCCCCCCAAATTAGTTGGGCGTTGTGGTGCGCACTTGTAGAGGCTGAGGTGGGAGGATCACTTGAGCCTGGGCCACTGCACTCCAGGCCGGTTAACAGTGCAAGACTCTGTCTCCAAAAAATTTAAAAAATAAAAAATAAAAATAATAAAAAGGAAACCTATTAGCATTTGCCTCTTTTTCTGGTAGTTTTAAGTTTTTCCTTTTAATCATTGGTCTTCTGCAGTTTACCACAATCTGTGGATTTATTTTTATTTATCCTGCTCAGAACTTGGCATGTGTTTTTCAGACAGGATGCATACTCCTTACTTCAGTTCTGGACAATTCTTAGCTATTCACTTTTTTTTTCGTATTTTTAGTAGAGACGGGGTTTCACCGTGTTAGCCAGGATGGTCTCGATCTTCTGACCTCGTGATCCGCTCGACTTGGCCTCCCAAAGTGCTGGGATTACAGGCATGAGCCACCACGCCCGGCCACCTTTTTTTTTTTTTTTTTTTTTTGAATTTTTTGTTTGTTTTGAGATGGAGTCTCACTCTGTCACCCAGGCTGGAGTGCAGTGGCACGATCTTGGCTCACTGCAACCTCTGCCTCCTGGGTTCAAGCGATTCTCCTGCCTCAGCCTCCCGAGTAGCTGGGATTATAGGCACGTGCCACCACGCCCAGCTAATTTTTGTATTTTTAGTAGAGATGGGATTTCACCATGTTGGCCAGGCTGGTCTTGAACTCCTGACCTCAGGTGATCCACCCGCCTCCCAAAGTGCTGGGATTATAGGCGTGAGCCACTGTGCCCGGTGCTATTCACTTTTTTTAATGTTGTGCCTTTCCATTATTGCTATTCTTTTTTTTTCTTTTTTCTTTTCTTTTTTTTTTTTTGAGATGGAGTCTTGCTCTGTCACCCAGGCTGGAGTGCAATGGCACGATCTTGGCTCACTACAACCTCCGCCTCCTGGGTTCAAGTGATTCTCCTGCCTCAGTCTCCCGAGTAGCTGGGATTACAGGTGTGCGCCACCATGCCCGGCTAATTTTTGTATTTGTAGTAGAGATGGGCTTTCACCATACTGGCCAGACTGGTCTGGAACTCTTGACGTCCTGATCCACCGAACTCGGCTTCCCAAAGTGCTGGGATTACAGGCATGAGCCACCGCACCCGACCTATTCTTTTCTTATTTTTAATTTTAATTTTTTTTTTTTTGAGACAGAATCTTGCTCTATTGCCCAGGTTGGAATGCAGTGGTGCAATCTCGGCTCACTGCAACCTCCACCTCCTGCGTTCAAGCAATTATCGTGCCTCAGCCTCCCGAGTAGCTGGGATTACAGGCATGCACCAACACACCTGGCTAATTTTTGTGTTTTTAGTAGAGACGGGGTTTCGCCATGTTGGCCAGGTTGGTCTTGAACTCCTGGCCTCAAGTGATCTGCCCGCCTTGGCCTCCCAAAGTGCTGGAATTACAGGTATGAGCCACCACGCCTGGCCAATTATTGCTATTTTTTTCTACTAGAACTTCTGTCAGATGTTTTCTGGACTGCTTCATTTAACCTTCATGCCTCTTACCCTATTTTCCATTTTTTTCCAGATATTTAACTCTCTTTTTAGTTTTTTTTATTTTTAATTTTAAAACTATTTATTTACTTGAGACTGGGTCTCACTCTTCACCCAGGCTGGCATGCAGTGGCGCAATCTCAGCTCACTGCCGCCTTAACTTCCCGGGCTCCAGCAATCCTCCTGCCTCAGCCTCCAGAGTAGCTGGGACCACAGGTACATGCCGCCACGCCTGGCTAATTTTTGTTTTTTTGGTAGAGACAGGGTTTCACCATGTTGCCCAGTTTGGTCTCGAACTCCTGGGCCCAGGCAATTCTCCTGCTCCAGCCTCTGAAAGTGCTGGCATTAGACGTGTGAGCCACTGGGCCTAGCCCCGTTGTTTAACTCTCTATGTATTATTCTGGGGAATTTCTTCAAATCTGTCTTCTGGTTTATGTAATATCTTTTCAGCTAATTCCAAATTGCTTTTATCCATTCACTATTTTTCATTTTAATTATTTCATTTAATTAATTAATTTATTTTTATTTATTTATTTATTTTGAGACGGAGTCCCACTCTGTCGTCCATGCTGGAGTGCAGTGGTGCAATCTCGGTTCACTGCAACCTCTGCCTCCTGAGTTCAAGTGATTCTCATGCCTCAGCCTCCCGAGTAGCTGAGATTATGGGCATGGGCCACCATGCCCCGCTAATTTTTGTATTTTTAGTAGAAACAGATTTCGTTGTGATGGCCAGGCTGGTCTCAAATGCCTGACCTCATGTGACCTATCTGCCTCGGCCTCCCACAGTGCTGGGATTACAGGCATGAGCCACCGCGCCCAGACAATTTTAATTATTAAAAAAAAACTTTATAGACTTTCTATTTGAATCTTTCTCATATCTGCCTGCTGGTTTTTGCATAATGCCCTGGCTTTGTTTTATGGATTTAATTTATTCTTTATTCTCCTTGAAAAATGCAAACACACTTATTTTAAAGTGGATTCCAAATTGTCTTCTTATTTCTAGTTCACAATTTGTTGCATTTGCTAACTATTTCTCATGGTACTGGATTACCTCTATATTGTATAATTTTTATTTCTGAGTTTATCTTTGGGGGGTGTCTCTGAGGGTATTCTCTCTTGTAGGAGTCTCATGAATATCCCGAATTATAGAAATGTTCTTATGGTATCTTTTTATGGTCACCTCTTTTGGGGTCATACGGATTCTGTTTGGATTCAGTTTATTTTATTTTATTTTTATTTTTTTGAGACAATATCTTGCTCCATTGCCCAGGCTGGAGTTCAGTGGTGTGATCTCGGCTCACTGCAAGCTCCACCTCCCAGGTTCAAGTGATTCTCCTGCCTCAGCCTCCCGAGTAGCTGGAATTACAGGCATGTGCCACCACGCCTGGCTAATTTTCGTATTTTTAGTAAAGATGGGTTTTACCATGTTGGCCAGGCTGGTTTCAAACTCCTGACCTCAAATGATCCACCTGCCTCAGCTTCCCAAAGTGCTAGGATTATAGGTGTGAGCCACCGCGCCTGGGCCTGATTCAGTTTTTAATTTAGTTTGACAGCTGAGGGTTTCCACAGGTAAGCAGTGCAAACTCAGTTTAATCAAAGATGTTTACATAGTTGCTGTATTTTTAAAAGAGTGAGGATCAATAAAGGGCTCAAATTCATTCCTGCCTTGGGCAAAAGTAAACACCACCCATTAGGGGTGTTACAGTAGCTTCCTCCCCATAGGTGTTGTATGTGTCCCCAAGTCCAGTGGCAAAGCCTTTGCCTAGTATGGCAGGGACTGCTGTACCTGCCAATATCCATTTTCCCCTTCTTTCTTAGTAACAGAATCTCAATTTTATTCAGGGTGTCAAAAAGTCCAACTAAAAAAATACATTTCCCAGCTTATCTTGAAGCTGGAGGTGGTCATGATACAATTCTGACAATTCTGACAATGAGATAGCAGAGGAAATCACAGGCTTGCTAAAAAGAGGTAGACTCGGCCGGGCGCGGTGGCTCACGCCTGTAATCCCAGCACTTTGGGAGGCCGAGGCGGGCGGATCACGAGGT
Source organism: Homo sapiens (assembly GCF_000001405.40). Classification (NCBI taxonomy): domain Eukaryota; kingdom Metazoa; phylum Chordata; class Mammalia; order Primates; family Hominidae; genus Homo; species Homo sapiens. The sequence continues at coordinate 49,100,054 of NC_000017.11, forward strand.
CAGGAGATCGAGACCATCCTGGCTAACACGGTGAAACCCCGTCTCTACTAAAAATACAAAAAAAAAATTAGCCGGGCGTGGTAGCGGGCGCCTGTAGTCCCAGCTACTCGGGAGGCTGAGGCAGGAGAATGGCGTGAACCCGGGAGGCGGAGCTTGCAGTGAGCCGAGATCGCGCCACTGCACTCCAGCCTGGGCGACAGAGCGAGACTCCGTCTCAAAAAAAAAAAAAAAAAAAAAAAAGAGGTAGACTCAACGGGCAATCCCAGCCTTTTGTACTTAGCTGTTTCTTCCCTCCCCCTCCCCACCAGTAGGTGTGTGGAATTGCTTCCATCTTAGCAGCCATCATGAATGAGGTTGAAAGCTCACCCTAGGAATAAGAGTGGGGAGCTCAGGCCGGGCGCAGTGGCTCACGCCTGTAACCCCAGTACTTTGGGAGGCCAAGGAGGGTGGATCATTTGAGCCCAGGAGTTTGAGACCAGCTTGGGCAAAATGGCGAAACCCCGCCTCTATTAAAAATACAAAAATTAGCTAGGTGTGATGGCTTGTGCCTGTAGTCCCAGATAGTTGGGAAGCTGGGGTGGGAGGATCACCTGTGCCTGGGGAGGTAGAAGTTGCAGTGAGCCATGATGGCACCACTGTACTCCAGCCTGGGTGACAGGGTGAGACACTCTCAAAAAAATAAAAAAAGTGGGGAGCTTGAGGACCCTAGGTCCCTGGTGATGTAAAACTGCCTTATCAGCTCTGAATTACCTTCCTCTGAATGTCTTGTTATATGAGATAAACAAAGCTGCCACATTTTTCAGAGTTATGTGAGACAAATAAAACTGCCACTTTCAAGCCACATTTTTGAGAGTCTCTTTTTTGTGTGTGAATTTTTTTTTTTTTTTTAAGAGGCAGGGTCTCACTAGGTTGCCCAGGCTGGTTTCAAACTCCTGGGCTCAAGTAATCCTCCTACCTTGGCTTCCTAAAGCACTGGGATTACAGGTATGAGCCACCATGCCAGCCCCCTAGCAGTCTTTAAGTGCTCAAAGCTAAAAAGAGTTTACAATCCTGAGGGTGTGTGCATAAACGGAGACAGGATATAAACAAGACTGAATAATGGGACAGATAAGCCCTGGCTTGCTAATCTATCACAGATAAAGCGATGTGGTTAGAAGCTCCTGGAACTTTTTCTATGGTTAAATCCGAAGCAATGCAGAATTCCACTCCAGCTCACCACCTCTCTTTAGTCATCCTGCGGTTCCTAGGCCTGGGACCTTACAGCACTGCCATCAGGCACCCAACCAAACCTTGTGATGTCAGGTACCCTGAGGCTTACACAGTGCCACCTGTGTAAGTGGCACCTGTGATTGGATGAGTCACCTTTGTAAACAGTGCAGGTAGAAAATATGGTTACAAATAACTGCAAACAAAATCTGCACACTCATCACTTGACTACCTAGGTTCTCAATGGAGCCTCTGAACTAACCATGGAATAAATGCAACTGTGTGGTATTCCCAGGGGAGTCAGATAACAGGCAGACAATGCCACTAGATGCCCTTTAGAGTGGAAGGTCATTTTGTTCCTCAGCAAAATGGCCCTAGAGAAGTTGGGAGCTGATGGGGGTGTCACTGAGTAATGGATGAATGACTCCAAGCATGGACAAAAGCTGCCTGTGTAGCTTTGGTGGTAACTGTGGCTGGCTCTCCTACTAGTACTATGTTCTCTTTATTTACTTGAGAACAAGTTTGCCAGGTCCAGGTGATGAAAAGCAGTGCCCCTAGATCATCTCTGTCCCTGCTTTCCTGTCTGGGCCTGTGCATGGGCAGAACAGATCCCCTTAAGAGAGTCACAGCTCTGACAAACCAAGAAACTTTCTTAACGTGTTTGAGTAGAACAGGGAGTCAGTGGTACATGGAGAGCTGAGGATTTACAGATGGAATGGATATTTATTAAGTATTCCAAATCCAGCCAGGGCCTGAAATTCATGGGCATGATGGCATAAAGACTGTGTGGCTCTGTAACACAGGATGAGAGATGTGAGAGAGCTGTGGCCACTGGTTGGGACATTATAAATTAGTCAGAATGAGTCACAACTAGAGCTAAACAGAAGAGGGCACAAGGATAATTCTCTTAAAATTTGTGTGGGCTGGGCATGGTGGCTCATGCCTGTAATCCCAGCACTTTGGGAGGCCGAGGCGGGACAATTGCTTGAGCCCAGGAGTTCAAAACCAGCCTGGGTAACATGGTGAAACCTCATCTCTACACACACACAGACACACACACACACACGAACAAAAAAACAAACAAAAAACCTACTGGGTGTGATGGTGCATGCCTGTAGTCTCAGCTATTTGGGAGGCTGAGGTAGGAGGATCACTTGAGCCTAAGAAGCAAGTGAAGCCTGCAGTGAGCCATGATCATGCCACTGCACTCCAGCCTGGGTGACAGAGTGAGATCTCATCTGAAAAAAAAAAATTCTGTGGCTTCCTGAAGCACAGGCTGGAGGATACTGAGCTGTGTGTTGAAGAGGAAAATACTGGTATCAGTTAACACTTGGTCTTTGACATGAGGATTCTAGCTTATAGCCTGATGTGGTATTTAACATCCTCATCCAGCCATGGAAATATCCCCTTTAGAGCCAGGTACTGAATATATGGAAAAAAATGTGTGTGTGTGTGTGTGTGTGTGTATTATATATAAGATACATATATAAGTTATTATGTTATTATATATTATATATAATATATATAATATTATTATATATCATATATAAGATATATAAGATAGATATATGATATATATAAGTGAGATATATATAAGATATATCTCATCTTATATATAAGATAGATATATAAGATAGATATCTATCTTATATATATCATATATATCTTATGTATAAGATAGATATATAGGATAGATATCTATCTTATATATATCTTATATATCTATCTTATATATCTTATATATCTATCATATATATCTATCATATATATCTATCTTATATCTATCTTATATATATCTTACATATATCTTATATATCTTATATATCATATATCTATCTTATATATATCTTATATATATCTATCTTTTATATATATCTTATATATCTATCTTATATCTATCTTATATATATCTATCATATATAAGATATACATATCTATCTTATATATAAGATAGATCCATCTTATATATAATATATACATACATAATACATACGTGTGTGTGTGCGTGTATATATATATATACACACATATATACAAAGGGTACTTCCTTTTTTTTTTTTTTTTTTGAGATATAGTCTTGCTCTGCCAGGCTGGAGTACAGTGGCGCCATCTCAGCTCACTGCAACCTCTGCCTCCCGGGTTCAAGCAATTCTCCTGCCTCAGACTCCCCAGTAGCTGGGACTACAGGCACGTGCCACCACGCCCAGCTAATTTTTGTATTTTTAAGTAGAGACGGGGTTTCACCATGTTGGTCTACTGACCTCGTGATCCGCCCGCCTCGGCCTCCGTAAGTGCTGGGATTATAGGCGTAAGCCACGGTGCATGGCCCCACGAAGGGTACTTCTTTACGGAGCCAGCTCAATTCTCCCTCACAATTTTCATACATAGGCCACAAATATTAGAAAAAGATCACCAAGAAATGTAGTAGCTTGGCAGTGCAAGGATAGAATCATTTTAAAATAACAGCTTTATGCCTTAGCCATAAAATACAGCTGAAATCACTGCTGCCGATGAAACTCTGTGGCTGGTGCCAGAACGGTACATAACTTGGAAACAGAAATTGTGGGAAGTGGCTTCAGAATTTAATAACGAACATTTTATTATTTTCAGAAGTATAGGAAACTGTGTTAATGTTTATAAATATCAAACACTGGGAATTTATGGTCATAAATGCCAACCAAGAAAAAAAAAGGACACCCGTTTGTAGAAAAGTGAAAGTTCAGCTACCTTATGTCCTGGTTGGTGCTTTTTGGATAAGAAAGCTGTGATGTTAATACTTAAAATCACCTCCCATGTGGTCCAAACCCACAGATCCTAGATCTCAAATTCTTATGTGGAAATTTGGGATTCTCGTAAATTTCAAAAGCCAACATATCTTCTTGGAACCTTCCATTTTCTTCCAATACTCAGATATAGAAAGAGAAAAAATGGAGTCTTAAGAAAGCTATTGGCTGGGTGCAGTGGCTTACACTGTAATCCCAGCACTGTGTGAGGCCAAGGCGGGAGGATCACTTGAGCCCAGGAGTTCAGAGACCAGCCTGGCCAACCTGATGAAACCCTGTCTCTACAAAAAATACAAAAATTAGCTGAGCGTGTGGCATGTGCCTATAGTCCCAGCTTCTTGGGAGGCGGAGGTGGGAGGATTGCCTAAGCCTGGGAGGTGGAGTTTGCAGTGAGCTGTGATGGTGCCACTGCACTCCAGCCTGGGTGACAGAGTGAGACCCTGTCTCAAAATAAGTAAATAAAATTAAAAAAGCAAACCATTGGTGAACAGCTTTGATTTCTAGACCAGTTTTTGAGGCCGATGGCTATTTTAAGGAGGTGTATAAAGCTACTGTTTACCATAACAGTGTTGTGTAACAAACCACCCCAAAGTTAGTGGGATCCAACAGTAAGCAGTAACTATCACACTCATGCTCACAGGTCAGTCAGTGGGTCAGCCAGAGCAGCTCTGCTTCACGATCTCTCATTCCTCAGGAGCCACAACATTTTCTTCCCATGACAATGGCAGTGGCATAAGCAAAGTTAATAGAAACATGCAACGCCCCTGAAGTCCTGGGCTCGTTCTGGCACACTGTCACTTCGTCCCATACCCCATTGGCTAATGCAAGTCACACGGCCAATCCCAACACTAGTGGAGTGGGAAAGTATACTTAACCTCTGATGGGAGGAACTACTAATCTAATACCAAGTCACATCACAGAGGGCACAGATACAACTGGGAACTATAATATCATCTACTTGGCCGGGTGCTGTGGCTCATGCCTGTAATTCCAGAACTTTGGGAGGCCGAGGCAGGGGATCACCTGAGATCAGGAGTTCGAGACTAGCCTGGCCAACATGGCAAAACCCCATCTCTACTAAAAATCCAAGAATTAGCAGGGCACGGTGGCATGTGCCTGTAATCCCAGCTACTCAGGAGGCTGAGGCAGGAGAATTGCTAGAACCCAGGAGGTGGAGGTTGCAGTGAGCTGAGATGGCGTCACTGCACTCCAGCTTGGATGACAGAATGACACTCTGACTCAAAAAAAAAAAAAAAAATCTACTCTAGGTGGTACGTTCACCAGCAGTTTAGCGCGAGGAGGTGTATATGACCCGGGATTGTGATGACAACGTCGAGAGGTTGAGAAAGATGAAAACATATCTAACGTGTACAGGCATACATTAGACTTAGCAACATGATGATCATTGGTGACCTTAGCAAAAGCAATGCTGGTGACACAGTGGCATGGAGTCCTGGTGGGGAGATTAAGAACCGTGGCAGATGGGGGAATGGTGGCATCAAAGATACACAACTCTTTAGGAAAATCTGGAGGAAGGGAGGAATAAAGGAAGGAGAACAGCAGCTGAAGAGAAAAACAGAGCAGACTTTTTTGTTTTTAGTAAGAGAAATGTGAGCATGTTTAAATATTGCCTGTAAGGGTCCAGTAGAGAGGGAGAAGTTGAAGATACAGGAGATTGAGAGGCTATTGAAAGGGTGAGGCTCTGAGAAGGGGGCAGGGAGGGACCCAGGGAACAAGTAGGACTTGCACTGTGACTAGGAGAGGGACCTCACCAGGTCCTACTCGACTTACAATGAACTTAGAGGTGACATCAATTCCCTCATCCTTTTCACAAGCGGTGTGGTTATTCCCTGAGTCCATTTTCCAGTAACAGACCAACAGCACAAATCTGAATATCCCTCTGACCGTTTCACTACTAGATAGAACCAACATTGGTTTTGTTTCTGTCATCTAGTATATTAGTCACACCTCTCATCTTTGAATCATCTACCAAGTGCCATCGATATACAAATTAATATTTATTCTTCTTATCTTTATTCTAAGAGTGTTGGTGTGAGAAGGTGGAGATTATTATAGGGAAAGGATGGGCCAAAAGGAGAGAGTAGAAGTTGAGGCCCAGGGAGGTGAAGCTCAAGGACACACAGAGCTGGGCACAGTTGGAGCTGGGATCATGGTTGGGTCTCTTGCATCTTGGCTTAGGGCTCCGCCACAATTAGATAGCCCAGTGAGAAATGCGGAGCCTCATAAATCCCGCTTTGTCCTTTATTCCATGTTTAGTATGTTATCTGTAGATACGAATTTAAGAGCTGGGCAAACTCCAGTGTCATGCTAATGAATTTTTTTTCAGCTATAATTAACACCTGGCTAAAACAGCTAAAGCAGCCAGGCCATTGATCACCACTTTGCCTGGAGCCAGGAGAGCCTGCTCCAGGGAGGTTTCAGTGACTCACTGAGGACCTAAGCTCATCCTCTTTTCCTGCTCTGCCATTCTCACTAGTGTTTCTCTTCATGGTGGAGATGAAGATGGCATCTCCCCAAATGGAGTGAGTGGGTCGGGGGCTCTCTTTCTTGGGGGAATCTTTCCCTGAGGTTCCTGGCATGCTTCCCCGAAGCTTCTTCCCAGCCCCAGCCCTAGCCCCTGGCTGAGCCGCGTAGAAAAGTCTGGCACAACAAGAAGAGCACTGCTGGAATCCTGATGTTTCAAACTCCTTTCCTAAGTGTGGAAGTTCCAGGCTAGGAATTCCAACAATTTCAGAACTGGTGGTGTTTGCTTCAAAAGGAGAAATGTTGCTGGAATCCCAGAAGCCACCTTCCTATCCCTGGGTCATTCCTTGTCTCTGAGGAAGATCTCACTCCTTGTTTACTCTAGAAATGAGTGTTAGTGGGAAAGTCTGCAACAATGTTAGTGAGATCAAGGCCACTCAGCTCTTGTACTCTGTGACTCAAGCCATTTATCTTATCTTGCTCTTTCCATGTGTTGTGTAATGCCAAGCAAAGCCTTGGAGAGGGGCAGGTTCATTCAGGTGCATTTAGGCCTATAGAGAAAGGAATAATGTGCTCAGGATACAGAATTTGAAGACATTATGGTGGAATTACATAAGGATGTGAAGGAGTGAATGAAATAGCATTAAAAGAACCTTTGGAGTCTTAAAAATGTTAGCAAATGAGTATATATAACTATTTAGTATTTACTCCTTTGCCAAACACTGTTCTAAATGCTTTACTTGTATTAACTCTCAATATACTTGATAGCCCTTTAAGTTAAGTACTATTATCATTATCATTTTACAGATAAAGCAACTAAAGCACAGAGAGGTTAAGGGACTTGCCCATGGTCACACAGCTACAAAGTAGAACAGAAATTTACCCAGACAGTCTGCCTCCAGAGTCTATACTCTTACCCACCTTATTACGCTAACTTACTGCTCCTTAAGAAAATGAAAGAAATGCAAAATCCATCCAAGCAATGAAGAAATTAGATGCAATCTTTGTGAGGGTTGATCTTGTCAACTGAATTGAGGATGTCGAGGCAGAAATGTATTTTTATACACACACACACACACACACACACACACACACACACACACATTTTTGTTTTTAGACACAAGGTCTCACTATGTTGCCCAGGCTGAATTTGACTCCTAGGCTCAAGCAACTCTCTGCCTTCAGTCTCCTGAGTAGCTGGGACTATGGGTATGTGCCGCTGTGCCAAGAAATAATTTTACAAACGTTTATTGAAAGCAAAATGTGAGAATTGACCTGGAAGACACACCAACAAAGTCAGAGGTGTTCTGGAGTCTGTCACATAGTGAAAGATTTTTATAGAAAAGTTTAAAAGAAGGGAGGGAGGCTCCTCACACCAGAGTTGTCCCCTCTTCATTGGAGGGTACAATATAGCAGTTATGATCATTAGATAAAAATTATATCATATAGGCTAAAAAAAATGTCTACATGAAAGACACTCAGTAGAACTTCATACTTCAGCTAATCCTAAATCAGCCTCCTAGTCAATGTCAACAGGCCATACAATGATTGGTACATCAACAGTCTGAGGAACTTACAATAAGATTCCTTACTCAGTGGCAGAATGTCTCCAAGTCACAAGACCTCTCCAAAGTGGATTGATTTGGAAGCCTGCTTAACATAATGTGACTTGTAGGTTATCAGTTCCCCCCTTTTGATCAGACTCTTTCCACGGGAAGTGGAGACTGCAGTGAGCCGAGAGTGCGCCACTGCACTCCAGTGTGGGCCACAGAGCGAGATTTTATCTCAAAAAAACAAAAACAAAACAAAACAAAACAAACACCAAAACTCTTCCCGTGGAAACATTGGTGATCAGTCTCTGCTTAGGTTGGAGTGGCACAAACCTGTGGTACTGGCTAGGTTGGAGTGAAAGTTCTTCATTCCTTGGCACTGGGAAGTCTCATTGGCAGGAAGTCATGTTTCTCAGCAGGGGAGAAAGAGCCTTGTTATTGCATGTGGGCCAGGTTGCTAGCAAAGTGGGGCAGTCGTGATTTGAAGCTATTCTCATGCTATTCTCTTGAATAATGAATCACCCCCAGCACTAGGAGAGCATTATTCTGGCCTTAGTCTTTGACCTAAAGCAAACAAAAATGTAATTCGTAAGTAACTTAATATTCAGGAAAATAACAGTTATGCTAATGATTATAGTAATAACAACTTGAAGACCAGAATGGAATAAAAACTTAGTCCCGAGGGTAACCAACGAAAAAAGTCATTTAGAGGATCAGTTTTTATTATGCCTGTAACCAATTAGCCTTTTAAATTACCATTTCTCAAGTTTCCACTTCTATAGAGGTGTTAATATAGGTACAACAAGTAGTACGAGCTACTGTGCAGACACCTCCTTGTTTAGCCAATAAATAGTCCAAGGCAATTCTGTTATTTAGTACTACCTGGGCTAAAGAATTTAAAGATTTTTTGTTGAGCTGCAATGCTTTTTGCAGTGTCTCCAGCTATCTGATCAATGGTAGCTGATGATAGGTTTCTAATTATATGCAGATCCTCTTAGCTTGATGTAGTCCTCTTACCTCTGTAAGATAGAGAAAAAAGGGATCTTTTTGTTGATTTTTATGCAATGACAAAGGATTTAGAAAATGTCCTAACAAGTATACACCTTCTGTCTGCCAGCTATTAAAGCAATGGGCCCATCCTTATGTAGGCAAATCAGTCCCAATGCCACATACAAACACAGAACCCATGGGAGGCAGGTGATTCCCCTCAAGGTATTTTTGTTAATAGACTCATTCATGGGGAGTAACAATACCAAATTAAATCAGGGATTTCCTCCTTTGCATGCCTTCTGGAATCCATTTACATGGTAGCCTATTGATTTATATTGTTGGCATAGTAGAGGCTCATTTTTATCTTCTTTAACACATTTGTTTATCCAATAACACATGGATCAAGGAGGTCCTGGAGTATAGTCTGGGTTAAAACTCAGGCCAACCTTAACAACCAGAGACAAATTTAAACAGGGGGTGATAGTATTGGGGTTATGAAGTTAGACCTAGAAAGTTAATCCCCAAAGGATTGTTCTAAATAAGTGGTGACACCAGGGACATCTGAAAAGTCAGCGACAGGTGTTACTAATGGCATATATTGGTAATGAATAGATCTAGGAATCATATTGCAGATCCAAAAATCAGCTATGTTTCCCCCAGTGGCAATACTTTGGGATAGTTTAATCGAAGTGCTAGCCGGGCATGGTGGCTCATGCCTGCAATCCCAGCACTTTGGGAGGCCTAGGCGGGTGGATCACTTGAGCTCAGGAGTTTGGGACCAGCCTGGGCAACATAGCAAGACCTCATCTCTACTAAAAAATAATAAAAATAAAAAATTATCCAGGCATGGTGGCACACACCTGTGGTGCCCAGGCTAAGGCAGGAGGAGTGCCTGGCTAATTACGTTTTTCTAAAAAATTGAGACAGAGTCTCACTGTGTTGCCCAGGCTGGTCTTGAACTCCTGGGCTCAAGTGATCCTCCTGCCTTGGCCTCCCAAAGTGCTGGGATTACAGGCTTGAGCCACTGTGCCTGACCTGGAGGTCACTCTCTGATTAAACAATCCACTCAGAAGATTTAGTATTTTTTAAAATGAGAAAAATGGACTTCTTTTAATTTTGCAGTGCAGGGGTGTGAGGAGTACCTGATAAGGACCTCTCCAACGAAGCTGGAGAGAATCTTTAAAAAGGTCTTTTCCAGGATACTAAATCACCTGGTTTTAAGTTATGAAATTTTTTGTCTTCACCTCTTGGGAGTGCACTATGGAAAGTCCCTTACCAGCCAGCTGTTATTAAGAAACTTAACAAAGTTTTTACAATAGCGTAGAATTTCACCTTTTAGTCCTGTTGAATTAAAACTAGGGTCCTGTGATGATGAAGGCTAATCAGTAATGATTGCATATGGAGACAATTTATGTTTTCCAAAAGGAGTGGATCTCATGTTAAGCAAGACCAGTGGAAGAGCCTTAGGCCATATAAGGTTAAAAGCTTCTGTTAACTTAGCCAGTTGGGTTTTTATAGTCCCATTAGTGCGCTTAACCAACCCAGAAGACTGAGGGTGAGAGGCACAATGGAAGTGTTGTATAATAGGCAAGATTTCACAAATTGATTTCATGACCAGTCCTGTAAAATGGATTCCTCATCACTGTGGAGTCCCAAGGGGATTCCCCAATATGGGATAATGCATTCTCATAGCATTCCTCCTACTGTTAAGGTGGTGGCTCTTCTGCATAGAAAGGCTTCCACCCAATAAGAAAACATGCAAATCATAACCAGGACATATTTGTAGCCTTGGGAGGGTGGTGTCTGGATAAAATCCAATTGCTACACCTCAGAAGGTCCAAGGGATAAGGGAAAGTGCCCAGGAGTGCTATGGAAAGACTTGCCCATGTGATACATCCTTTGCAACCAGGGGCACTGGTTGATATATCTAGATGCCACCTTCTCTGCTACAGTAAATGATGGTTTTCAATCCCCACTCAGTCATCTTTTTGGGACCCCAGTGGGTCCCCAACTTGTATACACACTCCAAAAATGGAAACTGCAATCCAGTGGGCATTATGGGTTTGTTATCTGGATCTGGGCCATACCATATACGAGTCTGAGAAGAATATTGTCTCCATTTTCCTTCCCAAACCTTATTTTCTGTATCTGGGGCAGCCTGTTGAGCCTCCCTCAATATTGAGGGGTTTAATTTGAATATTTGTATGAAATAAGAGTTAGGGGAACCAAATTTCTTAGTTAAGGCAACTTCTTTAGCTACCTGATTTGCAAAATAGTTGCCTCTAGCTTCAGGCTCATTTCCTTTAGAGCGGGGTATCCAGTCTTTTGGCTTCCCTGGCCCACATTGGAAGAAGAAGAATTGTCTTGGGCCACACATAAAATATGCTAATGCTAACAATAGCTGATGAGCTAAAAAAAGAAATCACAAAAAAACCTCATAATATTTTAAGAAAGTTTATGAATTTATGAATTTGTGTTGGGCTGCATTCAAAGCCGTCCTGGGCCTCATGTGGCCTGCAGGTTGTGGGTTGGACAAGCTTGCTTTAGAGTGTCTCAGGCCTTTTTTTTTTTTTTGAGACAGGGTCTCACTCTGTTGCCCAGAGTAGAGCGAGTACAGTGGTGCAATCATGGCTCACTGCAGCCTCGACCTCCTAGGCTCAAGTGATCCTCCTATCCCAGCCTCCTGAATAGCTGGGACTATAGGTGTGTGCCACCACACCTGGCTAAATTTTTGTATTTTTTGTAGAGAGGGGTTTCACCATGTTGCCCAGGCAGGTCTCAAACTCCTGGGCTCAAGCAATCTGCCTGCCTTTGTCTCCCAAAGTGTTGGGATTACATGCGTGATTACAGGTGTGAGCCACCACACCTGGCGCTAGGACTTTGATAATGGCCAAAGCTTTAGGTTTTTTGAACTGCACCTAAGAGCTCTGAAACTTGTTTTTCATTTTTAGTGCTCTGCCCAGCAGAGGTAAGGAATACTCTTTGTTTTCATAGCATACCAAAATCATGAGCCACACCAATGGCATACCTGCTGTCAGTATAAACATTTGCAGTTTTTCCTTCAACTAAGAAACAAACACGAGTTGAAGTTGCTAATTCTGCCTTCTGGGCTGATGAAACATTAGGTAATCATCCATCCTCGATAACATCCTTGATCACGTACTTGAAACTACTGTATAACCTGCAGAAAATTTCCTATCTTTACTTCTCAAGTAGGATCCATCTGTGAACCAAATAAAATCTGGATTGTACAAGGTTCTTTCCTGTAACTCAGCTCTTGGGAGAAGGAGTTGAGCAGTTAAGTGTCAAACAGTTATGGTGAGATGCGTTGAATGGAAGGGGCAAAAGCGTAGCAGAGTTCAACTATTGCATTGAGTAATAGTTACGTTAGGAGATGAAAGTAAAAGGATCTCATAAGAAGCCAGTGGACTCATTGATTAACATTGGGTGTGATATGAATTTAAGAGTGCTTCAATGGAATGAATGGAGCATATATAGTTATGGGGGACCCATTGTTATTTCTTCTATAGACCTAAATAGCAGGGCAATAGCTGAAATAGCACTTAGACATGGGGGCAGGCCTTGAGCCACTGAGTCCACCCTCTGGTTGTAATACCCTGTGGGTCTGTTATGATTCCCATGTTTTTGTATAAGAACTCTCAAGGCATTCCCATGTGTTTAATGCACAAATAAAGAGAAAGGCATTTTGTAATTTGGGTGTCCTAAAGCTGGAGTTCCATTAGGGCTTGTTTAGTTTGATTTATGGCTTTCTGGCTTTTTTCTGTCCATATTAATAGCTCTGGCTGGTCAATTTTTAGTAATTCACAAAGAGGTTGGGTCATTGGAGAAAAATCAGGATTACAGTTTTGACGATATCCTGCCAATCAGAGGAAGCCTCATAGCTATTTCTTAGTGTTTGGTTTTAGAAAGGCAATTATGCCTTTAACTCTATCAGAGTTGATGGAAAACCCCTCCTTAGATATTGAATGACCCAAACATTTAACTTGTTCTTGGCATAACTGGAGTTTTTCTTTAGAGAGTTTGTGACATTTGCCTGTGAGTTGCCTTAGAAGATGCAGGCACCCCCATATGAGTGAGCATATGTGATATTTGTCTTTCTGTGCCTGGCTTAAATAAGCTACTTAATATAATGTCCTCCAGTTCCATCTGCATTGTTGCAAATGATAGGATTTCAATCTTTTTTATGGCTGAATAATATTCCATTGCATGTATGTGCCACATTTTCTTTATCTATTCATCTATGGATGGACACCTAGGTTGATTCCATATCTTGGCTATTGTAAATAGTGCTGCAGTAAACATGGGAGTGTGGATGTTCTTTTGATAAACTTGTTACCAGAAGCTGGGAAGGGTAGTGGGGAGAGGGATAAAAAGGGGGTGGTTAATGAGTAAAAAAATACAGTTAGATAGAAGAAATAAGATCTAGTATTTGGTAGCACAATAGGGTTACTATTTTTTTTTTTTTTTTGAGACAAAATCTCACTCTGTTGCCCAAGCTGGAGTGCACTGGCATGATCTTGGCTCACTGCAACCTCCACCTCCCGGGTTCAAGCAGTTCTCCCACCTCAGCTTCCTGAGTAGCTGGGACTACAAGCACGTGCCACCATGCTCAGCTAATTTTTGTATTTTTTGGTAGAGACGGGGTTTCACTATGTTGGCCCAGCTGGTCTTGAACTCCTGACCTTGTGATCCACCCGCCTTGGCCTCCCAAAGTGCTGGGATTACAGGCATGAGCCACCGTGCCCAGCTGGGAGACTATTGTTAACAATAATTTATTGTATATTTTAAATGTTTGAGGTAGTAGATAACTCTAATTACCCTGATTTGATCATTACACATTGTATGCTTGTATCAAAACCTCACATGTACCCCATAAATATGTACAACTATTATATATCCATAATAATTAAAAATAAAACATCTTTAGAAAGATGCAGGCTATCCTGCTGAAAAGTAAACAAGTTAGGTGAACAAAGAAGTAAATCATCTATGTACTAAAGTAAAGTAGAAACATTTCAAGTGAGACATCATTTAGATAAACTTTCAGGATCAGTGAAAAATAAATGGGGCTTTCAATATACCCTTGAGGTATAACAGTCCAAGTATACTGTCAATTATTCTGAGTAAGGCAAACAGATACTGGCTATTAGGATCCACAATAATTCTAATAGACACTACATAAGTGTACTACTGTAAAAATGGTGCTATTCTTGGGAATGTTAGCTAACAAAGTGTGTGGATTGGGAACCACAGGGTGCTGTGGCACTACAGTGTTGTTGATAGCCGTTAAGTCCTGTACAAATCCCCATCCTTCACCATTAGGCTTTTGAACAGGCAGAATAGGGGTGCTGCATGGACTGGTGCAGAGAAGGATAAATCCCTTCTTGATATACTCTTTAATTATGGGTTTAATTCTTTGGAGTGCCTCTGGTCACAAAAGATACTACTTGACGTTTGATTTTTAAGGGTTTACTTCCATTTTAATGGTAGTAGCTGAAAGAATTTCCCCAATTTCAGTGAAAGACTGGGACCACAGTGGGCTAGCAAGGTATCAAGCAAATTGTTTGATAGACTCAGAAGACTTTTCTGAGGGGCCAGAGGTTGCTGAACAAATTTAAATAGAACAAGCAGGGGAAGAAAAATTTAAGTGACATGTCAGTTGGTTCTGCTTCAGTTGGTTCTACTGACAGGTTCAAATACATTATCCCCTTTGGAAAAAAAGAAATATGTGCATTGTGTAATTCTAGGAAATCTCTCCCAAGAAGGTGAGTCAGGGCTGAAGGTACAAGTAAAAATTCATGATAATGGACTAAGGTATCTAATTGGAAAGGCAACAGTAAGGTTTTGTGCACAGTCATGGGTCGGTTAGAGATTTCCACCATGTTTAAGGTTTCTGCACTCCAAGGAAGGGGCCCTTTAAGGAGGTGGAATTTAAAACAGATAAAGTTGCTCCAGTATCAATTAAAGCCTTGGTCTTTTCACCATTAGTAGTTAAATTCATTTCACCAAGGGCATTAGAAGGAAAGGAAAGGACCCTGGAATTTCCTCAAAGCAGTCTTACTCTGATGGTTCTGTCATGGCCTTTTCTTCCAGTTGCCACTTGAGCTTTCTGGAATCCTTTTTGATGTGACCAGGATTCTTACAATAAAAACGTACATTTCTCTGATCTGGTGAGGGCTGAAACTGCTGTTTTTGAAATCCCTGTTGTGGATTGGCCAACTGTTGCTACTTGAAAGCTTATAATCCTAGCAGATTTAGACTTTTCTTTTTTGTGGAGAAGGCCACAATATTAACTAGATCACATATCTGAGTGGTTGCTCAATTTATCTGATGTCACTTAACGAGGGTAACAAACTCTTAGTCAAGGCCGTTAAGAAAAGCTGAGCTTAACATAGATTCATTTTTTTCTATTATTAACACTGTTATCAGACACACCAAAGTATTGTTTAAATGTCTTTTTGAATCATTCAAAATTATCTAAATCTGTTATGTTAGGACCTTGGCAGCATTGCCAAATTTTACCCAATCTATATGTTTTGGAAAGACTTTTGGGATGGCATCTAAAAGCTCTCTGGCTAAAGCGCTAGCTTCTATTCTGTTGTATACCTTCATTTGCTCTATTAAAGTTTTCCAGAGGATTTTGCCAATTAGCATTTTTAATCCATTTGGTGTCCCTCTCTTCTGAAATCAATAGTCCCCCTAGTAGCTGGGACCACAGGCACGTGCCAATATGCCTGTCAAATTTTTGTATTTTTTGAAGAGATGGGCTCAAGCAATCCACCTGCCTTGGCCTCCCAAAATATTGGAATTACAGGCGTGAACCACTGCACCTGACTATGACCCAATTTTTATGTTCTGTTTTATCCCAGGGAGTATAAACAAGAGCAGGTGTGCCTCAGTTAGTAGATTTTGTCTGGAATGGACAGGGAGCTTCTCAGGAGGATCCAAAAGCAAGGGAGGAGAAAGAGGAGAATTGAGAGTTCAGAGCAAGGAAGTTCAGAAAGGGTAGGGTCTAGTGGCATGGAAAACATATCAACAAAGTTGGAGGTGCTCTGGAATTTGTCACAGGTAGATTTTTATAGAAAAATTTAAAAGAAGGGAGGGGGTAACTCCTTATACCTGAGTTGTCCTCTTTTCATTGGAGGGGACAATACAGAAGTTACAATCATTTGCTACAGATTACATCATACAGATTAATTAGTCATTAATTAGTTTGGAAGCCTGCTTAACATAATGTGAAGTTATCAGCTTCAGTATACTCAAATTTAATGAAAGAATTGATGATGGTGTAGCATGGACTCAAATGGATAGGTCCCATGAGAACTCCTCTGTTACTGGATATAGATTTGCAATTCCAGCTGGCTGAGCTTTTGTTTAAAAAGGGCTCAGCACATCTGTAAGGGAGAATCAAGTTTTGCATCCCAGTCAAAACTTTCCATGTAATAAACAACTCAGCCTACTGAGATGGTAATCCTAGTTATTGCTGGGTAGAGTGAAATTGTCCTCTTAGTAACTAAGTTTATGGACAGTTCAGAGTTCATATATAGAGATGATAAAATAAATCCATTGTATTAGTACTTTTCTGTTATCTTCAGGAATAACATGTATTAATAAGCAGTTAAGTAATTGATTCTAAACACATGATTTTTAAGAGAAATATGTGAGAATATATGAAGTTTATAAACAGTGATGGAATGTTCAAAGATAACTTGAGATTTACTATATGTTATCAGTTTATTAGGGTTTTCTGATTAGATGCTTAGAGAAGTTGTACTTAGCTGATGAAACAAGTGAAATGCTTAAAAAAGAAAAATGACTATGTTATCTTTAACAATGCAAGTTAAAATGTTTAGGGAATTTAATTAACTAAGATTGTCATGGAAAAGAAGGCTATCTGACCACCAAATAAGCTGGGCTCCCTTTCCACAGAAGTCCACTGTAGTTTGTTGTTGATAGGAACTGGCTGCCTGACGTGGGACTCCATTCTCAACCTCTTGTGGTTAAGTGGACCAGGTGACCAGCTATAGTCAGTGGGAGGGAGTAGAAGTTAAGTGTATCCCCTCTGGGCCATCAGGTTTGGGTATGTGGCTTGCTTTTCCCATGACCTTCTTTCCATTGTGTGTTGACTTCAGAGGCCACACATCAAGGATGAAGACTTTACCAGATGGAAAGAGCCTGAGTCCCTGAATCACTTTTTCTTTTATCTGAGACAGAGTCTCTCTCTGTTGCCCAGGCTGCAGTGCAGTGGTGCAATCTCAGCTCACTGCAACCTCCACCTCCTGGGTTCAAGCCATTCTCTTGCCTCAGCCTCCAGAGTAGCTGGGATTACAGGTGCCCGCCACCACTCCTGGCTAATTTTTGTATTTTTAGTAGAGACAGGGGTTTCACCATGTTGGCCAGGCTGGTTTTGAACTCCTGACCTCGGGTGATCTGCCTGCCTTGGCCTCCCAAAGTGCTGGGATTACAGACGTGAGCCACCGTGCCTGGCCCCTGAATCACTCTTTGTTGGAAAGCCACCCAACAGAGTGACCCAAACAGGAGCATCCAGGAACCACGAACAATGGTCTTTACATGAGCAAGAAATAAACTTTTATTGTATGTTAGGCCACTAAGATTTCTTAGTAGCTATTATCCTGTGCCGACTGTTTCAGCTGTGAGAGGGGACTGTGTGCTATTTAGTCTCTGTTCCTCCAGCTCTGTCCTCCTCCCTACTCCACCCTGTTCTGTGATCCAGGAGGACATCCATTGTCTGTGTGACCCATGCTCCCTTCTCCTCTTGTTTCCAGCTGGGTTCAGTCAATGGGAAGAACCAGCAAGAGATGAGAAAGTAGGAAAGGAAAGAGGGCAGAGTATTTATTCCTTCAGCTCCCACCTGGCCAGGCTGAAGTTGAGCAAGCAACAGCTGTGGTTCCTTCACCTAAGGCTGCAGCTGTTTCTGGGTTCAGCTATCACTGTTGCCACACCTTGTTCACTCAAGCCTAAGGCAATAACAGCTTCCTGCTCTTGCTAGTCCCTGAGTGCTTCCCCAACCCTTGTTGGTTTCCTTAACCCTATGCACATCTCTGTAAAAAGGCCCTTGTTCAAACTCCCTGCAGTTACCCCCTTTTGAGTGTGCCAGGTTTTCTCTCATGAAACTGACATTGACTGATGTCAGTTTAAACTTATTTAAGGAAGTTTAAATATTCATCAAAGGTCCCTTGAAACTTCTTCTTCTTATTATTTTGAGACAGGGTCTTGCACTGTTCTCTAGGCTGAAGTGCAGTGGTATGATCACGGCTCACTGCAGGCTTGACCTCCCGGGTTCAAGTGATCCTCCCACTTCAGCCTCTCAAGTAGCTGGGACCAGAGGTGTGTGCCACCATGCCCAGCTAATTTTTGTATTTTTTGTAGAGATAGGATTTTGCCATGTTGCCAAGGCTGAATTATTTTTAAAATTTATTAGATTTATTGATAGAAATATGTCTTAGGTGACTTTTGCAATAATGATGCTATATAACAAACCACCCCAACCATGCTTACAATAAATTTTATTCTCATGCTTATGGGTATGAATATCAACTATAGTTCAGTTGATCTAGGCTGGGCTTAGCTGGGTGACTCTGCCACAGACTGCTGGCCAGCTGCGCTTGGCTCCCCCTGGCCATGGGTTCAGTTTGGATCTGATTCCTGGGTTTTCTCCTGGGGCCAAGGCTGAACAGACAATAGGTCCCTGGGGCATGTTCTTCTAATAGTGGATCACTGGAACTCAGGAGAGAAAGCTGATCCATACAAATGTATTTCAGCCTCTGCTTGAGTCCTCATCTGCTAACATCCCTTTGGCTATAGTAAATATTTTGGTCAAGCCCAAGGTTGAGGGGCATTGTCCATTCTGAGGCTATGGCAATGTGTGATATTCAACTCTTTTATAAGGAAGCAAGGAATTAGAACTAATAATTCATCCCATCACAAATTAAAAGGTCTGTTTATTGAATATGGAGCTTGTACTTGTGACTTCACTACATTTATTTATTTATTTATTTTGAAACAGAATCTCGCTCTGTCACCCAGGCTGGAGTGTAGTGGCATGATCTCAGCTCACTGCAACCTCCGCCTCCTGGGTTCAAGCGATTCTCCTACCTCAGCCTCCCAAGTAGCTGGGATTACATGTGTGTGCCACCATGCCCAGCTAATTTTTGTATTTTTAGTAGAGACAGGGTCTCATCATGTTGGCCAAGCTGGTCTCAACCTCCTGACCTCAAATGATCTACCTACTTTGGCCTCCAAAAGTGCTGAGATTACAGGCATGAGCCACCATGGCCTGCCTACATTTAATATTAATTTAAACCATAATAACCACAGGAGACTTTTCAATGCACAAAAGATGCCCTTCAAATAATAATTGCTAATACTGTGGCAAATGTTACTTCCCAAGCACTGTTTTAAGGACTTTACATTTATTAACTCATTTAATTCTTAAAACAACCTCATGAGGTAGGTGCTGTTATCATCCACATTTTACAACTGAAGATGCTGAGGCACAGAGATGTTTAATCACTTGTTTAAGTTCACACAGCAGGTTGAGAGCAGAAGCAGAGCCAGCCTCTGGAATTCATCTTTTAACTAGGATTGCACTGCCTCTTGAAGACATCAAGATAATTCAGAAGATAATTGAGAAGAAATCCACAGCCCGTCGAGTCTGCACCCCCTTTGCCCTGCTCCACGTCAATGACATACACCCATTCACCCATCCTTCTTGACTCCCAGGGTCAGGCTGAAGTCAGCTGGGCAGCATCCTGGACTTCTTTCCCTTCCTCACTGTTCCGGACTTGGCCCTGGCCCTTCCTGACTGTCTTCCTGTCTCCCCTGCATCTCTCCCATTCTCACTAACCTGGACCCTCCGCTTCACCCAGGCAGCAGGGCAGATGTGGGCTGTTGATCCAGTAGAACTGATTCCAGTCCCCTCTGTGTCCCCCTAGAGTTCTAATTTTCACTTTCCTCATGTGAAAGGGAGACAAATACAACACTGAAGACCCAAGATTGTTCTGAGCATTAAATGATAGAATACAATTCATTCATTCCTTTCTCCATCAGATGGTTTTTGAATATCAACTATGAGCCAGCCCCTGTGCTGGGGATACAATGGAGAGCAAAACAGGAGTGGCACTGCCTTTCAGGGAACAGGGGAAACAGACAGCAAACAAACATACACAGAGTAATATGCAGTTACAAACTCTGATCAGCGTTGTGACTGGAAGGTACTGGATGCTGGCTGTCAGGGCACGAAAAGAGGACTCTGACCTAGTCTGGTGGCTAGGAAAGGTCTCCTTGAGGAACTAACATTTAACCAGAGGCGGAAGGGTAAAAGAGAAAAGAAGCACAGGTGAGTGGAGGAGTCTTTTGTGTGTGTGTGTGTGTGTCTGTGTGTGTGTGTGTGTGTGTGTGTGTGTGTGTGTATGTGTGAAACAGTCTTGCCCTATTGCCCAGGCTGGAGTGCAGAGGTGTGATCTTGGCTCACTGCAATCTCTGCCTCCTGAGTTCAAGAGATTCTCCTTCCTCAGCCTCCTGAGTAGCTGGGACTACAGGCATGCACCACCATGCCTGGCTAATTTTTTTTTGTATTTTTAGTAGAGACAGGGTTTCTCCATGTCGGCCAGGCTGGTCTCAAATTCCTGGGTTCAAGTGATCCATCCACCTCGGCTTCCCAAAGTGCTGGGAATACGGGTGTGAGCCACTGTGCCCAGCCTAGAGGAGTGTTTTGAAGACAGGGAAAATAGCAGGTGAGAACTTGAATAAGCTTCACGCCTCACTGAGATCCTAGGGCAATCTGTTTAGAACCTTCCCCACGATTGAGGACCCAACTCCACACACCTATTGCTTAATCCTCATCCTTGAGCAAGTGACACCACTTGCTTTTTCCTTGAGATTATGACAAGCCTGGATATTTTGTTCTCACTTCTTCAGTCCTCTGAAGAGCTGACCCCTCATCTTTTTCCTTTCAACATACATTTATTGAGCAACAGCAAAGGCTGAATTTGAAGAAGAGGAAGGGTTACTGATCATTTGGGTGGGAAAACACTCCCAGCACTCATGGGAATAGTTCATTCAGTCAATGAATGGTGCCTACTCTGAGCCAGGCCTGCGCAAGGCTCTGGGAGCAGAGCAAGGAATAAGACATGGTCTCATTTCTCTAGAGTCAAGCAGTTGCTAACTGGCATCACCACCTTTTTGGGGTGGCTCAAATTGTTCTACTTTCTTCTTACCTGAGCACTCCTCTTGGTAGGAATTGCTGTTTTAACTGGGCCAAGATGCAAAGGTAGCTTAATCAGTCTTTCAGGAACAACTTTCAGAAAACTCAGTTATGGCACTAGAATCTGTTGGCTGAATCTGGTCCCATGTGGACCACTTGAAGCTTCTCCCATAAGGGACGAGTAGACAGGGGCTTGATGGTGAAAGGTAAAAAGAGTTTGTCCTTTGGCCCCGCAAGACCAGTGCCAGAGGTGGGTATACTGGGCACTGGGAGTAGCTGGAATGACCAAATACAGAGGAGATTCAGGTTACTTAAGAATTTGCCAATTTGTCAAAGGTGATAGCTGGAAATGGGTCCACAGCCAGGGAGAAGAGGAAGTCCTGTAACAGTAGTAAAATGGACCCACCACAGTGAAAAAGCCTGGGGTCACCATTGGGGGAAGCTATCCTCAGACTGACCCCAGACAGGGCCTGCAGTGTGATGCACACAGGCTGGACAGCTATCAGGGCTCCAGGTGGACTTGGACAGCCATCTCTTCTTTAGTCCTCAGTGTAAGAATTAAAGAAAGAGGAAAGAAACACGAAAAATGGCTCAACAGTTAAAGTCAGGTTTATTTTGGAGAATAAACCTGAGAGGGGCTTCTGGCCAATTTCTGTCAGGAGTGCTCTCTCTTACAGACTAAGAGTATTGGTTTTAGGGTGAGAAAGCTTATCACAGGCTTGGAATGTTTCTGTGTGTGGGGGAGAAATTTATTGCGGGTTGGAGTGTCTCTGGTCGGAGGAGAGGTTATCTCAGGGCTGGCATGTCTCTGGTCGGGGAGGGATTTATCTTATGGTTGGAATGTTTCTGGTCGGAGATGTCATTTGTGGTTTATGGTCATGCTGACCTTAGCCATTAGGCTGATGCCCTTTGGATTTAGGCGGCTTTTGATCAAGGTGAACTTAAAAATGGTGGTGCTTGTCCAAGATGGTGATGCTCCTGCTCTGTCAATCCAGACCCTATAGTTATAAAAAGGAAGAGAGGTGGCATGTTCTTTCTAGCTACTTCCTGCTGATGGGAGGACAGAGAGTTTTCTGGTCTCAGATTGACTGTAGGAGTAATGTCGTCTGTAGATGTTTTTGGGTAGTTGTCTGTGAAATGGCCATGATCCTGTCAGTTAAAAATATTTGAAAAAGGTTAATTAGGCAGGGTAAGAACATTAGTCCTAGGCATATTATTAGAAGAGAAGGCCCAGAAATGGGATGACCCATGCTATGATTTTGTTCCCAAACCAATAATCTATTTGGTTGTTTTGGTATTCCCTTACCTTTTCAGCCCTTTCTTTAAATTTTTCAGCAGTGTCTCTTACTAGGCCCAACTGGTTGAGATAGAAACAACATTCCTTACCTAATGAGATGCAGAGGCACATGTTTGGAAAGGCCCGTGTGTTACTTTTTGTTAGTAACCATTTTTCCTGCTATGAGGATAATAATTAAGCAAAATGCTACAGTAACTGAGATTCTCTGTCTGATATTCCACCCCGAGGCTGCTACAGCATATAGTCCTACTGCAAATAGTAGAGTGAGTAAAGCAGTTCCCACAGGGTGGCATAGTCGAAAATTTCCATTAAAAGGTTTTAATATTTGGCTGAGAAGGAGAGGTAGGAACGACAAAAAGTATTTGGTGAAGTAGGGGTGAGACTGAGTAAGATGACTAGTTCTCACTTAGTTACTTATTTTTTATGATTTTCAGCTTAAGATTTCCTATTTCTTTACATTGATATTTAGGATGTTCCTTTGGGCTGTCAGGGGTTGCTTCCTCAGCTTTCCAGGCTTTGACTTGAGTGTGATGTATCCAGGAGTTGATTCCTGTAACAGATACTGTCTCAATTGCCCTGGATTCCCTGGACTCACTAGACGTGGGGGCAAAGGATTCTGGGCACCCTCAGTTATTAGTTGTCAGTGCCAGCAGTGAAGAGATTTCCTCCTGTCATGGTTGGAGGCTTATAGGCAGCACCTGCTCAAACAGCTAGTTTTCAGTTCATAGGGCTTTAAGAAAGCACAGCTTATTTGGAAACTTGTAGCCAGAAAAGTTAGAATTTAATTTAAACTGTAGAAAATAATAAAAATTGAAAAACATTTGGCAACACTAGAATTTAATAACAGGTGTGCTATAGTTTTTGAAACATAATTTCCTTTCTCCAATTTCCCATTTTTATTAAAAGACAAATCATGGTAGGAATGGCTTGTTTTATTATACTTGGCTTAATTATTTGCATACAGTGCAGCAAGAATAATTATTTGTTACATAGGCCTTTTAAATTGGCATTGATGGAACTTTGTTCCATAGAAGGAATCTCAGATAAGACTTTTTAAAGCTGAGCCCAGCCATGGAATTATACCATTAAATACCTATGAGTTTCCCCTTGAGATTCCAAAATAACTTGGGGTTCCTGGCCTATCAGAAAGTGACATTCTTTACTTACCACAGATCAGAAACCCTGTACAGGGACTGTGTACACAAAACGTGAGGCCAATTTCCCAAGAGCTTTCTTGGCTTCATAAGTCAGGTTTGATTCCTTAAAGGAAAGCACACCATTCCAGCCAAAGCCTTGGTAAAATAACCAGTTTTTCCAATTGTGTCCTGTTACAAAAGAAAACAGATTCTTATTGCACTTATGCAAATAACTATATTGCCACAACTTAAGAATACTCACAGTTTCCAAATTCTGGAGAAAATCAGGTAGAGAGAAACAAGTATGCTCCAAATTTTGTTCATGGGAGTATACTAAATTGTTAAAAGCTGTCAATAGCTCAAAAGAAAAGTTTCTTTGACTTTGAAAAGCAAAACAAAGGATTAGCAATATTTTCAGCAAAACGTCAAAAAGATCACTTCAGTCTCCTATTAGTTCAGTTAATGCAGTTAATTTCTGTCCTGCTTGATATTAATGAACGTTTTAGCTCTTCGAGAGTCCTGAACGTTTTTCCTCTATTCTGATGTCACAATCTCCAAAGTTATCAAAAAGCTGCATTCAAGAGCACCTGTTAGAGCTTTATAGCTGATTATAAGACTACCTTCTAAAGAGGACCAAAACAAGACAACAATTGTTTATGGATGACAAAAAGTTTTAGGGTAGCCATAGTTAAAGTCACAATTGACAAGGATATCTGTTACCTTTGTGGCACACAATAGTTTTAACATAACAATTATAATTACTACTGATAACATACACTAAGATATATCAGAATTATAGGAGTCTCCCATAACTTTGGAACACATACCAATAACATATTTATACAAATATAGTCCAAAGAAAGCCAAACACCATTTTCTATTTGACATTGCTTCCTGTATGATTTTATACCAAATTTTACCATTATATTAGTGCTATTAATGTTAAGCTCAATTTTTAATAAAACCTTGTAGACAAATTTACCGAATTTTAATGTTTGACCATAAAGTAAAGATTTTTATAAAAATCTTTAAAAATAGTCTATAGACCCATTATAATTTTTGCTAAGAGCAGGTTAGTGCTTTAAGAGAAACCTGTTGTGCTTTTATTTTAATGCTCAATTTACAGAAAAACTGGATGATACCCCTTCAACTTTAGCCAATATGTTTACACACAGAATTTCCTTTACAATTAACCTTCCAAAAATTGCTTAAACCTTCATTTTTATTTTATTCAACTAAAAACAATTCTTTAACCTTTTAATCTAGGTAAAAAACCACATTACATTTTCATGCCTCCTTATAATCTTTTTACCAAAACTATATGTAAACTTTTTTTAATAGTCTTAAATACATGTTACACTTAACTTTTAGCAACCTTTACTTTTGTTGGTGAGTTTGGGATTTTATTTTATTTTTATTTATTTATTTTTGAGATGGAGTTTCACTCTTGCCACCTAGGCTGGAGTGCAATGGTGCAATCTTGACTCACTGCAACCTCCACTTCCTGGGTTCAAGCGATTCTCCTGCCTCAGCCTCCCGAGTAGCTGGGATTACAGGCGAGCGCCACCATTCCTGGCTAATTTTTGTATTTTTAATAGAGACGGGGTTTCACCATGTTGGCCAGGCTGATCTCGAACTCCTGACCTCAGGTGATCCTCCCGACTTGGCCTCCCAAAGTGCTGGGATTACAGACATGAGCCACTGTTCCTGGCCAAGCTTGGGATTTTAATTATGCACTAGGTGTAGAGCCTAGGACCTAGACAGAAGTGCAGATAAGGTCTGACTTATCCCAGCATTTAACTCCGTGTGTCGCCGCCATCCGGTCTGGGAGGTGAGGAGCATCTCTGCCCGGCTGCCCGTCGTCTGGGATGTGGGGAGCGCCTCTGCCCGGCCGCGGCCCCGTCTGGGGGGTGAGGAGCGTCTCCGCCCTGTGGCCGCCCCGTCTGGGAGGGAGGTGGGGGTCGGCCCCCGCCGGGCCGGCCGCCCCGTCCCGGAGGGAGGTGGGGGGGTCAGCCCCCCGCCCGTCCGGCCGCCCCGTCCGGGAGGTGAGGGGCACCTCTGCCCGGCCGCCCCTACTGGGAAGTGAGGAGCCCCTCTGCCCGGCCAGCCACCCCGTCCGGGAGGGAGGTGGGGGGGTCGGCCCCCTGCCCGACCAGCCGCACCGTCTGGGAGGTGAGGGGTGCCTCTGCCCGACCGCCCCTACTGGGAAGTGAGGAGCCCCTCTGCCCGGCCGCCACCCCGTCTGGGAGGTGTGCCCAGCAGCTCATTGAGAGTGGGCCATGATGACAATGGCGGTTTTGTGGAATAGAAAGGGGGGAAAGGTGGGGAAAAGATTGAGAAATCGGATGGTTGCCGTGTCTGTGTAGAAAGAAGTAGACATGGGAAACTTTTCATTTTGTTCTGTACTAAGAAAAATTCTTCGGCCTTGGGATCCTGTTGATCTATGACCTTACCCCCAACCCTGTGCTCTCTGAAACATGTGCTGTGTCCACTCAGGGTTAAATGGATTAAGGGCGGTGCAAGATGTGCTTTGTTAAACAGATGCTTGACGGCAGCATGCTCGTTAAGAGTCACCACCACTCCCTAATCTCAAGTACCCAGGGACACAAACACTGCGGAAGGCTGCAGGGTGCTCTGCCTAGGAAAACCAGAGACCTTTGTTCACTTGTTTATCTGCTGACCTTCCCTCCACTATTGTCCTATGACCCTGCCAAATCCCCCTCTGTGAGAAACACCCAAGAATGATCAATAAAAAAAAAAAAAAAACAAACTCCGTGTGTCCTAGGACTTACCTAGCTTCAGTGAAGGCCAGTTGTACAGCTAAGAGTTATAGTGGCATTGTATAAAGCATTCAGGAGGCCTAATCACTTTTAAATCGTACATTTCTTTTTTTTTCTTTCTTTCTTTTTTTTTTTTTTTTTTGAGATGCAGTCTTGCTCTGTCACCCCAGGCTGGAGTACGTTGGTTATATTGGTGCAATCTCGGCTCATTGCAGTCTCCACCTCCTGGGTTCAAGCAATTCTCACTGCAGTCTCCACCTCCTGGGTTCAAGCAATTCTCAAGCTACTCAACCTCCTGAATAGCTGGGACTATAGGTACGTGCCACTACGCCCAGCTAAATTAACTTTTGTGTTTTCAGTAGAGACAGAGTTTCACCATATTAGTCAGGCTGGTCTCGAGCTCCTGACCTCAGGTGAACCACCCGCCTTGGCCTCCCAAAGTGCTGGGATTACAGGCATGAGCCACTGTGTCCGGCCTAAATTGTACCTTTCTTGCATAAATTCCCTTTTATAAAATTTTTTATGACTTACACAGACAATTTCTGATGTGCCTCAACTTGCTGACTTGTTGTAAACATTCCTTTCTTTAAACAACCAGTTAATTTACTTCAGGACAAGAATTTACCATATAAGATTCTTTTTTATATAAATTACCTTTTCTTTAATTTCAAGATTAGAAGTTAGGTATTTCACTAAACAGTTCAAGGTGTAGCTATCTTTATTAAACCAATATTAATGTTCCTTTATCAAAAAATTACACAAGCAAAGATTATTCTGTTTGGGCTGAGTTACAGTTTTATAGCCTCTATGCCAAATTTTGACACCTTATAGCATTTGGCAGAGATAAGTATGAAATTGCTTGATTAATAAATGCAAACAAAAATGTATCCTGGCAACTCTTAAGACATTTCTAATCTTACTGTACCAGTAAGTTTTAAAGATTAAAGTCATGTGAACTGAAGGTCCCACAACTTTTACTTTGTCCTTAAAAATGTTTAAGTGCTTATTTTTCTTAGGCCAATTAATTAGAGCTTTTAAAATAGATATTGCACACATAACACATATATAGCCACACAGACAACCAGAAGAAGATCCAGTAATTATAAGATTTAAAAAAAAAAATTTCCCTATTGGATTAATGGCCTTCTGGTGAGGCCCTTTAAAAACAGGACTAGGAAAACAGTTTCCAGGGCCTAATAAACAAGCATAGCTGGAAGACAAAGACAGATTTTGAGAAGCACTTATTCACCTCTAATTCTAGGGGTTCCATAAGGAAAACAGATTTTTCCCAAAACGGGATTCATGGTGCCTTTTTGTTTTCCCAAGGAGTCCCAGGCCACCAGAAGTCATTTTAGGGTCTTTCATATATGCACCAAGAATGGCAAGACAGAGTGGAGAAAAGTAATTCAGTTGATTGGGAGAAAACCTTTCCTAGGAAAATAAGATTTATGAAGAGACAAAACATAAAGGCCTTTTGAATATACTCATAGCTTGGATATCCATTTTAATTAAGCTGAGCACTCTTTTTTTTATCAGGGGTGAGGGTGAAGGTTAGAATTATATAAATGTCAGGCCAGGTTAAAGGATTGGGTTATGTGCGGGAATTCCCTGCGGTAATGAGAGGGATTTTCATAGAAAGATCCTAGGTATGTTTGATTTGCAACAAATCAGACATGGAGAAAGGGCATAAACACAAGCAATGCCTTCACCCCCAGCCACTTTCCAGAGAGGGAGAATGGCAGAGATGATTTGACTGGATGGAGCAGTTTTTGAACGGGTCACAGGTGGAGAAGGAGGGGAAGCGGGGTTTGGGGCTGAAGGCTTGCGGGCAGGAGGGGCTGCCAGGGCAGAGGGTTCAGATGGGTGAGGAGCAGATGCAGAGGGATGAGAATGCAGAGGGGGTTCATCTGCAGGGTCAAAAGGAGTTTTGGAGGAAGGAGTTTTGAAGGAAGGAGTTTCAGGGGAAGGAGAGACCTGGGGAAGGTTTTCATTAAGAAGGATTTCATGAAGGGTGCAAGCTTGAGACAGAGAGGGTCGGGATCTAAAGTAGAAGAAAGCCTGGCCTGAATAGAGAGAACCTCTTGGCGTTTGCCATTCCTGGTTATAAAGTTGTCATTGTCCCTGAGAATTTGAAAGTAAAAGGTGCCATATTTGGGCCTTCGGCTCGAAATTTTAACTTGCCATTATTTAATTTGTACCCGGGCCAGGCCATGTTGCAATAAAAATCTGAACACTTTGGCTTTATATTTCCTGTAAGCCAAGTTGGTGAGGTTGTGAAGGAGACAGCCCAGTGGAGAGGATGTGGGAATGCAGGATTGTTTGGTACCCATGTGGACTGGTAAGAGGAAGCCAAGGGTGTCTGTTTTAGTTCTAGGCATCCCCAGTCAAAAGGCAGAGACCCAGAATCCTCTTTATAAAGAGGATGGTCAAGTTGAGAAGAAACTGGGCATCCCCAAGATTTCTTCTAGCTTAGTCCCACTGGTTCTCTGAAGACCGGGATGGCAGACCTGACTGTCCCGAGTACCATGAGAAAGAAAGGGGAAGGCAGATCTTACCAGTTAGCTGGATTAGTGTCTGATGTTGGATGTTCCAGCTGGAATTGGCAAAGGGCCTCTTGGACTGGAGCCACAAGAAGTGGGGTGGTGGGGAGAGAAAGAGAGAGACAGAGAGAGAGAGAGAGAGATAGAGAGGAGGATGAGGGAGGAGGAGGGGAGAAAGCGAAATACCTGATACCCATTGCAGGCAGTCAGAGGTGGATTCCTGAGACCTGAGGGTTTTGAGGGCTCACTGGAGAGTAGCCCCAGCCCGAGCCTTGCAGGCCCTTTCAGGTTAGTTGTCCTCCTCATGCAAATTGCTCAAAAAGTAAAGTGAGAGACAAGATGGGATGGGTGGCCAGAGACTCTCAGGATCCAGTGGGATGAGCAGCTGCTGTCCACTGCTTCCTTGGTTGCAAGAGAGCCTCTATCCCCAACACCCATCCTGGCTTTCAGCACCAAATGTAAGAGTTAAAGAAAGAGGAAAGAAACACAAAAAGTGGCTCAACAGTCAAAGGTTTATTTTGGAGAATAAACCTGAGAGGGGCTTCTGGCCGATTTTTTGGTCAGAAGCATTCTGTCTTACAGACTAGGAGTATTTATTGGTTTTAGGGTGAGACAGCTTATCACAAGCTTGGAATATTTCTGTGTGGGGGGGGAAGTTTATTGCAGGGTTGGAATGTCTCTGGTCAGAGGAGAGGTTATCTCAGGGCTGGCATGTCTCTGGTTGGGGAGGGATTTATCTTATGGTTGGAATGTTTCTGGTCCGAGATGTCATTTGTGGTTTATGGTCATGCTAACCTTAGCCATTAGGCTGATGCCCTTTGGATTTAGGTGGTTTTTGATCAAGGTGAACTTTAAAATGGTGGTGCTTGTCCAAGATGGTGATGCTCCTGTCTGTCACTCAGGGTAGCAGCAGGGCAGCTGCTTGGCTGTGGTCTAGACAGTCAGGGACCACAGCTAGCTCTGCCAGGCAGAAACCCTGATCAAGCTGAAAAAGAGTAAATATTCTCCTTTAATCCACTCTGCCTTCCTGCAGTCATCCCTAGAGCAGGGAGAGAGGATCTACAACCATAGAGGGTTCACCTTGGAACCACAATCACCAATCACAACACTAATGTGAAGCAAGAGTTATGCCTGAACTATCCTCTTCCCTGCTTCCAAACCACAGATCTGATGGAAAAGAGCTTTCCTACTTAAATAGAGCTGGTGTGGGGAAAAGAGCCACTTTATTTCGAATGCGAATCTGCCTGGTTAACCCCAAGTCCCAGGAGTGCCTCTAAAATGTCTAGTTGGGCCAGGCCCAGTGGCTAATGCCTGTAATCCCAGCACTTTGGGAGGCTGAGGTGGGTGGATCACCTGAGGTCAGGAGTTCAAGACCAGCCTGACCAACATGGTGAAACCCTCGTCTCTACTAAAAATACAAAATTAGCCAGGTGTGGTGGTGCATGCCTATAATCCCAGCTACTTAGGAGGCAGGGGCAGGAGAATTGCTTGAACCCGGGAGGCAGAGGTTGCAGTGAGCCAAGATCACACCACTGCACTCCAGCTTGGGCAATAGAGTGAGACTCCATCTTCAAAGAAAAAAATGTCTAGTTGTGTATTACTCTTTATGTATGAACACTTATTCATTGTAAGTTTTCTTCTTATTGTTGCAGAAACCATAGTTTCTGCCTGTAGCCCCTATGTATTCCTTCTAGGGTACATATGCTTTTTGCCCAAGATATATGCTCTGGGTTGAGGGGTTGTAGTATAGAGATCTACCTGCCTTGTGGTGTCCAGGACCACACTTCTAAGTTCCCTTAATAAATCACCCAATACCAACAAACTGGATTTGTCTACCTCCTCCTTTGGTTTCTCATCTTCTTCAGCATTTGGGGGTCTCTTTGTGTATACAACCCTTTCACAGAACAGCTGGTGATACAGGGGGTTTGAGGGAGCCAGCACTGGCTTTAGAGACACAACTCCTAGGTGAAAATCCTAGCCCCATTACTGGCCACATAAGCTTGAATGAGTCATGAAAGATCTCATAGGCTCAGTCTTCACATCTGAGAAGTGCCTGACAGTGTTATTACAAGAGCTGAATGAAGGACGGGAATGAATATGGAAGCTCTTTGTAAGCAAGGAGGTGTTATACAAATGTCTTTTTTTACCCCCCTACATGCACGTAGTCGGTACAACACTTTTCTGATTGGTCTTGTCAAAGAGGATCTCTTTTCCAGTCTGGAGCTAGAAAATAGTTATCTACATTTGTTACATTAAAACTCCCTTCTGAGAGACTCCCTTTCTCTGCTGGCTGCCAAGGAGCTCAGACCTGAACTTGGGACTCACCTGCATCAAAGTTGTAGATCACGCTGGCATTTCCTTCTACTCTTTTCCAAGACTCACTTTCCCAGACTCCGAAAAAAAAAAAAAAAAAAAAAAAAAGCACTGGCCATTTTTCTTTTTTTCCCTTTTTTTGAGATGGAGTCACTCTCTGTCACCTAGACTGGAGTGCAGTGCCATGATCCCGGCTCACTGCAACCTCTGCCACCTGGGTTCAAGAGATTCTCGTGTTCTCGTGCCTTAGCCTCCCAAGTAGCTGGGATTACAGGTGTGTGCAATCACCCCGGGCTAATTTTTGTATTTTTAGTAGAGATGGGGTTTCACTATGTTGCCCAGGCTGGTCTCAAACTCCTGGCCTCAAGTGATCCACTTGCCTCAGTTTCCCAAAGTGCTGGGATTACACACATGAGACACCGCACCCGGCCCCATTTTGCATGCATTTTGCACGCCATATTTAAAGATTCTTGCCGGTCGTGGTGGCTCACACCCGTAATCCTAGCACTTTGGGAGGCCGAGACAGGACGATTGCTTGAGCTTAGGAGTTCAAGGCCAGCCTGGGCAACAGAGTGAGACCTCCTCTCTACAAATTATTATTATTATTTTTTAATTAGCCAGGTGCGGTCGTGGGTGCCTGTAGTCCTAGCTACTCGGATGGCTGAGGTGGGAGAATCATTTGAGCGCTGGAGGTCGAGGCTATGAGCTATGATTACACTATTGCACTCCAGGCTGGGTGACAGTTTCAAAAAATAAATTCTTGTATTTGTGGCAGCTGGGTCATTAGAATACAATATAATCATGCGTGAGAGGAGCCATGGGAAACACTGAGCCTGGCTTATGAAAAAGGTCCTGCAAATCTAATTTCATCTGAAGTTCAACAGACTCTTTCTTCCAGGCACACAGGCGTTATGTGGCCGCACGGGTCCCTGCCCGTTAGAAGGATTCAGCCACACCCCAGCTTTCCAGTTCCTGGGGTCTTTTGCCAGGACAGTAGGTGTGGAGTGCGTGGTGAAGTGGAGGGTGGAGGTGGGACCAAGGCCGAATTTAGGGACCCCCAGCATGAGCTGCGGGTGGGTCAAGGCCGCGAGGTTGGAGGGCACGGGGACACAGCATAGCGAGGAAGGAACGGTAGGGACCGTGGTGATAGACTAGGGGTGGACGCGGGGATTGTGTTTTTCTTTAAGCGGGAGAGAGAAGCCCGATCACCGGCAGCGGAGGAGAAAAGTCCAGGGTAGAGATGGGGGCGCTGGTGTGGGGGCGGTCAGGAGAGAAGGGCGGGGGCCGTCCCAAGCGTCCTGCACCTGCCCTACTCGCCGAGAATTTGCCCGGGTCGGTGCCAGGGCGGGGCAGTCGGCGGCCTGGCTGCTAGGCTCCGTGACATCCGGCAGTCTGAGGGCGGCGGGATTCGGGATGACTTCGGGCGGGTGAGTGTCCCCGGGGCAGAGCAGAGCGAGAGGTGAAACTTCGGGAGCAGGGAGCGCCGCGGGTCCTTTCTGGCGTCTGCAGAGCGGGCAGGTGCTGGGGACGCAGACGCCGGAGCCAGGGAGCGGGCGGTTGGAGTCTTAAGTCCAACCGGTTCCCCGCATAGGTGGCTGCAGAGGCGAGGTGACGGCGCGTGCGGAACGAACTCTGCACCCCCAGGAATGGGGAGCGCTGGCTTTTCCGTGGGAAAATTCCACGTGGAAGTGGCCTCTCGCGGCCGGGAATGTGTCTCGGGGACGCCCGAGTGTGGGAATCGGCTCGGGAGTGCGGGCTTCGGGGCTCTCTGCTTGGAACTCAGAGGCGCTGACCCAGCCTGGGGCCCGTTTGCTGCCCACGGGAGGAGCCGCCGTCAGGGGTATGTGAGTGCCCGGGCGCGGGGACTGCGGGCTGTGGACAGTCGGGGAGCCCGGCGGCTTGGTCTCCTCCACAGTCCGCGCGGAGTCAGGGAAAAGTCGGTTTTCAAATCCAGGCGCCCACCGCAGGGCAGAGTGAGCTGCGGTTGTGTGGCCCCGCGTGCTAAAGAGCCTCTACGGAGTGATATAATAATTAACGGGGTAAAGTACATTTGAAAGTCTAAATTAATTTTTATAAGCTACGAAGAAGGATCAGACATACATTTGGTATTCTTTTATCCGCAAAGTTTATTTTGTTTGTATTTTCCAAAACTCTAAAACAATCGCTAAACATTGACAAAGAAGTCATCTCACAAAAATGCAATAACATGTTTGTGACATGACATCTTGTAAGCATGAAAAAGAACACGTTTGGCCGGGCGCAGTGGCTCTCATCTGTAATCCCAGCACTTTGGGAGGCCGAGGTGGGCGGATCACTTGAGGTCAGGAGTTCAAGACCAGCCTGGCCAACATGGTGAAACCCCGTCTCTACTAAAAATACAAAAATTAGCCGGGTGTGGTGGCAAGTGCCTGTAATCCCAGCTACTTGGGAGGCCGAAGCAGGAGAATGACTTGAACCTGGAAGCAGAGGTTGCAGTGAGCCGAGATTGCTCCATTGCACTCCAGCCTGGGCGACAGAGGGAGACTCTGTCTCAAAAACAAACAAACAAACAAAACAAACAAACAAACAAACAAAAAGCAGCAACACACGTTGAATAGAGGATTGGCGGAATGGGGGAAAGGAAGGCGGCTTTGCATCCATCCACGTCCTTGGCTAAGGCTTTCATTCCAGCGTTCCCCTTCCCCAACTTCCCCCACTCCACAATCCTTCATGGGTGACTGAAAAGGAGGAAGCTGGGAGGCCTGATACTGATGCGGATAAATTTAAAGCTGGCAAATCCTCGGCAAATTTGACTTTTCCTCCACCTGTGGAATCATGCATAAAAGGTCTGCAGTTTCTTTTTAATTGACAAATAATAATCGTACATATTCATGAGGTACATAGTGATATTTTGATACATGTAGTGATAAACACATACCATAGTGATAAGATCAGGATAATTAGCATATACGTCTTCTCAAACGTTTATCATTTCTTTGTGTTGGGAGCAAACATTCAATATCTTCCTCCTAGCTATTTGAAACTATATTATTATCATTATTTTGAGATGCAGTCTTGCTCCATCACCCAGGCTGGAGTGCAGTGATGCGATCTCGGCTCACTGCAATCTTTCCCTCCCGAGCTCAAGTGATTCTTCCACCTCAGCCTCCCGAATAGCTGGGATTACAGGCGTGCGCACGCGCGCCACCATGCCCAACTAATTTTTGTTATTTTATTTTATTTTTTTTAGACAGAGTCTAGCTCTGTGGCCCAGGCTGGAGTGCAGTGGCGCAATCTCGGCTCACTGCAACCTCCACCTCCATGGTTCAAGCAATTCCCCTGCCTCAGCCTCCAGAGTAGCCGAAATTACAGGCGCACGCCACCACGCCCTGCTAATTTCTTTTGTATTTTTAGTAGAGACAGGGTCTCATCATGTTGGCCAAGCTAGTCCCGAACTCCTGACCTCAAATGATCCACCCGCCTCAGCCTCCCAAAGTGCTGGGAGTACAGACATGAGCCACAGTGCCCAGCCTGATACTATATATTATTGTAACTATGTTCATCCTACAATGTTACAAAACACTGAAAGGCATTTCTGCTATCTAGCTGAAACTGTGTAACCATGCCCTTGGACTTCCTAGTGTTCAGGACCGTGAGCCAAATAAATTTTTCTGTATAAATTACTCTGTGGTATACCTGTGGTATTTTGTAATGGCAGCACAAAATGGATTAAGACAGTTTCTATAACTCGAATAGTTTAAATGTATTTATTTTTCTGGGTACCATTTTAGAAAATTTAGAAGTTAAGATGTTACAGAAATATGTGACAAAGATAGTGCAAACTCAAATTACACATACACACACAGAGTATTTCTGAGCTTCGGTTTGTTCCATTCACTTATTTGCTTATTCCTGAATTGGTAACATGCTTTTAATAACTGTGGCCTTATCATAACTTTGCTCTTTAGTAGTAATATAGCTATCCTTCTTTTTTTTTTTTTTGACGGAGTTTCACTTTGCAACCTCCGCCTCCCAGGTTCAAGCGATTCTCCTGCCTCTACAGGTGCGTGCCACCATGCCCGCCTAAGATGGAGTTTCACCATGTTAGCTAGGATGGTCTTGATCTCCTGATCTCATGATCCACCCGCCTCGGCCTCCCAAAGTGCTGGGATTACAGGCGTGAGCCACCGCGCCCGGCCCATCCTTCTTATTTTTAATATCTTCCTTGCTATTCTTATGTGTTACTTCTAATAAATTTTAGAGTCATTTTGACCAATAAAAAATCTGTTCTGTTAGCCTCTGTGGTGTGTGCCTATAGTCCCAGCTACTCAGAAAGCTGAGGCAGGAGGATTACCTGAGCCCAGGAGTTTGGGACCAGCCAGGGCAACATAGTGAGAGCCTGGCTCTAAAAAAGGAAAATCCTGGCCCGGCATGGTGGCTCACGCCTGTAATCCCAGCATTTTGGGAGGCCGAGGCGGGCGGATCACGAGGTCAGAAGATCTAGACCATCCTGGCTAACACGGCGAAACTCCGTCTCTACTAAAAATACAAAAATAAAATAAAATAAAATAAAAATTAGCCAGGTGTGGAGGTGCGTGCCTGTAGTCCCAGCTACTTGGGAGGCTGAGGCAGGAGAATGGCGTGAACCTGGGAGGTGGAGCTCGCAGTGAGCTGAGATCACGCCACTGCACTCCAGCCTGGGCAACAGAGCGAGACTCTGGATCAAAAAAAAAAAAAAAGAAAATCCTGTTTTGCTTTTATTCATGTGGTTATTATATTAAATTTATAAATTACTATAGAGCAAAGTTACATCTCTACAAAATTGAGCTATTCTAGTCAAGAATAAAAAGAAGGTATCTCAATCTATTCATATATATATTTCCCTAATACAGTGGTAATTTGCTTAATTCTTTATTTGTTCAGTGACAAAATTAATTCTTGATCATTACTAAAAAAGAAAGAAAAAAGAGACTATAGAAACATGTTCATTTAATAGTGCAGATCACAATTAAGAACTTGATGTGTGTCATTTCAGGCATACAATCGAATAAAGTTTTAATTTTTTAAGGGCGCAGATTTTATATTTTATGTATATTCAGTAATTTGATTTTTTTAAAAGGTGCCTTTATTTACTTAGATGTTTAAGCTCTCACATTAGAGTTTATTTATTTATTTATTTATTTATTTATTTATTTATTTATTTTTGAGATGGAGTTTCCCTCTTGTCACCCAGGCTGGAGCACAGTGGCGCGATCTCAGCCCACTGCAACCTCCACCTCCTGGGTTCAAGTGATTCTTATATCTCAGCCTTCCAAGTAGCTGGGATTACAGGTGCCTGCCACTACACTCAGCTAATTTTTGTATTTTTAGTGGAGACGGGGTTTCACCATGTTGGCCAGGCTGGTCTCGAATTCCTGACCTCAGGTGATCTGCCTGTCTCGGCCTCCCAAAGTGCTGGGATTACAGGCGTGAACCACCGGGCCCAGCCTCACATTAGAGTTTTACAAGCTGGTGAACACTTGGCAAATTGTTTCTCCCAGAGAACTACAAGCATACATTCTTACACATTAAACTAATATCAATACACATCACAATTTTATCAATTACATAGTAAAACAAATTATCAAGTATACAAATATTAAGTTACACAGCTTAAAAGGCATGTAATATATCAGATGTCTGCTCAGTTCATTACCAGAAACCCACTTTTTTTTTTCCCCAAAGAGAGATTGACAAGAAAAGGAAAAAATTCACACTTAAACAAAATAACTGTAAACAACTTCCAATAGGTATTTTAAAAATTACAAGCTGTTCAGAAATTTTATGATTAAAAATTGCTTTAGTTATATAATATGGTTTGAATGTGCCCCTCAGAGTTCATGTGTTGGAAACTTCATCCCCAATTAGACAATGTTAAGAAATGGGGCCTTATAAGAGGTGATGAGGCCGGAAGGGCTCTGCGCTCATGAATGGATTAATGCCATTATCATGGGAGTGGGTTCGTTATAGTAGGAGTGGATTCCTCATAAAAGGACAAATTCAGCCCCCTCTTGCTGTGTCTCTCACATGCACTCACTTGTTTTTCCACCTTCCACCATGGGATGATGCAGCAAGAAGGTCCCCAGATGTGGCCCCTGGATCTTGGATTTGCCAGCCTCCAGAACATAAACTTCTGTTCCCTGTAAATTACCCAGTCTCAGGTATTCTGTTATAGCAGCACAAAACCGTACAAACCAGACCAAGGCAGTGTGATAACAGAGCATTGTTTCCTTTTAAAATGTATTTACTAAATTAAAATGTATGTTCTACATATTCTGCACAAGAAAAAAACACATTTTACCAAAAATATTTAATTGTTCCCTCCCATTCTTTTTCAGAACTTAACAGGGAGGCCCCTGTTAAGTTACCCACTAAAATTTAAGCATTCGATGAAATGTAATGTCTGGAGATATTAAAGACATGTGCTTCCATACAGTGTAGATTTTCAAAATGAAAATCCATAACAGCACAAGATGAGACTTAGAGGAAGATGTTAAATGATCACTGTGAGACCTGATTAAAATCCAACAAAAATCAGTGGTTGCACAAACCTGATGTATATTGGTACAAATGCAGTAGATATAAACATAAAGTGAGCAGGCAAATAATCAGATAGGCCCCACTTTCAATGTTTGAAATGACAGGAGGAATAAACCATGTAAGGTCTAGAGTGTTCCTAGTTCCGGGGATTTTAGTTCTGTGTGATACTAAAAATATACAAGTATTGGGCAGGCCATTTAGGCACTTAATCTCTCTAAATTTCCTATATATTAATAAGATTCTAGCATGGCAATAGACTTAAAGATTTATAACTCAAGACTGCATGATTTCAGGAAATGTCGGTTGGTACCAACCATAGGCACATCTTAAATGCTAAAAACCAAGAATCTTTTGCTAAGCGCCCAAGAGATCAAGATCATATGGGCCACCTAAGAGTCTGCCACATAAGTCCCACATGTTTCTTCTTAAGTATCTGCCTGCCTGGGTCATTTTGTGTTATGTTGTTAATTTGAAGCAGATTTCTGCTTTCATTATGTTTTCTGACTTGTTGGCTTATAGAAACCTTTGTAGGGTAGTGGTTAAAAGTGTGGTCTGCTTTTGAATTCTGCATCTGTCATAACCGAGAAAGCAGGTTACTTTTCCTATTTAGCTTCAGCTATCTCATCTGATCATTGCGTGGAGTAATCAAACTTCTCTCAGCCAGCCTTGGTGGCTCATGCGTGTAATCCCATCAGTTTGGGAGGCCGAGGCAGGCAGATCACCTGAGGTCAGTATTTGAGACCAGCCTGGCCAACATGGTGAAACCCCGTCTCCACTAAAAATACAAAGAATAGCCGGGTGTGGTGGTGGGCGCCTGTAATCCCAGCTATTCAGGAGGCTGAGGCAGGAGAATCATTTGAACCCAGGAGGTGGAGGTTGCAGTGAGCTGAGATTGTGCCACTGCACTCCAGCCTGGGTGACAAAGCGAGACTCTGTCTCAAACAAAACAAAACAAACAACAACAAAAGAAAAACAAAAAATAAAACTTCTCTTGTTATGCTGTTGTGAGGATTAAATGAGATAATGCACACAAAGCTCTTGGCAGGGGGTCTAGAACATACTAAGTGGTCATTAGACAATTATTATTATTAATTTTTTTACTATATTTTGTCACCAGGTACCCTATTAAAATCTTACTAATAGCTTCTCACCTCATACATTTTAGTTTTCTGAATATGTAATCATTTCACCTGTAAATAATACTTTTTATTTCCCTTTTCGTTATTTATGTTTTATTCTATAAGCTAATCTTACTGCATTGATTAGCACTTCCATGACAATGTTAGATAATAGCAGTGGGCGTTTTTGTTTTTTTTTTGGAGACAGAGTCTCCCTCTGACACCGAGGCTGGAGTGCAGTGGTGCAGTTTTGACTCACTATATCCTTCGCCCTCCGGGCTCAAGTGATCGTCCCACCTCAGCCTCCCAAGTAGCTGGGACCACAGGCCTGGGCCACCATGCCCAGCTA
Organism: Homo sapiens; assembly: GCF_000001405.40. Lineage (NCBI taxonomy): Eukaryota > Metazoa > Chordata > Mammalia > Primates > Hominidae > Homo > Homo sapiens. The sequence goes on from NC_000017.11 coordinate 49,139,405, forward strand.
TTTTTTTTTTCAGTAGAGACATTCACCATGTTGCTGGTCTCAAACTCCTGAGCTCAAGCGATCCGCCTGCCTCGGCCCCCCAAAGTGCTGGGATTACAGGCGTGAGACACCATGCCCAGCCTATTATGTTTTTAGAGATGGGGTCTCAGTTGCCCAGGCTGTAATGCAGTAGTGCGATCATAGCTCACTACAGCCTTGAACTCCTGGGCTCAAGGGATTCTCCTGACTTAGCCTCCTCAGTAGTTAGGACTATAGGCACATGCCACGGTGCTTGGCTATTTTTCAATTTTTTGTAGATACAGGGTCTTGTTTTGTTGCCCAGGACGGTCCTGAACTCCTGGCTTCAAGTGATCCTCCTGCCTAGGTCTCCCAAAGTGCTCAGATTATGGGCATGAGCCACTATGCCCGGCGAGGTTACATTTGAATTGCATTGTCAGAACGTATGATCTGAACGATTTCTACTTTATTACAGTTTTCTTTGTGTCCTAATACGTGGCCAACTTTTTTTTTTTTGAGACAGAGTCTCAAATTACCACTGTATTAGGGAAATATATATGAATAGATTGAGATACCTTCTTTTTATTCTTGACTAGAATAGCTCAATTTTGTAGAGATGTAACTTTGCCCTATATTAATTTATAAATATAATATAATATAATTTATAATAACCACGTGAATAAAAGCAAAACAGGATTTTCTTTCTTTTTTTTTTTTGAGACAGAATCTCTCTCTCTTGCCCAGGCTGGAGTGCAGTGGCGTGATCTCAGCTCACTGCGACCTCCGCCTCCCAGGTTCACACCATTCTCCTGCCTCAGCCTCCCGAGTAGCTGGGACTACAGGCGTCCGCCACAACACCCGACTAATTTTTTGTATTTTTAGTAGAGATGGGGTTTCACCATGTTAGCCAGGATGGTCTCGATCTCCTGACCTCGTGATCCACCCGCCTTGGCCTCCCGAAGTGCTGGGATTACAGGCATGAGCCACCACACCCGGCATATGTGGCCAATTTTTATAAATGTTTTAAGAGCTCTTTAACAGAATACAAATTATATCATTTTGTTGTTCTGCTGCTTTAAAATATTTTTGAGACTTGATCAAGTGAGACATGTCAGCATCTCTAACTATCTTTGTATTTCTAATCCTTCTTTCATATCCTGCCATTTTTTACTTTGTATACTTTAATGCTATTATTAGTGGATAAAAGTTCACGGCTATCTGTTTTGGTATCATGCATTGATCACTATAAGTGGTCTTTCTGTCCTATTTAATACTCTTTTTTATTGCCTTGAATTTAGCTATGCTGACATTAACATTACTAACCTTTTTTTTTTTTTTTGAGGAGTCTCGCTCTGTCGCCAGGCTGGAGTGCAGTGGCGTGATCTTGGCTCACTGCAACCTCCGCCTCCCGGGTTCAAGCGATTCTCCTGTCTCAGCCTCCCAAGTAGCTGGCACTACAGGCACACGCCACCATGCCCAGCTAATTTTTGTATTTTTAGTAGAGGCTGGGTTTCACCATGTTGGCCAGGATGGTCTTGATTTCTTGACCGCGTGATCCGCCTGCCTCGGCCTCCCAAAATGCTGGGATTACAGGTGTGAGCCACCGTGCCCAGCCTCTAACCTTTTTTTTTTTCTGGATTTTTTTGCCATCCTTTTATTTGTAATTTTTCTAAGTCCCTTTGTTGCAACTTGATTCTTTCCTCCTCTGTTTATCAGAAATCGATTTTAGTGACCAATATAAGCTATGTGCTTAGCTTACATTTTTCCTGAAATTATCAGTCTCATATACATTACATAATCAAGAAAAAAGATTTTAACATAATCTGTTCTTTTGTGTCCCAACAGCTCGAGATTTCTGTGGCTCCTCAAGATATTGGTCATAATCCTGGTACTTGGCATTGTTGGATTTATGTTCGGAAGCATGTTCCTTCAAGCAGTGTTCAGCAGCCCCAAGCCAGAACTCCCAAGTCCTGCCCCGGGTGTCCAGAAGCTGAAGCTTCTGCCTGAGGAACGTCTCAGGAACCTCTTTTCCTACGATGGAATCTGGTGAGAGACTGCGTGTTCTTTCTTTCACCTTAATGCACACATCTTCCTTGCTCCTCCTCAAGTACCATGCCCTACTGTGCCCATTGTACAGATGGTTCCCTTGCTTTCCTAAGCCTGTGCTGAATGCACAAGTGACTGCAAGCCAGGATGGGGCTTGGTCTGTACGATCCAGTCTATGTTCTCTATAGCATCCAGCAAAATCCCTTAAAACTTTCGAGAGCATGTAGTTTTTTTTTATCAAAACTGCAGAAAAGATGCTGCTTCTCTGTCTCTCTGCCCTCCTTTTATGGTGGGGTGAGATACAACTGACAGTCACGTGGCTCTCAGATTTAAAGAAGTTAGGTGCAGGGGACAATTCAAGAGAGGAAAAGTCTTCAGCCTTCCTCTGTCCCTGCTTCCCTCCCTTTGTCCCCTTGTCTCTGTGAGGGGCCAGTGCAGGGGACTCCAGGGTCTCATCATCTCAGAACAGTTGGGTGTAGGAAAGAAGATTTTCAGGGTAAACTACACACTGGATTAGGACTCCGGTTTCCTCTCACCCACCAGCCTACCCACCCAATCCATGTTTACAGTCCTCTTGCTTGTTTCAGGCTGTTCCCGAAAAATCAGTGCAAATGTGAAGCCAACAAAGAGCAGGGAGGTTACAACTTTCAGGATGCCTATGGCCAGAGCGACCTCCCAGCGGTGAAAGCGAGGAGACAGGCTGAATTTGAACACTTTCAGAGGAGGTAATGCGGGTCATGAAGGCCCTTGGGTTCTGAGATGGAACAAAAGCCCTCCCTATGTCCTGAGGTTGTGAATCTTAAGAGAAAAAGCAGGAAGGAATTCTCTCTCTTGCAAGGGTCCCTGGGAGGAACTATTAGGAATGAAACAAAGAAGGAATCGAGGAAATCATCCTTAAATGAAGATTTACAAAACTTTGTATGTACAAAACATTTCATAACAACAACAACAACAACAAAAAGCTGGGATTGGTGACACATGTCTGTCATTCTAGCACTTTGGGAGGTCAAGATGGGAGGATAGCTTGAGCCCAGGAGTTTGAGACCAGCTTGGGCAATATAGTGAGACCCCCATCTCTACAAAACATTTTTAAAATTAGCCAGGCATGATGGTACATGCCTGTAGTCCCAGCTACTCAGTAGGCTGAAGTGAGAGGATCACTTGAGCCCAGGAAGTTGAAGCTGCAATGAGCCAGGATCACACCACTGCACTCCAGCTTGGGCAACAGATTGAAACTGTGTCTCCAACAAAAGCAAAAACAAAAACAAAAACAAAAACAAAAAAAACAAAAGGAATGGAGATAGTTTGAAACATCTGGTGGTACATCCTCCATGCACCCAGGCCATCATAGCAGGTGATTTTGTAGTCATCACCAAGGTGCCCTATTTTATTCATTTATATGTTGAGAGCATACTACCCTGTGCTATATGCAAGGAGTGTATCCCTTTGTTTTAAATTACAAGGGGTGTCAACACTCAGGTGTATCAACCAGGGTTGTTGGTTGAAAAAGGCAGAATTTGGCTGGGCGCGGTGGCTCACGCCTGTAATCCCAACACTTTGGGAGACTGAGGTGGGCGGATCACTTGAGGTCAGGAGTTCGAGACCAGCCTGGCCAACATGGTGAAACCCCATCTCTACTAAAAATACAAAAATTAGCTAGGCATGGTGACGCACGCTTGTAATCCCAGCTACTTGGGAGGCTGAGGCAGGAGAATCACTTGAACCCAGGAGGTGGAGGTTGTAGTGAGCTGAGATTGTGCCACTGCCCTCCAACCTGAGCAACAGAGCAAGACTCCATCTCAAAAAAAAGAAAAGAGAAAAAACAAACAAACAAACAACAACAACAACAAAAACAAAAAAACAAAAAACAAGAAAAGGGCTGAACTTGATTCTGCCTGGCTTGTATCAAAAGGGAACTTGTTAGAAGGATGCTGGGGCCTTACCAAATCCATAGGTGGTAGGATGTCCAGGCTAGGAAATCAGGTAAGAACTAACGGAGCACTGAAGAACTGGTCAGGCTCCAGGGCCATCTGGTCCCCATATTGTTGTTGCTTCTGCAATGAACTGTCCCCAGGTTACTGCCTTAGTGCTCAATTAACTGAGCCTAACTCATGAATCAAAAGGAAGGGAAAGGGTGCATCAGACCCCTCCAGGTTTGACTTTTGAAGCTAGCCACTGTCTTAGTCCGTTTTCTGTTACTATAGCAGAATACTGCAGACTGGGTAATTTATAAAGAAAAGGTAAGTTTATTTAGCTTACGATTCTGGAGGCTGAGAAGTCTAACAGCACGGTGCTGGCATCTGGTGAAGGCTTCTTGCTACATCATAACATGGTGGAGGGTACCACATATTGACAGGGCAAGAGCACATGCATCAGCTGAGGTCTCTCTTCCTCTTCTTATAAAACTACCAGTCCCTTGGTTGGGCATGGTGGCTCACGCCTGTAATTTCAGCACTTTGGGAGGCCAAGACAGGTGAACCACCTGAGGTCAGGAGTTCGAGGCCAGCCTGGGCAACATGGCGAAACTCCATCTCTACTAAAAATATAAAAATTAGCCAGGCTGTGGTGGTGAGTGCCTGTAGTCCCAGCTACTCAGGAGGCTGAGGCAGGAGACTCACTTGAACCTGGGAGGTGGAGGTTGCAGTGAGCTGAGATCAGACCGCTGCACTCACTCCAGTCTGGGTGACAGAGTGAGACTCCATCTCAAAACAACAACAACAATAACAAAAACCACCAGTCCCATCATGGGGTCCCTACCTGATGACCTTATCCTAATTACTTCCTAAAGGCCCCTACCTCCAAACAACATATGAATTTGGGAATTAAGTTTCTAACACATGAAATTTGGGGAACACATTCAAACCATAGTAGCCACTACCCTCCAAATTACATGCAAGTGGAAGGCTCCCCAGAAGACAGATGGAGGCACCGTCTCCATCAGGAGGTGTTGAAAGCTGGACAGCCAGTGGAATACACAGGTGATGCTGGCATGGATTTCAACCCTGGTGCACCTAGCTATGTGAGGAGCAACTGGTCTTGGTAGTTAACAGTGCTGCCGCGGGAAGCTGACTGGCTGCATTCAGGTCCTGCATCCTCTATCTGCCAGCTAGGTGATCTTGGGCAAGCTGCTTAATCTCTGTAAAATGAGGATGCTAATAACACCTAGCTCCAGTTGGGCATGGTGGCTCACGCCTGTAATACCAGCACTTTGGGAGGCCAAGACAGGCAGATCACCTGAGGTCAGGAGTTTGAGACCAGCCTAGCCAACATGGTGAAACCCCATGTATTAGTCAGGGTTTTCTTAGAGGGACAGAACTAACAGGGGGGAGAGAGAGAGAAAGCGAGAGAGAGAATTTATTAAGTATTAACTTACATGATCACAAGGTCCCACAACAGGCTGTCTGCAAGCTGAGGAGCAAAGAGAGCCAGTCCAAGTTCCAAAACTGAAGAAGCTGGAGTCCAATGTTCGAGGGCAGGAAGCACCCAGCACTGGAGAAAGATGTAGGCTGGGAGGCTAGGCTCATCTCATTGCTTCACGTTTTTCTGTCTGCTTTATATTCGATGGCGTCTGATTAGATGGTGCCCACCCAATTAAGGGTGGGTCTGCCTTCCCCAGCCCACTGACTCAAATATCAGTCTCCTTTGGCAACACCCTCACAGACACACCCTGGATCAATATTGCATCCTTCAATCCAATCGAATTGACATTTAGTATTAACCAGCACAAGTCCACCCCTTGTCAACTTGAACCCATACACATCTCCTGAGATCATACATAATCTTCAAATAAAGACAATAATAAGGTTATAATTATGCCTAACATAATACAACTATCTTTTGTACGACCAGAAACGCACCAATCCCCAACCCAAATACTATTACATAAAGTTAACAATACTTAGATGCTGATATGAAGTCAATAAATCTTACGTCACATGATAAAGGAAAAGGAAATAAAATGAAGATATTTTCTTAGTACAAGTGTGTATATGCACAAACATGTTTTTAACAAAAGAAAGAGGAAATACTCATGACAATTACAGTCCTCATTTCTGCAGCTGGTCACATGGTCGTAGCTGGTATTGATTATCTTCTTTTACTACCCATTCTGTATTCCCCTTGCCTTCAGCAAGCACCTCAGCAGGTAATGTTTTTTTTCCTGGTGGAGTGACCCAAACCTTCATTCCTGAAGGGTCTGGGTCATTTGTAGCCCTGCCTGGATTGGGCTATTGTAGTTTCCCATTGACCTTAATCACAGGGCATGGTAATACTAAGAGACACCCTAATGGATCTCCTGTATTCCATGTGCACTCTTCCTTACCTCCATTGTGGAGTAGTAGACTGATTTTATCTTGATAGCCCGGGTCAATCACCCCAGCTAACACAGTAACTTCCTTCTTAGCCTGTTGACATAAAGGTAGGAGGAGTCCAAAGTGTCCAGGTGGCAATATTAACTTCCACTTTAATGGAATTGTTGTTGTGTACACTGGTGGCAGCGTTCCTCCCTCTGGAACTAAGACCTCTAGGCCAGCAGAACATAATGTTGCGGGAACAGGAAGCAAAAATTTTGCTAGTGGATCACTAGGGGTGATGGTGAGTAGTGCTACTTCCCCTCTTTGATTCCTGGACCCGTGAATCCTGGCCATGGGAGAATCAGTACCATATATTGGACACTGATTCAGAGCATACATGGCCTTCTGGAGAACTTTGCCTCAGCCCTGCAAAGTATTGTCACCTAGTTGGCATTATAATTGTGACTTCAAAAGGCCATTCCACCGTTCTATCAATCCAGCTGCTTCAGGATGATGGGGAACATGGTAAGACCAGTGAATTCCATGAGCATGAATCCATTGCCGCACTTCTTCTTCTTCTTTTTTTTCAAGATGGAGTTTTGTTCTTGTTGCCCAGGCTGGAGCGCAATGGCACGATCTCAGCTAACTGCAACCTCCACCTCCCAGGCTCAAGCAATTCTTCTGGCTTAGCCACCCGAGTAGTTGGGATTAAAGGTGCACGCCACCACTCCCTGTTAATTTTTGTATTTTTTATGGAGATGGGGTTTCCCCATGTTGCCGAGGCTGGTTTTGAACTCCTAGCCTCAAGTGATCCACCCACCTTGGCCTCCCAAAGTGCTGGGATTACAGGCGTGAGCCACCATGCCTGGCCCAACACTGTCTTTTCTTAATTTCCATTGCTGACTACTCCATAGGGATCCTCAAATTCTAGCTAAGCCATGTGTCTAAACATTCCTGTCTGATTGAGGGCTCCTTAAGGTGGGAATGTAGTTTTCCCATCAGTCCAAGGCCTCTATGAGAGCTAAACTGTCCTCCATCAGACTGGAAGGTTCATGATTACAAGGGCTATGTCTCCTCCCTTAGACTGGTACTTCTAAGATTGGGCTCTCTCTCCTTCCTTAGATTAGGGATTCCCTGAAGGTTGGCACTGCTCTTGCAGGATGTCTTCAGCTAATGAAATTACATATGATAAATAACCCAGAATCATTTGCTCCCTGGCCAATGTCACATAAGCTATATAAATCTCTGGAGTATATACAGGAGATGTTTCTTAATTTACATTCTTCGTTACATGTTGGATGAGGTAATCTGGCAAAATTGCATTTAGAGACCACATCTGTTATCCTCCGGAGAATGCATGACTGATGTGGAAGGAATGACCCGGGGATCCATATAGGATGACTAATTAAGAGGATGTTTGTGCCTCTTGTCTGTATCCTTGAAATTACAAATAGAGCTTGATACTGGATGAGATCTCTGACTCAGTTGAGGCTGATTGGTCAATCTGATCCTGTGTGTTAGTGCTACATTATACTTCCATTAAAAAGCAGCATGTGTAATGCTCCTCTAAGAAAAAGTTCATTTTTTTCCTCTTCTTTTCTTGTTTTCTTTTTCTTTATTCTTTTCTTTTCTTTCTTTCTTTTTTTTTTTTTTGAGACAAGGTCTGGCTCTGCTGCCCAGGCTGGAGTGCAGTGGTGCAATCTCTACCCACTGCAACCTCCACTTTCTGGGCTCAAGGGATCCTCCCACCTCAGCCTCCCAAATAGCTGGGACTACAGGTGCATGCTACCATGCCTGGCTAATTTTTGTGTTTTTTTGTAGATATGGGGTTTTGCCATGTTGCCCAGGCTTGTCTCAAACTCCTGAGCTCAAGCAATCCAGCTGTCTCAGCCTCCCAAAGTGCTGGGAATACAGGCGTGAGCCACCATGCCTGGCCAGAAAAAGTCCATTTTAACCCACTCCCCTGACCACTACCACTGCTATTCTCGTCCCTTTCTTAAATGATAGGTTCCCTTGTAAACCTAGCTAAGGAGTCTGCCATTATGAATTTGGTATGTATTATTCCACACTATTTTTAAATACTGTTATATACATGTATGTTATATATATATGTGTGTGTGTGTGTGTATATATATCCATATAAACATATACTGTTGGTTTTTTGTGTATTTTAGTGTACTTGGTACCATAAAAACAAATCACTCTGAAATTTGTTTTTTTATTCAATTATATATATATATATATATTTCAGATTATAAGTTTATTCAATGCAAAATAATCCTCTGGGTGGGTGTGGTGGCTCATGCCAGTAATCCTAGCACTTTGGGAGGCTGAGGCAGGTGGATCACCTGAGGTCAGAAGCCCAGCCTGGCCAACATGGTGAAACCCTGTCTCTACTAAAAATACAAAAATTAGTCGAGCGTGATGGTGGGCGCCTGTAATCCCAGCTACCCAGGAGGCTGAGGCAGGACAATCACTTGAACCTGGGAGGTGGCAGTGGCAGTGAGCTAAGATCGTGCCGCTGCACTCCAGCCTGGGCGACAGAGTGAGATCCTGTCTCGAAAAAAAAATAAAAACAAAACAAAAGTCCTCTCCAATTTTACTGAGGTGGCTGACCACATCCACAACCAAATCTGCCTCTTACTGGAATTTGGTTGTTGACACAGCCTCAGCCTCGGCATTCTTGTTGGCAGCAGGCTGTGGGCTTCCCCACTTGTGGGTCTTGCAGGTGGCTCACCCTCCAGACCTTCAGGCAGAGACCTGCCAGTCTCTGGACAGCTGTGGCATAAGGTGGCAAGCACAATCTCTGGGGGCAGATGGAGGTCATCATGGAGATACTGGATACCCTTGTTGGTAAGGTACGCGTAGAAATGTCTCCAGGCAAACCGTTCCTGCACAAAGCCTCCGGACTTGAGAGACTGCACAACCTTCATGACATGAAGGTCGGGCACCTTCTTGTCTGCCAGCTCCAGGTGCTTAGGCATGTGGACATCCTTCTTGGCCACCGTGACTCCCTCCTTTAAAAGGAGTTCATAGGGCTGGGTGCGGTAGCTCACACCTGTAATCCCGGCACTTTGGGAGGCCGAGGCAGGCGGATCACGAGGTCAAGAGATCAAGACCATCCTGGCCAACATGGAGAAACCCCGTCTCTATTAAAAATACAAAAATTAGCTGGGCGTGGTGGCATGTGCCTGTAGTCCCAGCTACTTGGGAGGCTGAGGCAGGAGAATCGTCTGAACCTGGGCGGTGGAGGTTGCAATAAGCCGAGATCGTGCCACTGAATTCCAGTCTGGCGACAGAGCGAGACCTTGTCTCAAAAAAAAAAAAAAAGGAGTTGATAAATGCATTCCCGTTCTTCTTAGGCATCAACATCTCGGTGGCTGCAGGGTCTGGGGCCAGAACTGGAAAGGAGTATGAAATGTTTTTAAGAGCTATGTGTATATCTAGTTCATCCCTCTGAATTGCAATATAGCTATGAATATGAATATGCTGCATTTTACTAAGCCACTTCCCTATTGAAAGGTATTTAGATTGTTGAAAAACCTTCATGTTTACATTTACATTATTTACAATAATATTACATTATATTTACATTATTTCCTTTTTCATTAAGACATGTATAAGGGCCAGGCGCGGTGGCTCACACCTGTAATCCCAACACTTTGGGAGGCTGAGGTGGGCGGATCACTTGAGGCCAGGAGTTCGATACCAGCCTGGCCAACATGGTGAAACCCCATCTCTACAAAAAAATACAAAAATTAGCTGGACATGGTGGTGTATGCCTGTAATCCCAGCTAGTCAGGAGGCTGAGGCAGGAAAATCGCTTGAACCCGGGAGGTGGAGTTTGCAGTGAGCCGAGATCACACCACTGCATCTTGCCTGGGTGACAGAGTGAGTGAGACTTCGTCTCAGAAAAAAGAAAAATACACGTATAAGGATGTTCATTTCAAACAATGCTGAAATGAACATTCTTGTGCTTGTCTTATTGCTTACACATGCAAGCATTTCTCCTTTCACCTAGCATCTTACTTGCTAGATCCCAGGGTGTGCCTTTTTTATTTTTGATAGATATTGCCAAATTTCCCTCAAGAGGGCTTGTGTGAACTCACACTTTCATGAAGAGTGGGTAAGTGTTGCACCTTACATACACCTAACTAACGTTTGCTATCATCACATTTTCAAACTTTAATGAAAAAGGTATTCCATGTTTTTTTTAATTCACATTTCCCTGATTGAAGCTGAGTATGTTCCATATGTTCATTGCCATTTGTATTTCCTCTTCCGTTAATTACCTGTTTATGTTCTTTACCATTTAAAAATTTTGGAGGTCGGGGGGGGTCAGCCCCCCACCTGGCCAGCCGCCCCGTCCAGGAGGTGAGGGGCGCCTCTGCCCGGCCGCCCCTACTGGGAAGTGAGGAGCCCCTCTGTCCGGCCAGCCGCCCCGTCCGGGAGGGAGGTGGGGGGGTCAGCCCCCCGCCCGGCCAGCCGCCCCGTCCGGGAGGGAGGTGGGGGGGTCAGCCCCCCGCCCGGCCAGCCGCCCCGTCTGGGAGGGAGGTGGGGGGGGTCAGCCCCCCCCGCCTGGCCAGCAGCCCCGTCCGGGAGGTGAGGGGCGCCTCTGCCTGGCCACCCCTACTGGGAAGTGAGGAGCCCCTCTGCCTGGCCACCACCCCGTCTGGGAGGTGTACCCAACAGCTCATTGAGAACGGGCCATGATGACAATGGCGGTTTTGTGGAATAGAAAGCGGGGAAGGGTGGGGAAAAGATTGAGAAATCGGATGGTTGCCGTGTCTGTGTAGAAAGAGGTAGACGTGGGAGACTTTTCATTTTGTTCTGTACTAAGAAAAATTCTTCTGCCTTGGGATCCTGTTGATCTGTGACCTTACCCCCAACCCTGTGCTCTCTGAAACATGTGCTGTGTCCACTCAGGGTTAAATGGATTAAGGGCGGTGCAAGATGTGCTTTGTTAAACAGATGCTTGACGGCAGCATGCTCGTTAAGAGTCATCACCACTCCCTAATCTCAAGTACCCAGGGACACAAACACTGCGGAAGGCCGCAGGGTCCTCTGCCTAGGAAAACCAGAGACCTTTGTTCACTTGTTTATCCGCTGACCTTCCCTCCACTATTGTCCTGTGAACCTGCCAAATCCCCCTCTGCGAGAAACACCCAAGAATGATCAATTAAAAAAATAATAATAAAAAATAAAAATTTTGCCTTTTTCATATTACCGTAAGTATTCACTATGATGATCTAATCTTTTTTTTCAAGGTAATTAAATGATCTCCTGCTTAAACTGGGTCCCGAAGGCTAACATTTCAACCATTGTACCGTAGTTCCTCAAAAAGCTAATCTTAGGCCGGGCGCGGTGGCTCACGCCTGTAATCCCAGCACTTTGGGAGGCCGAGGCGGGCGGATCACGAGGTCAGGAGATCGAGACCATCCCGGCTAAAACGGTGAAACCCCGTCTCTACTAAAAATACAAAAAATTAGCCGGGCGTAGTGGCGGGCGCCTGTAGTCCCAGCTACTTGGGAGGCTGAGGCAGGAGAATGGCGTGAACCCGGGAGGCGGAGCTTGCAGTGAGCCGAGATCCCGCCACTGCACTCCAGCCTGGGCGACAGAGCGAGACTCCGTCTCAAAAAAAAAAAAAAAAAAAAAAAAAAAAAAAAAAAAAAAGCTAATCTTGCTGGATGGTGCTATGTGCTTGCTTTTGACTAAAGATTGTTATTGGCCGGGTGTGGTGGCTAACATTTGTAATCCCAGCACTTTGGGAGGCCAAGGCATGCGGATCATAAGATCAAGAGATCAAGACCATCCTGGCCAACATGGTGAAACCCCGTCTCTACTAAAAATACAAAAATTAGCCGGGCATGGTGGTGTGTGCTTGTAGTCCCAGCTACTAAGGAGGCTGAGGCAGGAGAATCACTTGAACCCAGGAGGCAGAGGTTGCAGTGAGCTGAGATCGCACCACTGAACTCCAGCCTGGCAACCTAGCGAGACTCTGTCACAAAAAAAAAAAAAAAATCGTTATCAACAACCAAAAAAACCATAAAAATAGTTACTCTGTTTCCTCTAAAAATATTGTGACAACAATTACTCCCATATACACTTTCTTGTGATTTAGTTTATTTATTATTTCAGCGGTAGGAGAAGTTCCACCTCCCTTCAGGAATTGGTCTACTTCTTCCTTTGGATATTAAGGACCATGTGATGATTGTCAATCGCTTTTATCCTGGTTCCCACGAAGTTCAGATGTGACTTTGGTGTTTAGCTGCTGCAGCTGGGTGGGCCCCTACCGTCTGATAATTTCCTTCTTCTATGCTGGTCATGGTTTTTTTTAAAAAAAATATGCTTTGTTAGCCAGGCATGGTGGCTCTCTCCTATAGTCCTGGCTTCTCTGACAGCTGAGGCAGGAGGATTGCTTGAGCCCAGCGGTTGGAGACCAGCCTGGGCAACATAGTGAGACCCTATCTCTACAAAAAAATTTTAAAAATTAGCTGGGCTTGGTGGCATGTACCTGTAGTCCCAGCTATGAAAAGGCTGAGATGGGAGGACTGCCTGAGCCAGGGAGGTCAAGACTGCTGCGAGCCGTGATTGTGCCACTGTACTCCAGCCAGGGTGACAAAGTGAAACCCTGTCTCAAAAACAAAAATGCAGCCAGGTGCGGTGGCTCACGCCTGTAATCCCAGCACTTTGGGAGGCCAAGGCAGGTGGATCACTTGAGGTCAGGAGTTCAAGACCAGCCTAGCTAACATGGTGAAACCCTGTCTCTACTAAAAATACAACAAAATTAGCCGGGCGTGGAGGCGCACTCCTATAATCCCAGCTACTAGGTAGGCTGAGGCAGGAGAATCGCTTGAGCCCGGGAGGCGGAGCTTGCAGTGAGCCGAGATCGCACTATTGCACTCCAGCCTGGGTGACGAGAATGGAGGGAGACAGGGACAACCCAATTTTGATTTCTCCATATTGTCAGGGCAAGGCTCTGTGCACAGGCACCACTTTGAGAACGAACCAGGGACCAGCATCAGGGCAGCTGCTGACGTTTCTGTTCTCCTTCCTGCAGAGAAGGGCTGCCCCGCCCACTGCCCCTGCTGGTCCAGCCCAACCTCCCCTTTGGGTACCCAGTCCACGGAGTGGAGGTGATGCCCCTGCACACGGTTCCCATCCCAGGTAAGTACATCCACATACCAAGAGACCCCAGACAACATTCTCACTCTTCTAAGGCAAAAGGAGGGAGAGGTCGGGTGCAGTGGCTCATGCCTGTAATTCCAGCACTTTGGGAGTCCAAAGCAGGAGTTCAAGACTGCAGTGAGCTATCATCTTGCCAATACACTCCAGCCTGGGTGACAGAGTGAGACCCCGCTGTCTCTTAAAAAAACAACAACATAAAAGGGGCCGGGTGCTGTGCTCACGCCTGCCTATAATCCCAGCACTTTGGGAGGCTGAGGTGGGTGGACTGCTTGAGCTCAGGAGTTTGAGACCAGCCTGGGCAATATGGCAAAACCCTGTCTCTACAAAAAATAGAAAAATTAGCTGGATGTGGCGGTGGGCAACTGTAGTCCCAACTACTTGTGGGGTTGAAGCAGAAGGGTTGCTTGAACCTGGGAGGCCGAGGCTGCAGTGAGCAGAGATTGTGCCACTGCACTTCAGCCTGGGTGACAAAGTGAGATCCTGTCTCAAAAATAGATAAAAAATAAATAAATAAAAGTATGGAGCAGACATTCATTGGTACCTGCTGTGTACTCAGCACAAGGCAAGAAGCTTGATGTGATTTTTTTTTTTTTTATTGCGACGGAGTCTTGCTCCATCTCTCAGGCTAGAGTGCAGTAGCATGATCTCGGGTCACTGCAACCTCCACCTCCCGGGTTCAAATGATCCTCCTGCCTCAGCCTCCCAAGTAGCTGAGATGACAGGCATCTGCCACCATGCCTGGCTAATTTTTTGTATTTTTAGTAGAGACGGGTTTTCACCATGTTGGCCAGGCTAGTCTCGAATTCCTGACCTCAAGTGATCTCCTCACCTCGGCCTCCCAAAGTGCTGGGACTACAGGCATGAGCCACCGCGCCTGGCTTGATGTGATTTCATTTCATGTTAGCCTTATTGTATCCACAACTGGGAATCTCCTTTAGTAGCCATGACCTCCTGGGGCTCCAAGATAACACAGGAGAGGACAGAAATCTGTGTGCCTCAAAGAATCTTAGGACATAATTGGCTTTTCAATGTCCTCCATCATCATGGGAACAGGCAAAACATAAGCCACTCTGTAAAAAGTGCTTTTTTTTTTTTGGGGACGGAGTCTTGCTGTCACCCAGGTTAGAGTGCAATGGCATGATCTCGGCTCACTGCAACCTCCTCCTCCTGGGTTCAAGCCATTCTCCTGCCTCAGCCTCCCAAGTAGTTGGGATTACAAGTGCCCACCACACCTGGCTAATTTTTGTATTTTTAGTAGAGATGGGGTTTCACCATGTTGGCCAAACTGGTCTCGAACTCCTGACCTCAGGTGATCCACCTGCGTTGGCCTCCCAAAGTGCTAGGATTACAGGCATGAGCCACTGAGCCTGGCCGGGAGTGCATTGTGAAAAGAATATTTATGTTGGTTAAAACTGCCCTCCATGATGGATTTTTACACACCCCTCTAGTTCAGCATCACATTCCTCATCAGAATAAAGTTGAATATTATCAGAGGGACCAGAAGGATGAGCCTGCAGGCACAGATGTCCCCTCCCAGTGCAGAGATGTTGGATTCTGTGGGTCTGTCCAGTGAAGTCTTCTTCTGCTTGTGGGCTCATGGCTTCTGGAGGCAAACAGCCCCCCGAAACCTGCAAGCCCCAGAAAAGACCTCCAAGTAAGGTCTCGGTGTGGTGACACCTGGGGATCTGACATATCTCATGGACCCAGCCGAGCTCTCTCCAGGTCCAGCACTGAGGAGCATGACAGATACCTGAATTTCACAAACCACATCTCAAACAGGTGAGATGAGAATGACTGCCTGAGACAGAGGGGGATGCAGGACATCAACAGATGGCATGTCCCACACAGAAGGAAGGGCAAGGTCCCAGACAGGGGACAAAGGGGACAGGGAAGCAGAGATGAGAGTTTAGTAAGTTATCAAAGGCCACATAGAGAGGATGTACTTGAATTCAAATTTGAATTAGTCCTACTATGAGAACAGAGATAGATTCTAAAGTAAATGCATTTGGGGTCAAGCACTAGTGTTCTTGAATAGCCATCTTAAAAACTGTTTTTCATTTTGGATGATTCATTTCTTATTGTGATAAAATATATATAATGGGCTGGGTGCAGTGGCTCTTGCCTGTAATCCCACCACTTTGGGGGCTGAGGCGGATGGATCACTTGAGGTCAGGAGTTTGAAACCAGCCTGGCCAACATAGTGAAACCTTGTCTCTACTAAAAATACAAAAATTAGCCAGGCATGGTGGTACATGCCTGTGGTCCCAGTACTCGTGAGGAGAATTGCTTGATCCTGGGAGGCGGAGTTTGCAGTGAGCTGAGATCACACCACTGCACTCCAGCCTGGATGACAGAGTGAGATTCAGTCTCAAAAAAAAAAAAAAAAAAAAAAAGGACTGGTGCAGTGGCTCACACCTGTAATCCCAGCACTTTGGGAGGCTGAGGCTGTTGGATCATTTGAGGTCAGGAGTTTGAAACCAGCCTGACCAACATGGTGAAACCCCATCTCCACTAAAAATCGAAAATTTGTCGAATGTGGTGGCTCACACCTGTAGTCCCAGCTACTCGGGAGGCTGAGGCAGGAGAATCACTTGAACTTGGGAGGTAGAGGTTACAGAGAGTTGAGATTGCGCCACTGCACTCCAGCCTGAGCGACAGAGTGAGACCCCATCTCAAAAAAAAATGTATATATATAAAATATAGAAACATATATATTATATTAATGTTATATAAAAACATATATATTATTATTTATAATATATAATATTTAAACATAAAATCAACAACTTTTTTTTGTTTTTGTTTTTGTTTTTTGAGACGCAGTCTTGCTCTGTCGCCCAGGCTGGAGTGCAGTGTCGAGATCTCGGCTCACTGCAAGCTCCGCCTCCCGGGTTCACGCCATTCTCCCGCTCAGCCTCCTGAGTAGCCGGGACTACAGGCACCCGCCACCATGCCCGGCCAATTTTTTTTTGTGTGTTTTTAGTAGAGACGAGGTTTCACCGTGTTAGCCAGGATGATCTCGATCTCCTGACCTCGTGATCCGCCCGCCTCGGCCTCCCAAAGCACTGAGATTACAGGCTTGAGCCACCGCGCCCAGCCAAAATTAACTATTTTAACCATTTTAAAGTGTATACTTCAGTGACATGAAGTATATTCATGTTGTTGTGCAACCATCAGTCACCACCAGAACTTTTCCATCATTCCCAACTGAAACTCTGTACCCATCCAACTGAATTCCCCACTGTCCCTCTCCCTGGCCCCTGGCAACCACCGTTCTGCTTTCTGTCTCTATGGGTTTGGCTACTCCAGGTGCCTTATACAAGATGATTCATTATTCATCCATTGCTTCCTCCCCTTCAGTGACAGAGATTCCCTGAAGGAACTGAATTAATTCACAGCCTCCAAAACTGAGGACGGGCATCAGAGGTTTTAGAACCGTTGGGGTTTGAGAAAGACCACGAAACACCACTTAACAGAGCCCTGGGGAGAGGCGCACGTGTCAGCAAACACTCTGGGCGGGAGGTGACACTTGAAGGAGCTCTCAAGGATGTGCAGGAGTCCATGAGGTTGGCGAGAGCAGCGGGGAGCTGCGATGTCTTTCATGAGCAGTTTTCTTTCCTTTTCCCTGTGTCCTCCAGGCCTCCAGTTTGAAGGACCCGATGCCCCCGTCTATGAGGTGAGTCCTTCTCCCAGCCCCTCTTTGCACTTGGTGTCCTGTCCTCATTCCCTCAACTGTGGCTGCTCTCAGCCTTTGACGGAGCCCCTGTCCAGATTCAAGGTCAGACATGAGCCCAAGGAGGGAGGGGATGGAAGGGTGTGTAGAAAACTTAACTTCTAGCCTTGGGAGTGGCTGGAGTTCCAGAGAGGACTTCCCAGACCACACTGAAGAATGGGACCCACTGGCTGCTGCTGCTTCTGGTGCAAGAGGAAGCGGCCACTACAGCCATGGGCTCTGGCACTGCGTGGCCTCTGTCAGGGTTAGGGCTGGCAGGACAGACGGTGCTTGTGCCCTGCCTTCCTTTCCCCACTTTATGCAGCTCCACATCAAGATCTTATGGTGCTATATCTGATCAGTGGGATGCAAATTGTGCCCAGAACCCTAACCAAGAGGAATCTGGGAAGTGTGGTTTTAGTTTTCCCACCTTTACATGTTGGTCAGAGGTTGGAATGGGTGATGAGTGAGCAGATCGGCAAGGCCTCCACCACCTGTCACCATGGAGTTCTTGTTTCTCTATGTTGTCTTCTTTTTTTGAGACAGGGTCTCACTCTGTCACCCAGTCTGGAGTGCAGTGCCGCAATCATGGCTCACTGCAGGCTTGACCTCCTGGGCTCAAGCAATCCTCCCGCATCAGCCTGTGAGTAGCTGGGACTGCAGGCACGCACCAACAAACCTGGTTAATTTTTTTTTTTTGAGATGGAGTCTCACTCTGTCACCTAGCCTGGAGTGCAGTGGTGCAATCTCTGCTCACTGCAACCTCCACCTCCCGAGTTCAATCGAGTCTCCTGCCTCAGCCTCCCAAGTAGCTGGGACTACAGGCATGCACCACTACACCCAGCTAATTTTTTGTATTTTTAGTAGAGACAGGGTTTCACCATGTTGGCCAGGCTGGTCTCGAACTCCTGACCTTAAGTGATCCATCTTGACCTCCCAAAGTGCTGGGATTACAGGCATGAGCCACCGTGTCTGGCCCCTGGTTACTTATTTTTTATTTTTAGTAGAGTTGTGGTCTTGCCATGTTGCCCAGGCTGGTTTTGAACTCCTGCGCTCAAATGATCCTCCCACCTCGGTCTCCCAAAGCAGTGGGATTACAGGCGTGAGCCATCGTGCCTGGCTATATTGTCTTCTTCGTAGTCCTGCTCTGGACCTGAATTCCCTGCTGCGCGTAGTTCCATGCTTATCATCTCTCTTCCACGCTGGAATACAAGCTTCACGAAGGAATTTACTGCTGTTTTCCCAGTGCCTGTAACTCGGTTTTTAGAAAGTGTCTGTTGACTGACTAGTATCAACAGTGTCGGGAGTGACACTATTCAATTTCCTTTAATAGATAACTGCGATGACTCACAGAAGGCAAGAGAAGAGAGTGGCTGTGGGGGTAGCAATGGGGTGGAGAGGAGTAAGCCAGTTCTAGCTGCATTTTGGAGGCAGAGCTGAGAGGACTTGCCGCCAGATGGGCTGTCTGTGTGCAGAAAAGGGTAGAGCAAGGAGGACTTCCCTTGGGGCCTGGAACAACTGAGTGGATGGAGGTGCCATCCACAAGGCAGAGGGAATGGAGGTGAGGGTGGGAGGAAACAGGTTTTTAGAGGAAAATCAGTAGTTCCATTTTGAAGACAACAAGTTTGAGTTGCTTGTGAAAGGTCCCAGCAGTTGGATCTCAGAAAGGTGAGCTGAGACTTACTACAATGTGACCCCATCTGCAAAAGAACGGGTTTTAAACCATGGAAACAGATGAAATCTAGCAGGAAGGTGTGGAGTAAGAAGGGAAAAGAGTCTAGGATTGGAGTTTGAGACCAGCCTGGCAAACACGGCGAAAGCCCGTCTCTACTAAACATACAAAAACAAATTAGCCACGTGTGGTGGCTCATGCCTGTAATCCCAGCTACTCAGGAGGCTGAGGCAGGATAATTGCTTTAACCTGGGAGGTGGAGGTTGCAGTGAGCTGAGATCATGCACTGCACTCCAGCCTGGGTGACAGAGCAAGACTCCATCTCAAAAAAAAAAAAAAAAAAAAAGGAATCCAGATCAAGGTCTGAAAAACTCCATTTGGAGATATATAGAGAGAGGAAGAGGAGTTGTCAAAGAGAGGTCAAAAAAGGCTGTGGGTGGAATAAGAAGCCAAGAAGAACGGAACCCTGCGAGCTGAGAGATGGGAATGTTTCCAGAAATGGGTCCTTTCATCCTTGGGGCCCTAGGACTTGGGGGATTGGGGGCGGGGGCGCTAGCACAGTGACTCCCTGCAGAGCCAGCCCTACACTGTCAAGGGCACCCTGGTGCTTCTCCCCTCACCCTTATGTGCTCTGCCCTGGCTCCTGGCCTGGGTATGTATGTATCTTTCCAGGGAGATATTTTCCAATCCCTGCATTGAGCATCATTCTACCTCACCCACCCTAGGTCACCCTGACAGCTTCTCTGGGGACACTGAACACCCTTGCTGATGTCCCAGACAGTGTGGTGCAGGGCAGAGGCCAGAAGCAGCTGATCATTTCTACCAGTGACCGGAAGCTGTTGAAGTTCATTCTTCAGCACGTGACATACACCAGCACGGGGTACCAGCACCAGAAGGTAGACATAGGTGAGAGCCTGTCCTTGGAGTGCAAAATGCTTAGGGATCCAGAAGATACCTCTGGGCCCTTTCAAAGTCTTCCTCCTTCAGGAAGCCTTCCTGTTTTTTGTGTTTTGTGTGTGTTTGTTTGTTTTGTTTTGTTTTGTTTTTTGAGACGGAGTCTCACTCTGTCACCCAGGCTGGAGTGCAGTTCTGTGATCTCTGCTCACTGCAACCTCCGCCTCCCAGGTTCAAGTTATTCTCCTGCCTCAACCTCCCAAGTAGCTGGGATTACAGGCACCTGCCACCATGCCCGGCTAATTTTTGTATTTTGAATAGAGACAGGGTTTCACCATCTTGGCCAGGCTGGTCTTGAACTCCTGACCTCGTGATCCACCTGCCTCAGCCTCCCAAAGTGCTGGGATTACAGGCGTGAGCTACAGCGTCTGGCCTGCCTGCCTGCTTTTAAGATTCCTTCCCTCTTTCCTCTTTCTAATCCCAGACACATAATTTCATAATTACTGTACCCAGTACTATCCCCACATTGCCATTGACCCCATAGAGCCACTCGAGGAGAGAACAAATCATGCTGTGCGCTTTGCACCTGGTGAGAACCATTCAGTTCTTTTCCCAGTCCTCTGCAGCTCTCAAAGCTGAAGATTTCCACTGCAGTAGAGGAGGGAGCCAGCCTGTGCCTCAGCATCTTGTCTTGGGCACTAATAGGAAAGAACTGGGAGAACTCCCCATTCCAAGGGCTTTGTCTCTCCCCTCCTTCCCTCCCACCAAGAAATTCTAGGGAGAACAATCCCTGCCACTCTCAGGGCAGCCTGAGTTTCCTTCTGGATGAGTTAAAAGCACCCTTTTCTCTTTTGACCGGATACACAGGATGCATTCCCAGGACATCAACAGAAAAAAATGTAACACGGTTACAGATGATATTCATGACCACTAGCTAAAGAGATAGTTCTCCCTACCTTCAGATTTTCAAACATTCCTCTTCATAAGATTACCCTGTGAGATAAAATAGGGTGGGTATTTTTATCCTGGTTTTGCAGACAGATAAAAAAATCAGATAGTAAATGGTAAAGTCAAACTTAGCCCAGACCCTCTGGTTTCAAGCCCACTCCACCCTAACACATTCTCACAGGGGAAGAAATGTGAACTTAGGAGTCATTCAGCACGTTGCCCCAGGGACACAGCAAGGCAGAAGCCTGAATGCCAGAGACTCTATGGGGTCCTTGATCTCATCCCAACCAGGACTCTCCCCACCAAACCTGTACTCGCCTGTCATGGTGGCTTCCCGGGGTGGCATGGAGTTTAATCCAGACATGATACTCCCTGTGCCATTATCTTATTTCTCCCTCCAGTGAGTCTGGAGTCCAGGTCCTCAGTGGCCAAGTTTCCAGTGACCATCCGCCATCCTGTCATACCCAAGCTATACGACCCTGGACCAGGTAAGGCCCTTGTCCTTGGGGCTCCGTGGTGGCAACCCTGTGAAGCTATTGGTGAAATTCAGAAGGGATCACCTCTGAGACGGAGGAGAATTGATCAAAATGACAGCTCTGATATGCTCCCTGACAAGCTTCGTTTGGAGGAAAAAAACTCTAAGACACAATCCCCTAAAATTGCTTAATTATATTTAACTTATTATGTGGTTGTGTGCTAATTTTGGGGAAAAAAGCTAAAAAATTATAACATTTTAGTAAGTAATAATAATAAAAAGAATGGTATTGAATCAAATTGGAAATCCTGATATAAACCCAATACATGTTGGAATTTCACTGTGTGATAAAGACATCTTGTCTGGCCGGGCGCAGTGACTCATGCCTGTAATCTCAACACTTTGGGAGGCCTAGGTGGGCAGATCACCTGAGGTCAGGAGTTCAAGACTAGTCTAGCCAATATGGTGAAACCCCATCTCTACTAAAAATACACAAATTAGCTGGGCGTGGTGGCAGGCACCTGTAATCCCTGCTACTCTGGAGGCTGAGGCAGGAGAATCACTTGAACCCAGGAGGTGGAGGTTTCAGTGAGCCAAGATTGCGCCACTGCACTCCAGCCTGGGCAACAGAGCAAGACTCTGTCTTGAAAAAAAAAAAAAGAGAGAGACAGCTTGTCAAATTAAAGGAGGACAAATGAACAAATTAAAAATTGGCTTTTCAAAAAATCACGTGAGATAATGGTGTAGCTATATGAAAGATAAAAAGTTGGATCCAAGTGTGATGGCCTGCACCTGTAATCCAGCTCACACCTCTAATCTCAGCTACTCAGGAGGCGGAGATGGGAGGATCGCTTGAGCCTGGGAGGTCAAAGCTGCAGTGAGCCAGGATCACCACTATACTCCAGCCTGTGCAACAGAGCAAGACCCTGTCTCAAAAAAAATTAACAATGAAAAATAACTTTTAAATTAGAAGTAAAACTTGAATATATGCCACAGTTCATACCAAGATAAATTCAAATTGATCAGATATCTAAATACATTTTAAAGTACTAGAAAAAAAACCTGTAGTTAATTTTTAATTAGCTGGGTATGGTGGCATGCACCTGTAATCCCAGCTACTGGGGAGGCTGAGGCAGGAGTATCATTTGAACCCTGAAGGCGGAGGTTGCAGTGAGCCGAGATCCTGCCACTGCACTCCAGCCTGAGCAACAGGGCAAGACTCCGTCTCAAAAACAAAAAAACAAAAAAACTTGTAGTTTCAAAAAACATTCTTAGGGTATAAGGCATGACACAAAACTCAGAGACCATAAAGAAAAAATTAAAAATATAAAATATATAAAATTTTATATATTAAAATTAGCAAATTTTTTTCTTTTTGAGACGGAGTCTTGCTCTGTTGCCCAGGCTGGAGTGCAGTGGCACGATCTCCGCTCACTGCAAGCTCCACCTCCCGGGCTCACACCATTCTCCTGCGTCAGCCTCCCAAGTAGCTGGGACTACAGGCGCCCGCCACCATGCCCGGCTAATCAAATTAGCAAATTTTAATAAGTAAAGTCAAATAACAAAGGACAAATTGGGAAAAAAATCTTCGATTCACATTAAAGACAAAGGTCTAATTTTACTTAAGAGCATCTATGACTCAATAAGAAAAGAACACCCAATAATGGAAAAATGCACAGTTCAGAAAAAATTAAATTCAGTAACACTTTTAGCCATTAAAATATATGCCCACTCTCACACTGAGAAAAGTGCATATGAAAACTACTTTCACATCAAAAGGTTTTGGACAGGGCTGGAAAAACAGCATATCAACTGTGGTTAGGAATGTAAATTGGCACCTCTCGGGAGGCAATTTGGCAGTTCCTATCAACATTTTAAATGTGTATATCCTTTAGGCCAGCAATTCCACTTCTAGAAATTATCCTACAGATATTTATATCTGTGTGAAATGACATTTGTTCGATTGCAGCGCTGTTTGCAATGACAAAAAACAGAATGGGCTGGGCTCAGTGGCTCACACCTGTAATCCCAGCACTTTGGGAGGCCGAGGTGAGCAGATCACTTGAGGTCAGGAGTTCAAGATCAGCCTGGCCAACATGGTGAAAACCCATCTCTACTAAAAATCCAAAAAATCCAAAATCAGGCATGGTGGTGCACGTCTGTAGTCCCTGCTACTTGGGAGGCTGAGGCAGGAGAATCGCTTGAACCTGGGAGGTGGAGGTTGCAGTGAGCCGAGATCATGCCATTGCACTCCAGTCTGGGTGACAGAGCCAGAAACTGTCTCAAAAAAAAAAAAAAAAAAAAAAAGGGCAAGAGGGTGGCACAGGGGGAGGGTTCTGGAACAACTTCTGTCCAAACGACTTCTGATTTTTGTCATTCTGGGAAAGTGGCTCTGTGCACTCACCCACAAACAGGTAGGGTTGTGGCTTCCAGCATGCATTAACTCCAGCTGGCCCCATGCCATGCAGACATGGCAACTGCACAGTCAGATGCCAGTTCTCCGTTTAGTGGCTGAATCCCAAACACATCTGCAGCTCCAGTTGTGGCATCACGGGGTCTTTTCCTTAGGAAAGCTGTCCCCTCTCCAGTCTCTTATACGTCACATGCCTTAAGATGGACAATTCTGTCCAGGCCTTGTGATCTCCAAGTATTTGGAGACATTTCTAACCATGTCTTCCTGAGGATAGAGATCAGGTAAGCTTTTCTCTAGGAGTTGCAGATGATGGTAGAAGCAAGTCTCAAGATTTGTAGATATTTTCTCCTCTTCCTGGGCTTCATGACCCTCCATATTGAACCCTTAGATGGGCAAAGCTCTGTGCATTTCAACTCCTAATATTAAGATGAAGGCCAGAAGCAGTGGCTCATGCCCATAATCCCAGCACTTTAGGAGGCCGAGGCAGGTGGATCACCTGAGGTCAGGAGTTTGAGACCAGCCTGGCCAACATAGTGAAACCCCATCTCTACTAAAAATACAAAAATTAGCTGGGTGTGATGGTGCATGCCTATAATCCCAGCTACTTGGGAGGCTGAGGCAGGAGAATCACTTGAACCTGGGAGGCGGAGGTTGCAGTGAGCCGACATTGCACCATTGCACTCCAGCCTGGGCAACAGAGGCAAAACTCCGTATCAAAAAAAAAAAAAAAAAAAAAAGGAAGAAAGCAGGACATAAGCAAAGTGCTAACAGGCAGGAGGTGTAAAATGAAGCATTCAGACAGACAGTTGGGAAATGACATAGTGGAGCCAACAGAACCAGGAAATGCAACAAATTGGGTATGTTGTAAATGTCTTTATTTTCTAATGCAACTAACAAACTCTTATTAAGCACCTCCTGGGTACAAGAGGCATGAGACCCACAGACACTGACAGGTTATGGCAGAAAGAAGCCATCAGATCAAAGCAGGAAAAGACAGTGAAGCTTCCTACAGGACAGAGCTCTGACACCCACTGTTTTCTGCCCAGAGAGGAAGCTCAGAAACCTGGTTACCATTGCTACCAAGACTTTCCTCCGCCCCCACAAGCTCATGATCATGCTCCGGAGTATTCGAGAGTATTACCCAGACTTGACCGTAATAGTGGCTGATGACAGCCAGAAGCCCCTGGAAATTAAAGACAATCACGTGGAGTATTACACTATGCCCTTTGGGAAGGTATGTCCCTCTCAGATTGGGTGGCACCTGCATTCCAGGACAAGAGGGCCCCAGGGTCAGGTTCTACCCTGGATGGGGCCGCTTCCTCAAGGGTCTTCCCAAGAAAGCAGAGTCCAGGAGTGGGAGTGGGTGAGGGCTGTCCTCTGAGTCCCATTGCTGATTCACAGAGAAATTGGTCACCCTCACTTCTCTGCATTCATGAGGTGGTTATTCCACCTTTCCTCATTTTTTTTTTTTTTTTTTTGAGATGGAGTCTTGCTCTGTCGCTCAGGCTGGAGTGCCGTGGCATGATCTCAGCTCACTGCAACCTCCACCTCCTGGGTTCAAGTGATTCTCCTGCCTTAGCCTCCTGAGTAGGTGGGATTACCAGCATGCACCACCACACCCGGCTATTTTTTGTATTTTTAGTAGAGGCAGGGTTCACCGTGTTGGGCAGGTTGGTCTCAAACTCTTGTCCTTAGGTGATCCGCCTATCTTGGCCTCCCAAAGTTTACAGATGTGAGCCATCACACCCAGCCTCTCATTTCTATTTTTTTATTTTTCATTTTTTTTGAGATGGAGTCTTGCTCTGTCACCTAGGCTGGAGTGCAGTGGTGCAATCACAGTGATCATGGCAGCCTCAACCTTAAAGGCTCAAGTGATTCTCTCACCTCTGCCTCCCTAGTAGCTGGGACTACAGGCATGCACCATAATGCCAGGCTAATTTTTTAAATTTTTTTGTAGAGATGGGGTCTCACTGTGTTGGCCAGGTTGGTCTCGAACTCCTGGGCTCAAGAGATCCTTTCACCTAGGCTTCCCAAAGTGCTGGGATTACAGGCGTGAGCCACTGTACACTGCTCCCATCTTTCCTCATTTCCGATGTGGAAATCGATTGGGGTCCTTATAAGCGACTTGAGGTCTCTGACATCTCAAAGATTCCTGACATGTAGAGAAATCTGTCATCTCCATGATTCTACCAGAGCTAGGGTCTTGGTCTCTCTCTCCTCTTTCCCTCTCTCCCTCTTTCTCCTTGACTCTCTCTCCCTCCCCACTCTCTCTTTCTCTCTCCTTCTCCCTCTCTTCTTCCCACCTTCCCTCTCTCCCCTACCTTTCTTCCTCTCCACTCTCTCTTTCTCTCTTCTTCCCACCCTCCCTCTCTCCCCCACCTCTCTCTCTCCTCCCACCTCTCTCTCACTCCCCACTCTCTCTTTCTCTCCCTCTCTTCTTCCCACCCTCCCTCTTCCCCCCACTGTCTCTCTCACTCCCCACTCTCTCCTTCTCTCTCCCTCTCTTCTTCCCACCCTCCTTCTCTCCCCTCACCTTTCTCTCTCCCTCCCCACTCTCTCTTTCTCTCTCCCTCTCTTCTTCCCACCCTTCCTCTCTCTTTCCCCCCACCTCTCTCTCTCCTTGCTACTCTTTCCCTCTCTCATTTTCTTCCTCCCTCTCTCTCCCCCTTCCTTCCTCCAAGGACAAAGGAGGAAACGAATATTATACATACCAGATGTCCTTCAAACTTGACATCTTACAGGAGACAAAAGGAGAGCCATAGAAACTGTCAGGTGAAAAGGGACTTCAGCCAATTTATATAGGCCACAGAGCCAAGGAATGACTTTCTAGCCTTTCTTTGTCTCAGTCTTTGATCCACACAGTCACTGTCCCTTCCAGACTTTCTCTGAGACATGGACTTCCTTCAACCCTGTGGTTCACAGCCTTGGCTGCACACTGGATTCGCTCGCACCAATTCTAATGGAATTTGTCTGGAGTGCATGCAGCCTGGCTGTTGGGAATTTAGAAAGCTCCCCAGGTGATTCTAATATGTAATATGGGCAACCACTCCTTTAACCTCATTTCATCTACAGGGTTGGTTTGCTGGTAGGAACCTGGCCATATCTCAGGTCACCACCAAATACGTTCTCTGGGTGGACGATGATTTTCTCTTCAACGAGGAGACCAAGATTGAGGTGCTGGTGGATGTCCTGGAGAAAACAGAACTGGACGTGGTAAGGGACAGTTGCCAGTTTCACCCAGCCACAATCTGTAGAGATGGAGAAGAGGGGAGAAGAGAGCGGGAAGAAATATATAAGAGAAGAGGAGGGGGAGGGAGGGGAGGGAGGGGAGGGAGAGGGGCTGGTGCAGGAGGTGAATAGGCCAGTGCAACCCAGGTGGAGAGTGCTGCACCAGCTCACGCCTCCATACTGACTTTTCTTTGAGTAAATTACACCTCCTCCCTCATTTGCAATTGTTTTCTTTTAAAATTGTGTGTTTATGCAGCATTTCTAACTCCCTCCGTTGACTAGTATGAGATTAAAGACAGGAGCATTCTGGTTCTATCACACAACATTAAAAACAGTATAAATGGTACAAAGCTTTAAAAGCACACACGGCACTAATGACATTCTAAAAAAGAATAAGAAGAGAATAATAAAAACAGCCTAGGTGTGATGGCTTACACCTGTAGTCCCAGCACTTTGGGAGGCTGAAGCAGGAGGATCGCTTGAGCCCAGGAGTTCAAGACCAGCCTGGGCAACATGGCAAAACCTCATCTGTATAAAGAAATACAAAAAATTAGCCAGGGATGGTGGTGTGCATCTGTAGTCCAAGCTACTCAGGAGGCTGAGGTGGGAGGATCACCTGAGCCCAGGAGGTCAAGGATGCAGTGAGCTGAGATTATGTCACTGCACTCCAGCCTGGACGACAGAGTGACACCTGTCTCAAAAAAAGAAAATAATAAAAACATCAAAAGTAAATTCACTGTAGAAAAGAAAAAGGGGCATGGATGAGAAGGTAAGTGGTGTCGTGATCACAGTTAACTCTACTGCAAGTGGACAATCCCCAAAACACCTAGATCAGCAAAGACATCTCTTGGCAACTCTTACAGAGACCAGATCACGATAACTTAAGAGAGAAGATGTTCCAGCTCATGTAACAACCACACTGGCAGCTGAGTTGGCTCCAGGATTATCCTGGATCAGCTTCTTTTTCTTGTTGCTCCTCAATCCTTTGGTCCCTGGCTGCATGGCCAGGAGGAAGAGGGGAAGAGGAAGTGAAGGGAGAGCAGGTTTCTTTTAAGGATGTGATGTAAACGTTTCTCGCATCGGTTCTAAATCATACCCCTTCAGCCAAAACTTTGTCACACAGTGAAACGTTGCTGCAAGGGAGGTGGGGAAATGCAATCTTTTTTTTCTTTAAATAATAAATGGGCTTTGTTTTTTATTTTTATAGATTGAGGGGGCCCAAGTGCAGATAGCTTATACACATGTATTACGTAGTGGTGAAGTCTGGGCTTTTAGTGTACCCATTACCTGCATAACGAACATTGTACCCCACAGGTAATTTTTCAACCCTCACCTACTCTTTTTTTTTTTTTTTTTTTGAGACAGAGTCTCGCTCTGTCACTTAGGCTGGAGTGCAGTGGCGCAATCCTGGCTCACTGCAGCCTCTGTCTCCCAGGTTCAAGGGATTCTCTTGCCTCAGCCTCCTGAGTAACTGGGACCATAGGCACATGCCACCATGCCCGGCTGATTTTTGTATTTTTAGTAGAGACAGGGTCTCACCATATTGGCCAGGCTGCTCTCGAACTCCTGACCTCAGGTGATCCACCCACCTCAGCCTCCCAAAGTGCTGGGATTACTGGTGTGAGCCACCACGCCCAGCCTAACCCTCAACCACTCTTAACCTCCTACCTTTTGTATTCTCCAGTGTCTATTATTCCACACCGTATGCCTGCATGTACCCATTGTTTAGCTCCCAGAAATGCAGTCTTTAGCTGACTAGTTGACTATGTCGTGAAACTCAGAAGGGTCATTTATTAAAAGGAAGAGGGAAAGAACGGGTGATGGGGGACAATGAGCAGACTTTACCACATCACCCTTAGAGGATTATGATTCTTTCAGAAATAGATGTACTTGCTCATCTGTTGTGCTCAGGCTCAAACATGAAAATGCACATCTCTTCCATGAGTGCATGGATAGGCAGCTCCAAGAGGTAAGCCAGGAGCAGAAAATACTAGGAAGACAGCTCGAGACAAACAGCTCCCTGCAAGAAATCTAGCAAGTGGAAACTCCGCAAATGGACCAGTGCACACAGGCTGCCTCTTACCTGTACTGCAGTACTCCTCTCCCAGTGGAAGGGAGTGAGTTATCTTCTTCTGGAAAGATAACCTTCTTTGGTCTTGGGTAAGGGTTACTCATGCCAAGGAGATTTTCTGGGGTAGGCAGGAAATGAAAGAGCCCAGGGACCCAACAGTGGTATAGTGAAAGCCATGGCCACAGCAGCAACGAGGGAGTAACTGAGGGATAATTTGAAGGATAGACAGAGAAATAACAATTCTTGTTATAACCGAGGTGCAGTCCAGCGAGTCTTCCTGGAAGAGGCAGGATGAATATTGATCTGCACTCTAACATGGATTTCTCTGCCTGCTGGCTAGGTAGGCGGCAGTGTGCTGGGAAATGTGTTCCAGTTTAAGTTGTTGCTGGAACAGAGTGAGAATGGGGCCTGCCTTCACAAGAGGATGGGATTTTTCCAACCCCTGGATGGCTTCCCCAGCTGCGTGGTGACCAGTGGCGTGGTCAACTTCTTCCTGGCCCACACGGAGCGACTCCAAAGAGTTGGCTTTGATCCCCGCCTGCAACGAGTGGCTCACTCAGGTGGGAAGGCTGAAAGAGTGAGGGAGGGAGCTGGGCTGGGAATTAGCTGCAGAAGTTTGTTCTTTCCAAGGGCTGTACCCGGCTGGCTGATCATAGTCGCTTGCCCAGTAGCAGTACATCCCTTTCCCCTTTCCCCTTTCTCCCCAGACTAGGGAGCTCTTGATCTCTCTTACCTCCCTCCTCACGTCTCTTTGACTTCTGTGTCTCCTGTAGGCTGCCCTTCTTTTCCTTCCCCTTCCTTTCCCTACAGCTCTGTCTTCTTCCTCCTTTCCCATGCTGCTTCATATTCTATTTTTTCAGAAATCCTTTCCTATTAACTGCTCTCTCTTTCCCTCTTACTCCATCAGCCCTGGAGTCCGCAGTTCTGTCCAGTTTGAAAGCCAATCTGTGCCACTCTGCCTCTGTGCCCATATCTCTGCCTGAGAAATGAGCTTATTTATTTCCTTCCAACTCATCAGCAGGGACAGGCTCCTAGAGTTAAGGGTGTGGCTTCACGTGGGGCTGAACCTCCCCAGTGTATGAACTGTGTCCTCTCCCTGGGACTCTCCCCCACCAGACCTAGAATAGTGCCCACTTTTCTGACCGCAGCTCCCACTTCCTTCTGCTCTCCCTCTCTTTGCAGAATTCTTCATTGATGGGCTAGGGACCCTACTCGTGGGGTCATGCCCAGAAGTGATTATAGGTCACCAGTCTCGGTCTCCAGTGGTGGACTCAGAACTGGCTGCCCTAGAGAAGACCTACAATACATACCGGTCCAACACCCTCACCCGGGTCCAGTTCAAGCTGGCCCTCCACTACTTCAAGAACCATCTCCAATGTGCCGCATAAAGGTGTGAGGGCATAGGAGAAACACTAGGCTGGCTGGTTATGGTATCTATAGCAGGCCACCAAAAACTGGACTCCTGATAGGTGAACGTTGTACCAAACCAGCTGGTGGGTAGGGAAAAGGGAAATGGCTCAGTTACTGGAAGTACCAATCAAAGGTGAAGGGTCACTGGAAATGAACCAGTCACTGACCAGGGCAATGGAGACTGTATTAATAGCAATGATGATTTGTACAATGCCCTGCCTTTTTTGAAGCATTTGCATGGGCAGTATCTCACATCATCTCATCTGATATCACACAAAGATGACATTGGTTGGTGTCCTCAGTCAAAAGAACAGCTGCCTGGTCCTTGATAGTTGTTTGGTGGAAATTCTGTCACAGTCAGAAGCATCGGATCCAGCATCACTGTCATCCCTATATTTTTATTAGGTTCTATCTTGTAGACTCAAAAAATGTGAACATTCCAGGGTCCTTGCCTTGAGGAGGTTTGCAGCCTGGTTCAGTTCAGTCCAATCACAGAATTAGGCAGCCGGGGTCAGAGGATCAGAGAAGGGAAGGGGTCACCAGGTCCCAGGTGGTGGAGGAAGACTCCGTGGAGTGAACTTGTTAGGAGCCTGAAAGCAGACATTCAGGCATCAGAGAGGGTAGGAGGGCCCTGGGGCCATCCCACTGTCCACCAGAACAAAGGCTGCCCTGGCATCAGACTCACTCCAGACCTGTTCCAGAATGCCAGGGATTGAACTCAGAGCCCATGCCAAGGCATGATGGTGAACAGACAGTGTGAGTGTGGTGACAAGCCACTAAACTCCAGGGACCTGAGGCCAGTTGCTGGTCACTCAAAACTCATGTCATTTACAGAGTGGTTCCATCACTCTGTTGTTGGATAAGCCTCTTTCTGTTGCCTGGGGGTTGGCAGATTGCCGAGACCAGCTTGGTCATGGAGACCCTAACCCAGTGGTGCTAGAGGAATTAAAGACACACACATAGAAATATAGAGTGTGGAGTGGGAAATCAGGGGACTCACAGACTTCAGAGCTGAGAGCCCTGAACGGAGTTTGACCCACATATTTATTGACAGCAAGCCAGTGATAAGCATTGTTTCTATAGATTATAGATAAACTAAAAGTATTCCTTACAGGAAACAAAGGGATGGGCCGAAACAAAGGGATGGGCTCTGGCTAGTTATCTGCAGCAGGAACATGTCCTTAAAGCACAGATAGCTCATACTATTATTTGTGGCTTAGGAATGCTTTAAGCGGTTTTCCACCCTGGGTGGGCCAGGTGTTCCTTGCCCTTATTCTGATAAACCCACAACCTTCAGTTTGGGCATCATGGCCATCATGAACATGTCACAGTACTGCAGAGATTTTGTTTATGGCCAGTTTTGGGGCCAGTTTATGGCCAGATTTGGGGGCCTGTTCCCAACACGTTCCCCTTTTTGTTTTCCAAAGTGATAAAAGCAAAGGCAGCTTTGTCATGGTGAGCTAATTCTCACAGGAGTCAGGATCCGCACCTGCAGACTATACAAAGACAAACAACACAGATTAAAAGCACAATCATCATTGAAATCACAGAGCTTCCAAGTGTCTTTATCCACTTTAATGGGTTAATATCTGCTAATCTGTCTGCAGCTCCTTCAAGCACTCCAGTTCCTGGCATTAAGGTCAAGTGTGCCTGGGATGCTTTAAATATTTGTTCTTTTAATTTTGCAATATGCAAAGACAAGTTTGTAGAGTGTCCTTCTAGATGCTTTTTTATTCTTTCCCAAATTTTGATCTTATTAACAGACATTAATAGTTTCCACAAATCCTTATGTTTAGCTTCTACAGTGGACCATATCATTTGAGGTTGAGGTGCCACTATACCGCCACGTTTCCAGATAATGGGAACTCTTGCTGTATTTCTTACCATTTCTACCATCTGACTGTTTTGTTTAGACCAGCTGAACATAGTGTGGCTGTGGCACACAGACTGAGAGGTGTAATTTAAGCTAAACATCCCCTTAGGGGACCAATCAATAATGATTCCATAGGAATCGTTGTGCAGCACCTCTACCTGTTCTGCAATGCAATCTTCCCAAACAAGTACATTCATTATTTCTGGCCAGGTCTAATTCTATTTACAAATAGGTTTTGAGCTGCCTTTGCTTTGCCTCAATTATAGGAGCAGATTTATTATGGTAAATATTAAGAGCAGAAAGCATGTGTAACTGTGTCACACAGTGATTACATCCAGGCATTATTGCCAGCCAAGATTGATAAATATGCCCAATAAGTATAACTGTTCTCTGTGTTGTTCCTTGTTGAAGGAATACTCATGGCAATGGTGATCACCACTATCATATCTATCATTAAATTACTCATTGTGACTGGTTGTCCCACTTTCCTCAGGTTTTCTTCCACCATCTGTGACAGCTTCTTGATCTGTCCCCAGGTAGGTGGCTGTGTTCGACAGCTGTTGCTCATGATAGTTGGGGTCCTCCTCAGCATCAGTCTTGACATGGCTGCAACCAGGGGATCCTCGGGATCCTCCTGGAATCTCTTCCTCAGCATCTGGCTCGTGGCAAGGTTTCAGGTGTCTTGATGGCACCCAAATTGGCTATTGATTCGGTCCTGGAGAAACACAAGCATAACCTCTACCCCAAGTTATTATTTTACCTATTTCCCAACTTTTTGTTATTGTATCTCTCCACCAAACCAGTTGTTCTGCTTCTGTCTTTGCAGCTGGTTTCTGTAGATGCTGTTCAGCTGCTGGCCTTTAAGCAGGCTCAAAAAATTTAAAGTCAATAATGCTAGAATCAATTGCATATGGGGTGTCCCGTAGTCCCTGCTTCTCCCCTTTTGCTTTTGCAACTGCTGTTTCAGGGAGAGATTCATTCTTTCTACTATGGCTTGTCCTTGAGAATTATATGGGATGCCAGTAATGTGTTTAATATTCCATATAGAGAAAAATGTAGCTAGAGCTTGGCTAGTACAGCCTGGGGCATTATCTGTTTTAATAGAAGCTGGAATGCCCATCACCGCAAAACACTGCAAAAGGTGACGTTTAACACAGGCAGAAGACTCTCCTGATTGGCATGTAGCCCAGACAAAGTGAGAAAAGGTGTCCACACATACATGTACATAAGCTAGTCTCCCAAACGAGGGAACATGTGTGACATCCATTTGCCAAAGAGAATTAGGTTCCAATCCTTGAGGATTAACTCCTCCTGTAAAAGATGAGGAATGCACCATTTGGCAAGTTGGGCATCGCTGGATAATAGCTTTAGCTTCTTTCCAGGTAATGCCGTATCTGTGTTTGAGACCAGAGGCATTAACATAGGTTAAATTGTGAAAGTGTCTAGCGTTAGATATTGCATTAGCAACTAGGTGATCAGCCATTTGATTCCCTTCAGTTAAAGGTCCTGGAAGAGGTGTATGAGCCCTAATGTGAGTGATGTAAAAAGGATGCATTCTACTCCTGACTGCTGTTTGCAATTGGGTAAATAAAGCCATCAGTTGCTCATCTGTGTGGAATCGTAGTTGAGCATTTTCAATTAATTGTGTGGAATGAATCATGTATGAAGAATCAGAAATCACATTGATAGGCCTATTAAAAGCAGTCAATACCTCAATTACAGCTATAAGCTCTGCTTTTTGAACTGAAGTATAGGGCATCTGAAGCCCTTACTTTTCAAGCCAGAGTTAGAAGCTTTACCATTACTAGACCCATCTGTGAAGACATTTTCAGCACCTTCAAGTGGTTTGAATTTAGTTATTTTAGGGAGAATCCAATTAGTTAATTTCAAAAATTGAAACAATTTTGTTTTGGGAAAATGATTATCAAGAATACCCACAAAGTCAGCTAAATGGGTTTGCCAGGTAAGACTATTTATAAAAGCTTGCTCTATTTGTGCCTTCATGAGAAGGACAATAATTTTTCCAGGACCATATCCATGTAATTTAACAATCTGAGTTCTCCCATTTCCTATCATAGTAGCGATTTGATCCAAATAAGGAGTTAGAGTCCGTGAATTAGTATGTGGAAGAAAAAGCCGCTCTACAAGATCTTGCTCTTGAACAATAACACCAGTAGGTGAATGCCGAGTTGAAAAAATTAGCAAATCTAGAGTCTTTTCTGGATCTATTATATTTATTTGAGCTTTATGGACTTGCTTTTTGATGAGCTGCAGCTCTGCATCAGCTTCTTTTGTTAATTGCCGAGGGCTATGAGACTAGCATCTCCTCTAAGGTTAGAAAATGGCATAGGTAGGAATGCCTAGAGTAGGTCATATCCAATTAATGTCCCCTGGTAATTTTTGAAAGTCATTTAATGTTTTCAGTTGATCCCTACATATGGTTACTTTCTGTGGCACAATGATAGTGTCATTTACTGAAGTCTCCAAGTAGGAGTAAGGAGTAGCAGTCTGAATTTTGTCAGGAGCTATAATTAAACCAGCATGAGAAATCAAATTTTGCAAGTGATCATAACATTGGAGTAATATTTCTCGAGTGGGGGGCAGCACAAAGTATATCGTCCATATAATGAATAATGTAACACTGTGAAAATTTTTTATGAGTAGGTTCAATTGTTTGCCCTACATAAGTCTGGCAAATTGTTGGACTGTTTAACATGCCTTGTGGCAACAGTTTCCAGTGAAAATGCTTAGCAGGCTGCAGGTTGTTTACTGCAGGAATTGTAAATGCAAACCATTCACAGTCCTGCTCAGCTAAGGGGATAGTAAAGAAACAGTCTTTTAAATCTATGACTATTAAAGGCCAATTCTTTGGAATCATAGCAGGAGAAGGCAGTCCTGGCTGCAATGTCCCCATAGGTTGTATAACTGAATTAATGGCTCTTAAGTCAGTTAACAGTCTCCATGTACCTGATTTTTTCTTAATTATAAAAACTGGAGAGTTCCAAGGGGAAAATGTTGGAGCTATGTGTCCTTTTTCTAATTGTTCAGTAACTAAGTCCTCTGAGCCTCCAGTTTCTCTTTACTTAGCAGTCATTGTTCTATCCAAATTGGCTCATCTGTTAACCATTTTAAAGGTATAGGTTCTGGAAGCTTAACAATGGCTGCCATCAAAAATGATATCCTAAACCTTGGCAGGAACTTTGTCTTTCCGCTTGAAGTGGTTCCTTCAAATCTTGCAAATTTTTTCCTAGTCCCATACCAGGGACATACCCCATTTCATGCACCATACGTTGACTTTGAGGGCTATACAATTGCTCTAGAATTAGAACTTGTGCTATCCATTGTTGTAACAAATCTCTTTCCCATAAATGTATAGGTACAGAAGTTATAATTGGTTGAATAGTCCCATGTTGTCCATCGGGCCCCTCACAATGCAAAATATAATTACTTTGATATACTTCAGGGGCTTTACCAACTCCAACTATGTTAAATTGAGTGGGTTGAATTTGCCACGTGGACAGCCAGTGCTGTAGAGAAATGATTGAAATGTCTGCTCCTGTATCTACCAAACCTTTAAATTTCTTTCCCTGAATAGTTATTTCACAGGTAGGATGTTTATCAGTAATTTGATTCACCCAATAAGCTGCTTTGTCTTGTTTATTTGTGCTTCCAAATTCTCCTATTCGTTTAATTTCACTTTTCCCCATTTCCACATACGGCACAATCAGAAGTTGTGCTATACGCTTTCCTGGCTCTGCTTTCCAAGGAAAAGAAGTAAATATAACAATTTGAATTTCCCCATTGTAATCTGAATCAATGACTCCTGTATGTACTTGCACTCCTTTTAAATTTAAACTAGATCTACCTAGAAGTAATCCTATCATCCCCCCGGCAAGCATCCACAGACCCCTATTGGAACTTTTTGTGGGGATTCCCCAAGCATAAGGCTCACAGCTTTTGTGCAGTATAAATCTACTGTGGCACTACTGGCTGTCGTGGGGGACAGACATTGTACAGGGGTGAGGGAGTGAGCTATAATATTTCCCTGTTGATCTGGGGGGTATATCCTAACAGGGAACTGCCAAGCCTCTATATCACCCTCTCGTCTAGCTGGCTCAATTCCTGCCTGAATAGAACTGAGAGCAGTCACTCGAGGCACTGCTAGAACAGTCACTGGGGCAACTACTTTTCACCCAGTGTCCTCTGGAAAAGAAAGATCTGTAGGGTCAGGTCACTCTTTTTCTTCAAAATAATGAGGGGGTGAAGAAGAGTAGGGACAAACCTCTTCCTCATTTGCCGCTTTAGCTTCAGCCAGCAAACAAACCTGCTGTGTCATCTCTTCTGTTACTTTGTTATACTTTCCTTCCTTCTCATCATTAGTGTGAAAAGGTTCTAAGGTGGAACGCACCAGAGCCCACACTTGTCCCATTGTTACCCTGATGTTTCCGAGCTCCCCTTCTTACTCACCATGGGGATTGCTTAAGGGTACTCGGGTGTCCTCCAGCTTAGTTCCACATTCTCCAACCATCACTCCAGCGACCCTTCAACTGGGGTTCAAGCCCCACGTTGGGCGCCACTTGCCGACACCAGCTCGGTCTTGGAGACCCTAACCCAGCGGCGCTAGAGGAATTAAAGACACACACACAGAAATATAGAGTGTGGAGTGGGAAATCAGGGGACTCACAGCCTTCAGAGCTGAAAGCCCCGAACAGAGTTTGACTCACATGTTTATTGACAGCAAGCCAGTGATAAGCATTGTTTCTAAAGATTATAGATTAACTAAAAGTATTCCTTATGGGAAACAAAGGGATGGACTGAAACAAAGGGATGGGCTCTGGCTAGTTATCTGCCACGTCCTTAAGGCACAGCTCGCTCATGCTATTGTTTGTGGCTTAGGAACACCTTAAGAGGTTTTCCCCCCTGGGTGGGACAGGTGTTCCTTGCCCTCATTCCAGTAAATCCACAACCTTCAGTGTGTGCATCATGGCCATCATGAACATGTCACAGTGCTGCAGAGATTTTATTTATGGCCAGTTTATGGCCAGATTTGGGGGCCTGTTCCCAACAGCAGATTCTATGACCACTTCAGCCCTGCCTTTACAGTTTCTGTTTACCTGTAAACTTTTTCTTCCTGTGGCCTAGGGTAGTTCAGGATCACTAAAAATGTGTTCTGTGATATATTAATAAAAATTCCTGAAAAATGGACTTACAGCAAAATTGATTTTGGTACTCAAATAATTTTGAAAAATATTGCATGCTATGTCTCCTTCTTGTAAGGTTGCAGTTCACATTAGTGTAGTAAAGCCTCTGAGAAGACCTGAAGTAAGGAAATCTCTTTAACTTTGTTTAATTCAGCATTTCTGAAGTACAGTTAGAGACAAGCAGTCATTTTTTATTCTCCCAAAACAGAACTGAGCACACACCTCATTCATTGTATGTCATAAAGATTATATTGCTATAACTTTTTTTGTATAGTAACATAGCTATAGGCCAGGCATGGCGGTTCACACCTGTAATCCCAGCACTTTTGGAAGCCATGGCAGGAAACTTGCTTGAGCCTCAGGAGTTTGAGGCCAGCCCAGGCAACATAGCAAGACCCCATCTCTAGTAAAAAAAAAAAAAAAAGACGAACATAGGCAGCCTTTGATTGGAAGAAAAAAATAAGATAAACAAGCATAGATATATAGGAAAACAACATTGCATTGTCCCATCCCAATGCAGTCCCATATGACTCCCCTTAGTTCCAAGCAAGAAGAGCACCTACCTGGACCTTGTGCTCTAGAGTACCTTGCATGTCACAAACGTGCACTTACTGACAAAGCCCAGGGCATCTCTGTCACTTAGGATCCAGTGCTTGGCACTAGTACAGCGTGACTGGTAACCCTAAACATCCGTTCTTGGGACTAATGCTATTCAGGCCCCAGGAAAATACTTCTATACTTCTCCACATCTCTTGCCTTGTGTCATCAAAAGACAATTGCATCCAAATGCAACGAAAGTTTGTGGACAGCGCTTTGGAGTACTGATAGGATTTTGGCTGCAACGTGCTTAGGTAAAAGGAAAAGACAAATTTTAAAATTTGCCAGATTCTGCCGGGCACAGTGGCTCAAGCCTGTAATCCCAGCACTTTGGGAGGCTGAGGTGGGTGGATCATTTGAATTCAGGAGTTTGAGACCAGGCTGGCCAACATGGTTAAAACCCTGTCTCTACTAAAAATACAAAAATTAGTCGGGTGTGGTAGCACATGCTTGTAATCCCCAGCGACTTGGGAGGCTGAGACAGGAGAATTGCTTGAACCCAGAGGCGGAGGTTGCAGTGAGCTGTGATCATGCCACGGCTCTCCAGCAGCCTGGGCAACAGAGTGAGACCCTGTCTCAGAAAAAAAGAAAGAAAAGAAAGTGTTGGTCAGGCACAGTGGGTCATGCCTATAATCCCAGCACTTTGGGAGGCAGAGGCGGGAGGATCACTTAAACCCAGGAGTTCAAGACCAGCATTGGCAACATAGTGAGACCCTGTCTCTATATTTAAAACTTTTTTTAAGTAAAAAAAAAAAAAAAAATTAAAGTCTTGCCATGAAAAAACGTCAGCTCAACTAAAACCTTGTGCTTAGGAATTCTGACACAAGCCCTTATCTCATTGCAGGCTGACAACAAAGAGCTCCCAGACCAGGCCTCAGAGCACACTTTGAATAGAATTGCTTTAGATTAGTGATCAGCAAACATTTTTGTAAAGGACTAGATAGTAAATATCTTAAGTTTTGTAATCCACATAAGGTCTCTGTTACATATTCTTTTAAAAAGATAACTCTTTAAAACTGTAAAAGCCATACTGAGGGCTTAAGGGGCCATTCAAAAACAAGCCATAGGCTGCATTTAGCCCTTGGCTGTAGTTTGCTGCTTTACTTAAAACTGTTCTTAGAGTACAAATTATGTGAACAATCTTGATTATAAAAGCATAATTAGTGATTTTGTTGAAATAAAAGCAAGAAAATTAAATTATGTGGGATAAATATACGATAATTTACAAATTATATATATGTGTATGTGTCTTTGTTTTTTTGTTTGTTTTTGAGACAGAGTCTCACTCTGTTGCCCAGGCTGGAGTGCAGTGTTGTGATCTTGGCTCACTGCAACATCCGCCTCCCAAGTTCAAGCAATTCTCATGCCTCAGTCTCTCTAGTAGCTGAGATTACAGGCACCCACTACCATGCCCAGCCAATTTTTGTATTTTTTGTAGAAAGGAAGTTTCACCATGTTGACCAGGCTCATCTTGAACTCCTGATCTCAAGTGATCTGCCCACCTTGGCCTCCCAAAGTGCTGGAATTATAGCCGTGAGCCACTGCACCCAGTCAAGTGGTGGTTTTTTTGAACAACTAAGAGTAGGCAACATATCAAAGCAATGGAATTTATTTATTTGTTTATTATTATTATTATTATTTTGAGACAGAGTTTTGCTCTTGTCACCCAGACTGGAGTGCAATGGCGCGATCTCGACTCACTACAACCTCCGCCTCCGACATTCAAGCGATTCTCTTGCCTCAGCCTCCTGAGTAGCTGGGATTACAGGCATGTGCCACCACACCCGGCTAATTTTGTATTTTTAGTAGAGACAGGGTTTCTCCATGTTGGTCTCAAACTCCCGACCTCAGGTGATCCGCCCACCTCAGCCTCTCAAAGTGCTGGGATTACAGGAATGAGCCACCATGCCCAGCCAATTTAATTATTATTATTATACATACCTTGGTGTTCAGTTGATGGATTGTTGATGTTTGGACGAGTAAGAACAAATGGCTCAGTGCGGTGGCTCACACCTGTAATCCCAGCAGTTTGGGAGGCTGAGGCGGGCTGATCACCTGAGGTCAGGAGTTGGAAACCAGCCTGGCCAACATGGTGAAACTCTATCTCTACTAAAAATACAAAAAATTAGCTCAGCATGTGGCATGTGCCTGTAATCCCAGCTACTCGGGAAGCTGAGGCACGAGAATCGCTTGAACATGGGAGGCAGAGGTTGCAGTGAGGTGAGATCATGCCACTGCACTCCAGCCTGGTCAACAGAGCAAAACATATTTAAAAAAAAAAAACCCCAAACAAACAAAACCACCACCACTTTACAATTCTTTTTAATTTTGCCACTATAATGACATCTTTGTCAAGGTAAGAGGATAGAACATTAAACACTTTGCTAGCTTCATTTTTTATAGCTTTAAATATTTACACATAAGGATGTTGGTTTTCATATGTACTCTTTTTTTTAATCTTTAGAGACAGAGTCTCACTCTGTTGCCCAGGTTGGAGTGCAATGGCGCGATCTCGGATTCAAGTGATTCTTGTACTTCAGCCACCCAAGTAGCTGGGACTACAGGCATGCATCACCATGCCCAGCTAATTTTAGTATTTTTTGTAGAGATGGGGTTTCACCATGTTGGCAGGCTGGTCTCAAATACCTGGGCTCAAGCAATCCTCCCACCTCAGCCTCCCAAAATGCTGGGATTACAGGCTTCAGCCACCACGCCTGGCTTGCTTAACCTAATTTGAGTTGGTTCCTGTTACTTATAAACAAAGTGTCCTAAATAATACAACCATGCTGTACAACTGCCTGTTTCCAAAACAGAAAGGCATACATAAATAAAAAGTTTTCTCCTTCGGGCAGTTTGGAAGCAAAAACCAGGTCACAGACAATACCAGCCACATAGGCTTTCCTCCAGCCTTGAGTTTCAGACACAACCAAAGAGCCTGGACCAAACCAATGACAAAGCTATCCTTCCAGGACACTGAGTATCCCCCTGATATTTTCTGCTAAACTCCAAATTTCAGGAAAGCTGGGTACAAATAGCCAAATAATTGCATGGGCCTCCAGGGGGCGCTCAAGCCTGCCCTCTCTGTTTCCTTTACTTCTTCCCCACCCGCTTAACCCAGGAAAGGAAAACTGCGGCTGTGCTTTTGGAGAGGACGGATCTTATTGGCTACTGGGCTACTGGTCTTTTTCTTGCCTGCATAGGTGTGTCTATTTCCTGCGGCTGAAGTAGAAATTGGGTCTGAGGTCAGCTGGCTTCTTCTCCACTCTTAGGAAGGTTTTTGATTTTTTTTTTTTTTTTTTTTTTTTGAGATGGAGTCTTGTTCTGTCGCTCAGGGTGGAGTGCGGTGGTGTGATCTTGGCTCACTGCAACCTCTGCCTCCCGGGTTCCAGCAATTCTCCTGCTTCAGCATCCCGAGTAGCTGGGACTACAGGCGTGTGCCACCATGCCCAGCTAATTTTTTTTTTATTTTTGTATTTTTAGTAGAGACGGGGTTTCACCATGTTGGCCAGGATGGTCTTGATCTCTTGACCTTGTGATCCGCCCGCCTCGGCCTCCCAAAATGCTGGGATTACAGGCGTGTGCCACCACACCTGGCCAAAAATCTCATAATGGTTTAAGAAGGTTTACAAATTTGTGTTGGCCCGCATTAAAAGCCGTCCTGGGCCACAGATTGGACCAGCCTGCTCTAGGAGAAGCACCCCTGTCCTTTACCTTCCAGATCTACATCTGGTGGGCAGTGGGCAGGTTGACCTTTCTGAAACCTACACACAGCTTTAACTGCTCACTTCCTGTTAGTGGTGTTCACAGGTGTGGGCATGGCCTTAGGAGTAAAAACTCATTAGCTGTTAACAGTCAGGGTTTTAAGGAAACTGAATTGCCAATGAAATCTGATTGGCAGTTCCTTAAAACTTACAGGTTTCCTGTCACTTCCAGTCACTTCCAGACATCTCGTCTAGACATATCTTTGAGACTGGGGAACCTATTCTTGTAACCACAGGCCACCACCCAGGCCTCTGGCGCTCAGTTAAATGGCTTCTGCCTTGAGGCTATTCACAATAGTCGTCTCTAGTACAGAGGGACCATCTATAATCTGCTCTTTGCCCCAGTTTTTCCTCTTCGTGGGCAGAAAATGTTTAAAGCACTGTGATGCAGCAAGCTGGTCTCTTGCCCAAATCAGTGTCCTGCTAAGTCCCCTGTCTCTGTGGATGCTAACTTTCACTTGGGGTACAGAATTCAGCTTTTCCAGTCCTGTAACACTCCAAGTTGTAGGATTTCCGG
Source organism: Homo sapiens (assembly GCF_000001405.40). Taxonomy (NCBI): domain Eukaryota; kingdom Metazoa; phylum Chordata; class Mammalia; order Primates; family Hominidae; genus Homo; species Homo sapiens. The sequence goes on from NC_000017.11 coordinate 49,181,700, forward strand.
TAAACTTGGATTGCAAGCCACTCTAAGCAAAACTGAAAACTTAAAACAGGGCACCTTCAGCCTAAAAGATGTCTCTTATAGGACCTGAAGACTGCATGAAATCACTAACTCCTGCCAGCATTCCAATTTTTTCCTACCATTTCCCCTAATTCTACAGTCCTGATAGGCACATAGTCTGTGTTCCAGACACCAGCACCAATTTCAGGATCATTAAATTTTGAAGAGGTGCCTGCTCTCCACCCTACCTCTTCCACTCAACCCTGCATCTGTCTTGACAGAGGGTTCAAGTTAACACACAGCTTTTCTTTTTCTTATTCCTTTGCTTGGATGCTCCTGCTTCCTTTATGCCCTTCAGTTTCAAACAAGTTCAATTCAAGTTATATTCAAATTAGAATATAAATTCTAATTCCCTCATCTTTAAATTTTACCAAGGGATTATCAAGATGTTCCTCATGTAACTGAGTAATCTATATAACTGTATATGCCTCTCTCCTATACCATTGTGCTTGTAAAGATCCCAGCTCTCCACATGCAAAGGACACAAAACGCATTCATCATAAAAGAAAAAAAAAGATACATTTGACTTTATCCATCAAAATTTAAACCTTCTGCTCATCAAAAGACATTGACATGGTTTGGCTGTGTCCCCACCCAAATCTCATCTTGATTTCCACGTCTTGTGGGAGGGACCTGGTGGGAGGTAATTGAATCATGGGGGCAGGTCTTTCCCATGCTGTTCTGTGACAGTGAATAAGTCTCACAAGATCTGATGGTTTTAAAAAGGGGAGTTTCAGCCGAGTATGGTGGCTCATGCCTGTAATCCCAGCAATTTGGAGGCCGAGGCAGGCTGATAACCTGAGGTCAGGAGTTCAAGACCAGCCTGGCCAACATGGTGAAACCCTGTCTCTACTAAAAATACAAAAATGAGCCGGGTGTGATGGTGCATGCCTGTAATCCCAGCTACTTGGGAGACTGAGGCAGGAGAATCGCTTGAACCCAGGAGGTGGAGGCTGCAGTGAGCTGAGATCATGCCACTTCACTCCAGCCTGGGTGACAAAGCAAGACTCTATCTCAAATAAATAAATAAGTAAATAAATAAATAAAAGGGGAGTTTCCCTGCACAAGCTCTCTTCTTGTCTGCCACCATGTGAGACATGCCTTTTGCCTTCTGCCATGATTGTGAGGCCTCCCCAGCCACATGGAACTGTAAGTCCATTAAACCTCTTTTTCTTCCCAGTCTCAGGTACATCGTTATCAGCAGCATGAAAACGGACTAATACAGAAAGTTGGTGTTACTGGGGGTCAATTTTTCTGGCTGGAAATCTCTGTAGCCACAGTGCCTTTGCCTGAGTTCTTGTCCTGCATCCGGAAGAATGAGGTATGCAGACAAGTAAAAGGTGATGAAGAGTTTTATTTAGTGTTAGGACAGCTCAGAGGAGTGGGTACCTCCTCTCTGCAGGCAGGTCGTCCAGTCAAGTGTTTAGCTCTTAGCAGAGAGGAGGCCCTGGAGAGGATAGTTCCTCTCCTCAGCCAAGTCATTCAGATGTCTCGGTAGGTCTCTGAAGCTCTCAGCAGAGAGAAGTACCCTCTCTGCTGGTCCCTCATCTCTGCAGTTCTCAGCAGAGAGGGTATTCCTCTCTGCAGCTGGTTGCCCTGTCCCATAGATGGTACTCCTCTCCAGAGCTGGAGTAGATGGTACTCCTCCTCTCTGCAGCTGTTCGTCCTGTCCTGTCCTGTCTCCCTGCCCTCTTTGTCCTCTGGCCATCCTCTGCCTGCTCTGGCTGAGCCCAGGGCTTTTATGGACCTCAAAGAGGAGGAAGTGCATGCCGATTGGTCCATGAGCAGCCATGGGCAGGCCGGAAGAGGTACCACGAGTCTGCACTCCAGTCTGTGGGACTGGCAGCCCAGCCCCCAGCCCCCAGCCCTCAGGCCCTCCTTGGCCTGACGGTGGGGCCTTACTAGGGACCCCACCCACTTCTGCCCAGGACTGTCTGCCTCCTGCTACTATTCATGGCTCTGGGGCTTGGCCTTAACCCTGCTCTGAGATGGGAGTGTGTGCCAGGAGTGCAGAGAGGCCAGGCAGTGGGAGCAGACACCTCTGAGCTTGCAGGGATGGGGTGGGGGAGGGGGTCCTTTCTGGGGCACCCGAGGGTGCAGGGTGCAGAGACGCCTAGGTCCTGCACCTGGGAGGGCAGCCGCAGCTGCACCTGGGAGCTCCTACCCCGCTAACTTGGAAGAGGCAGGCCTCCTTCTTGTCCCTGGCTCCTGCTTGCTTCATGGAGTGCGAGGCCCAGGTCTGCAGTTGCGGGTCTGGCAGCTGCCGCTGCACCCAGGAGGACAATCCTGCCTGCACCTAGCTCCCCCAAGAGCACAGGGAGGCTCAGATCCATAGCTGCAGTTTGCATAGCCCCAGGAGGGTGAGGCTTCTGCCTGCTCTGTAGAGCAGGAGGGCTGGGTCTGCAGCTACAGTTTGGGCAGCTACAGTGGCATGGGGCACCCCCGTCCCAACTCAGAAAGGGCAGGTCTCCCACTGGCTCCATGGAGTGTGCAGCCCTAGCCATGCCTCCCTGATGCAGCTGGCAGGATGGCAGCAGCCACTGCCATCATTGGTATTGAGAGTGAGGTGCTGCTGAAAAGATACTCAAAAATGTGGCAGTGACTTTGGAACGGGGTAACAGGCAAAGGGTTGAACAGTTTGGAGGGCTCAGAAGCAAACGGGAAAATGTGTTAAAGTTTGGAACTCCCTAGAGACTTGTTGAATGGATTCAACCAAAATGCTGATAATGATATGGACAATGAAATCCAGGCTGAGGTGGTCTCAGATGGGGATGAGGTACTTGTTGGGAACTGGAGCAAAGGTGACTCTTGTTACATTTTAGCAAAGAGACTGGCAGCATTTTGCCCCTGCCCTAGAGATTTGTGGAACTTTGAACTTGAGAGATGATTTAGGATATCTGGTGGAAGAAATTTCTAAGCCTTAAAGCATTCAAGAGGTGACTTGGGTGCTGTTAAAGGCATTCAGTTTTAAAAGGGAAACAGCACAAAAGTTTGGAAAATTCACAGCCTGACAACACAATAGAAAAGAAAATCCTGGCTGGGCATGGTGGCTTTCAGTCTTCAAAACTTTCTCAAATCTGTCTGGTCTCATACCTGTAATCCCAACACTTTGGGAGGCTGAGGCAGGCAGATCACTTGAGGTCAGGAGTTTGAGACCAGCCTGTCCAACATGATGAAACCCTGTCTCTACTAAAAATACAAAAATCAGCCAGGCATGGTGTTGTGTGCCTGTAATCCCAGCTACTCGGGAGGCTGAGGCAGGAGAATCACTTGAACCCAGAAGGTGGAGGTTGCAGTAAGCCAAGATTGCACCACTGCATTACAGCCTGGGTGACTGAGCAAAACACCATCTCAAAAAAAAAGAAAAGAAAAGAAAAGAAAATCCCATTTTCTGAGGAGAAATTCAAGCCAGCTGCAGAAATTTGCATAAGTAATGAGGAGCCAATGTTAATCGCCAAGACAATGGGGAAAATGTCTCCAGGGCATGTCAGAGGTCTTCACGGCAGCCCCTCCCATCACAGGCCTGGAGGCCTAGAAGGAAAATATGGTTTCATTGGCCTGGTCCAGGGTCCTTGTGCTGAGTCCACCCTAGGGATTTGGTGCTCTGCATCCCAGCTGCTCCAGCTGAGGCTGAAAGGAGCCAACATAGAGCTTGGGCTGTAGCTTCAGAGGGTGTAAGCCCCAAGCCTTGGCAGCTTCTACATGGTGTTGAGCCTGCAGGTTCACAGAAGTCAAGAATTGAGATTTGGGAACCTCCACCTAGATTTCAGAGGATGTATGGAAATGTCTGGATGCCCAGGCAGAAGTTTGCTCCAGGGGTGGGGCCCTCATGGATAACCTCTGCGAGGGGAGTGAGGAAGGTAAATGTGGGGTCAGAGCCCCCACACAGAGTCCCTACTAGGGCAATACCTAGTGGAGCTGTGAGAAGAGGGCCACCATTCTCCAGAGCCCAGAAAGGTAGATCCACCAACAGCTTGCACTGTGCACTCAATGCCAGCCTGTGAAAGCAGCCAGGAGGGAGGCTGTACCCTGCAAAGCCACAGGGGGGTGCTGCCCAAGACCACAGGAACCCACCTTTTACATCAGCGTGATCTGGATGTGAGACACAGGGTCAAAGGAGATTATTTTGGAGCTTTAAGATTTGACTGCCTCACTGAATTTCGGACTTGCATGGGGCCTGTAGCCCCTTTGTTTTGGCCATTTTTTTCCCATTTGAAACAGCTGTATTTACCCAATGCCTGTACCCCCATTGTATTTGCTTTTGATTTTACAGGCTCATAGGCAGAAGGGACTTGCCTTGTCTCGGATGAGACATTGGACTGTTGACTTTTGAGTTAATGCTGAAATGAGTTAAGACTTTGGGGGACTGTTGGGAAGGCATGAATGGTTTTGAAATGTGAGGACATGAGATTTGGGAGGGACTGGGGCAGAACGACATGGTTTGGCTGTGTCCCCACCCAAATCTCATCTTGAATTTCCATGTGTTGTGGGAGGGACCCAGTGGGAGGTAACTGAATCATGAAGGCAGGTCTTTCCCATGCTGTTCTCATGATAGTGAATAAGTCTCACGAGATCTGATGGTTTTAAAAAGGGGAGTTCCCTGCACAAGCACTCTTCTCTTGTCTGCCGCCATGTGAGACATGCCTTTCACCTTCCATCATGATTGTGAGATCTCCACAGCCACGTGGAACTGTAAGTCCATTAAACCTCTTTTTCTTCCCAGTCTCAGCTATGTCTTTATCAGCAGTGTGCAAACGGGCTAATATAGACACTATTAAGAAAGTGAAAAGGCAGCTGGCCACAGTGGCTTGCACCTATAATCCCAGCACTTTGGGAGGCTGAGGTGGGCAGATCACTTGAGGTTAGGAGTTCAAGACCAAACTGGCCAACATGGTGAAACCCCGTCTCTACTAAAAATACAAACATTAGCCAGGCATGCTGGTAAGCACCTGTAATCCCAGCTACTCAGGAGGCTGAGGCACAAGACTTACTTGAACCCAGGAGTCAGAGGTTGCAGAGATTGTGCCACTGCACTCCAGCCTGGGTGACAGAGTGAGACTCTGTCTTAAAAAAGAAAAAAAAAAAGAAAAAAAAAAGAAAGTGAAAAGGCAAGCCACAGACTGGGAGAAAATGTTCAACATACATATATTTGATAAAGGATTCATATCAGGATATATAAAGAATTCCTGTAAATTAATAAGAAATTTTTTTGTGTGAGACAGGGTCTTGCTCTGTTGCCCAGGCTGGAGTGCAGTGGCACAACCAGCCCAGCTAATTTTTTAATTTTTTGTAGAGATGGGGTCTTGCCATGTTGCCCAGGCCAGGAAAAACATTTTCTTAATGAATAAAATACTTGAAACAGCACTTAGAAAAGAACATATCTAAACAGCTAGTAAGCATGTAAAATAGATGTTCAACATCATAACCATCAGGGAAATACAAATTAAAACCATAAAGAGATCATTATACACCCACCAGAATGGCTAAAATTTAAGAGACTAACAATGCCACCTACTAACAAAGATGTAGAACTGGAACTCTCCCAAACACTGCTGGTGGGAGTATAAAATAGTACAAGAACCTTGGAAAACTGTTTGGCAGTTCCTAATAAACTTAAGTATACACATAGCCTATAGCCCAGCAATTCTATTCTTAGGTTTATACCCAAGAACAAAAAAGAGTTGTACAAGAGTGGTCATAGCAGATTTATTTATACTAGCCCCAAACTGTAAACAACCCAAATGTCCATCAACTGGAGAATGGATCAACAAATCGTGGTATAGTCATACAATGCAATATTACTCAGCAATGAAAGAATGTACTACCGATATATAAAATGACAAGGATGAGTCTCAAAATTGTTATTTATTTATTTATTTGTTTATTTATCTGAGAGGGAGTCTCACTCTCTCTCCCAGGCTGGAGGGCAGTGGCGCTATCTTGGCTCACTGCAACCTCTGCCTCCCAGGTTCAAGCAATTCTCCTGCCTCAGCCTCCCGAGTAGCTGGGATTATAGGCATGCACCACCACGCCCAGCTAATTTTTTTGCATTTTTACTAGAGACTGGGTTTCACCATATTGGCTAGGCTGGTCTCAAACTCCTGATCTTGTGATCTGCCTGCCTCGGCCTCCCAAAGTGCTGGGATTACAGGCGTGAGCCACCCTGCCCGGCCTTCAAAATTATTGATTTAATTTTGTTGATTGATTTTGTGTCTGGCAAAAGAAACCAGACACAAAATACACTACAGATAAGTGAGTTTCATATATGTAAAATTTAAGAGCAGCCAAAAGTAATTTATGGTGATAGAAACCAGTACAGTGATTCCAGGGAGGTAGGAGGTAATGGCTTGAAAAGAGTACCAGAGAACTTTCTGGGGTGATGGAAATGCTTTATATCTTGATCTAGGTGATGGTGACACAGGCGTATACATTTGTGTAAAAAAAAAGTATTGGTTTCTCCAGTTACGATTTGTGCATTTTCCATTATATAAATAACAATTCAATTACATGTCATTTAAAGGGATAAGGCTGGGGGCAGTGGCTCATTCCTGTAATCCAGCAATTTGGGAAGCCAAGGCAGGAGGATCACTTAAGGCCAGGGATGCAAGACCAGCCTGGGCAACACAGCAAGATTCCTGTCTCTATTTTAAAAAATGAGATAAATTTTATATATTCTGTTATTGAACAATCTTCAACATATGCAACATATGGTGCTAATAAAACAAGGTGCAGAACAGTGTTTTGATTTTTTCTAAGAAAAAGAATATGTGCTGGGTTCAGTTGCTCACATCTGTAATCTTGTCACTTTGGTAGGCCAAGGCAGGAGGATCACTTGAGCCCAGGAGTTTGAGACTAGCCTGGGCAACATAGCAAGACTCTGTCTCTACACAAGAAAAGAGAAAAGGAATATTCATATTCATATACATGTATATTTGTTGGGTTTTATTTATTTATTTTTTAGACGGAGTTTTGCTCTTTTTGCTCAGGCTGGAGTGCAATGGCACAATCTTGGCTCATGGCAACCTCTGCCTCCCGGGTTCAAGCGATTCTCCTCCCTCAGCCTTCCAAGTAGCTGGTATTACAGGCATGCGCCACCATGCCCGGCTAATTTTATATTTTTAGTGGAGAAGGGGCTTCTCCATGTTGGTCAGGCTGGTCTGGAACTCCTGACCTCAGGTGATCCACCAGCCTCGGCCTCCCAAAGTGCTGGGATTACAGGCATGAGCCACCGCACCCAGCCTCATTTTGTATTTTGTTCAGGAATGCCAGATCCTTCTGGGCAATAGGGCTTGGGGCAGAAGGGGCAAGCCCAGAGACTCAGGGCATCCCTCCTCACACTGCACAAGGAGGTGCTGGCAGCTTGTCTGGCTCAGCCGGGGATCCCAAGGTAAAGTAGGGGATTCGTGGCAGGTATCACCTAAGCTGGGTGATGAGGACACAGAGCAAGACAGATTCTATCCCAGCTAACTGTGAGAAGCTTCAGAATGGACAAAGGAAATGGACTGAATATGGCTATGACAGTGAACAGGAATACTTTCCATTTAACTACTCAAAGCACCTGTTATTCCATCCACTACATATTTACAGGCTTACAAAAAACTTGAAGTCCCTAATCCTTGCCTTCAAGTTTTTTTTTTGAGACAGAGTTTCGCTCTCGTTGCCCAGGCTGGAGTGCAGTGGCACAATCTCAGCTCACCACAACCTCCGCCTCCTGGTTTCAAGCGATTCTCCTTCCTCAGCCTCCTGAGTAGCTGGGATTACAGGCACGCGCCAATACACCTGGCTAATTTTGTATTTTTAGTAGAGACGGGGTTTCTCCATGTTGGTCAGGCTGGTCTGGAACTCCCGACCTCAGGTGATCCACTCACCTGGACCTCCCAAAGTGCTGGGATTACAGGTGTGAGCCACCGTGCCCAGCCTTCCTTCAGGTCCTTCCTAACCCCTGGCCTCACTGTTCTCCCCCTCTGCCTGATTCAGCCCTCAGTCTCAGTGCCAGGGCTGAAGCCACACTGACCCCACCTCTAGCAGAACCTAGGACTCTCCCATGCTTCAGGAGCCACTTGAGGAGGCTGGGTCTGTTCTCAAAGATGCCATGGGTTGCCATCTTTACAATGTCATGAACTGTGGCTTTATGTTAATAGAAACTAGTTATTCTGGGGAAGGAAGATTACATCCTGTCTCCCTTTTCTCTCTTATCATTAAAAAATTAGTAAATGTGGCCAGGCACAGTGGCTCAGGCCTGTAATCCCAGCACTTTGAGAGGCAGAGGCAGGTGGATTACTTGAGGCCAGGAGTTTGAGACCAGCCTGGCCAACATGGCGAAACTCCGTCTCTACTAAAAACACAAAAATTAGCTGGGCGTGATGGTGGTGCACTGTAGTTCCAATTACTCGGGAGGCTGAGGCAGGAGAATCGCTTGAACCTGGGAGGAAGAGGTTGCAGTGAGCGGAGATCACGCCACTACACTCTAGCCTGGGCAAAAAAGCCAGACTCCATCTCCAAAAAGAAAGAAGAAAGAAAAGAAAAGAAAAGAAAAAGCTAGAGAATGGGAGTAGGGAGAAGTGGAAGTAGGAAGGTGGAGTCACCTTTACCCTCACACTGGACAGAAGGAACTATCTCCTATGCATTGTCAAAGAATATCATCATGGCCCTTTAGGGTTTCTAAAGTAGCTTTTGAGAAATTAATTTCAATGCACTCTCACTGGTGCTCACAGAACCCGCGTAAGGAAGAAATAAACAGGAAAGCTGAGGTCCAAAGATGCTGAAGTCATTCAACTTCAGCTTTAATAGCTCACCCTTAAGTCATAGGAGCTTAAGGGGAGATTGGCTTGTTTCCCAAAATGGAAAATCTTTACTGTTTCTTCTGACAATATACAAGAGTTATTCTTTTGTCAAGCCATATGGAAAAACAGAAAAGTCCTTATAAATTTACTCCCCAGAGATAAATCATCAACAGAGCATTTCAGATTTGGGCTACCACGCTCTTGACTGCATGCAACGGAAAAGGACTGGGTACATTAAGCAAGAAAAGAGACTTATTGGAGGGATGTGAGATAGCTCAGAGCACCAGAGAGAGGCTGGAAAAGCAAACTTCGGAAGGTGGGCAGAGCCAAAGGGGAACTGGGCAGCCAGGACCTCAGGCAAGGTCAGGATCCTGGGCCGTGTGGTTAGGATGCCAGTTCTGCTGCCAGTGGGCATGGCCTGGCTGCCCCCACTGCCCCTGGGACACTGGGTGTCACAGCCACCACTAGTAGCAGAACGAGTTCTAAAATGCCCGTTTCTGGGCATCAGTCTCTGGATTTTAAGTCTAATTGGCCAAGCTACATCTCATTCTGACTGCTGGAGAGTGAGTATATCCACCTTGGAGCACAGCTGCTGTCACTCAGATCCACACAGTGTTGGCGCCCTCAAGAAAGGAAGTCAGATGTCACACGTCAAATAAATGGTAAATGTTCATTACACACATGTAGAACTTTTCTGTTTGTTTATAAGTCATGGGGTATTATACATATTACTATATATTGTTAGTACATAGTATATATGAATTAGATATTATTAGTATATATTATTAAATGATGTATTTTATTTATATATAATTAATGTTATATATAATTAATATATATTATTATACACACTAATTGGTACAACACTATTATACATACAAATTGGTAAGTAGATTTTACCTACTATTATCATATTGTTATACATACTAATTGGTATGTATACATACTAATTGGTAAGTCGATTTTATTATTATCATACATAATAATTGGCAAGTGGCTTTTTTGTTTTGGCTTTTTATATTATTACAATAAGTTATTCCCTAAATTCTTGCACAATATTTATTGTGTAGATATTGTTATTACCAATTTTCACTTGGACGTTTATTTTCTGTTTTTTACTATTATAAACCACACAGCTGAGAACATCCTGGAACATACGTCTTGGCACTTGCCTTGGTGTTTCCGTAGGTTAAAGTCTCAAAGATGAAACTGCTGAGTCAAATGGCGTGTAAAAATTTAATGTAGCCAGATTGACCTGCAGAAACTTCCGTTTACATACACGCTCACTAAAATGGGGGAGAGAGCCCAGAGGGGAGTGTCTTTTCCACTGATCTGATTTAATCCTAAAGTTAAGGATAATCGCCCAGCAAGGAAGGGTATCTGAGTGTTATCTCAGCAGTCCCACCTGGTGGTTTTTAATTAGGCACACACGCATGTGGAGGCGAAACTTTAGAACGGTTTTCTCGTGAGCTCCAGCCACGTGAAACAGTAGGACTCGCACCGACGCAGTCAGGCTGGGGGCGCAATTTCAAAGTCTCCGTTACGCGCGTCCCTGGGGCGCCTGGGGTTTGAACCGTTGTTCCCCACATGCTAGTCCGCTTCCCTTCCCGCTTGGCCAAAATACCTTTTCTAAGGCACTCCCCACGTAAATAAATAAATAAACAACCCAGGCTCCGTGCGCCGCGCCTCCTGCCCTGGAGCTGGGGTTGGAGCAGGCTTTCCCTGGACCCAGTCCGGCCCCACATCGCCAACCCCGCCAGCCTGCTGCCTTTCCGACCTCCCAGCCCCCGGAGGAGCGCAGGAAGACATGATATCCCCGGGACCAGAAACGCCGGGAACACGAAGGACGCAGAAGCCCTCGCCACGCCGCCCGTGGGGCCCCGGTCCAGGGCCCAGTCCCTCAAACACGGACACCGCTGCCGCTCTGGAAAGGCCGCCCAGAGCCCTCCTAGCTTGAGGAGACTCGCGGCCGCCTTAAGAAGCCAGCAGGTCCCATGGTGTAATGGTTAGCACTCTGGACTTTGAATCCAGCGATCCGAGTTCAAATCTCGGTGGGACCTCACGAGACTTTTTGGTCCTACAATTCCTGTTTTGGAGACCGCTTCCGGCAGCAGCCACCTCGGGCTGTGTGGGTAGCCTCACTGACCTGGCCTACAGCGGCTTGGGGTCCCTCCCCCTCTCTCAAGATGTTTTCATTTCAGGGCCGTTCTGGGGGTGTCAGTGCGCACGCGCGAGAGTCGGGCAGAAAAATAAATGTGTTGATGGGAGAGCGAACGCGACTTCACCCTGGAGGGCAGCTTCCGAAAGAACCCGAAGGATCAGGAGGATGCTGCTTCGGGCGGGGCATAGCTAGGTCGGCCGGTCTAGGAGGTCCCAGGTTGCCGAGGGTGCCGTCATGCTTCTTATTGGCTACTGAGCAAGCGCGATACGTTACTGCTGCCTGAGCCGCCAATGAAGTGGCGCGACAGAACCAAGGGGCGGGGAAACGGCGCCTGCGGGACTCCAATTGGTCACGAACAATAACGAGGCTGCGCTCCCCAGAGGGGTGTGTTTTTGGGGTCTGGAACGCACCCTAGTGTGTTTGTCTTGGTTGTCCGGTGCTCAGTGAGGTTGTCTGTGTCTGTCAGTCAGAAAACAGGCCCTTAGGCTGTATGCGGTGGCTCACGCCTGTAATCCCAGCACTTTGGGAGGCCGAGGCGGGCGGATCACCTGAAGTCAGGAGTTCGAGACCAGCCTGGCCAACATGGTGAACCCTCGTCTCAACTAAGAATACAAGAATTAGCCGGGCGTGGTGACGCGCCCCTGTAATCTCAGCTACTGGGGAGGCTGAGGCAGGAGAATGGCTTGAACCCGGGAAGTGGAGGTTGCAGTGAGCCGAGATCGTGCCTGTGTACTCCAGCCTGGGAGACAGAGAAAGACGTCATCTCAAAAAAAAAAAAAAACAAAAAAACAAAAAAACAAAAAACAAACAAAAAAACAGTCCCTAGATGCTGTAGTTGGTGAAAGAGAGAAGAGATTAAAAGAAAGAAAGAAAGAAAGAAAACAGTCCCTTAGATGCTGTAGCTGGTGAAAGAGGAAAGGAGAGGGAGAGAGACAGAGAGAGAAGAGGGGAGAAAGAGAGAGAGAGAGAGGGTGAGGGGGGGGAGGGGAAGAGAAGAGAAAGAAAGAAGAAAAAGAAAAACAGTCCCTTGGCTAAGGGACCGGTTCTTCAGCCCGCCAGGGCGTCTTAAGCGAGTCTTCAGACGGATTGAGCGCGTCTCTCTGGGCGAATCTGTCCAGGATCCGTGTTTAGGGTGCCGAGCAGGGGCACGTGCTTTGCAGGAAAGGGCGTACCTTTAGGATTGTATGGGAGAGACCTGCGTGAAGCAGCTTCTTTGGATCAGCATCTCGGTTTTGAGAGGTGCCTGTCCCTCTAGGATAAGTAACAAGGGAGTCCGCTGACGCATTTATGATCTCCCCACAGGGTGATTGGCACTGTGGTTATATGTTCCCGCCCCTTGGGAGGATGCCATGGAAACACAGAGGATCCTCCCGCTGCTCTCCCACCTCTCCCCTGAGCACCCGTTCTCCCCACCCCACCCCACAGTCTCCCTAAATGGTTGAATGGATCTGTGTGTATGAGCAATCCCAGCCTCAAAAATACCTAGCCATGAGACGTGGGAGGATTTGCTCCACCAGAGCGTAAAGCTTATTATCAACTGCAAGCTATAGAAATTGAGGTAGTTCAGTACTGGTGCAAGGATGGGAAAACATGCCAACGCAACAGAATAGGGAACCCAGATTCAGCCCCACAAGTATCTGGACAATTGATTTATGACAAAGGTGGCACAACAGAGGAGTGGGTAAAAGAACTTTCTTTTCCTTTTATTCTTTCTCTCTTTTTTCTCCTCCTCTTTCTCCTCCTCCCCCTCCTACTCCCCATTCCTCCTCTCCCCCTCCTCCTTCTCTTTTTTTCTTCTTTTTGACAGGGTGTTGCTCTGTCGCCCAGGCTGGAGTGCAGTGGCACAATCACAACTTACTGCAACCTCGAACTCCTGGACTCAAATGATCCTCCCCCCTCAGCCTCCTAAGTAGCTGGGATGGCAGGCACGTGCCACCATGCCCAGCTAGGGCCTACTTTTCGATAAATTGTTCTGGGACAATTGAGTGTCCATATGGAAAAATACGAAATCGAATTCCTCCCTAACTTATATTAAACAGAGAAATAAATTCCATGTGAATTGTAGACTTCAATGTGAAGAAAAAACAATAAAGCTTCTGGAAGACAACATAGGAGACTATCTTCATGACCTCAAGGTAAGGAAAGTCTTCCCAAAAAAGACAAAAAACGTTCTAAAATGTTGATATACTTCACCATATTAATGTGATACTATATGTTCTCCTTGTCAAAAGACCCCAATAATAAAATGACAAGGTCAGCCACAGAATAGGAAAAGATAATTGGGTTTTTTTGTTTGTTTGTTTTGTGTTTTGAGATAGAATCTCACTTTATCCCCCAGGCTTGAATGCAGTGGTGTAATCTCAGCTCACTGCAGCCTCAACCTCCCAGGTTCAAGCGATTATCCTGCCTCAAGCCTCCTGAGTAGCTGGGATTAGAGGCCTCCAGCTAATTTTTGTACTTTTAGTAGAGACGGGGCTTTGGCATGTTGGCCAGGCTGGTCTCGAACTCCTGACCTCAAGTGATCCACCCGCCTCAGCCTCCCAAAGTGTTAGGATTACAGGTATGAGTCACTGCGCCCGGCCTAATTTTTGTATCTTTAGTAGAGACAGGGTTTCACCATGTTGCCCAGACTGGTCTCGAACTCCTGAGCTCAAGCGATCTGTCCACCTCCACCTCCCAAAGTGCTGGGATTACAGGTGTTAGCCACCTTGCCCAGCCAGGAAAAGACATTTGTAATGCATAACTGACAAATAACTTAAATATAGATTACAATAGAAAAATCCAGCCAGGAGTGGTGGCTCACACCTGTTATCCTAACACTTTGGGAGGCTGAGGCAGGCATTACTTCAGCCCAGGAGTTGGAGACCAGCCTGAGCAATATGGCAAATACCCATCTCTACTAAAAATACACAAATTGGCTGAGTATGGTGGCACAGACCTGTGGTCCCAGCTACTCAGGAGGCTGAGGCAGGAGGATGGCTTGAGCCCTTGGGGTCAAAGCTTTAGTGAGCCATGATTGCACCACTGCACTCCAGCCTTGGTGACAGAGCAAGATCCTGTGTCAAAAATAAAATAAAGTAGGGAAAATACATAGTCAGTTTGGGTTTAAAAAAAAAATCCTAAAAATCAATAAGAAAAGACAATCTAATAGAAAAATAACAAAAGGCTTGAACGGGCACTTCACTGAAAAAGGAAACTGAAAATAACTGATATACATATGAAAAGATGCAAGAGATCATTAGTCATCACGCGAACGCAAATTAAAAACTCAATCAGATACCACTACACACTCACCAGAATGCCAGTGCTGATGTTAAGAATATGGAATAATGTGAACCTTTGTAGAAGTGTAAATTGGTGGAAAACAGTTTGACATTACTATAGTTGGAAATGCTAGACCCTATGATATAGCAATTTCACTCTTGCCCATATATTCACAGAAATGTGTGCATATGTGCACCTAGAGACATACATAAGAATGTTAGGCTGGGCAAGGTGGCACATGCCTGCAATTCTAGCACTTTGGGAGGCCGAGGCAGGAGGATCACTTGAGGCCAGGAGTTTGAGACCAGCTTGGGCAACATAGTGAGACCCCATCTCTATTTTAAATAAAAGAAAACTTTGTCCACCAACGGGAAGTCAGGATAAAGATTTTCTACTTTGGGCCAGTCAAACCACATCTGGAGGATTGAGATCAATTCTGGGTATCACACAAAGACATTGGTAAATTTCATCCTGCCACTAACTGGCTGGGTAATTTGGGTAAGCAATTTAAGTATTCTGAGCCTCATATGCAAAAGGATAATAGTAGTACCTTTTGCATAGCAGTGTTGTGAGAATTAGTAAAATAGAAATGTAAAGTCTTTATATCTATATCTGATCCGTAATATAGTCAAGAATGGTAGCTGCTAGAGAAACAACTAGAATAGTGAAGTCTATGGAAGCTCAGATACTTGAGAAACACAAATACTTACACCAGGAGGAAGACGAAACTTAGAGGTCACAAGATAGCTTTCTTAGTTTATTTGCTTATTTGTTCCTAGTCTGGATTACAACAGAGGCAGAGAATTAGAAGTCATGGGTGGAAGTTAGAGGGGCAAAGAGGATGAACTTTCTAACAACTTGAGCAGTCCATTGGCAGAACAGTGTATTCACCCAGGGGGTTCTTCCTGCCGGCTGCACAAACCAAATCAATTCACCAAGACCTCAGCATTGCATTAAAGAAAGAGTTCAATTGACACTAGGTCTGCCACATGGGAGATGGAGTTATTTTATTTTATTTTTTTAGACAGAGTCTCGTTTTGTCATCCAGGCTGGAGTGCAGTGGTATGATCTTGGCTCACTGCAATCTCTGCCTCCTGGGTTCAAGCATTTCTCCTGGCTTAGCCTCCCAAGTAGCTGGGACTACAGGCATGCACCACCACACCCGGCTAATTTTTGTATTTTTAGTAGAGATGGGGTTTTGCCATGTTGGCCAGGCTGGTCTTGAACTCCTGACCTCAGGTGATCTGCCCGCCTCAGCCTCCCAATGTGCTGGGATTACAGGTGTGAGCCACCGCGCCCAGCCTGGAGATGGAATTATTACTCAAATCAGTCTCCCTGAAGGCTCAGAAGTTGGGGTTTTTATGAACAATTTGATGAGCAGGGGGCTAGGGAATGGACACTGCTGACTGATTAGGGATTAAATCATAGGGGTGTGGAAAACAGTCTTTCTGTGCTGAATCTGCCTCTGGGTGGGGCCGCAGGCCCGGTTGAGTCATGAATCACTGATCTAGGTGGGGTCTGTCAGTTGCCAGAATGCATCTCAAAAGACCAAGCCTAGGTTTTACAATAGTGATGTTATCTACAGGGGGCACAAATCACAAATCTTGTGACCTCTGGCCACATGACCTCGGAACAGTAAAGGATTATAGAAATTATGCCTACATTTTTGGTCCCTGAGCAAGGAGGAGGTTGGTTTTAGGGAGGGACTATTATCATCCTTGCTTTCAAGTTAAACTATAAACCAGATTCCTCCCATGTTTAGCTTGGCCTCCGTAGGTGCAGGAGTGAGCTGAAGACAGCCAGTCTGTGAGGCTAGAAGCAAGATGGAGTCAGCCATGTCAGATTTCTCTCACTGTCAGAATCTTTATAAAGGTGGTTTCAACAGGCTTGAGAAATACTGAGCTGCTGGTGCCTGAAGTCTTCCAGGGAGGCTCAAAGCTCTTTGTCAGTTGTGAGTGTAGGAAGATTTCTGCACTCAGATGGAGACTGGGCTCCACAAAATGTACCCTGCCTTCCTCTCTGAGGTTTGGTTCGTCTGTGAATCCTCATTCCCAGTTTAGGACTTTACTCACCATGAGCTTTTTCATTATTTCTCCTATGGCTTTCACCATTTTTTGTTTGTACTAAGACCCTCAGTAAGATATCTGTTTTTCATCAGAAACCAGTGTACACATACACACATGCACAAAACTGAAATAAAGGTTTAAGAAATAACATGTACTCCACTCCCATTGCTTCACTTGACTAACCTTTTAAAAACAAACCAAAAAAAAAAATAAATTAAACAAAAATAATATTTGGCTTGGCGTGATGGCTCATATCTATAATCCCAGCACTTTGGGGGAGCTGAGGTGGGAGGATACTTGAGCCCAGGAATTTGAGACCAGTCTGTGCAATGTAGTGAGATCTCATCTTTACAAAAAATTTAAAAATTAGCCAAGCTTGGTGGCACATGCTCCTCTAGTCACGGTGACTCAGGAGGCTGAGGGAAGAGGATCACTTGGGCCCCATAGGTTGAAGCTGCAGTAAGCTGTGATCAGGCCACTGCACTCCAACCTGGGTGACACAGCAAGACCCTGTCTCAATTAAATATAAAGAAATAATATTCACATGTAAAAGTATACTCTGATATTTTTTCTTTTCTTTCCTTTTTTTTTTTTCTTTTGAGACAAGGTCTCACTCTGTTGCCCAGGCTGGAGTGCAGTGTCATGATCAAATGATCCTCTCACCTCAGCCTCTCCAGGAGCTGGGACTACAGGTGTGGGTCACCACACCTGGCTAATTTTTGTATTTTTAGTAGAGGCAGGGTTTCACCATGTTGGCCAGTCTGGTCTTGAACTCCTGACCTCAGGTGATCCGCCGGTCTCGGCCTCCCAAAGTGCTGGGATTGCAGGCATGAGCCACCACACCCAGCCTCTGATATTTTCTATGTATTTTATTTTTGTTAAACTGGTCACAATCTACTAACTTGATTCTAGAACCTGTAATTGATAAAACACTTAGACACTCACTACCATCCCAGCTGGCCTTCTTCTCCTAGCTCCAGTTTCTCTAAGACCTCCTCTACATGTCCGTCTCTTTCTATGCCCAGTAGCTTAGGAAGAACATCTCTTTCTCCTCACAGCAGTCTGAAAGCCTCTCCAATGGTTTTATTCTGGTGAAGGGGCCCGGGGCATAGCACACTGTAGCCCCACATTTCTGGGTTCACGTGATCCTCCTGCCTCAGCCTCCTGAGCAGCTAGGACTACAGGTACAGACCACTGTGTCCTGTGTAAGCCTGTAAGTTATAAAATACGTACAGTCTTTTTTTTTTTTTTTTTTTTTTGAGACAGGATCTCACTCCAATGCCCAAGCTGGAGTACAGTGATGCGATCACAGCTCACTGCAGCCTTGACCTCCTGGGTTCAATCGACCCTCCCACCTCAGCCTCCCAAGTAGCTGGGACCACAGGCATGCGCCACCACATCCGGCTAAGTTTTATATTTTTTGTAGAGATGGGATTTCGCTATGTTGCCCAGGCTGGTCTTGAGCTCCTGGGCTCAAGCGATCTGCCAGCCTTGGCCTCCGAAAGTGCTGGGATTACAGGCATGAGCCACTGCGCCTGGCCCACACATAGTCTTTTAATACGTACCATGTTCTTGGTGCTAGAAATACAAAATTTAAAAAAGACTTAGCAGGGTGCGGTGGCTCACACCTGTTATCCCAGCTCTTTGGGAGGCCGAGGTTGGCAGGTCACTTGAGGTCAGGGGTTCAAGACCAGCCTGGCCAACATGTTGAAACCCCATCACTATTAAAAATACAAAAATTAGCCGGGTGTGGTGGCGCATGCCAGTAATCCCAGCTACTCAGGAGGCTGAGGCAGGAGAATCGCTTGAACCTGGGAGGCGGAGGTTGCAGTGAGCCAAGATCTTGCCATTGCACCCCAGCCTGGGCGACAGAGTGAGACTGTCTCAAAAAAAAAATAATAATAATAAAAAAAAAGACTTGCTCCCTGCCCTCAAGTAGCTTGAAATCTTGACCAATAAATCAAAGGCTAAAGTACGTTGTAAAATGAAAAGCAAGGCTCGGGAGTATATGTGGATGAAATGTAAGTAAAATATAGGTGTAGGTAAGGTAAAAAAAGAAATCCAGACGAAAACTCGGAATAGCATGGGAGTGCTACCGTTCGTGTAAAAAGGGGAGAACATTTATATGGCTTGTGTGTGCATAAAATATCTCTGCAAGGCTGCATGAGAAACTGGAACATTGATTTCTCCAGGAATGAAACCAGGGAGAGAAAAGGAGGAAGAGACTGTTCACTGTATACCCTTTTACACCTCTTGAATTTTGAACCCCCTAATTTTTCATTACTTCTTCATTCAGTCACAAAGTCTCTAGGAACTCAAGAAGCCAGAGAAAGCTTGAAGTAATGTTTAAACCTAGTTGTGACTTACTATCCAGATTAGCTAGATGAAGAAGCGGCAGCAGGCTAGGGGTGTTTCAAGCCCTGCATGAACTAGTCAAGGAATAAAAGAAGCTCCATATTGATGCGTGGAGCCTAGGGGGCCAGGGTAGGGGTTGGGGGTGAATAGGAGGCAGAGCTGAGGCCCCAGAGGTAATAAGGGCCCCTCATGCGGAAGGGCCTTGGTGGCTTTGGTGCCCAGGAGTCTAGATTTGGTCTCACAGGAAGTGGCCAGTGAAGAAGGGTATTAAGCAAGGGAGCTACAGAGAACCCACTAGCAGCCGAGAGCAGAGTGGGCTGCAGCCGGGCTAGGAAGGTGGGGAGTTCTGCAGGAGACTGTGGAATCATCAGGGTAAAAGGTGACCAAGCTTTAACTGAGGACTAGGCAGAGGGAGTAAAGCGATAAACAGATGAACATGTGAGAGCTTTAGAGGGTGGCTCCATCAGGAATTAGCTTGCTTAGGAATTAGCGTGATTAGATGGGCTGCTGCGGGGGAGCAGGGGAGCGGCAAGGCCGTGTGTGCATGGTTCTTCTTCCTTCTCTATCCTCTCCCGGCTTCCCTGGTCCCTGCTTCCTCAGCTCTGATACTACAGGCGATGAGTCCCCCACCTCTCCCATTTCTGTGGTCTGGTAGAGAATAAGAAAATCAGAGGGGCCAAGGGGACGTTGAGTAACTACTCCAAAGTCACCTCTCTGCCCCTCTCCTACCTCAGCTTCTGTGGGAAATGAGGGAGAAGGGAGAGGAGGGCAGGGAGCGAGATCCTTTTGGTGCTTAATTCAAACCCTGCCTGCAACTCTGCGCCTGCATGAATATCCTGCCTCCTCCATCAGACCAGGGCCTCTGTCTCCCTACACAGGATCAGCCATGGAATGCGTGGAGCGCAGTGTAAAATGAAAATGTGTAGGTCTTGTTCAAAAATTATTAAGAATTTCAAGATGAGGACAGCAGAGTGTTAAACCTAGCATGCACCCTTCTAAGCAGGGGACCCTGTGTGACAGCAGAGGTCGAAGGCCCATAAAGCTGGTTCTGTCCCCAGGCCTTAAGGTCAAGTAGGTAATTGGGTGGGGTTGGGAGGCAAGAGGCTGTGACTTACTTTTCCAGAGGTGCTGAGGTCATGGTGGGGTAATCCCTGTCCCCATCTCACTCCTTGCTGGCTTCATGGGTAAGATCCGGAAGGCCCAAGGGTGGGCGGGGCTGGGCTGTCTAACCTACTAGGAAGGATTTCTAGCTGCTACCAGCTCCAGGAGCTGAGGCCACATTAGCCAGTCAGCTGTTCCCCCTCCCTGCCTTCTAAGGCCGAGGAATCCCGTCCTGGAAGTCTCTGGTGCAGTGTGGAAGGAGAGTGATACAGAACTGGACACTTAGAATGATTCAGTTCCATGTTACTTGACCAGGAAATCAAGGCGTTCAAGAGCATTCCCTTCCGCTTACTCCCTTTTCCTGGCTTGGCATCCTTTTACTGCTCAGGACCATTAGAATCTCACTTATGTGGTTTCTACCGGCAGTCTCACACGTCTGACCCTCTGTGCTTGGTCTTCTTCACACTCCTCTTCCCCCACCCCAGCCTGAGTTTCTGGAGTTACTCCAAACTCTATTCTTGGCCCTCCTTTCAATCCACACAGTCCTCTTGGTCAATCTCACCCACTTTTGTTGTATCAGCTACTACCTCTCAGTGATCCTCAACAGGTGTGCAAAGGGAGGAGGAAAAGCCTGTGGAGTCACGTGGGATCACCTGGTGGGGAAGGCTTTCCAACTGGTGACACCGCCATTCACCTAGTCATCCATGGAGGAAACCAGAAGTCATCCTTGATAATTTCTTCTCCATCCTTCCAACATTCAATCAATCTCTAGGCCCTGAAAATTCTACTTCTTCACTACCTCTCCAGTTCATCTGCTCTCCATTCTTACCCTTCCTCCCCAATTCAGTTCCTAATCACGTTGGGTGGCTGGATCATAGTGATTCTCCTTTCTCTGGAAACTGACCTTCTGAGGGTGGCCCTGAAAGTCAGCAGAGAAAGGAATTTCTTCCTCTCTGATTCTTGGGAAGCAATTAAGGTTTGAGTCAGGTGATCAAGGTCTTGAAGCATAAGTGAATTGAAAACAAGGAGATCTGGGGAGAGCTTTGTGGCTGGACCTCTTTGGGTGAGCCTGGAAACTGAAAATACATGTCACAAACAGGTTTACCAGAAGGCTCCCTGCAAAAGAGGCTTTTCACAAGCCATAGACAGGATGACCAAGGGGCTGTCTAGAGCTCATGAAACAAAGCAAACAGAGAAGCAGGAATAGAGGCTATGCCTGGATGGAACAGCATGGACTTCTCTTCATCAAGGCCAGTGTAGGTCCACTACTGCCCAATGAGCTTGCAATGGTGAAACCCTGAGCCCCTCATACAGTACCAGACCTCAAGGCAACCATCCAGTTCTCTGGTGGCAGGTCAATGGAAGGGACACAGAATTGTCCTCACTGGAATAGGCACTTATTCAGGAATTGAGTTTGTATTCCCTGCCAACACCACCATCTATGGATTCATGTGATGTCTTCTAGGCAGCTACGGTGTCCTAGACCAGGTTAGCTCCAACCAAGAAGCTCTTCCCAGCAAAAGAAGTAAGGCGTTAAATGTGGGTCCTGGAACAGAAAAATGGCATTAGTGAAAAAGCTAGGAAAATCCAAATAAAGTCTGGAGTTCCGTTAACAGTGTTATACAAATGTTAATTTTTTAATTTTAAAAGTACCATGGTTATGAAGATGTTAACATTAGGGGAAGCCAGGTTAAGGGTATATGGGAACTCTCTGTACTAACTTTGCAATGCCTCTGTAAATCTAAAATTCTTCAAAATAAAACTACCAAAGAAACACAAAGAAATAAGGTTGGGGCTACTGTCCACAGGATTTGCTGATCTCACCATGTGTCTGTTATCTAGAAGCAAGTGGCTGAGTGATAGGCTGTCCTAGTAAAGACCCAGGGTGGTGCCAGGTAGGTGGACACCACTTTGCAAAGACTAAGTGATGTCAGGAAGGTTGCTGGCTGTGCTATGAATGGAACCAGAAACAACTTACAGTGTTTTCCCTTCATGGCTAAAAAACTCAAGGATCTATAGGCTAGAGGAGGGAAAGGATGGCTCAGATGGCATCAATGACCCACTCTTAGAATTATCATTCTTGTCCTCCTAATCAACAGTGTGAAGGTCTGGGCATGCAAGAAAGGAATGCTGCCCGCTGGGCACGGTGGCTCACACCTGTAATCCCAGCAATTTGGGAGGCCAAGGCAGTCGGATCACCTGAAGTCGGGAGTTCGAGACTAGCCTGACCAACATGCAGAAACCCCATCTTTACTAAAAATATAAAATTAGCTGGGCGTGATGGTGCATGCCTGTTATCCCAGCTACTTGGGAAGACTGAGGCAGGAGAATCACTTGAACCCAGGAGGCAGAGGTTGCAGTGAGCCAAGATCAGGCCATTGTACACCAGCCTGGGCAACAAGAGCAAAACTGTGTCTCAGAAAAAAAGAAGAAAGAAAGGAAGGAAAGAAGGAAGGAAGGAAGGAAGGAAGGAAGGAAGGAAGGAAGGAAGGAAAGAAGGAAAGAAAGGAGGGAAGGAAGCCACAGGGCACAATGTCATAATCCCTTTAGAAGCTGAGATTTCTACCGTGCCATTTGAGGCTCCCTGTGGCATTAGGAAGAGACAGAAAAGGGGGTCAGAATGTCAGGCTGATGACCGACCCTGAGACTCAGGGTGTCCTGTGATTGTTACCACACCCTGGTGTGGCCAGGAAAGGTACAGGAGGAACCAGAGAACACCTGGGGCACAATGCCCCGCGGAACGGTGGGCTGAAGAAGCTGCTACTCTAATCAGAGTCCCACCAAGGGTTGAAGAGCCTCAGGAACAGAGGTTAGAGTTGCCGCTCTGGATCCAGAACCCCAACCAGTGAGAGCCTGCCTGAAGACAGGAGAATAAGGACTGGGCAGGTGGAAGAAGGAAGCTGTAGCCACATGGCCGATGGCTGCATGACTGGCCTCCCATCTTTTTTCCCTTCCTTACTGCCAGAGCCCTATGGAATATTTACCTTTCCCCATTTTTTGAAGGAAGAATTACTGTCTTTAATGTTTTTCCTTTCTCATTCCTCATCTTTTCCTTCTCTTGAGCAGAGTATATGGAGGGTGGTTGAATTGACACCAGCTTGCAGAATGGTGAGATGGAGTCAGGATGGAATTGGGAAGTGGAGATCCTGGATTTTGACCACAGAGGCCCTGTGACCTCACCCTTGGCATTTGGGCTGTGACCAGCTGGGGAAGGGAGGCTGCAGCTGTAGTATGTAGGATGACTATTAGATTAGGTTTGTTTTCAGAGACTTGCTTTCATTTCTATCTAGTAAACCCTACAAGCCAGAAACTTGGATGCCATCCTTGACAACTCATTCTCCCTCACTCATAACTCAAAGAAGTGTCAAGATCTGAAAACTTTATTTCCCAAAGAACTCATCAGCTTACCTACCGCCCCCGAGACTTATGGCCACTGCCCTAATTCAGGCCTTCCTCACCTAACCCCTGATGGAAAAATCACCTCCTTAACTGCCACTCTGCCTTTACTCTTTCCCTGTTCAATCTTGTAAAAAGCAAATTTCCAGCCAGGCTTGGTAGCTCATGCCTATAATCCCAGCAATTTGGGAGACCGAGGCAGGAGGATTGCTTGAGGCCAGGAGTTCGAGATCAGCCTGTGCAATGTAGTGAGACCCTGTCTCTACAAAAAAATTTAAAAATTAGCTAAGCATGGTGGCACACACCTGTAGTTCCAGCTACTTGGGAGGCTGAGGTGGGAGGATTGCTTGAGCCCAGGAGGCAGAGGGTGCAGTGAGCCATGATTGCACCCCTGCACTCCAACCTGGGCGACAGAGCAAGACTTTGTCACCCTCTCCCCCAAAAAAGCAAATTTCCTTCTAACATTACCAAGTCATTCCCAGCAAATAAGTTTGTTTAGTTCAGCAAACAAGACCCCTCTAATCACCTCCAAGCCCTCTCTAGCAGCAGATCCTAAGGATCTAGAGCTTTTGACATTCCCACTCCAACCTGATTGGTGCTCCCATTCAAACCATGGTCCTTTCTCATATCATGCCTTTGTTTATACTGGCCCACCAGAAGTGCCATCCATCCACCCACTGACAACTTAACCCTTTAGAACTCAGCTCTGGATATCACCTCCTTCTAAAGGCCTTTCCTGTCTTCCTTCCCAGGACTCAACGCACCCCTTCAGCAAGATTAGGTAGCCCTCCTATGGGATTCCATCATAGCCCTCGCAGACCTCTCCGCTGTTGCACTGAGTGTATTGTATTGTGAGTGCTGGTTTGTCTGCGGCTCTTTCAGTCCTTTCCTTGCTGACAAGGCCCAGGAATTGGTCTGATCCATCACTACATTCCCAGTCCTTAGCAGGATCCAGCCTCCCTTCTGCTAACCAGAATCTGCTTAAATACCGTCCTAGGCTTCCTATTGCCCTTAGGATAAAGAAGAAAGTTCCTAACTGAGTTCACCGAAAGGTCCTTCAAGACTTGACCCCAATCTCCCTCTCTAGCCTCATGCTTTTCCAGCCCCCATTCTGCACCCCTCGACGGCATTTACATTGACATTGTTCATTGCCCTGAATGTCTCTCGGCTGTGTGTTCCTACACTGCCCTTGACTCTCCCCATTGTAGCATTTATGGACTTAATTGTAAATTGTTTCATGTCTTCTCCACTAAATTCCATGAAAATAGGAGCCATGTTCGTCTTGCACACTCTTCCATCCATAGTGCCCAGCACTAACAGACTACTTGACAATATTAAAGAAATCATGAAATCATAACTTCACAAACTCTTGTTGTCATCAGGCCATCTGGGGTGATCTAAATGACTAGGAACAGGACCATAGGGTAGGACATGATATGGAGGGACAGGACCACCCAACCCTGGCCCCCAGCCCAAACTACTCTGGCGTGGAAATGCTTTATTCCTAGGATGAGAGTAGAGGGAAAAGACGGAGGGGTTCCCAGGTGGTGTAAGTGCTTCCTAAGGACTGCCCTCTGGGGTCTTGGGGTATTGCAGGCTTCTCACACCCCACCACCCATGGGGCCAACCGCTCGGCCAGCCACACTGTCCTCAGAGTGTTCCCAGCAAGGTCAGCAGAGACCCAGCAGGTGGAGGAAATAATGGGAGAAAAGAGTTGAAGGTGGGAGTGGGGAATGGGTTCACAATGCATTTGTTCAGGGATCTTTACTCATTCTGTGATGAAGAGAAGGTGACAGTTCACTGGCTCCCTGGGGGTCTAGGAGACTTGGGCTTGGCTGAAGAGGGACAGACACTCAGGGCAGGGCTCCATGCCATCAGCTTATCAGACAGCCACCTTTCTCCTTGAAGGGATTCTTGTCCTCAGGGATGCCTTTGAGAAAAGGATCGTTTCCTGCTTGGGCCTCCACGTACTCCTTGATTTCCTTTCCCGCTTTGGAAATCTGCGAGAACACAAAAAATGTTTTAGGTCCTTGTTACTGTCTCTGGGTCCATGATTTGGTCAGTGCCAGAAAAACAGGCTTCTGGGCAGGGCAGAGACAGGGGCCAAAGAGGAGAAAGACACAGAGGACAGACAGGTGTTCGGGGGTGTGAGTTCCTTGATCTGACCCACAACACTGACCCTGACCTTCATGGGCTGCTTGGCCAGAGCCAGCCCAGACACAGGGCTGGACACGCTGAGCTCTCCAAGGCCCTGAAGCTCTCTCCTGTGCTCAGGGAGGCTGGCACCTTCACAGGGTCAACCCCAGCCTTTCTCTGCATCCTACCCCATCCCAGAGGTACCTCCTGCTGCTTCTGCAGCCCTGGAACAGTCCCACCACCCTTTCTGGTCACTTCCTCCTTCCCGGGGCTCATCAGGAACAGGAAGGGAAGAGCAGGGACGGGGCGAGGAGGCTCACCGGAATTCTTGTGTTTTTCACTTCTTTCTTCAGCTGCTCCACCTCCATCTTCAACAGGTCCTTCTCGCTGAGATCCTGGGCCATCCTGCCCTAGACAGACCTGATCCTGGAAAGGATTCAGCAGCCAGGATCATAAATCTCATCAGCTCTTCCAGCTCCCTCCACACCTCGACTTCTAGCATCTTCCCTGCCATATCCCTCAGTTCAGGCCCCTCATCATTCAACAGATATTCACTCCATCCTTGCATGCCCTGCTTCTTCAAGAGTCTGGGCTCAGGAGGGGAGGAAGCTCCCAGTCTGATGGGGGAGGCACCATTTTTGCCTTTGGATTGTCTGTCTATGGAGGAAATTTGGATTGTCTGTCTATAGAGGCATCTGTCTGTCTGTCTACAGAGGAAACAGAGAAGAAAGAAAAAGGAGTTTCTTTCAGAGAGGAAGATCTGGGAAGCAACGTTATTGTTTCATATAGTGACTCAGAGTTTTCCTCTTTCTCTCCAGGTCCAGCAAGGGAGAGTATACAATAATGGTCAAGAGAAGGGGGTCTTGGCTGGGCGCGGTGGCTCACCCCTATAATCCCAGCACTTTGGGAGGCCAAAGTGGGAGGATCGCTTGAGCCCAGGAGTTCAAGATCAGCCTGGCCAACATGGCGAAACCTCGTCTCTACAAAAGATAGAAAAATTAGCCGGGGTGATGGTGAGTGCCTATAATCCCAGCTACTCGGGAGGCTGAGATATGAGAATTGCTTGAACCTGGGAGGCGAAGGTTGCAGTGAGCTGAGATCATGCCACTGCACTCCAGCCTGGGTAACAGAGAACAACTGTTTCAAAAAATAAAAAAAGATCCCAGGCACTGTGGCTCATGCCTGTAATCCCAGCACTTTGGGAGGCTGAGACAGGCAGATCACCTGAGGTTGAGGGTTCGAGACTAGCCTCGCCAACATGGTGAAACCCCATCTCTACTAAAAATACAAAAATTAGGCAGGCGTGGTGGCGGGCACCTGTAATCCCAGCTACTCAGCGGGCTGAGGCAGGAGAATCACTTGAACCCAGAAGACGGAGGTTGCAGTGAGCCGAGATCACACCACTGCACTCCAGCTTAGGCGACAAGAGTGAGACTCCATCTCAAAAAAAAAAAAAAGAGAGAGAGAGAGACAAGGGGGTCTGGAGCTTACCAGACTCCAACTCTGATCTGCTGCTTCCTTACTGCTTTCTCAGTGTGGCCTTAGGGAAGTCACTCAACCTCTTTGAGTATTAGTTTCCCCAGCTGCAAATGGGTATTAAAAAAACCTACCACATGCAATTATTGTGGGTACTAAGAAAATAATGTCTATAAAATATTATAATATACTACCTGGCACATAATGAACACTTAATACACTTATTATTATCACTAATAATGCTATTGTTATTATTATCACTGCAGGGTTATCAGGAAGGCCTTCCTGGTGCCTAGCCCCAGTGATACTAAGAGTAGATCCCAGCCCAGTGCAACCTCAGCCCCTCTCACCTGCCACAGAAGAGCACACTCTCCAAGTCACTTGTCCTGGACTCAGGTAAGATAGTGTTTGAGCCTCCTAGTTCTTCATCAGCTGAAAATCTTCAGATAAAGCAGATGGCCTGGAAACCAAAATCTCTGATGCCTAAGCTGATCATAGGCTCAAAGTTCTAAGCCCATCACCCGCTTGAGCCTTCAAGCCCTCACTACAGCAGAGCAGAGAGACAGACATTCTCCCCACAAAAACAAACGCGAAAACAGAAGCCACCTTTTCACCACCTTGCCTTGCGTTAGCCTCACACTTTTGGTGACCTCACTAGCTTAGAGCCCGCAGCGCTTCTATTTCTCCACCTCCACCCTGCAGCCCCACTTACCCCGCTTCGCCTGCTTTCTCCTCCTTCCCTTCCCACCTCTGAGCATGCTCTGAGGCTGTCCTTCCTCCTGAGGCAAGTCCTAGACCGGCCCCTAACCTCCTTAACCAAGATGCTTTGTGTTGCCCATTGGATCCCCACAGTTTCACCTTACGAAGTTCTCCTAGCTCACTCTTCATCCACTCATTCAATAAAAATGTCCTTGCTCACCAAGCTGTGCCACTTAGTACTTGGGGCGTGGCCACCTCTAATGCCTCTGTTCAAGCTTCTTTGCTGCCATGCCTCCCTCTGAGCCCTGAATGTGGGTTCCTGAGCACAGAACCCACATCCTGGTTTTTTTCTTGCTGTCCCCCCAGGACCACCCAAGGGCTATGCCATTTAACAGACATTGAGCTCCTGCTCTGGTTGACACCCATCCAATGACAAGGGACCCGCTGGAGGAGCAAAAGTTAAGGGACCAATATGGTCAATGGGAGGTCCTCTTATTCTCCTGTCTCTAGGATGACAGGCTTGGTGGTGGGAGGGGCAGAGAGGAGGCCCGCCGTCCATCCTAACTTCCGTGCTCCAGGACCCAGTCCAACTCTCAGCTGGGAGCTCTAAGAATTTGAAATCAGAACAGGATCCTGGAGGTTGTCTGGTACAACTGTCCTGTTAATGCGTGAACCACAGCCCATACCTCCTAGGCAGGCTCAGTGCTCTGTCCACCGCTGCTTCCTAAAACCGCAAGTTGATCTGAAATTTGAACCTGGTGCTTCTCAAATCCAAGTCCTTCCTGTTGTCTAATCTGAGTCCCTCACATTACGCTTGGTCAATTTCATCTTGTCCTGCCTTCATCTGCACAGAGCGTGTAGGGCAGATCTTCATCACACACAACCCTTCGCAGGCTTGCTAACACCCCTCTGGCAACCTCTCTGGTCATGTCTTCCCGGTGTCCAACCCTGACCCCTCTTGCTGCCGCATCGGCTGTTTTCTATTTTTGCTGTGCTGCTGCCCCACAGTCCTCTGGTATGACGGATCTCCATATCCTATCCACCCTCCACTCCCCTGTCCCTTGGTGACTCATCCCTGAGCTTCCCAAGGAAGCCCCCACCCTCTGCCCTTTCCTCCCGCCTTCCATGAGTGGAAAATCCACCTCCGCCCCCTATAGCAGGCCAGCCCCCTTCCTCCCCAGTCTCCGACCCCATCCCCCAGCCGACCAGTTTCCTCTCCAGGACCAGGGAGCAATCACAGCTGCCCCGACCTTGGCTTCCTCTGCTGGGTGGGATTGGGGGCTGGGCCCCCAAATGGGCCCCTGGCTTCCCCCTTCCTCTGGGCAGGGGACAGAGAGACACAGGCTCGGGGAGCAGGACTGACTTCCTCTTGTCCCGGAATGAGCATGCCTGCCCTTTGCAAGCAGGTTTGGGTCTCACGCAGAGGAAACCAAAAGCAATAAGAGGGAGGGAAGGCAGAGCAACCAATCAAGGGCAGGGTGAGACTCAAAACGAGCGGGCTCCCTGGGGAGCCAGACAGAGGCTGGGGGTGATGGCGGAGCTACAGCAGCTGCAGGAGTTTGAGATCCCCACTGGCCGGGAGGCTCTGAGGGGCAACCACAGTGCCCTGCTGCGGGTCGCTGACTACTGCGAGGACAACTATGTGCAGGTAGGTAGAGCGGGCGGAAGCCTGACACCCCAGCCCCCGGAGGGGGGACCCTGAGCCCTGCCCCAAGTGGGGCCCTGGGACCCATCCTGACAGTGCTTGTCCTGGGCCTTGGCTGAGAAATCCTCCCATTCCAGGCTTCGGCTTCATCCCAGACCCCAATACTTAACCCTGACCCCATACTACCCAAGCCCCCACTGTGCCCCTTCTGTCTCTCAGAGCCTCAGAGATGCCTGGGACAGACAGTGCGATTCCATCCTGTTCTCAGGTGTCACCTCAGGTTCATCCTTCTGAGTTCCCACGGGTCAATCCAGAGACCCAAAGCCTCCGTCCTCACACAGATGCTGGCGATCATTCTATTTCCAGGCCGGCTCTGGGTGAGGCTTCAGAAGAACTTCCCAAACAGCACAGTGAACCTGAGATGGACAAGGGAAAGGGGCTCTTTCCCTGAGTTTGGGAAAGGGAGAGTGGGGATAAGGCAGAGTAGGCTGGGCTAAAGAGAGGGGATCTCATGCAGAGGCAGGGGGATGGCCCACATAACTGCTGGGAGCAGGCTTCTAGCAACAGATAGGGAGGTGGCATTGTAGAACAGGTTTTAAATTGTGTGGTTGTCCTGGGGCTGAGAACATAGATTCCTGGATTCAGGGAGGAGAGGCAAGGCAACTGAGCCATGATGGAAATCACTTCTGTTATTTCATTAATCTGTACAACTACCTTGTGAGACATGTATTATAATTCCTATTTTACAGATGTGGAAACAGTAGCTCAGGGAGGTGAGGTGACTTGTCTAAGGCCACACAGCTCCAAACAGCAGAGCCAGGCATTCCTTTTTTTTCGCTCTTGTTGTCCAGGCTGGAGTGCAATGGCTCGATCTTGGCTCACTACAACCTCCGCCTTCCGGGTTCAAGAAATTCTCCTGCCTCAGCCTCCTGAGTAGCTGGAATTACAGGCATGCACCACCATGCCCGACTAATTTTATATTTTTAGTAGAGACAGGGTTTCGCCATGTTGGTAAGGCTGGTCTCGAACTCCTGACACCTCAGGTGATCCACCCGCCTTGGCCTCCCAAAGTTCTGGGATTACAGGAGTGAGCCACTGTGCCCAGCCAGCCTTTTTTTTTTTTTGACGGGGTCTCCTCTGTCACCCAGGCTGGAGTGCTGTGGCATGATCATAGCTCACGTAGCTTCACTGAAGCCTTGAACTCCTAGGTTCAAGCAATCCTCCCACCTCAGCCTTCTGAGTAGCTGGGGCTACAGGTGCATGCCACCATGCCTGGCTAATTTTTTAAATTTTTTTGTAAAGACAGGGTCTCCATATGTAGCCCAGGCTGGTCTT
Source organism: Homo sapiens (assembly GCF_000001405.40). Lineage (NCBI taxonomy): Eukaryota > Metazoa > Chordata > Mammalia > Primates > Hominidae > Homo > Homo sapiens. The sequence goes on from NC_000017.11 coordinate 49,212,174, forward strand.
GAACTCCTGGCCTCAAGTGATCTGCCCACCTTGGCCTCCCAAAGTGCTGGGATTACAGGCATAAGCCACCACATTTGGGCTTCCCTGAATCCTGATGCCAAGCTCTTTCCTCTCCATCTTTCTGCCTCCCTACACGCTATGTGACTTTACGACAGTTTATTAGCACTCTCTGTCCCCGGTTTCCTCTGCTCCCTGAAGAGCTGCAGACTAACCTTGTTACCCCTTGGGCAAAACTTTATTTTTCTAACCTGTACTAACCAAACTATGAGAACAGGCACAGGGACCTTGTAGCATAGTAAGAATGTTGAAAAAAGAAGTAAATGAGTAACAAGTGCTCATGGGAAATGGCAGATTAAAGACAGTCAGTAATGACAGCAGTTAAAATGCTCTGGACCCTTCTTTTGGGCCAGGCATGTTACCAGCATGGCCTCCCTTCATCCTCATCTGAAGTCCGGTGAGGCGAGTCCCATGCCCACTTCACAGTGAGGAAGCTGAGGTTTGGAAAGGTTAAGTCACTTTCCCAGAAGTCTCCTAGCTAGTGTCAGAGCCTGAATTCAAACGCAGAAATCTGATTCCAGAGCCCACTCCCTATGCCACTAACTGAAAATGCTACTCTGGGTATCATTTCGGTCTGTGTAGATGTTGAGTGACCACCTGCAGATGAGACAGAATGAGGCTTGCAAACCAGCTCATTCTCCTAGCATGGAAAGGCATGTTTCCTCTATGGACAAGGATCCAAGCAGTCCTTTCCATTCCTTCCATAACTTCTGCACACCTCAAAGAGCTTCCACAGGGCTCTCATTTGCACACACAGTGTGCACACACAATTTGGGGTCGCAAAGACCTAAGTCAAATTTCCAGTTCTGCCACCTACCAACTACAGGAACTGTGGCAAGTTTCTCCTCTGATTCTCATGCCTGCCTTCAGTGGTGGCTCCATGGATTCAATATAAAAATGTATCAAAGCATTCAGCCTAGTGCCAGCCCCTTCAGAAGAGCAGGATAAATGGCAGCTCTTACAATGACCATCACTACCATTCATTGGAAGGATGGATAATAAGAATCAGTTCTAGGGAGGAGAAGCTGTCCTTGCAAAAATATGCAGGGCATGAGAAGCCCTGACCCAAGTTGGAATCCTTGGACTCCTGCTTCCTTCGTGCAGAGTACTAACTACTAGAACACACAACTTGTTACCTTTCCTGGCCTTTCTGAGGATCTTTATCTAGGCAAATGCCTAGGAAGGTTCTGGATCTCAGAACTTCTGTTACCTAAGGCCTGATTCCCCTACCCTCCAACCCCACCTGCAGCCCCTCTCTCCCCACACCACCCAGATGCTAGGAAACCCATGGGGAATTAGGGAAGGCAGACCAGGGTCACCTGCAGAGTTCTCAGCCAGGGTTGACTGAGTTTACAGACACGGTAATTTGCATGATGAACAAGCACTCAGCCGCAGAGATGGATCTCAGACACCTGTCCCTGCGGACCTAACTTTGGGCTAAGAGCAAAGCCAGGGGTCGGTAGGTGTTCAGGCTGCAGATGCCCAGAGCTGGGCCCAAGCAGACACTTTTCCTGTTTGGGCCAACAATTCCACATGTTCGTTTGGGGAGGAAACTGTACAGAAGAAGGCAGGCAAGCTAAGAAATCTGGGTGGAGATGAAGGAGCAGTCACTGCTCAGTTCTGGGCCTGTTTCCTCATTTAGTAAAGGAAGGTCCTGAACTAAATCAAAATCTGCTCTCCTGTCTGGTGTTAATATCCTGGGTTGATTTCTTTGCCTATTCAATCTTCTTGGTGACCTATGCTGAGGAGATGTAAGTTTTGGTGCATATGCTAATGAGATGTAAATGACATGCAAATGAGCATCTCTTTCCTGCTGTTGGAAAAGAAAGACAAGGAGGAGAGAGCCATCGCATGGGCTGCCCAGAAGGTTCTGGCTCAGGCTCCATTAGAGGCTCCCAGGTGTCTCAGACCTTGCTCTGAGAGTTTGTAGGTCTGTTCTCCATTGACAGGCCCTGAGGGGCACCCGAGGGCTCAAGCAAGGGGACCCCAGTGTGCAGCCTTGCCTGTTGGCCCACTGGCCCTACTCCACATTCACCCTGGACTTGCCCCCTACCTGCCTTAGAAAGGTACAGGCTAGAGTATGGCAACTCCATGACCCGACCAGAGATGAGGAAGCTGCCCGGGGAACCAAAAGACCGGAGAAGTTTTGCCCTAGCCCCCACTGCCTGATCTGGGACCAACAAAAAAAAATTTCTTGGCCAGGCGCAGTGGCTCACGCCTGTAATCCCAGCACTTTGGGAGGCCAAGGCAGGCAGATCACCTGAGGTCAGGAGTTGAAGATCAGCCTGACCAGCATGGAGAAACCGCATCTCTACTAAAAATACAAAAAATTAGCTGGGCGTGGCGGTGCATGCCTGTAATCCCAGCTACTCGGAAGGCTGAGGCAGGAGAATCGCTTGAACCCAGGAGGCGGAGGTTGGGGTGAGCTGAGATTGTGCCATTGCACTCCAGCCTGGGCAACAAGAGCAAAACTCTGTCTCGAAAAACAAACAAAAAAAACTTCTTGCCTTCAGCCACTGCCTGCTTACTCCTCCTGCACTGACTGGCAGTGTGACCCTGGCCAGTGCCTGGCACAGTGCCTAGAATACAGTGGGAATGTGCCCAGAGAATGTTTGGGTTCCCATTCGACCTGCTAATTAACTCACGAGTGCATATTTATGAAGAATCTTTTGCGTGTTGGGTGTGATTCCATGACGGGATACAGGATGAAACAGACAAGCTCCCTGCTCTCATGACACTTCCGTTTAAGGCAAGGGGGCGTAGATAACGAAAAAAATACATAGAGAATGTTTGATACTGCTAAATACCATGAAGAAAAGAGAACAAGGTAAATATGATAAAGAGGCAGTGAAGGCGTGGGCTGGGGGAAATCTTAGTGTGGTGAAGGAAGGTGTCTCTGAGAAGCTGAGGCCTGCTAATAAGGATTCTGAAAATAAGTACAGCACATGCCAAGGCCCCGAGGCAGAAACAGTTCAGCTTGTTCAGGAACAGAAGCCCAATGGCCAATGTGGCTGAAGGGGAGTGTGTGAGAGGGGGAGTGGTGAAGTTGGATTAAAGGGGATGAAGGTGAAGAGAAAGGCAGGAGCCAGACCTGGAGGGGCTGTACGTAGGCCACGGTTAGAAGCTTGAATTTTATCCTCAGGGTATTGGAAAGCTATTAGAGGGAATGAATGAATAAAGTCCCTCTGTTCTGGGCCTCAGTTTCCTTATTTGAGTTCCCAGACACCAATCTGCAGACTGGAGCTAAACAGTCACATGGAAAGCTTTTTTTTTTGGTTTGATTTTGAGACAGGGTCTCACTCTGTCACGCAGGCTGGAGTGCAGTGATGTGATTTTGGCTCACTGCAACCTCCGCCTCCCGGGTTCAAGTGATTCTCATGCCTCAGCCTCCTGAGTAGCTGGGATTACAGGCAGGCACCACCATGCCTGGCTAATTTTTGTATTTTTAGTAGAGACGAGGTTTTGCCATTGTAGCCAGGCTGGTCTCAAACTCCCGACCTCAAGTGATTTGCCCGCCTGGGCCTCCCAAAGTAGTGGGATTACAGGTGTAAGCCACCGTGCCTGACATGGTTTGTTGTGTTTAAAAATGTCGGCTGGGCACGGTGGCTCACGCCTGTAATCCCAGCAGTTTGGGAGGCTGAGGCAGGCAAATCACCTGAGGTCGGGAGTTTGAGACCAGCCTGACTAACATGGAGAAACCCTGTCTCTACTAAAAAAAAAAAATTACAAAATAAGCTGGGCGTGGTGGCACATGCTTGTAATCCCAACTACTTGGGAGGCTGAGGCAGGAGAATCGCTTGAACTCGGAAGGCGGAGGTTGTGGTGAGCCGAGATCGCACCACTGCACTCCAGCCTGGGCAACAAGAGTGAAACTCCATCTCAGAAAAAAAAAAAAAAAAAGAATGTCTGCTCTAGCCAGTGTTGCCTTCCTCTTTCCTTTCTACTATTCACCCCCACTCCAACCCCTAAAAGGACAGCCTGTTACTGAAGTCTTCAGGAGGGTTGTACTATCATCTGTACTCAGTCCTCAGCTTAACTATTTGAGAATGGGTATCTTTCCCTCCCTTTGCATCCATTCCCCAAGGCTGCAGATTCACTTTTTTAAAGTGAATTTAAAGTGATGTTGTAGCAAGTTCCTCTTGCTACATCATTCTGCTGGGAGCCACCTCAAACATCTAAGGGTTGCTGCTCTCTCCCAATCCAGCCCCTACTTTCCCTATATCCTCTCCCATCCCACCCCAGCCAGCCAAGGACCCAGTGGAAGATGCTGGCCCTTAGGCCAGGGCTGTGTGTATTTCAGGCCACAGACAAGCGGAAGGCGCTGGAGGAGACCATGGCCTTCACTACCCAGGCACTGGCCAGCGTGGCCTACCAGGTGGGCAACCTGGCCGGGCACACTCTGCGCATGTTGGACCTGCAGGGGGCCGCCCTGCGGCAGGTGGAAGCCCGTGTAAGCACGCTGGGCCAGGTAAGGGGCGTGGGGCGTGGGAAGGCATCTTGTGTCAGGCCTCAACTCTTCAGCCCGACTCAGACATTTTCTACATCAAAAGTTCCTTCCTGCTTTCCTCCATGTCCAAATGCCCAACTCTACAGCAGAAGGTTGGCACTTCCCAAGCTTTTTGGACCTCCTTATCTCTGTGGCTACGCTACAAATTCCCCGAAGGCAGAGCTTTTTCTTTCTCGGAATTATATCCTGGACATGAGAAAGTGTTATCTACCAATCACAGCAGCGCCCTATACAGGAAAGAAGCAAATGAACCCTGTTTGCATCTAAATACAAGCAGTGCCCTCATAAATATCCCAGACCCAGGGTGCTAGCTTGACAAGGTCATCTTCAGCCCTGGAAGCACAGCCACCACTATACAGTATACACCCTCCACCCCGCCACAGTGTTCTAGCGCACACACCCTCCTCCTTCCTTCCTGGATCCTTGACCGAGGAATTGCCCCATAAAGCACATGCACAGACCCAGCCACACATTTGGCCTGGCCTGTACATCACCCACATGTTCAGTGGGTGGGGTGTGTCTTTTCCTCCCCCGCCGCAGACCAGAGTTCCCACCCTTTCGAACTGTAGGCTTTCTCCATGGAACATTCTGAGAGGAAGTCAATTTACTTATTTGTCCCCCAAAGGGGAGAGCTGATCCAGCCACCATTCTCTGCCACCTCCATATTCTCCCCCTCTGCTCCGAAGTCAGCCGGGTGCTTGTCTCCTCCCAGCATCCCTAGGGATGTTGTGTTTTCTCTTTTCCTCCTGTTCCTGCACAGCTAATAATAACCCATACTCTCTTTCCACCAGGAAGTTGCTCCAAAGTGGCTCCATCCTTTCCTGCTACTTTTCCCAATTGCTATGTAGCCTGGTGGGGGGCGGGGGGCGGGGGGCAGGGCCCTCTTTTTCTAGACCTGGCTGCCTCCCCCCCCCAGCCCAGTCTTTATCTTCTTCCTCCTTAGGGGGAAGGGTGCTGGACACAGACCACCCCTCTCTGTCACCTTGAACCCTGTCATGCAGATGGTGAACATGCATATGGAGAAGGTGGCCCGAAGGGAGATCGGCACCTTAGCCACTGTCCAGCGGCTGCCCCCCGGCCAGAAGGTCATCGCCCCAGAGAACCTACCCCCTCTCACGCCCTACTGCAGGAGACCCCTCAACTTTGGCTGCCTGGACGACATTGGCCATGGGATCAAGGTAGAGAGAGGGGCCCTCCTCTTTCCCTCCAACCCACCCTCTCGTGCCTTGTGGCCCCTTTCCCTCCAGAACCCCAGTTCTGCAAGTTTTGTCCCCACTTGCCACTCCTTTCTTTCCCCGCTCCCTGAAACCACCACTCTGAGCTCTTCTCCCTCTCCCTAGATTTTGTAATCCCTCCCTCCAAAACTGGTCTGTACCATCCTCGGAGGATCTGCTGAGTGTGAGATCCTGAGCACCCCTCGCCCCCCCGCCCTGCCCCTGTGGGCACCGGGCGTGTGGGAAGGGGAAGAGGGGGAAGGGAGGATGTCAGGGTGTGCATGAGAATGGCTCCCAGCCACATGAGAACAGCAACTTCCTCTGTCTGGGGGTTTGAGGTCACTGCACTGAGCAGTCACCCCAGAGCTGCTGTTGGTGAGAAGAAGCGGGGATACAGCCACACAAAGGGGACTTGGTGAAGGGAGGGGAGCATGGCGCTGGCGTCTTCTCAGCCTATGTCCTTCTGCGAGGTCAGAAAGGGCACGCACTCACACCCGTCCCACCTTCAATTCCTGTCTCCACACCTTAACATTTCTGTATCAAAATGAGCCCCTTGATATCCTTAACTTATCAGCCCCCCTTAAAGGGGAAACGACATTCTCCCCTTCAACCACCAGGCCTCCTTCCCACCAGTAGTTCTCTGTTGTCCAACTTATATTTTTTTTTTTTGAGATGGAGTTTCGCTCTTGTTGTCCAGGTTGGAGTGCAATGGCACGATCTTGGCTCACTGCAACTTCCGCCTCCCAGGTTCAAGTGATTCTCCTGCCTCAGCCTCCCAAGTAGCTGGGATTACAGGCGCCCGCCACCATGCCCGGCTAATTTTTTTTTTTTTTTTTTGTATTTTTAGTAGAGATAGGGTTTCTCCATGGTGGCCAGGCTGGTCTTGAACTCCTGAACTCAGGTGATCCTCTTGCCTGAGCCACCCAAAGTTCTGGGATTACAGGTGTGAGCCACCACTCGCGGCCCAACTTATATTCTTTGTGCTTCAGCTCAAATCTCTTTTGTCTTGCCCCTGGTGAAGCCCATGGGGTAACACTGTACCCACCCCTTGGGGAAGTCCCATTGGTAACAGCAGTTCCCTCTTTCATGTAGGCGTGCACCCTGTCATTTGCGCATCCCCTCTAAGTGGCCTGGGTCTTGCTCCTCTCTGCCCTAACTCCCCAAAGCCAGTTCCACAAATCTTCGAAAATGAAAGGTGGGACACTTCTAAGTGTGATGTGTCCTCTCCTTTCTCCGCCCCCTCCTCAGCCCGATCAAAGTTAGGGACCACCAAGCCAGGGCCCCAGCTTCCTGGGCTCTGAGATGGTCTGGGGGAGGGACAGGGGTGCTGGGCCCACTCAACCCGCTGTGGCTGTGCAGAGGAAGTGGCTGTGGGCTTTGGTAGAACTGAGTCCCAGAACCCAGGCAATGACAAGGGGGTGGGGTGGGGGAAGTGTAGGAGAGGGGCCTGAGAAGTGGAAGTGGGAACTGGCTATGCCGGGCTCTCCCTCCCGGTTCCCGTCCGCCCCTCCTCCATTTCCTCTTGGGGATGAGGGTGGAGGGAGGCCCCTCACCCCAAATGTAAGCCCTACCTCCCGCTCCCTCGCAGGACCTCAGCACGCAGCTGTCAAGAACAGGCACCCTGTCTCGAAAGAGCATCAAGGCCCCTGCCACACCCGCCTCCGCCACCTTGGGGTGAGGCCTCGCCGCGACGCCAACTAGCCTAGCCCTGCCCCGCGCGACCCTGAAACTCTCCTCCCCCAGCCTCGCCACCCACCCCTGGCGCCCCCGGGTGCTCAGGCCGTCATGCTGGATGCCTGGCGCCAAACCTCCCCCTCGGCCACCTGCCCTTCCTGCTCGCACCCGACCCCTGCTGGCCAGAAGCCTTCCTCCTTCCTCCTAATACCCACTCCCTGCCCCCCGCCAGGAGACCACCCCGGATTCCCGAGCCAGTGCACCTGCCGGTGGTGCCCGACGGCAGACTCTCCGCCGCCTCCTCTGCGTTTTCCCTGGCCTCGGCCGGGTGAGACCTACAAGCCCACGTGGGTGGGTGGGGGGTGGGAAGTGGCTTTTGAGAGGGGCCACCTGCCAGTGGTCATAGTGACTCCTGGGCTTGAAAGGACCCAGTTACTCCTGGGTCACACGTGCAGGGCTGGGGTCAGGATTGGAGGGGTGGGGCCAGTTGGGGATGCTGCATTAGGGAAGGCGTGTCCGCCAACCGGGCTCTCTGGTGTTCAGCAGCGCCGAAGGTGTCGGTGGGGCCCCCACGCCCAAGGGGCAGGCAGCACCTCCAGCCCCACCTCTCCCCAGCTCCTTGGACCCACCTCCTCCACCAGCAGCCGTCGAGGTGTTCCAGCGGCCTCCCACGCTGGAGGAGTTGTCCCCACCCCCACCGGGTAAGGAGGTCCACCCTCTTCTTCCCAACCGTGGGGTCGCTTTTCTGCCTCCTGCCACTCCCCAGCCCACCTCTCTTGGATCTGCCCCGGCCAGCCTCAGTGAATGCCTCCTCCAAGGAGCGCAGCACAGGGGCGAAAGGAGACAGAGGAAGTGAACTAACATAACTTAGCGCCTGCTGTATACCAGACCCTGTGTTCGAAGATTCTCATCCATTTTCTCATTTGAACTTAATCCTGGCCGGGCGCGGTGGCTCACCCCTGTAATCCCAGCAGTTTGGGTGGCCGAGGCGCGCGGATCACCTGAGGTCGGGAGTTCGAGACCAGCCTGACCAAAATGGAGAAATCCGGTCTCTACTAAAAATACAAAATTGACCGGGCGTGGTGGCGCAAGCCTGTAATACCAGCTACTCGGGAGGCTGAGGCAGGAGAATCGCTTGAACCTGGGAGGCGGAGTTTGCAGTGAGCCGAGATCGCGCCATTGCACTCCAGCCTGGGCAACAAGAGCGAAACTCCATCTCAAAATAATAATAATAATAATAATAATAATAATAATAATAATAATAATAAACTTAATCCTAAGGGCCAGGCGGGGTGGCTCACGGCCGTAATCCCGGCACTTTGGGGGGCTGTGGAGGGCGGATCACTTGAGGTCAGGAGTTTGAGACCAACCTGGCCAACATGACTAAAAATACAAAAATTAGCCTGGCGTGGTGGTGCGTGCCTGTAATTCCAGCTACTCAGGAGGCTGAGGCAGGAGGATCACTTGAACCCAGGAGGCAGAGGCTGCAGTGAGCCGAGATCACCACACTGCACTCCAGCCTGGGTGACAGAGGGAGATTCCCTCTCAAAAAAATAAAATAAAGGCCGGGTGTGGTGGCTCACGCCTGTAATCCCAGCACTTTGGGAGGCTGAGGTGGGCGGATCACGAGGTCAGGAGATCGAGACCATCCTGGCTAACATGGTGAAACCCTGTCTCTACTAAAAATACAAAAAAATTAGCCGGGCGTGGTGGCGGGCGCCTGTAGTCCCAGCTACTCGGGAGGCTGAGGCAGGAGAATGGCGTGAACCCGGGAGGTGGGGCTTGCAGTGAGCCGAGATCGTGCCACTGCAATCCAGCCTGGGCGACACAGCGAGACTCGGTCTCAAAAAAAAATAAAACAAAATAAACTTAATCCTGAGAGGGTCTTTACCACTCTCCGTTAACAGATGAAGCCACTGACGCTGAGGTTCAGTGACTTGCCCAAGAGCCACCCAGCTAATAAGAGGCAGAGTCTGACCGTCCTCTACTGCTGGATCTTTCAGGGTTTACTGAGCACTTAACTATGTGCTAGCAGCACTGTGGGAAGACCAGGACAGGAGAGGGCTGGAGGAAGATTGCATGAAATGGGTGCATTCTTTTTTTCTTTTGAGATGGAGTCTCACTCTGTCATCCAGGCTGGATGGAGTGTGTTGGCAAGATCTCAGCTCACTGCAACCTCCACCTCCTGGGTTAAGCCATTCTCCTGCCTCAGTCTCCCGAGTAGCTGGAATTACAGGCGTGTGCCACCATGCCCGGCTAATTTTTGTATTTTTAGTAGAGACAGGGTTTCACCATGTTGGCCAGGCTGGTCTCGAACTCCTGGCCTCAGGTGATCTGCCCGCCTTGGCCTCCCAACGTGCCTCGCTGAGATGGGTGGATTCTGGGGTCCAGCTCTTGAGCAGTTCCCTGACACACTGAAGGAGCTTCCTGTGCCACACTTACAGCCTTTCTGCTTTTCCCCCAAGACGAAGAGCTGCCCCTGCCACTGGACCTGCCTCCTCCTCCACCCCTGGATGGAGATGAATTGGGGCTGCCTCCACCCCCACCAGGATTTGGGCCTGATGAGCCCAGCTGGGTGCCTGCCTCATACTTGGAGAAAGGTACCTGACTTCTGGGACTGAGGGGCACCGGATCCCACTTCCTCTGTTGCCCTGATCCCCATTCTCCTCCCTCTGCAAAGGTGTGAATCTATCCCCCGGGCCCCCCACACAATTTTTCTGACGAACTGACAGAACTGGGGAGAGGGCAGCTGGCCTGGTATTAAATATTAACTAAGCTGGGGAGGGGTCCTGAAGGCTTGCAAGAAGGCCCCCAAGATGGCCCCTAGAGTCTAGTACTTGAGACCGTGCATCCCCATGGTGGTGGGGGGTGAGGGGGAGAGGGCAAGAGGCATTATCTCACGGCACCCTCTTCTCTTGCCCTGCAGTGGTGACACTGTACCCATACACCAGCCAGAAGGACAATGAGCTCTCCTTCTCTGAGGGCACTGTCATCTGTGTCACTCGCCGCTACTCCGATGGCTGGTGCGAGGGCGTCAGCTCAGAGGGGACTGGATTCTTCCCTGGGAACTATGTGGAGCCCAGCTGCTGACAGCCCAGGGCTCTCTGGGCAGCTGATGTCTGCACTGAGTGGGTTTCATGAGCCCCAAGCCAAAACCAGCTCCAGTCACAGCTGGACTGGGTCTGCCCACCTCTTGGGCTGTGAGCTGTGTTCTGTCCTTCCTCCCATCGGAGGGAGAAGGGGTCCTGGGGAGAGAGAATTTATCCAGAGGCCTGCTGCAGATGGGGAAGAGCTGGAAACCAAGAAGTTTGTCAACAGAGGACCCCTACTCCATGCAGGACAGGGTCTCCTGCTGCAAGTCCCAACTTTGAATAAAACAGATGATGTCCTGTGACTGCCCCACAGAGATAAGGGGCCAGGAGGGATTGAAAGGCATCCCAGTTCTAAGGCTGCTGCTAATTACAGCCCCCAACCTCCAACCCACCAGCTGACCTAGAAGCAGCATCTTCCCATTTCCTCAGTACCCACAAAGTGCAGCCCACATTGGACCCCAGACACCCCTCTGCAGCCATTGACTGCAACTTGTTCTTTTGCCCATTGCTTGCTGTGTGTGTGGTGTGTTCATATGTGGCTGGGCACTTGCCCAAGAGTGGGAACGATCTCCATGACTTAAGCGGGGCTCTCCGAGAGCACCTCACTGTCAACTCTGAGACTGTCGCGAGAGAGATCTCAGTCATTTCTTCCCCCTTCACCTCCTTTATAGTTGTAAAACACCAGAGGAAGGAGGGGCTTGGGTTTCGCTGGTTCTGCTTAAAAACATGGCTTTCTGTTCCATGGGGGGTGGGGGGGATGCGTGGAAGGCCCAGCCCGCGAGGGTGACTTTGGTGAAGTCCCTGGTCTCTTGCTGCATAGACGAGGCTGGGATGCAAGGAGACACCGTCACTCTCTGCGAGGTTACTGGCTGTCCGGACCCGAGCCGGACGGTGCGCTACCTCGTACCACCACCAGGAGGCGATTGTTCCTCTGGCTTTTCCTTTGGGGGTGCTAGAAGGGAGTGCGGGGGTCGGGAGGCAAGAGAGTGTGGACAGCACAGAAATAGTGTGGGGTCGCGGTGGGTGAAGCAAGATCGCAAAGGCCTGGGGCCATAGGTGGAGACCCTCTTCTGCCTCTGTGGGGAGTTCTTGCGGCCAGGAGAATTTCAGGATCCTGGGTTCCCTCCACAGTAGACTGGAGGAGGGGCGGTCACGCAGCCCGAGGCAACAAGTTACAGCGGCGGGAGATGTTCCTTCTCTCACCTGCCGGGGGGGCCCCTTCCTCCCAGTTGGGAGGACCAGGAAATACTGCTGCCTTCCAAGGTTTGCGCGCCACCCCGCGATGGGTCAGACTCCAGAACTCAACCGTGCACAGTGGAGTGGGGGAGGCAGCCGAGGTGGGTTAACTGAATAGATAGGGACGGCTCTGAGCCCCCTTCCCCAAGCCCCCAAATACGAGATTCCAGAAATTCCCAGAGGGACATAACAAAGCCAAAGGGAAAAGGGAGTAGTAAAGCTGTCTTTGCCGAATCTCCCTTCCCCGCCCCCTCCGCCGTTGGCCCGGGTACCCCCCTGCAGGCGGCCAGACTCAGCACGACTTCAGCACCTGTTGCAGGTGGAGGCGCACATCTGCAGCCGTTTCCCAGGGCACCACGCTGGCGCGGAACGAGCTGGGCTCGGCCTTCTGGGCCTCCTGAATGAGGCGGTGCATGGGGTAGCCGCGGCGCGGGAAGGCCACGTCGCCGCCCGCCAGCAGCCCCATGGGGCAGAAGTCGTTGGCGCCGTCGCCCACGTAGAAGAGGCGCTCGAAGTGCACGCCGTCGTGGGCCCGCTCGCGCAGGTAGTCGCTGAGCACCTTGTGCTTGCACATGTTGGCGGGGCAGCGCGCGCAGCTGTGTGTGTGGAACGGCCGCAGAGCCAGCAGTCCCCGCGCATCCGGCCCCGACGGGTTGCTGAGGATGCGGCGGAACAGGCTGTGGTGGCCGGCGGCGCGCAGCGAGCTCTCCACGCCAAAGGTGTTGGCATCGGAGATGAGAATCACCTCGAAGCAGGCGCCCTGTTTTGCCACAAACTGCAGCAGGTCGCTCATGCCTGGCGACAAAGGGATGGCTTCGTAGATGGCGCTCAGGTCCCGCGGCCGCACGCCCTGCTCGCCCAGGTACTTGAAGACGCGCTGCATGTACTCGTTGTAGAAGCCCTCGCGGTAGGTGGCTCGCAGGCTCTCCGGGAGCCGCTGGCCCGGCGCGGCGCGCACGATCGAATCGTCGCTGTTTTCGTCCACGATAGTCTCGTCGAAGTCGAAGGTCAGGAGGAAGCGCGGCGCGCCCTGCGCGGCCATCCTGCCGTCCTGGGAGCAGGGGGGAGAGCAGCAGGAGGAGGAGGAGGAGGGGGCAAGCGAGAGGGGGCGCGGCAGGAGCCCGCCCGGGAGAGGCTGGTTAGCGGGCCACGGCCAGAGGCGCTGGCACATCCAACACCTGAGGAGGACCCAAGTCTGGTTAAGCTGGGAGGAGTACCCAATGCCACCACCTCTATCCCCAGCCTTCCCTGACTACTCCAGTGGCACCTCTTAGTTAACTGCAGTGGGGTTTATGCCCAGAGGGCTTCTCGGCACCTGTTTCCCCTACTCTCATCGAGGGCCAATGGGGCTTAACAAGGGTCAAAAGAAGGGAAGAGCAGCTTCCAAGGATCACCACTTTGGGGAGGTTTCTGGACTGGACTGTTTTGGAGACTTCCAGTGGCCCCTGTTGTTGGTGTGGATCAAGAAAGGGTGGTGGGAACTCTCCCCTCCCTCATTCCCTGAGGTAGAGTCAAGGGAAACCAACCACCCATCCACCCAACTGGACCAGTTTCCTCATTCTCCTTTTGGGCCATGGGGAATCTATGGCTCTCTGGGAGCTGCTTCTAGCCCAATGGCACTGAACAGGGGTCTAGGGATGGGGCACAGCTTCTTCGGGGAGTTTTAGGGCCCTGTGCTGACAGCTCATCACTAATCACTTGCCAATTCCCCAGGAGGAACGTGTCAGCAGGTGGGGTTTCTGCCAGAGTCCGAAGCAAGCGGGCAGCAGGAGAAGCAGTGGGGCTTGGGGAGGTAAGAGCCTCCCGCACCAGGCCATGACACACCTGGGAGACAGGTAAGGGAGAAGAGAAGAGAGCAGCAGTGGCTGAAAAGGCAGAGGAGTGGGAGGGGCCAGGTAGTGGGGACTTGGGGGGTGTGGAGGAGAGGGCTGAGAGGAGGTCATTCTAGGGGATCTTGGAGACAGACTGCTGGACAGGAAGACAGAGTAGGGGTAGGGATAAGGGAGTTCCAGGAAGCGGAGACCTTGGGCCAGATTCTTGTTGGAGGGGAGGGTGGTAGGCAGCATGGGAGAGGACAGAGGACAAGAGGGGACATGTCTGGGCACAAGGAAAGGCAAGCAATGGAGGCAGCAAGAGCCCTTGGCAGCAAGTTTCCATCACCTTTGCCTGCCAGTGTGTGAGAGGCGCAGAGGGGCAGTGAGCAGGTGACATGCAGCTTCCAGATACCCACACACTGCTTTTCTCCCGCCCAGCTCCCACCCCAGTTAATTGAGATGGGATTGTTTCTCTTTCTGGTTTCTTCCTAAGCCCCTCTCTCATATTCCTGGTGTGCTTATGGCCTGGCACACCTTGTGAAACAGAAACCCAAGCTCCTCATTTCGGAGCTGGGATTTCGATTGGCTATCTGCCTCCCTAACCAAGCTGTCCCTTCCACCTCATCCCTAGAGTCACCCTCTGGTCTCATCAACATCCAGTGGGCATTTCAGTGGCCCAGGATCCTTCAAATTGCAGATATAAAGCATCAGGACCCCACACCTGGGATGGAAGCTTCTAGGAATTAATGAAGCCCCAGTAGAGGTGAGGGTAAACCTAAAACGGGCTGGATAGGGCCTCTCCCAAGGCCCTATGGAAAGGTGATGGGAAACTGGGGGCTGAGGCCTCATCCTAGGAGACCCCTGGAGGGACCCACTTACCCTAGATAGGCAGCGGAGGCCAGAAACTGGAAAACAGCCACTCATTGTCGGTGCATTACCGTGAGCACCACCTGTAGGGACTCTGTTGGCCTCCAGCCGTCGTCACACGTTCCTGACAACCACAAAAGTTCATTTGAGGGTGCCCAGTCAGCTGACTTTGCTTCCACCAGGAATACCCACCTGGCCCTGGTCCTTCTGCTGAGCTACAGGAGGCATTCCCAGGGTCTTAGCAAAAACAACCCCTCAAATAGGCCCAGTGCCTACAACTCTAGAGAGGTTTCAGATGGTATTGGAGACCCAGAGAAGTTAACTGACTTTCCCAAAAGTCACCCACTGTAAATGGCAGACAGATCTCAAACCCACATCTGAGCCTGAGTCCAGTGTTTTTTCTCTAGTATCATCATTGTCCCTTAAATGTGTTTGACACATCATAGTTTACAAATCACCTTCACTCATATTCTCTCACTACTCATCAGTCATGAATTCAGCCAATGAGAAGGGCTCAGAGAGGTTAACTAACCAGCCACGCTGTTTACATGGGGCATAGACTGCTTCATGAACGCTTGACTGCAGCTTTGCCTTCCTCATGCCCTCAAAAAGGAAGGAGCTGACCAAAGCTTACTATACCATAGCTGGGGTCTGGGACCCCCAGCCAGGTCTCACAGATGATCTGGGAATGGCCTCCCTGTTGCTCTCAGGGGTCCGGCAGTCACACAGAAGAGTCAGGTTGAAATCTTGGCAAGACTTTGGTGTGGCTTTGGGAACTGGGTTTAACCTCTTGGGGACTTCACCAAGACAGTGGCAAAGGACACCACCTACAGCTTCCAGTGCCTCTCTACTCTCCCACCTGTGCTCCTGGGGTTGAATGAGACCAGAAGCAGCTGGGACAAGATTTGGAAAGATAAAGAGAGCCAGGAGACAAGACCTTGAGAGAAGCAGAGGTCTGGCTGGCTGCTGCCCTCTGGTGGTGACAATGGTGACACTGTAAACCCCTCTGTCAAGGTGACACTCTCCCCTGACTATTCAGGAGGGAGAAGCAATCGCCCCAGGACAGAGACGGGGACATCCCAGGAGCAGGGTACAGGCTCTAGCAATATCCATCTTGCGGTACTCCCTCCCTCACAACAACCAGACCACACATGTGTTAAATCCTTCTGCAGGGATGGAATGCGGCTCTCAGTTTTTTCCAAGAACTTCTAATCTAGGAATTAGGAGAGGTGGTCAAAGCTGAATGAAGCAGTGGGCAAAGAGAGGGTGAGGGATGGGAGAGAAGACAGGTCAAGGAGGAGGTGGGAGAGAAGGGGAGGGTTGCATGAGGGACAAGGAAATGGCATGGGTTGGAGCTGTCCCCAGTCCCTATCTGGAGGGACTTCCAACCTTCCAGATTCCCAGCTGATATCACATGTCCAACCTCAGCCAGGCGATTTATAAGAGAAAGGTCAGGGATGCCACTCCCCTTGTAAAAGCAAACATGCAGCATCTGGAGAAGCAAGGGGTAGATACAAAGATTCCAAGGGGTCACCAACAGCTACCCAGAGACCAGCTTTCATCCTATAGAGAAGGGTCTCATTACTTTGCCCTTCCTTCCTTCCTGTCTCTCTCCTTCCTTCCTTCCTTCCTTCCTTCCTTCCTTCCTTCCTTCCTTCCTTCCTCCTTCCTTCCTTCCTTCCTTCCTTCCTTTTTTCTATTCTATTGATCATTAATTATGGTCAAAACTTCTCATTTTTTCAGCCAGGCAGGGTGGCTTAAGCCTGTAATCCCAACACTTTGGGAGGCGAGGCAGGCAGATCACTTAAGTCTAGGAGTTTGAGACCAGACTGGGTGACATGGCAAAACCCTGTCTCTTTAAAAACAAAAATTAAGGCCGGGCGTGGTGGCTCATGCCTGTAATCCCAGCACTTTGGGAGGCCGAGGCAGGCGAATCACGAGGTCAGAAGATCGAGACCATCCTGGCTAACATGGTGAAACCCTGTCTCTACTAAAAATACAAAAAATTAGCTGGGTGTGGTGGCGGGCGCCTGTAGTCCCAGCTACTCGGGAGGCTGAGGCAGGAGAATGGCGTGAACCCGGGAGGCGGAACTTGCAGTGAGCCGAGATTGCGCCATTGCATTCCAGCCTGGGCGACAGCGAGACTCCGTCTCAAAAAAAAAAAAAAAAAAAAAAATTAGCTGGGTATGGTAGCTTGTGCCCATAGTCCCAGCTACTTGGGAGGCTGAGGCACGAGGATCACTTAAACCCAGGAGACAGAGGTTGCAGTGAGCTGTAATGGTACCACTGCACTCCAGCCTGGGTGACAGAGGGAGTAACCCCATCCCCAACACACACACACACACACACACACACACAAAACTCCTCATTTCTCATCATAAAATACAGTTACATTTTTCTGCTAATAATAGTATCTAGGGGATTCAGTTAAACACTTATTGTTTGGTGAGTTGCCCTTGTTTCTTTCAGTCTCCAAGGCAGAAAGTCAGGCATCTTGGGTTTCTTCCCCAGAAAACTGAGAAGGCCATGCTGTGACACCTCGTCCCCACCCCACAGGAGTCAGAGGAACCCCTTCCCCAGTTGGAATTTGGCTCCTGTGATGCTCCAAAAGGTCTCTCACCTCTGACACCTTTGTTCTGAGTCATCAAATCCTTTTGTGGTCACCAAACAGAGTCCCTCAGAGTAGGGGGCAGGATCTGAGCTTCTCTCACAGGCCAGAGCAGGGAGAAGGGCTTCTGGGGGGTTGCAGGGAGTCCATATTCTAGTCCCACCTAAAAGCAGTGCCTGCCTCCTTAATTCTGCACCGGGTCACAGATCCCTGCCTGCTTCTCCCGCCTTTCACACAAATGCTCTTAGATTAAATCTGTGGGAAGGGGGTGGGAGGGAAACAGGCCCCTCTCTGATACAGGCCCTAAGTTTCAAATTCCCCTCTTACTGGGCAGATGGAGTTCCTAGAAAAGTTTTGGGATAGTTTTCCAAAGGAAATGTGCAGAATGAGGATGGGGAGGCGAGGACTCCAGAAAGACCACAGTAACAAGCCCTCTCTGTCCAAAAACAAGTCTCCTTGTATCAATCACTAGAAATCAGATCCAACAACTAAGCTAGAATTCCCTCCCTTTCCCAGACAGTGCTCCCAAACATGACCATCTTCCTTGCTCACCACGCCCGAGCAGCAGATAGGAAAAACAGAGGCCCAGAGAGGTCAGGCTAACATCCTAGGGGTCACACAGCATCGGAACCGCGATTAGAACTCAGGAGTCTCTGGCGCCTCTTGGGAGAATTGCAGCTGGAGCTCCCCCCTTGGCCCTGGAGACTCCAGTGGGCAGGGAGCTTGCGGTCCTGACCAGCTGGCGGTGGTGGCCCTGCGCCCTGGTGCCAGTGAGGCGTCTGGGTCTAGCAGTCACCTCTGGGCACTCCCTGGGTGGGAGGACAAGCTGGGAGGGGATCCTAGGGGCAGGGGCAGGGGCAGGGAGGTGGCAGCTGCCGGTAGGGTTGGGGGAGAGATATTTTTAGAGGTGACTAGGAAGCCAGCACTCTGGCGCACCCCCGGCTGGCGGGCGCTGGGCTCCAATGCGGGCGGGGGGTGCGCGGCTCGGGGAGGGGTATTGTGGGTGGCAGGGAGCAAGGGGACACCAATTCCTTGGCTTTGTCAGAGTCGGGGACGGAGGGATACCCCAGCACTATGTTCCTGGGTAGGAGAGAGAAGGGGACTCACTCCTGAGCTCCAGAACTCCCCCAGTGCCACGCGCGTGAAGGAGCGCCTTCAAACTCCACAGCCCCCACCCCGCGCCGGGACCCCAGCCCTCCCCTATCTCCCGGAGCCCAGGACTCACGTGGGGGCGGCGGCAGCAGAGGTCTGTCCCGGCTGAGTTTGGAGTGTAAGAAGTGGGGAAGGGGGCTAGCTGAGGTATTGGGGCGCAGGATGGAGCAAGGGGTGCTTACGGGAATTGGAGGGGACGCGGTGTCTTATCCACCCCCGGATTTCTGGGCTCCGGCTCACGAGTCCCTCCAGTCCCGAGGGACTGAGGATGATGTGCGTCTGAGCCGTCCCCTCCACTTGCCCCTCATCCCCCCCGGGCAGCCGCCGCGTCCCCTTTAAATGCCCGGGAGCCGGAGCCGGAGCCGGAGCCGCGGCCGGCGCTGCGGCTGCTGCAGCAGCGGAGCCCACCGCAGTCCCCAACGTCACAAGCGACTGTCCAATCGCAGCGGTGCCGGCGCACATCAAAGGGGCGGGCCGCCCGAGGCCACGCCTCCCTCCTGCCCCGGAGGCTCCGGGAGCGCCAGCTAAGGTGGGATTAGGCTCTCGGGGAAAGGGTAGCAGGGTGGGGATGGAGCGCTGCCCTTCCGAGGAACGTGGGTGGGGGCACCCTCACTAGAGCGGCTGTGGACATACGCTAAATCCCTGCCTACACACCCAAAATTGCTAGGGCTGTGGACTTTCTCATCCGCCGCCTCCAGGGCTTCGGTTCTTGAGATTTGCAGAAGTGCACCTCCACCTCCTGCCCATTCCGCTGTCGCGTCCTAAACCCAGTGGGAGGCACGGGATGACCCAGCCCTCGGGACCCTTTTCCCCAGATTATAGGTTACTGAGGATTGCGGGGGTTGGCGGGAGGAATGACTCCCTACCCCCACCCCCGCCCGTAAAGTTGGTGGAGCGGGTGGTGACAGACAGTTTGCCCCTTTTGCAGATGGCCCTATAAATAAAAAACGCACTTTCTCCCCTGCTTCCTAAGAGTGTGTTTCTCCCCCACCCTAATCTCCTCCTTTTGGCCCTCAAAGCCTGCTAGTGAAGAGAAGGAGAGAAGATAGTGTTTCGAGAGGAAAGACGTGAAACTAGTATTTACTGAGAACATACTATGAACCGGGCATTCGAGCTAGGTCGCTGCGTTTATGGCTGAATGTTCACAACACTCGAGAAATTATTTGCCTAGCCGTTCAAACCCGGACACACCTGACTCCATTGGGTCACAAAGGGGTGTGTAGGTGGGGAGAATGCACTTTGGGAGGCCAAGGTGGGAGGATCGCTTGAGCCCCGGAGTTCGAGACCAGCCTGGACAACATAGGGAGACCCCATCTCTACAAAAAATTAAGAAATTAGCTAGGCATTGTGGCATGTACCTGTAGTCCCAGCTCTACTCGGGAGGCTGAGGTGGGAGGATAGCTTGAGCCTGGGAGGTGAAGGCTGCAGTAAACTGTGATCACACCACCACACTCTAGCCTAGGCGAAAGAGTGAGACCCTGTCTCAAAACAAAACAAAATAAAACAACAACAAAAAAGAGTGAGCTTGTCTGGGGTCACCCAGCTGGTAGGGCTGGGGTATCATACTGTCCCTCTCATTGTCTGTCATCCCTCCTCTCCTGTAAGCAACATGAGGACCATGTTTGTCTTATTGATGTACCCCCATCCCCTAGCATAGGCAGCCTGGCTGGTGCACAGTGGGCCTTATAGATGTTTGTTGAGTGAGGCCAGGTGCAGTGGCTCATGCCTGTAATCTCAGCACTTTGGGAGGCTGAGGCGGGTGGATCATTAGAGGTCAGGAGTTTGAGACCAGCCTGGCCAACATGGTGAAACCCCATCACTACTAAAAATAGAAAAAAAAAAAAAATAGCCAGGCATGGTGGCATGCACTGGTAATCCCAGCTACTCGGGAGGCTGAGGCAGGAGAATCACTTGAACCCGGGAGGCAGAGGTTGCAGTGAGCCAAGATCATGCTGCACTCCAGCCTGGGCGACAGAGCAACACTCCATCTCAAAAAAAAAAAAAAAAAAAAAAAAAAAGATGTTGAATGAAACAAGTCCCCTGCTGTGTTTAGCTCTAGGTTAGTGCTCCATTTGTGTTCCTTCACTTTGTCTTCACAATAACAGATTGTTCCAGTGTTATCCCCATGTTATTTTATTTTATTTATTTTTGAGACAGAGTCTCGCTGTGTCTCCCAGGCTGGAGTGCAGTGGCGTGATCTCGGCTCACTGCAACCTCTGCCTCTTGGGTTCAAGCGATTCTCCTGCCTCAGTCTCCCAAGTAGCTGGGATTACGGGCACCTGCTCCCATGCCCAGCTAATTTTTGTGTTTTTAGTAGAGACGGGGTTTTACCATGTTGGCCAGGCTGGTCTTGAACTCCTGACCTCAGGTGTTCAACACTCCTTGGCCTACCAAAATGTTGGGATGTTGGGATTACAGGTGTGAGCCACTGTGTCCAGCCTATCCATCCCCTCCCCCTCCTCTTTTTTTTTTTTTTTTTTTTTGAGATGGAGTTTTGCTCTTGTTGCCCAGGCTGGAGTGCAATGGCGCGATCTCCGGCTCACCACAACCTCGGCCTCCCTGGTTCAAATGATTCTCCTGCCTCGGCCTCCGGAATAGCTGGGATTACAGGCATGTGCCACCACACCCAGTTAATTTTGTATTTTTAGTACATGTTGGTCAGGTTGGTTTCAAACTCACAGCCTCAGGTGATCCACCCACCTTGGCCTCCCAAAGTGCTGGGATTACAGGCGTGAGCCACCACACCCAGTTTATCCATCCCCATTTTATAAAGAAATTGAGACTCAGAGATAAAAGGACTTGTTCAAGGTCACACAAGTGCCCTGGAGGCAACTGATTCAAATCCTAACCTTTTGAGGCAATTAGCAGCAGTTTCAGCCTGGTTTCCTAATTCACTGATGGGGTTAGGGAGGGTAGGCAGATAACTTCCTTTGGCCACTGGTGGCTTCAAGTTTTTACTGCGGAGTTCTGCCTTCAGCCAGGTGGTGGGAGTGCCAAAGCTCGTGGGTGCTACCTAGAAACCGCCTTTGTGAAAAAGCTGTAGAAACTCCTAAAAGCCAGCTGGGCGTGGTGGCTCACGCCTGTAATCCCAGCACTTTGGGAGGCCAAGGTGGGCGGATCTTGAGGTCAGGAGTTCAAGACCAGCCTGGCCAACATGGTGAAACCTCGTCTCTACTAAAAATACAAAAATTAGCTGGGCATAGTGTCATGCACCTATAATCCCAGCTATTTGGGAGGCTGAGGCAGGAGAATTGCTTGAACCTGGGAGGCGGAGGTTGCAGTGAGCAGAGATCATGCCACTGCACTCCAGTCTGGGCAACAGAGCAAGACTCCGTCTCAGGGGGGAAAAAAACCCAAAAAAACTCCTAAATGCCAAAAGCATCAGGACACAATTCTACCTCTCTTTCAGCTTTCTTTACTTTCCCTTTTCCTTGTACCAGTGAGTTGGATGATCAGTCAGGTACCTAAACATGGGGATAGAAAGGGAATGGGAAACCCATCCCCCATTCGGTTAAGACCTCTGCCCAGCACATGGGCTGTAGATCCTCTTCTCCTCATGTGAGTTTCACCTTAGGACTCAAGTCAGCCAACCTGGCAGAGATCTTGTGAACAGGAGTCATCTTAGGTGACAGTGTAACCGCCCAAGGGGTTCGCCTTGTCTGCTGCCTAGGATAGCCGATTTATCAAGACAGGGTAATTGTAATAGAGAAAGAATAATTCATGCAGAGCCAGCTGTGCTGGAGACTGGAGTTTTATTATTACTCAAATCAGTCTCCCTCAAAACTCTTTTATTATTACTCAAATCTGTCTCCCCAAAAACTCGGGGATCCGAGTTTTTAAGGATAATTTGGTGGGTAGTGGCCAGTGAATCGGGAGTGCTGATTGGTTGGCTCAGGGATGAAATCATAGGGAGTGGAAGCTGTTCTCTTCTGCTGAGTCAGTTCCTGGGTGGGGGGCCACAGAACTGGTTGGCAGGTCCAGGTGGGGCCCTCTGGTTGTTAGAAATGGAAAAACCTGAAAAGACATCTCGAAAGGCCGATCTTAGGTTCACAATAGTGATGTTACCTTCAAGAGTAATTTAGGGAAGTTGCAAATCTTATAACCTCCGGAATAATGGCTGGTAATATTTAGAATTCCAGCCCCTTTCATCTTGACTTGGTGGCTGGTGGCCTTTCATTAGTTTTACCAGAACAGTTTAGCCATTTGGGAAGGGCTATTATATAAACTATACACTAAATTTCTTTCCAAAGCTAGTTCGGCCTACGCTTAGGAATGAACAAGGACAGTTGAGAAGTTAGAAACAAGATGGGGTCAGTTAGGTCTGATATCTTTTACTATCATAATTTTCTCAGTTATGATTTTTGCAAAGGTGGTTTCAATAGGGCTCACTTGAGTTCCTGGTGAACCCTGACTCAGGCTGCCAGGGACAGCTCAATCCACCTGGTCTTCAAAAGAGGGTGTGTCACTTGCCCAAGGTTTCAGTGTTAGAGCCAAAGAGGCCAAGAGTCCAAGAATGTGGCCTCGTGCTCTCCAGCTGGCCTCCTTCCTGGTGGTGGGAGATGCAAAGGTGGGAGGGAGGGGCAGATGGGCATGAGTTCAACCCGCACACTCCACCTGGGAAGGATGAACGAGTTTTGGGAATCAACTAGGTACCAGGCACATGATCCCCCCACCACCCTGGAAATAGGGTTTAAGCGCAGCATTCCCATTTTCTTTTTTCTTTTTTTTGAGACGGAGTCTCTTTCTGTCGCCCAGGCTGGAGTGCAGTGGCACGATCTCCGCTCACTGCAAGCTCCGCCTCCCGGGTTCACGCCATTCTCCTGCCTCAGCCTCCCAAGTAGCTGGGACTACAGGCGGCCGCCACCACGCCCGGCTAATTTTTTGTATTTTTTAGTAGAGACGGGGTTTCACCGTGTTAGCCAGGATGGTCTCGGTCTCCTGACCTCGTGATTCGCCCGCCTCGGCCTCCCAAAGTGCTGAGATTACAGGCGTGAGCCACCGCGCCCGGCCAGCATTCCCATTTTCACACATGAAAAAAGCAGAAGCTCTGGGACATTAAGAAAGCGCCTTGCGGGGAGCAGGGAGGAGGGGCCAAGGTTGAAAACCCATGTATTGGGTACTGTGTGCTCACTTCCTGAGTGACAGGTTTAGTCATACTCCAGACCTCAGCATAACACAATATAGCTATGTGTTGTTGTTGTTTGTTGTTGTTGTTGCTGTTTTTGAGACAGAGTCTCGCTCAGTTCCCAGGCTGGAGTGCAGTGGGGTGATCTCAGCTCCCTATATACCTTTATAATCTGCATGTGTATCCCTGGAATCTAAAATAAAAGCTGAAAGACAAAAACAAACAAACAAAAAACAAAGAAAGCGTCTTGCCCAAGGGCTCCGTGTGGCAAGTGGTGGTCAGGCTGGATGGTGGGTGCAGGTCTGCACTGCTCTATCTGCCCCCCAAAAGCAGAAGGACAGGGCCCTCAGTGATCTGAGGACTGATGAGGGTGGGCTCAGGAGGAAGAGGCCACCGAGGGTGTCCTCGTGCTGGCAATTCTGCAAGATGTGTTGCAGGGCATTCTGCGACTAAAACCTTGTGCTGGGGGTTAGTGACCAGGGCTGACTAGACCCCTTTCTTGGCTTCACAGTTCCCTTCCAAGACAACGAAAAGCACATACTGCATGCTCAGCACTAAGAGGCTCCACTTACTTCATTCTCACATCAGCCCTGTAATCTACTCATTCTCCCATTTTACAGATGAGAAACAGGAGGAACAGGATGTATGTAACTTGCCCAAGGTCACAGAGCCAAGAGGTGGCTGAAGCCAGACTTGAACCCAGGCATTCAGCTAAGAAACTGCATTCTTAAGCAAAACATCACAAGACCTGCTCTAGAGAAAGTGTTCCTGCCTCCTGCTAGGCAAGGTGATGCCCTAGGGGAAAGGAAGGAGGAGAAAGGTTTGTGTTCTTAAATTAAGTATTTTCTTTAGGGATCGCACCTTTTGACCTACTAAGGTTGAGAATTCCTTGAGTTTTGGCTTAGAGAACAGTCTGACTTGCAATCAGGGTAGCTGAGTTTGAACTTGTGTGACTTGAAACAAGATGCTCTTGTTTGTGTTATTTGTTTATTTAGACAGAGTCTCACTCTGTCACCCAGGCTGGAGTGCAGTGGCGTGATCCTGGCTCATTGCAACCTCCGCCTCCCAGGTTCAAGCCATTCTCATGTCTCAGCCTCCTGAGTAGCTGGGATTACAGGGGTGCACCACCACACCCAGCTAATTTTTGTATATATATATATATATATATATATATATATATATATATATATATTTTAGTAGAGATGAGGTTTCATGTGTTGGCCAGGCTGGTCTTGAACCCCTGAACTCAGGTGACCCGCTTGACTCGGCCTCCCAAAGTGCTGGGATTACAGGTGTGAGCCACCACACCCAGCCATAGACAAGTTGCTCCCCTTTGGACCTCATCTCCCTACTTGGGCAGAAGCTTGTCAAGATCTGACTGGTTTTGAGGATCCTTTGTTATTTAAAGAGACTAGAGAGGGAGTCTTGGTTGGCTCCCCCTGCTCCACAGCATAGTAGAAGCAAAACTGCCTCCAAGAACCCTCATTTCCAAACCAGAGCTAGCCTGAGCGTTTCCTCTCCTCAGAGCCCCAGAAGAGGTCCAAAGGGCAAGGCTAGAGCAGGGACAGGGGCTAGAGGGATCTCAGGAAGTACAGGAGGAGCTGGGGGCAGAAACATCTCTGCTCCCTTCTCTGCACAGGCAGCAGCCTGCCTGGTCACCTGGGTCCCCAGCCCAAGGACGGCTCTGTAATAAACACTTTTGAAATATTCTGGCCTGTGTCCTAGAGTTCACTCAAACGCGCAGAAACCTGTCTGCTTCCCCTGTGGCACTCGGGCATTCACCAAATCTGCCTCCCATCCACTTCCCCCTAGAGTAAGGCTTAGTTTTATTTTCCAACCCTGGGCTGTGAATTGGTCCTCCAAAGTCTAGTAACTGGCTCACGTATCACCCTGTGGCTCTGGCTAGCCTGCTAAACCTGAGTTTTGAATTGACCTTTAATTGCTCTAAATGTGCTACCCCACCCCACCCCATCCTGGGAAGATTCGGGCAATGATATAGATCAAGGCTTAGATCTTTTTTTTCTTTTTTCTTTTTTTTTGAGATGGAGTCTCGCTCTTGTCCCTCAGGCTGGAGTGCAGTGGTGCAATCTTGGCTCACTGCAACCTCTGCCTCCTGGGTTCAAGTGATTCTCCTGCCTCAGCCTCCTGAGTAGCTGGGATTACAGGTGCCTGCCACCAGGCCTGGCTAATTTTTTTTATTTTTAGTAGAGATGGGGTTTTGCCATGTTGGCCAGGCTTGTCTTGAACTCCTGACCTCAAGTGATCTGCCCACCTTGGCCTCCCAAAGTGCTGGGATTATAGGTGTGAGCCATCCACCCAGCCAAGGCTCAGATCTTTGGAGCCAGATCCTGCAGGTAGTGGTGGACAGTCTATATTCTCCTGCCCTCCCAGGCATCCCTGCAACATGGCATTCATTTGCTTGTGCTCTCATTCATTCAATGAATATAATGAAATTAACTGCATCCGGCCCTGGGAAATATGATATTGAACAAGACATAGATCCTGCCCTCTAGGAGCCTTTTTTTTTTTTCTTTTTTTTTTTCTGACAGGATCTCACTCTGTTGCCCAGGCTGGAGTTCAGAGGCGCGTGCAGTCATGGCTCACTGCAGCCTCGAAAGACTCAAGCTATTCTCATACCTCGGCCTCCCGAGTAGCTGGGACTACAGATGTGCATCACTATGTCTGATAAAAATTTGTTTGTATTTTTTGTAGATGGGGTTTCGCCATGTTGCCCAGGATGATCTTGAACTCCCAGGCTCCTCCTACCTTGGCCTCCCAAAGTGCTGAGATTACAGGTGTGAGCCACCTTGCCTGGCCTCAGAAGTTTATAGTCTAGAGAAGAGACCTGGCAAGCAAACAGCCCTTTCCAAACAAGCGTGAGGGGCTTCCAAACAAGCCCTTTCCAAACAACTGGCAGATCTGCTGTGCCCACCAGGGGAATTCTGTCCTGTCTCATCTTTTTTTTTTTTTTTTTTGAGACAGAATCTCACTCCGTCGCCCAGGCTGGAGTGCAGTGGCGCAATCTTGGCTCACTGCAATCTCCGCCTCCTGGGTTCAAGCAATTCTCATGCCTCACCTTCCCGAGTAGCTGGGATTACAGGTGCCCACCATCATGCCCAGCTAATTTTTGTATTTTTAGTAGAGACAGGGTTTCACCATGTTGGCCAGGCTGGTCTCTAACTCCTGACCTTAGGTGATCTGCCTGCCTTGGCCTCCCAAAGTGCTGGGATTACAGGCGTGAGCCACCGCACCTGGATTGTCCCATCCACTTCTTGTTATTGGTTGCTGTGGGCGGTCCCCTCCTCTCACCCCTCCACCTGCCCTTGGCAGCTTAGAGATGATACCCCATCTACATCCCTCCTTCCCTGCCTTCCCCAATCCCAGGCCCCTCTCCCTACAACAGACTCACCCTGACAGAGCTGTCCACTGTCCTCCTCACTTAGCAGCAATAATGGGGGGACCATGGCAGGGGAAACAGGACAGAGAAGTGAGTGAACAAACAAACGAACCCATTTTCTGTCATCCAGCAGATACCCACAACAGGTGAAGGAGAGAAAGCAGTCCCACAGACACCCTTCTCTGCTGGAAAGTCCTTCCTATCTGACTCCAGTCCCACTTGCTGGAGGAGTTCCCCTCATTTTGTTTCTGAGACAGCCTTCTTCTGTGTAACAACTATTCAGAGACTTGAAATCTGCCTCTCTGGTTTCTTCTGTCTTTGCAAATGTCACATTAAAGAGAACAAGGTAACTTGGTCTCTGCCTGCCTTGTGTTAATTCTCTAACCATGTCTGTGTCCCAGTCCCCCTCACTCTGCCCTTTAACCACACACGCCTTCTTTCCAATTTTATTTTATTTTTTTTTTTGAGACTGAGTCTCACTCTATTGCCCAGGCTGGAGTGCAGCGGCGCGATCTCGGCTCACTGCAACCTCCACCTCCCAAGTTCAAGCGATTCTCCTGCCTCAGCCTCTCGTGTAGCTGGGATTACAGGTGCCCATGACCATGCCTGGCTAATTTCTGTATTTTTAGTAGAGACAGGGTTTTATCATGTTGGCCAGGTGGGTCTCAAACTCCTGACCTCAAGTGATCCACCCGCCTCGGCCTCCCAAAGTGCTGGGATTAAAGGCGTGAGCCACCATGCCCAGCCTCTTTCCTAGTTTCAAAAGAAAACCACAGGCCCTTTGCACTTGCTATAGCCTCTGCCCAGGGTATTTCCCAACCCATCCATGGCTCCTCACTGAGCTCAGGGCTGAGCTACAAGGAAGCTTGTCCTGCTCTCCCTGTCCCTCCCCACCCCAGGATCAGGAGCTCCCACATTACACAGCTCCACAGCACCTTTACACTTCTCCTGGGTGATTAATTAATGTCTTCCTCCTGTCAGCTTTGAGAGGACAGCGATCGCAGTAGCTTTGTTCTCATAGAATCCCCGGTGCCTAGCACAGGCCTTGGCCCATAGTAGCTGCACAGATAAATATTTGTTGCTTGAATGTCTGTAGGATTCTCAATCTAGTCAACTTGTATAGGCTGTTGTCTTAGACCTGGAACCAGACCAAAGCAAGCTGGCCCAACCTTGGTTGTGTCCTAATTTGGCCATCTGACTATGAATATGCTAACAAATGACAGGCTTAGCCTCCAGCATTTCTTCCATTCCTTCCCTGGAGCAAGCTCCCCCACCAGCAATCTTCCCAGCCCTAAGGCAGGTCTGTGTTGATGGGGCTAGAGGCCAGAGGACTGGTTGATCTGATCACTCAATTCCTTCTGCCTAACTTCAGAAGCTTCTTCCAAAATAAGAGACCTTTTTTTTTGGATTTTTTTTTTTTTAAGATGGAGTCTTATTCTGTCGCCCAGGCTGGAGTATAGTGGCACGATCTCCGCTCACTGCAACTTTTGCCTCCTGGGCTCAAGTTATTCTCCTGCCTCAGCCTCCTAAGTAGCTGGGACTACAGGTGCGTGACACCACACCTGTCTATATATATATATATATATATATATATATATATATATATATATTTTTTTTTTTTTTTTGTATTTTTAGTAGAGACAGGGTTTCACCATGTTGGCCATGGCTGGTCTCGAACTCCTGACCTCAACTGATCTGCCCACCTCAGCCTTCCAAAATGCTGGGATTATAGGCATGAGCCACGGCTCCCAGTGGAGACCTTTATGTTTTTAATGGGTTGTGTAGCCCACAAAACACCCTTTGTCATTCTCACTATTTTTCTGATAAGGAAAATGAGACTTAGGGAGATGAGGTGACAAGTCCAAGGTCATACAGTTAGGAAGGTGGCTAAGGCAACACTTGAAGTCTTGTGAAACCAGCTGGTTTTCTGCAGGGGATGTGCCAACCAGCAAAGATTCTCAGATTCTGGGCTTTTTGGCAGTTGTTTGATTCTTTTTTTTCATTCATTCATTCATTCATTCATTCACTAATTTGTTTAGGAGATATAAGCTCCAGTCATTGCCTTCAAGGAGGCCAAAGTCTCAGTTTGGCATTTTGAATCTAAGGTCTGGTAATGGTCTGAAATGATTGTGTGTGTATATATATATATATATATATATATTTATTTATTTTAGTGGAGACGGGGTTTCGCCATGTTGGCCAGGCTTGTCTTGAACTCCTGACCTCAAGCTATAAAATGTATATACTATATTTTATAAACTATATATATAAATATAAACTATAAAATATATGTTTATGTTTTATTATTTTTTATTTTATTATTTTTTATTATAGTATTATATTTATATTATTTTTATATATTTATATTATTATATCTGTATTTTACTATTATGATTATTTTTGAGACGGAGTCCCACTCTATCGCCCCGGCTGCAGTGCAGTGGCACAATCTCGGCTCACTGCAACCTATGCCTCCCGGTTTCAAGCAATTCTTCTGCCTCAGCCTCCCGAGTAGCTGGGATTACAGGCACCTACCTGTAAAAAGTAGCCCGGCTAATTTTTGTATTTTTAGTAGAGATGGGTTTTACCACCTTGGCCAGGCTGGTCTTGAACTCCTGACCTCTTGATCCACCCGCCTAGGCCTCCCCAAGTGCTGGCATTACAGGCATGAGCCACCACGCCCAGCTGATTTTATATATATTTTAGTGTTTATGTACATATGTGCATTTTTCTTGCAAACTTTCTTTTTTTCTTTTTTAATTGCTTGGCAGAGCATTGAACTTGCAAACTTTCAGAGGGTTCCATGACACCCTGTCCCCTGACCTCCCTTCATTGCAAAAAGGTTAAGAACTGCTGGTATAACGAATGCTATGCAGTGTAAACAGATGGCAGCCCATGTACTCATCAGTATCTCCTGCCTGTTTGGGTGACTGAGGCCCCAGCATGTGACCATCTCTGGCCCAAGTGATAACCTGGGTGTCCGCACCTCATGACCCATCCACGGCACTGCTGACCTGTGACAGCTCCTCTCAGAAGATCAAACACATAGAAATACACACACACACACACACACACACACACACGCACATGCACTGACTCCAACACCCCCAGATTCACAACTGCTCTTGAATCCAGAGAGATCCTGTAACCATCTAATGGGTTCGCCTTGCCCATTGCCTAGACAGAGCCGATTCCTCAAAACAGGGAAATTGCAATAAGGAAAGAGTAATCCACACAGAGACAGTTATGCAGGAGACCGGAGTTTCATTATTACTCAAATCAGTCTCCTTGAGCATTTGGGGAGCAGAGTTTTTAAGGACAACTTTTGAGGGGGGGTTGCGGGGGTGAAGCCAGTGAGCCAGGAGTGCTGATTGGTCAGGGATGAAATCATAGGCAGTCGAAGCTGTCTTCTTGCTCTTAGTCAGTTCCCCAATGGGGGCCACAAGATCAGATGAGCTCATTTATCTACCTGGGTGGTGCCAGCTGATCCATCAAGTGCAGGGTCTGCAAAGTATCTCAAGCACTGATCTTAGGAGCAGTTTAGGGAGGGTCAGAACTTTGTAGCCTCCAGCGGCATGACTCCTGAACCATAATTTCTAATCTCGTGGCTAATGTTAGTCCTACAAAGGCAATCTAGTCCCCAAGCAAGAAGGAGATCTGCTTTGGGAAAGGGCTGTTATCATCTTTGTTTTCAACTATAAACTATGAACTGAGTTTCTCCCAAAGTTAGTTCAGCCTATGCCCAGGAATGAACAAGGACAGCTTGGAGGTTAGAAGCAAGATGGAGTTGGCCGGGCGCGGTGGCTCACGCCTGTAATCCCAGCACTTTGGGAGGCCGAGGCGGGTGGATCACCTGAGGTGGGGAGTTCGAGACCAGCTTGACCAACATGGAGAAACCCCATCTCTACTAAAAATACAAAATTAGCCGAGATCGCACCATTGCACTCCAATCTGGACAAAACAAGAGCGAAACTCCATCTCAAAAAAAAAAAAAAAAAAAAGAGCAAGGTAGAGTTGAGTAATTTAGATCTCTTTTACTGTTTCAGTCATAATTTTGCAAATGCTCTTCCATTCCCTTGATCTTTCTCTTTCTCTGCAGTGTTAGTGACACATAGCACTGCCCATGATGGCTATATATATATATATATATATTTTTTTTTTTTTTTTGAGTCGGAGTCTTGCTGTGTTACCCAGGCTGGAGTGCAGTGGCATGATCTCGGCTCACTGCAACCTCCCTTCTGGGTCAAGGGATTCTCTTGTCTCAGCCTTCTGAGTAGCTGGGACTACAGGTTCATCCCACCATGCCTGGCTAGTTTTTGTATTTTTAGTAGAGATTAGAGATGAGGTTTCACCATTTTGGCCAGGCTGGTTTTGAACTCCTGACCTCAAGTGATCTGCCTGCCTTGGCCTCCCAAAGTGCTCGGAATACAGGCATGAGCCACTGTGCCCAGCCCGTGATGGCTACATATTGAAGGCTTGTGTGTGTCAGATCCTATGATCCTTACACCTTCATGTCTTATTTTTTCTATTTCTTTTTTTTTTTAAATTAAGAGTGTCCATACTAGTACTAACTTGCTCTCAAGTTTCTAAATGTTTTTTTGTTTGTTTTTCTTTTGAGACAGAGTCTCACTCTGTCGCCCAGGTTGGAGTGCAGTGGTGCGTTGGTGGCTCACTGCAACCTCTGCCTCCTGGGTTGAAGCAATTCTCCCATTTCAGCCTTTGAGTAGCTAGGACTACAGGTGAACGCCACCATGCCCAGCTAATTTTTTTGAATTTTTAGTAGAGACAGGTTTCCCCATGTTAGCCAGGCTGGTCTCTAACTCCTGGCCTCAAGTAATTCACCTGTCTTGGCCTCCCAAAGTGCTGGGATTACCTGTATGAACCACCAAGCCTGGGCTCTCGTGTCTTTTATATATATATATTTTTTGAGATGGAGTTTTGCTCTTGTTGCCTAGGCTGGAGTGCAATGGCACAATCTCAGCTCACTGCAATCTCCACCTCCCGGGTTCAAGCTATTCTCCCGCCTCAGCCTCTCAAGTAGCTGGCGATTACAGGCATGCACCACCATGCCTGGCTATTTTTGTATTTTTGGTGGAGACGGGGTTTCACCATGTTGGTTAGACTGGTCTTGAACTCCTGACCTCAGGTGATGTGCCCGCCTCGGCCTCCTAAAGTGCTGGGATTACAGCCCTGAGCCACAACGACCAGCCCCCTCATGTCTTTTAATCCCCACAACAGGCCTGTGAGGTTTGGAACTTGCCCCATTCACATGGCTGGGAAGAGATGGAGGTGAATAAGAGAGCATTGTGGGGGTCAGTGGGGGGTGTGAAGAAACCTGAATGTGTTTAAGATCCTTCAGGGATGGACCCGACTATTCACTGTGCCAAAATCATTCTTGTCTTCATTCTTTCATTCTACCGCTATTTCTTGTTTTTGTTTTTGTTTTGTTTTGTTTTGTTTTTGAGACAGAGTCTTGCTCTGTTGCCCAGGCTGGAGTGCAATGGCACGATCTCGGCTCACTGCAACCTCTGCCTCCCGGGTTCAAATGATTCTCCTGCCTCAGCCTCCCGAGTAGCTAGGATTACAGGCGCATGCCACCATGCCTGGCTAATTTTTTTGCATTTTTAGTAGAGATGGGGTTTCACCATGTTGGCCAGGCTGGTCTCAAACTTCTGACCCCAAGTGATCCGCCCGCCTTGGCCTCCCAAAGTGCTGGGATTACAGGTGTGAGCCACCGTACCTGGCAATATTTCTTGAGAATCTTCTAAGTGCCAGGTATGTGTTGGGGACTGTGGTGACCAGCTTCCAAGATAGCCTGATGTTGCCCACCTCCTGATGTCTGCACCCTTGGGTAGTCCCCTGCCAGCAGGACCAGGAAGCAAAGGACCATCACTTCCAACATTAGGTTATGAGAGACTGCGGCTCCTGCCTTGGATGCTCTCTCACTCTCTTGCCCTCCCTCTTCTTTGCTTGCCCGCTCTGGGGCAAACAAGCTGCCACAGTGTAAGCAGCCCTATAGAGAGACCCACATGGGAAGGAGCCAAAGCCCCTGCCAATAGCCAGTGAGGAACTTGGGTCTGCCAAGCACCACATGGGTGACCCTGGACACAGCCTGGTCAGGCTCCAGCCCTGGTCAGGTCAACGTGTGAGCCTGGACACAGCCAGGTCAACCCTCCAGCCCTGGTCAGGCCTTGAGATGACTGCAACCTCATGAGGACCCTGCTTGCAGAAACTGGGAGACAATAAATGCTTAGTGTTGTAGGCTGCTAAGTTATGAGGGTAATTCGTTACACAGAAATAGAAAACTAGCCAGGTGTGGTCGCTCGTGCCTGTGAGTTCCCAAATCCCAGCACTTTGAGAGACTGAGGCTAGAGGATCACTTAAGCCCAGGAGCTTGAGACCAGGTTGGGCAACATAGTGAGACCCTCCATCTCTGTAAAAAAATTTTTTTAAAATTAGGAGGGCAGACCGGACACAGTGGCTCACGCCTGTAACCCCAGCACTTTGGGAGGCCGAGGCGAGTGGATCACCTGAGGTCAGGAGGTTGAGACCAGCCTGGCCAACATGGTGAAACCTCGTCTTTACTGAAAATACAAAATTTAGCTGGGTGTGGTGGCAGGCTACCCAGGAGGCTGAGGCAGGAGAATCACTTGAACCCAGGAGGTGGAGCTCACGCCACTGCACTCCAGCCTGGGCGACAAGAGCAAAACTCTGTCTCAAAAAGAAAAAAAAGAAAAGAAAAAGAAAAAGAACTAAATCAGGGATATATCAGTAAACAAAATTGACAGGGCTCTTACATTCTATGGAGGACGCAGACAGTAAACACAAGAATTAAGTTTAAAAAAAAACCTGGCCGGGTGCGGTGGCTCACGCCTGTAATCCCAGCACTTTGGGAGGCCGAGGTGGGCAGATCACCTGAGGTCAGGAGTTTGAGACCAACCTGACCCAACGTGGAGAAACCCCATCTCTACTAAAAATACAAAATTAGCCAGGCATGGTGGTGCATGCCTGTAATCCGGGAAACTGAGGCAGGAGAATCACTTGAACCCGGGAGGCAGAGGTTGCGGTGAGCCAAGATTACGCCATTGCACTCCAGCCTGGGCAACAAGAGCAAAACTCCATCTCAAAAAATCAAAACAAAACCCTTGACCAGGCACAGTGGCTCACGCCTGTAATCCCAACACTTTGGGAGGCTGAGGCAGGAAGATCAGGTCAGGAGTTTAAGACCAGCCTGGCCAACATGGTGAAATCCAATCTCTACTAAAAATACGAAAATTAGCATACAAAAATTAGCTGGGCGTTGTGGCAGGCATCTGTAATCCCAGCTACTTAGGAGGCTGAGGTAGGAGAATTGCTTCAACCTGGGAGGCGGAGGTTGCAGTGAGCCGAGATCACGCCACTTCACTCCAGCCTGGGTGACACAGCAAGACTCCATCTTGGAAAAAAAAAAACAAACAAACCCCACAAAAATCCCAGTGTATTAGAGAGCAGTAAGTGCTTTGGAGAAAATTAAAGCAGGGAAATGGGGTAGACATGAGAGAGGCTTTATTTATTTATTTATTGTTTTTTTTGAGACAGGGTCTTACTTTGTCACCCAGGCTGAAGTGCAGTGGCTGAATCTTGGCTCACTGCACCCTCCACCTCCCAGGCTTAAGCCATCCTCTCCTGCCTCAGCTCCCCAAATATCTGGGACTGCAGGCACACGCCACCATGCGGAGCGAATTTTTTATTTATTTTTATCTTTATTTTTTGAGATGGAATCTTACTCAGTTGCCCAGGCTGGAGTGCAGTGGTGCAATCTTGGCTCACTGCAACCTCTGCCTCCCAGGTTCAAGTGATTCTCCTGCCTCAGCCTCCTGAGTAGCTGGCACCACAGGAATTGCAATTTGCATGCAGGAATACTGACATTTCAGAGGTCTTCCAATAGTTATTGGGATAACCGGTAAACAATCTAACTCCAGCTTAGTGGCTGTAGTTGTAGGTTGTTATTTCTGGTTTCCCTCTTTGGAGCAAGCAACATACAAAGTGTGTCTCCATAGCACAGCAGAAAATGCCAAAATAAGGACTTGACCTGTCCATTTGGCTTGTCTTTCCTCCTGGTAACAGACTTGTTGCTCATAAGTGACCCACGGCCTGAGGACGCCCTCCTCCTATGCCCTTCTCCCCCTCAACCCAAGGATGCCTGCTTTGTCCTAGAGTGCATCCTTAGAGCCTGCTGGGGCTCCCCGCCAGCAGACCCATGGCCATAGCTACCATATTGACCAAATCAAGATGGACAGACAGTGCAGCAAGCCTGAAGTTATACTTAGAGGATGAAGGGACATCTGGGCTTTCCTAGAAAATGGAAGGCATGGCCGGGCGTGGTGGCTCACGCCTGTAATCCCAGCACTTTGGGAGGCTGAGGTGGTGGATCACTTGAGGTCAGGAGTTCAAGACCAGCCTGACCAATATGGTGAAATCCTGTCTCTACTAAAAATACAAAAATTAGCCAGGCGTGGTGGTGCATGCCTGTAATCCCAGCCACTAGGGAGGCTGAGGCAGGAGAATTGCATGAACCCAGGAGATGGAGGTTGCAGTGAGCCAAGATCACACCACTGCACTCCAACCTGGGTGACAAAGCAAGACTCCATCTCAAAAAAAAGAAAAAAAAAGAAAATGGAAGGCATGGCCGGGTTCTGTGGCTCACACCTGTAAGCCCAGCACTTTGGGAGGCTGAGGCGGGCAGATCACTTGGGGTCAAGACCAGCCTGGCTAACATGGCGAGACCCCGTCTCTACTAAAAATACAAAAATTAGCCGGGCGGGGTGGCGCATGTCTGTAGTCCCAGCTACTCAGGAGGCTGAGTCAGGAGAGTCACTTGAACCCAGGAGGCAGAGGTTGCAGTGAGCCGAGATTGTGTCACTATACTCCAGCCTGAGTGACAGAGGGAGACTCTGCCTCAAAAAACAAACAAACAAAAAAGAAAATGGAAGGCACAAAGTAGTCAAATACCTCTCAAGACACCCATACATCCTGGAGGGCCAGAGGAGTCATTCATGTATTCATTTGCACATTCTTCCAACAAATATATTTGGAAAACCTACTGTGTGCCAGGACCAGGCTAGCGACTAAAAAATAACGATAAGAGGAAGCTTCGGCCCTGGGAGCACTTATAGCTGGCAGCAAGTAGACCAGTG
Organism: Homo sapiens; assembly: GCF_000001405.40. Taxonomy (NCBI): domain Eukaryota; kingdom Metazoa; phylum Chordata; class Mammalia; order Primates; family Hominidae; genus Homo; species Homo sapiens. The sequence continues at coordinate 49,248,093 of NC_000017.11, forward strand.
CACAGACAAGGGCGTGGTGCTTCTGGTGAACTCAGGAGGGACACCCATCCCAGTCCAAAGGGAGGACCAGGGAGGGAGTGTCTGTGATGTCACAGGAGGGTTCCATGAGCAATAACTTATAAGCTGAGACCTGCAGGATGAACAGGAGTTAGGTGAAGAGGAGAACGATGTCCAGGCAGGGGCCGGGGAAGCTCGTGCCAAGGCACTGAGGTGAGAGAAGTGGTAGAAAAGGCAGAGCTTGGAGGGTCTTTTGAGCTTCATCTGTAAGGGCTGTGGGGAAACACTGAAGGTTTGGAGTCAGGGAGTGACACAATCTCATTTGCATTTTATTTTATTTTGATTTTGATTTTTTTGAGTCGGAGTCTCCCTCTGTCACCCAAGCTGGAGTGCAGTAGAAGCAGGATCTCAGCTCACTGCAGCCTCCGCCTCCTGGGTTCAAGTGATCCTCCTGCCTCAGCCTCCCAAGTAGCTGAGATTACAGGTGCCTGCCACCACGCCAGGCTAATTTGTTTGTATTTTTAGTAGAGATGGGATTTCACCACATTGCCCAGGCTGCTCTTGAACTCCTGACCTCAAGTGATCCACCCACCTCGGCCTCCCAAAGTGCTAGGATTACAGGTGTGAGCCACCGCACCTGGCCTATGTTTTATTTTATTTTATTTTGGAGACAGGGTCTGGCTCTGTTGCCCAAGTTGGAGTGCGGTGGCATGATCTCAGCTCACTGCAGCCTTGACCTCCCTGGCTCAAGCAGTCTTCTCACCTCAGCCTCCCAAGTAGCTAGGTCTAATTGGTCACCATACCCAGCTAATTTTTAATTTTTTTTTGTAGAGATGGAGTCTTGCTATGTTGCCCAGGCTGGTCTTGAACTCCTGGTCCCAAGAGATGCTCTCCCCTTAGCCTCCCCAGGCACATTTGCATTTTAGAAACATTGGCATATTTGCATTTTAGAAACATCGGCACATTTGCATTTTAGAAACATCACTTTTGTTGCTATTATTGATACCCTCAACACACAGACACACACACACATTTTGTGGCCTGTGGCTGAACATGCATGGCTGAGGCAGGGGCCTTTAGGGAGACCATAGCCCCGGCTGACCCAGTCCCCAGGGTGTTGGGGGAATAATGACAGCCTATCCTCTTCTCTGCACCCCACCCCATCCAGCAGACTTCAGGGTCAGGTTCTGAGGGCTGCTATATTGGGCTTTGGTGGGTGAGGGCTTTATCCCACCTCTGTCTGCATTGGGTCAGCTTCTCCCTGGGATGGAGGGATTCGTTGTATCTTCAGGGTGGCAGGGCCTCCTCCCCAGAGCCACAGTGCCCAAGATAACAGGGCAGCCCGGGAGCTGTTTATGAAAAGGCAGGCAAGGAGGGGTGGGCAGGGCCCTGGGGAACAGGGACTGCTGTCACAGATAGCAATTGGGGCGGAGAAGGCTGTCTAAATTACAGCTCCCAGAATAGAGGGGCCCAGAGGGAGTGGCGGGGCGTCCTACCAAAGAAGCCCTGGAAGCCTGCCAGGCATGTCCGGGCTCCAGGCCCTGCCGCAGGCAGAGGCAGGATGACCACATGCCGGGTGCGGCCCCAGGAGATGCAATTCATCTGCCAGGGCCACCGGGCAGCTTCAAGGTGGGGCCAGGCAGTGGCAGGGAGTTTCTTGGGGGCTGGGAGAGAACCAGCCTAGTGTGACCTTCAAGAAAGGTTGAGGGTGGTGAGGGGAGGGAAGGGCTAGGATGAGGGTTGGCTGACATCTTGCCTGCCCCCAGAGGAGACTCTCCATTACACGCCTCTGTGGATATTTCATAGAAGTGTGAAATACTCTGAAAATAACAAGAATGACAGGCATACAAAATAACAAGAATGACAAGCAGCCGTGTGTCAGGCAGCACTCTCAACAATAACATACATCACTTCAGTTCACCCTCCCAGCTCCCACGAGTTAGTTATTATCATCCCCATTTTATAGATGTAGAAACCGAGGCACCAAGAGGTCAAGTACTTGCCAAGGAGAATTGGTGAGTGGTAGACCTAGGACTTGAACCTGGGTGTGTCTGACTCTAGAGCCTAGACTCAGTCAGGGAATCTATTTGGAGCCCTTCTCCTCCCTGGGGCTCAGTTTTCTCATCTCTCACATGGGATCATAGTCTGTTGCTCTGTACCAGCCTCCCAAGAGCTGTGTCAGAATCACATGGGGACAGGTGTGATGTGCTGGGAAGAGCGTCAAGCACGAAGGCCTGCCTGAACTATGTGACTTATCCGCTCTAAGCCTGTTTCCTCGCTCGCAAAATGGAGATAATTGGTCAGGTGTGGTGGCTCACGCCTGTCATCCCAGCACTTTGGGAGGCCGAGGCAGGAGAATTGCTTGAGCCCAGGAGTTGGAGACCAGCCTGGGCAACGTGGCGAGACCCCATCTCTACCAAAAATTAAAAAAATTAGCCAGGTGTGGTGGTGCGCACCTGTAGTCCCAGGAGGCTGAGGCAGGAGGATCTCTTGAGGTCTAGGCTGCAATGAGTGAAGGTTGCACCACTGCACTCCGGCCCAGGCAACAGAGCAAGACCCTGTCTCTAAAATAAACAAAAAGCTCCAGCCTGGGCAACAGAGCAAGACCCTGTCTCTAAAAAAAAAAAAAAAAAAAAAAGCCGGGGAGGGGGTATAATGATAGATACCTCATAGGTTCCTCTGATAATCTGATGAGATGATCAGCTGGGTTTGGTGACTCACGCCTGTAATCCCAGCACTTTGGGAGGCTGAGGTGGGTGGATCACTTGAGGTCAGGAGTTCCAGACCAGCCGGACCAACATGGTAAAATCTCATCTCTACTAAAAATACAAAAATTAGCAGGGTGTGGTGGTCACGCCTTTAATCCCAGCTACTTGGGAGGCTGAGGCAGGAGAATTGCTTGAAACTGGGGAGGTGGAGGTTGCAGTGAGCCAAGATTGTGCCACTGCATTCCAGCCTGAGCGACAGAGTGAGACTCAAAAAAAAAAAAAAAAATCTGATGAGATTTTATATGTGTGAAAGTATTCCTGTATTTGAAGGTAGTTTTATAAATCAGAAAGTGTAACATTTCAAGTTATGAGGAAACTGAATATTTATAAAGGCAATGATTCCAGTTCACAAGGGAAACTCACCTGTGTCTCCAAGGAGCATCCCTCTTTCTAATGAAGAATTACCCCCTTTATTGTTTATTCTTGGGAGAGATTCAGTTTTTCTATAAGGAATGGCTTAAAGCAAGGCACGCCTACATTCATTTTCTGTGAGGATTTGCTGCTTTGAAACTGTCTTTTATCACCTGCTTGTAGCTAAAATGCTGATTTCCTTTTTTTTTTTTTTTTTTGAGACGGAGTCTTGCTCTGTCGCCCAGGCTGGAGTGCAGTGGCACCATCTTGGCTCACTGCCAGCTCCGCCTCCCGGGTTCACGCCATTCTCCTGCCTCAGGCTCCCGAGTAGCTGGGACTACAGGCACCCGCCACCAGGCCCGGCTAATTTTTTGTATTTTTTGTATTTTTAGTAGAGATGGAGTTTCACCGTGTTAGCCAGGATGGTCTCGGTCTCCTGACCTTGTGATCCGCCCACCTCGGCCTCCCAAAGTGCTGGGATTACAGGCATGAGCCACCGCGCCCGGCTAAAATGCTGATTTTCAGCTGAGGCTAGGGAAGCCCCACCTCAGTTCCCAGCCCCATCTGTTTCCTGGACTGTAGGGTTCCATACAGAGACAAGTTCAGTCCAGATGACCCTTATCCCCAGGCTGCAAGCTGGCTTTCCCAGCCTCCTTCCCTACCAGATGTATTATTTATTTATTTATTTGTTTGTTTGTTTATTTATTTGAGACAGAGCCTGGCTGTGTCGCCCAGGCTGGAGTGTTGTGGCGCAATCTCGGCTCACTGCAAACTTTGCCTCCCAGGTTCAAGAGCTTCTCCTGCCTCAGCCTCCTGAGTAGCTGGGATTACAGGCGTGCACCACCACGCCTGGCTAATTTTTGTATTTTTAGTAGAGACAGAGTTTCAGCATGTTGGCCAGGCTGGTCTCAAACTCCTGACCTCAGGTGATCCGCCCGCCTTGACCTCCCAAAGTGCTGGGATTATAGGCTTGAGCCACCGCGCCTGCTCCAGATGTATTACTTAATGTCCTGCAACATCCTCTAATCTGCCTCCAGGGGAAGTGCTGCAATGAACCTCAGAGGCTGGATCTTGCTGACTCATCTGGGGTACCAAGGACAGACAAAGGACATGGAGTCCAGGCCCAGGAGGCGATACCAGGCCAGCAGTTTCACTGATGCTCCTGTCATGACGATGACTGCCTCCCTCCTCCCCTTGGTCCCTGACTCAGTGTCTGCAGTGACCAGGCACCAGGCAGGGAGCAAGGAACCAAGCCTTTCACCTGCTCCCACCAACTCCTATGGTGCTCCCTTTCCAAGGCTAGGTCTCCTCTCCACCCAGTTCCTTATCACGTACCATGAGAAGCTGTCACCTTGGCAACTGTCACCTTCTGGTGAGATTTACAATTGCACTGCTACAACTGCTTGTGGCATGGTAAAGTTGCACCAGGACCTCTGCTGTCCATGAGATCAAAGTTCCAGGCCAAGGTGAGCACCCGCCTCCATCCTAGAGAGGATTCTGTGAGAATCATTGAGAGGGAGCTACTCTCTCCAGGCAATCACGGGGGTGAGAAAGAAAAAAAAAAAGAGAGGGAGTTACTCATGTACTGACTTATTCAATGAATGCTTATGTTGTAATACCTACTATGTGTCTGGTGCTGTTCTAGGCACCAGGGGCACGAACAGTGTTGCCCGCATGGAACTCACACTTAATGGGAGCGGCAGCCAACAGGTAAATATATAGAATGCCATATGATGATAGATGCTATGAAGAACATAAAGAAGGGAAGGTGTGTTGAGAGCGGAAAGGGTGCTGTTTAACAAAGGGCAGTTGGAGAATGCCTCCCTGATCAGGTGTTGAGCCCAGTGAAGGAAAGAAATGAGGGATCCAGCCATACAAGTGCCTGGGGGAAGAGCCTTCCAGCAGAGAGACCAGCAAGTACTCAGGTGAGAGTGATCTTGGTGTGTTCAAACAGCAGTTAGGAGGCCAGCGTGAGGCTGCAGTGGCGTGAGCCAGGTGGAGCCACTCAAAGGATAGAGTTGTGATTTATGGTGAAGCGGGTTTGAAGGATGGAAGTCTGCTGTTAGAATCTTCTTTAACTTTGGCCGGACGCAGTGGCTCATGCCTGTAATCCCAGGACTTTGGGAGGCCGAGGTGGCTGGATCACCTGAGGTCAGGAGTTCGTGACCAGCCTGGTCAGCCTGGTGAAAGCCCGTCTCTACCAAAAATACAAAAATTAGCCAGATGTGGTGGCATGCTTGTAATCCCAGCTACTCAGGTTGCTGAGGCAGGAGAATCACTTGAGCACGGGAGGTGGAGTTTACAGTGAGCTGAGATCGCACCATTGCACTCCAGCCGGGGCAACAAGAGTGAAACTCGGTCTCAAAAAAACAAAACAAAACAAAAAAAAACCTTTCTCAACTCCAACCCAAGTCCCTCAAGCCAGTTAAGCTAGGATTAGAGTTCAGGGCCTGACTGGGCGTGGTGGCTCATGCCTGTAATCCTAGCACTTTGGGAGGCCAAGGCAGGTGAATTACTTGAGCCCAAGAGTTCAAGACCAGCCTGGGCAATACAGCAATACCCCATTTCTACAAAAAAATACAAAAATTAGTCAGGCGTGGTGGCATACACCTGTAATCCCAGCTACTCAGGAGGCTAAGGTAGAAAGATCACTTGAGTCCATCCATTTGAGGTTGCAGTGAGCTGTGATCCTGCCACTACGCAACAGAGTAAGACCCTGTCTTAAAAAAAAAAAAAAAAGTTCGGGGCTTCAGGGCCCAATTTGCTGCTTCTTCAGCTCTGACTGCATCTCACAGTGGCCAGGCTTCCCCTGGAAGGCAGTGTTGCCTGCAATTTCTTTCTGCCCAGCTCTGGCCTTTCCCCCTAAACTGATCTCCCACTTCCTCACATCCCTGGAGACACCTGCCTGCCCATCTGCCCACTTGCCTGTGCCCCTCACTTGGCAGTCAGCACACCCCTGCTTAATGTCGTTATCACTTCACTTCCTATTTATTTATTTATTTTTGAGATGGAGTTTTGCTCTTCTTGCCCAGGCTGGAGTGCAATGGCGCCACCTCAGCTCACTGCAGCCTCGACCACCTGGGCTCCAGCAGTCTTCCCATCTCAGCCTTCCAAGTAGCTGGAACCACGGGCAGGCACTACCATGCCAGGCTAATTCTTTTACTTTTTTCAGAGATGGGGTCTCACTAGGTTGCCAGAGCTGGTCTCAAACTTCTGGGCTCAAGAGATCCTCCTGCCTTGGCCTCTCAAAGTGCTGGGATTACAGGCGTGAGCCACCGCGCCTGGCCATTATCACTTCTTTTTATATCTTCTCTCTCCAGCTAAACTGAGAGTAACTGGCGAGTGAGGACTAGTTTTAGATTTCTTGGAGTTTATAGTGCTTGGCACATTAGAAGTCTTGATAAATACACTTAAAGCGGTCAGGAATGTGAATGTTCAAACGAGGCCAACTCTTTTTTTTTTTTTTTTTTTTTTTGAGACAGAGTCTTGCTGTGTCACCCAGGCCGGAGTGCACTAGCACAATCTCAGCTCATTGCAACCTCCATCTCCCAGGTTCAAGTGATTCTCCTGCCTCAGCCTCCCGAGTAGCTGGGATTACAGGCCTGTGCCACTATGCTAATTTTTTTTTTTTGTATTATTAGTAGAGACAGGGTTTCACCATGTTAGCCAGGCCGGTCTTGAACTTCTGACCTCAAGTGATCTGCCCACCTCGGCCTCCCAAAGTGCTGGGATTACAGGTGTGAGCCACCGCTCCTGGCTGAGGCCACCTCTTTTCTTGGGGACACTTGGGCTCCAGCTTTCTCCATTCATCAGCTTAGCATGAGCTTGAGGAACGCAGAGGGGGGCTGACTGAGAGGAGCAGGCACTGGGGACAATGGGGACATCCACGGTTCCTAGCAATGGATTTGAGGTGGGATTTCCAATTCCTCTTCTCCCACCTTGGATTTGACCATCTGAATACCAAATTCCTGTCACTTCTAGGATGTCACCTAAGATGAGACTGTGGTCTTTCCACTCTTGGGTCCCAAGGAGGTGCCACAGGGCCTACAATAAGGCAAGGAAGGCTCAGTGAGGTCCGTGTTCACCCCACCCCCACTTCAACACGAGGAGTTCTGCTTTTATTTTGCCTCTGTGTGTGTGTGTGTGTGTGTGTGTTTCTAGGTATTATTTTATTTGGAGAAAGGATTTGCTCCTAAGGACACACACACGCACACACACATGCACACTCACGCACACGTACTCACAGGTTCTGCAAAACACTAGTGTGGCAGAAAGTGTTGAAAACTAGTTCTAGACCTGGCATGAATTTGACCAGGTTCAGCCTTAGTCTCCTCTCTTAGAAATAAGGTCATCTGGGCCAGGTGCGGTGGCTCAAGCCTGTAATCCCAGCACTTTGGGAGGCCGAGGTGGGCGGATCACGAGATCAGGACCTCAAGACCAGCCTGACCAACATGGTGAAACCCCGTCTCTACTAAAAATACAAAAATTAGCCAGGCATGGTGGCACGTGCCTATAATCCCAGCTAGTCTGGAGGGTGAGGCAGGAGAATCGCTGGAACCTGGGAGGCAGAGGTTGCGGCGAGCCGAGATCATGTGAGGAAATAAGGCCATCTGGAAATATCCTTCCCATCACAGGATGATACCCGGCAAATTCTTCAAAGCAGTGTTCTCCAACTTGAATGTTTGTGATGTGGGCGATTCTGACTGAGGGGGTCTGTAGACCACATCTTGATAAACAATGCTTTTTAAAAAATTCCTAGAAGAGAATATTTGATTTCTGGAAGGATAGAGAAGAAACTAATAAGAGTGTTTACCTCCGAGGAGGAGGAGAATTGGGAAGCTGAGAGCAGAGGAGGGAGGAAGACTTACTTTTCACCGTGTTCTTTTTTGTACCTTTTGAGTTTTGTACGACATACTGAATCTTTGACCCATTTGCAATTATAAATAAAGGCACATTTATTTGGCCGGGCGCGGTGGCTCATGCCTGTAATCCCAGCACTTTGGGAGGACGAGGTGGGTGGATCACCTAAGGTCAGGAGTTAGTGACCAGCCTGGCCAACATGGTGAAACCTCGCTCTACTAAAACACAAAAATTAGCCAGATGTGGTGGCAGGCACCTGTAATCCCAGCTACTCAGAAGGCTGAGGCAGGAGAATCGCTTGAACCTGGGAGGCAGAGGTTGCAGTGAGCTGAGATCGCACGACTGCACTCCAGCCTGGGCAACAGAGTGAGACTCTGTCTCAAAAAAAAAAAAAAAAAAAAGAAAAAGAAAATAATTAGCCAGGCATGGTGGCAGGCGCCTATAATCCCAGATAGGAGGCTGAGGCAGAAGAACTGTTTGAACCTGGGAGGCGGAGGTTGCAGTGAGCCAAGATCACACCACTGCATTCCAGCCTGAGCAACAGAGCAAGACTGTCTCAAAAAAAAAAAAAAAAGTACATTTACTTGAAAAAAAATAAATAACTAAAAACATTTGGCACATTATTCAAATCCAAGGTGTAAAAAAACGCCACAGGGCATGGTGGCTCACGCCTGTAATCCTCGCACTTTGGGAGGCTGAGGCGGGTGGGTCACCTGAGGTCTGGAGTTTGAGACCAGCCTGGCCAACATGGTGAAACCCCATCTCTACTAAAAATACAAAAAAATTAGCCAGGCATGGTGGCAGGCACCTGTAATCCCAGCTACTCGGGAGGCTGAGGCAGGAGAATCATTTGAACCTGGGAGGCAGACGTTGCAGTGAGCCGAGATCACACCATTGCCCTCCAGCCTGGGCAACAAGTGAAACTCCATCTCAAAAAAAAAAAAAAAAAAACCCACAAAAAACAAAAAACAACAACAACAAAAAAACAAACACCACAAACATGACCACCTGCCATGACCTCCCTGGACTGATTGACCCACAGGAAAGCCAGCAAGCTTGTTCCTGAGGCCTTTGGGAATTGCATGCACTGCTGCCCAGCTCTGGTCACACAGGGTCACCCAGAGACTCAAGGAAAAAGGGGAGGCGTCACCCAATCAGTCTCTCCCTCAGGTGTGGCATCCAAGCTGGCTAAAGGGTGGCAGGTCCCAAACTGTCCATGTTTCTCTTACGGGAGCTGCCGAAGATGGCAGAGATGTTAAAACAAAACACAAACAAACAAACCCAATACACCCAGGAGGCCACCTGAGCTCCCACAACGCTGGCTGTATACCTTATAAAAACTGCCTGGATATGTTGTGCTACCTGTGTATTCGTCTGTGCCCTACCCCCACAGTGTCAATTCCACCAAGGCAGGGACCGTGTCTTGTTCATCCTTGTGCGTCCAGTGCCTAAGCCCAGCCCTGTTTATGAACTGGAGGCAAACACCTTTGGAAGGAAGGCTACTCCCAGCCCCTCGCCAGGCATCTGTGTTACTGTGGCTTCTGCTCCACCAACGACTAGCAGTTCGCAGCTTCTAAACGGTGTTCCCTCTGTTGCAGCTGAGCTTCCTGCAATCCTGTAAAACAGGCTCTATTGCTATTATCACCATCTTCATTGAACCAATGAAGAAAGCAGTCTTGTGTCTACCATCTTACCATCTTGTATTTTGTGGTGTGCCATTGGCCACTTCACTTTTTTCCTTTGGTTTTGCACCTGTAAAATGGGTGCCATTATTTCTGACATACCCATGAGCCAGAGGACATGTCAGAATCAAGGGGTCAAAGTGGCTATGAGGCCAGAAGCTGTAAAGAAGGAGCAGAGATCAAATTTAAACCTAGCATCTTTCCTTTTTTTTTTTTTGAGATGGAGTCTTGCTCTGTCGCTCAGGCTGGAGTGCAGTGGCACAATCTTGGCTCACTGCAACTTCTGCTTCCCGGGTTCAAGTGATTCTCCTGCCTCAGCCTCCTGAGTAGCTGGGATTACAGGCGTGTGCCACCACACCCAGCTGATTTTTGTATTTTTAGTAGAGATGGGGTTTCACCATGTTGGCCAGGCTGGTCTCAAACTCCTGACCTCAGGTGATCCACCCACCTCGGCCTCCGAAAGTGCTGGGATTACAGGCATGAGCCACCATGCCTGGCCTTTTTTTTTTTTTGAGTCAGGGTCTCACTCTTGTCACCCAGGCTGAGTGCAATGGCATGATCACAACTCACTGCAGCCTCGATCTCACAGGCTCAAGCGATTCTCCCACCTTAGCCTCCCCAGTAGCTGGTACCACAGGCAGGCACCACCACGCCCAGCTAATTTTTTATTTTTATTTCTTAGAGACGGGTCTCACTATGTTGCCCAGGCTGGTCTCAAGTTCCTGGATTCAATGTTCTTGCCTTGGCTTCTCAAAGTACCAGGATTATAGGCATGAGCCACTGTGCCAGGCCCAAACCTAGCTTCTGAGTGGAAAAATTTCTGCTGCCCCACCAGCTTCAGGAAGTGGGAGTCAACTCTAGTCACTGTGGTGATGCAGAGATAATACGGCTGATAAACCCCTTATTTTTCTCTCCTTGTTTTTGGTCATCATTAGGAATTTGTTGACAGAGAGGGGACAGGTAAAGATACCATTATACTTATTATTATTATTATCTTGAGACAGAGTCTCATTCTGTCTCCCAGGCTGGAGTGCAGTGATGTGATCTCATCTCACTGCAACCTCCGCCCTCCGGGTTCAAGCAGTTCTCCTGCCTCAGCCTCCTGAGTAGCTGGGACTGTAGAGGCACATGCCACCATGCCTGGCTAATTTTTTTGTATTTTTAGTAGAGATGGGGTTTGACTATGTTGGCCAAGCTGGTCTCGAACTCCTGACCTCAGGTGACCCACCCACCTCGGCCTCCCAAAGTGCTGGGATTACGAGTGTGAGCCACGGTGCCAGGCCCTATTATACTTTGCTAACCTTTTATTGTGTACCTACTATGTACACAGGTGCTGGGGAGGTGAGTAATACAGCAAAAGAAAAAGGTTAACTCCCTATGGGAGGCTGTTGCCTGCAGAGGATGTATTTGAATGGGAATCCCAGAATATTCGTGATATAGATGGGGAAACTGAGGCCCAGAATGGGGAAGGGGCTTGCCCAAGGTACACAAATTGGAACACTCAGTGGCCTTTAGTTAGATTTCTTTATTACTTATTTATTTTTTTGAGAGGGAGTTTTGCTCTATCACCCAGGCTGGAGGCAGTGGCCTTCTTGGCTCACCGCAACTTCTGCCTCCCAGGTTCAAGCGATCCTCCTGCCTCAGCCTCCCAAGTAGTGGTAACTACAGGTGTGCACCACCATGCCCAGCTAATTTTTGTATTTTCAGTAAAGACAGCGTTCACCATGTTGGCCAGGCTGGTCTTGAACTCCTGACCTCAGGTGATCACCCACCTCAGTTTCCCAAACTGCTGGGATTATAGGCGTGAGCCACTGCGTCCGGCCTTAGTTAGCTTTATTAATGAGAAAACAGGAGTGCTGGTCCTTAGCCTCCAGTCCTGATGGGGTGCAGCGAGGAAATGGAGCTCTCACTGGAAGCTGTGGCCCTGCCAGGACTACAGCCCTCGGTTTTTTGTGTTTTTTATGTTTTTTTTTTTTTTTTTTTTTTTTCACCCAGGCCTGTGCACTGAGGGGTAGGGGAAAAAGGCAGGAAGGGGAGGGTGGAGTCACCTCGCAAAAGGAAGCCAGGGGAGCCCAGAACAGGATCCAGGGTCTCCCTCCCCCGTGGTCTGGAGATCCTTGACATCTGCCATCCCCTTAGCAGAAGCTGCAGCCAGAGAAAGAGGGCGACGGTCCCGTCACATTCTGAGCCCAGCAACGGAGGGCTTTCCAGGCCGGGACTGCGGGCAGATGGGAATTCTCCTCTCCTTTCTGCTGGACGTATCTCCCCTCAGTTTCGCTATCTGTAAGATGGGGCATTGTCCCTGCCAAACCCGCAGGCCAGGACGGCCTAAGAGGATCAAACGAGGAGAGGCAACGAGGATTGGTGCCTGGCTTTTCCTGAAAACAGATTCCTCCCCCGCCCCCGGGACCTGTCCCACAGGGGCGTCTGGAAATTCCACAGAGCCAGCCAGTCTCAGAGTGAAACAATCGGATCCGCCGCGACACAGCAGCTATTCAGACGTCGGGGGCGGGGGCCGGGCCGCTGAGCGAGCAGAGCAATGCCGCCCTCGCGTCCCCTCCCGGCCCACGCGGCTGCCCCGGCCGCCCTCCCCGCGGAGCCCCGGCCTCGCACGGGCCTCGGCGCCCGCCGGGCGTCCCCCAAGCTTCCTTGTTTGTGGCCGAGCGACCGCGGAGCGTGGCACGTTCAGGAAGGACGAGTCGCCCCACGGCGGGGAACCGGCGACCGGCGGCAGCCCCAGCCCAACCCCGGCCACGCCTCGTTAGGCGCCACGTCCCGTCCCCGGGCGCCCGGAGCACTGTGCCCCGCCGGCCCCTGCCCGCCGCTCGCTGTAGGAGGGAGCCTTCTGCGTCGGCTCCCGACACTCGCTCACTGGGGCGCGGGCACTTGAGAGTAGGCAACCTGGGGGCCCCAGAAGGGGATGGGGCTCCGACAGCTTCAGCCGGGCGTCCCCTCAGCTGCCTTAGCTGGCGTCTGAGAGCGACTCCTCCGTCCAGGGCTGACAGTTCCCTTGCCCCTTAAGAGCCAATCGGAGAATCATAGGATCTGACATCCTGTGGCTCAGCCGGGTCTAAGAGCTCATGAGTCACCCTGTGTGCTTTGCTGATGAGGAAACCGAGGCCCAGAGACGGGGGCTGACTTATTCGAGCCACGTTTGTGTCTCCTAGCCCTGTGCCCTTTCTCCAACACTCTACTATCCTACCTCAAATCAAATCCACTCTGGGGCTAAGGACATCTAGAAGTGTGCGTGTGTGTGTGTGTGTGTGTGTGCGCGCGCGCCAAGAGTGGCTTGGCTACATTAGGGAAATGCCAGAAAAATGGAAGGTTTCTAATAAAAGCTGCTCTCCACGGGCCCAGAGTGTGGGGCTCCCACCCATTGGCTCCACAAATCACCTGTACAACCTTGCCAGACATTGGCCGCCTGGCAGCTCCAGACTTCACTCCACCCACACTCCCCACACACATACAGACAATGGCATTTTTTTCTATGGCATCTGGAAGGGGCAGAAATGCCCAGAGACCTGGTTTGATCCCACTTCTCTTGGGCCCTTCTCTATGTTTCTAAAATTGCTTTACTGCAGGCGCTTGGGTGGCTCTTGTGGTCTCTACACAGATTTGTTTTCTCCAGTGAGACTCAGTCCTGTGGGTCACCCATCAGGACTACATTTCCAAGGGTCCTTCAGGTGGCTCCATGCTCCTGGGTCAAACTGTTACCAGAAAGGGGTCTTGATCCAAACCTCAAGAGAGTATTCTTGGATCTCGTGTAAGAAGGAATTCGGGGCGAGACTGTAAAGTGAAAGCAAATTTATTAGGAAAATAAAGAAATAAAAGAATGGCTACTCTATAGACAGAGCAGCCCCGAGCACTGCTGGTTACCCATTTTTATGGTTATTTCTTGATGCTGTGCTAAACAAGGGGTAGATTATTCGTGCCTCCCCTTTTTAGACCATAGAGGGTAACTTCCTGACGTTGCCATGGTATTTGTAAACTGTCATGGCGCTGGTGGGAGTATAGCAGTGAGGACCACCAGAGGTCACTCTCGTGGCCATCTTGGTTTTGGTGGGTTTTGGCCGGCTTCTTTACCGCAACCTGTTTTATCAGCAAGGTCTTTTTTTTTTTTTGAGATGGAGTCCCGCTCTGTCACCCAGGCTGGAGTGCAGTGGTGCCATCTCGGCTCACTGCAACCTCTGCCTACTGGGTTCAAGTGATTCTCCTGCCTCCCAAGTAGCTGGGATTACAGGTGTCTGCCACCACGCCTGGCTACTTTTTGTATTTTCAGTAGAGACAGGGTTTCACCATGTTGGCCAAGCTGGTCTCAAACTCCTGACCTCAGGTAATCTGCCTGCCTTGGCCTCCCAAAGTGCTGGGATTACAGGCATGAACCAACGTGCCCAGCCAGCAAGGTCTTTGTGACCCACATCTTGTGCCAACCTCCTATCTCATCCTGTGACTTAGAATCTTAGAATGCCTTAGCCATCTGGGAATGCAGCCCAGTAGGTCTCAGCCTCATTCTACCCAGCCCCTATTCAAGATGGAGTCACCAATCTCGGCTCACTGCAATCTCCGCCTTCTGGGTTCACGCCATTCTCCTGCCTCAGCCTCCCGAGTAGCTGGGACTACAGGCGCCCGCCACCATGCCCGGCTAGTTTTTTGTATTTTTTTAGTAGAGATGGGGTTTCACTGTGTTAGCCAGGCTGGTTTCGATCTCCTGACCTCGTGATCCGCCTGCCTTGGCCTCCCAAAGTGCTGGGATTACAGGCGTGAGCCACCACGCCTGGCCAGGATCATTTTTTACATTCGTGGAGCACTTTGTGTCTTAAGATGTGCTTTCTGGTTCATTATCTTCTCATTCTCACAATTCTGTAATGCAGGAAGAGACTGCTATCTTTGTACTGGGAGGCACAATGAGGCCTCTGCCCTGCCACTTATCAGCTGTGTGACTTTGGGCCAGCACAGTGATCTTTTTGGGCCCCTATTTGCAAACGGTATTCTCTCCCTGTAAGGTGGTAGAGGACACTGAGATGAGCTACGTCTAACCCTCGGCCCCAGTAGCAGGCATTCAAAAAACATTAACTTATTTTTTACAGATGAATTAGGTAAGGCCTAAAAATACCTCATCTACCGCAGCCAATGAGAATAATAAACCCCAACCTACTGCTGTGTTTTTTCTCTGTCTTTAAAAAACACCCCAAGCTGGGGCCGGCCACTGTGGCTCACGCCTGTAATCCCAGCACTTTGGGAGGCCAAGGCAGGTGGATCACTTGAGGTTAGGGATTCAAGACAAGCCTGGCCAACATAGTGAAACCCCGTCTCTATTGAAAACACAAAAATCAGCCAGGTGTGATGGCAGGCGCCTGTAATCCCAGCTACTCAGGAGGCTGAGGCAGGAGAATTGCTTGAACCTGGGCAGTGGAGGTTGCAGTGAGCTGAGGTCACGCCACTGCACTCCAGCTTGGGCGACAGAGCAAGACTCTGTCTCAAAAAAAAAAAAAAAAAAAAAAAAAGTACCCTAAGCTGGAAAGTGGCGAAGAGCGTTTGATTTGATTTTCTACTGTCTTATACCTTGGGCTGGGTTCTTCCACTCTACCCACAGGCTTTTCTCAGTCTGTGTCCCTCAAGTTATATTTAGACATCTCTTCATTCCCAGTCTTTATGGAGGGCTAATTTAGCCATTATCCAAACACACAGTGGCAATGTTTCAAACCACATCAAGGAGGATCCTTTACTTGAAAGTCCCTCAAAACTAGCTCTTCCTAGATTCCTGCTCTGCCCTCAAATAAAAGAGAGAGGAAATGACCAGTTGCCCCCATTGTGGCAGATTGTAAACCTTAGCCTAGTCAAGACCTTCTTGGGTCAGAATGACTAAGGGGGGGATTTGAGAATACTAGCTGAGAACCTCCATCACTCCTCAACGTATGCGTGGTTTAGCAAATCACTCACCCCCTCAAGATATGTTTTGCCTCCATCCCCATTCCTTTGGAGAATCCCTCCATCATCTTACCTATCAGAGAAACACCAACTTATAGGGACACTGTCATGACAGACCCCAAAATGCTTTTAGATGACTGATACATGCTCATAGAAGGAAGAGAGGCACCTCTAACCCCCCGCCCCATCCTTTCTACTGGACACTCACATACCCGTGTACAAAATGTATAGACATAATTTCTTTATGTCCCAGAGCCAAACTAGGTTGGGACATGTGGATCAAACACACTTGATATGAGGGTTTGGGAATCTTGGGTCTTTCATTTCTCTGTGACTGAAAGTGAGATTTGGGTCATCAATACTGGAAATGAGATTGGGGTCATCATAGACTCTTAGGTGAGGAAGGCGACCTTTAAGATCACCCAGCCCCACCGGGCGCAGTGGCTTACACCTGTAATCGCTGCACTTTGGGAGGCCAAAGTGGGTGAATCGCCTGAGGTGAGGAGTTCGAGACCAGCCTGACCAACATGGAGAAACCCTGTCTCTACTAAAAATACAAAATTAGCTGGGCGTGGTGGCACATGCTTGCAATCCCAGCTACTTGGGAGGCTGAGGCAGGAGAATCGCTTGAACCCAGGAGGCGGAGGTTGCGGTGAGCCGAGATTGTGCCATTGTACTCCAGCCTGGGCAACAAGAGAGAAACTGTCTCAAAAAACAAAAAAAGTCCAGGCGCCATGGCTCATGCCTGTAATCCCAGCACTTTGGGAGGCCGAGATGGGTGGATTACCTCAGGTCAGGAGTTTGCAACCAGCCTGGCCAACATGGTGAAATCCCGTCTCTGCTAAAATACAAAAATTAGCTGGGTGTGGTCACAGGCGCCTGTAATCCCAGCTACTCGGGAGGCTGAGGAAAGAGAATCGCTTGAACCCGGGAGGCGGAGGTTGCAGTGAGCTGAGACCGTGCCATTGCACTGTAGCCTGGGCAACCAGAGTGAAACTCTATCTCAAAGAAAAAAAAAAAAAAAAGGAAAGAAAAAAAAAATCACCCTGCCCCACCCTCTTGTTTTGGAGAGATTCCATAATTATTTGTTTATATATTGAATACCTGCCATGCGCCATAAATAGAAAAATGAGATGGCCAAGACAATTTTCTTCCCTTGAGAAGCTCACAGGTCTAGGAGACAAACAAGTCTGCCACTAGTTATATACAATGGGATAAGTAAGTACTATAATGTCAGTTTTGTGCAGAGTGCAGGAGTGACAGGGAGAAGAGGAGGGGCCATCTCTGCCTGGGGAAGAATTGAATACACAGAGGTGATGTGTGAGCTGGGTTTTGAAGGGATGCTGCATGGTTGGCCTAGAAAGGTGGGTTGGGATAAAGGTTGAGTTAGGACAAGAACCCAGTTTTCTAGGCAGTGCTCTCCCCATACATGGCCGCTATTTATTTCCTTCCTTCCTTCCTTCCTTCCTTCTTTCCTTCTTTCTTTTCTCTTTCT
Organism: Homo sapiens; assembly: GCF_000001405.40. Lineage (NCBI taxonomy): Eukaryota > Metazoa > Chordata > Mammalia > Primates > Hominidae > Homo > Homo sapiens. The sequence goes on from NC_000017.11 coordinate 49,265,174, forward strand.
TTCTTTCTTTCTCTTTCTTTCTTTTTTCTTTCTTTCTTTCCTTCTTCTTTCTTTCTTTCTTTCTCTTTCTTTCTTCTTTCTTTCTTTCTTTCCTTCCTTCCTTCCTTCCTTCCTTCCTTTCTTTCTTTTTCTTTCGTCTTTCTCTCTCTCTCTTTTTCTCTTTCTTTCTTTCTTTCCTTTCTTTCTTTTTTTTCACGGAGTCTCGCTCTGTCGCCCAGGCTGGAGTGCAGTGGCGCCGCGCCATCTCGGCTCACTGCAAGCTCCACCTCCGGGGTTCACGCCATTCTCCTGCCTCAGCCTCCCAAGTAGCTGGGACTACAGATGCTGCCACCACGCCCGGCTAATTTTTTGTATTTTTAGTAGAGACGGGGTTTCACCGTGTTAGCCAGGATGGTCTCTATCTCCTGATCTCGTGATCTGCCCATCTCGGCCTCCCAAAGTGCTGGGATTTGGGGTTACAGGTGTGAGCCACTGTGCCTGGCTCTTTCTTTCTTTCTTTTTTTTTTTTTGAGACGGAGTTTCACTTTTGTCACCCAGGCTGGAGTGCAATGGCGTGATCTTGGCTCCCTGCAACCTCCGCCTCCCGGGTTCAAGCAATTCTCCTGTCTCAGCCTCCCAAGTAACTGGGATTACAGGCATCTGCCACCACACCTGGCTAATTTTTGTATTTTTAGTAGAGATGGGGTTTCACCATGTTGGCCAGGCTGGTTTTGAACTCCTGACCTCAGGTGATCTGCCCGCTTCGGCCTCCCGAAGTGCTGGGATTACAGGTGTGAGCCACTGTGCCCAGCCCCCTATTTCTTTTTTGTTTTTGGAGATGGAGTCTTGCTCTGTCGCCCAGGCTGGAGTGCAGTGGCGTGATCTCGGCTCACTCCAACCGCCTCCCAGTTTCAAGTGATCCTCCTGCCTCAGCCTCCTAAGTAGCTGGGACTATGGGCACATGTCACCATGCCCGGCTAATTTTTGTATTTTTAGTAGAGACAGGGTTTCATCATGTTGGCCAGTCTGGTCTCGAATTCCTGACCTCAGACCTCAGATGATCCACCCACCTCAGCCTTCCAAAGTGCTGGGATTACAGGCATAAGCCACCATGCCCAGCCAATACATGGCCCCTATTTCTATCACCTTGAGATGACTTGCTGGGGAAGCTGAAGACCTGATTTTCCAGCTGCCTGAAGGTAGTGGGCTGGGAGTTGTGTCCCTATGCAGCAGTCTAGGAAGGGCCATTATTATGTTCAGACTTGACGGAGCATCCATCAGCAGGACCAGACCTGCCTGGGCAGTAGAGGGAGGAAATGAGAGACAACCTCTCAGGCAGATACACCGTGCTAGACAGCAGCAGTGAAGATGTGAATCCTTCAAATCTTGGCATAGCCTGGAGGGAAACCAGGGTCTAATTGGTCTAGTTGTTCCATTTATCTGGGCAAGGAGAGGAGAGGTACTTTCCACTTCTCACTCTGTTTGTAGGCACCATAAGTATTTAGCCTGATGAGTCTGAACATTTGCTTCTTGATTATGTGTGTGTGGCCTACCCACTAGTGAAGAAACTGCTTCCCAGACTTCCTGGTCTCTGCCATCTGGCATGGGGTGCTCAGAGGAAGCCAGTGTCTCAGCACAAGACAAACCCAACTTAGGATGGAAACTTGCTACATTCAACATGCAATTAAAGAACAAATATCCCACAAAAATGAATGTGGGGCCAGGCACGGTGGCTCACGCCTGTAATCCCAGCACTTCAGGAGGCCGAGGCGGGCGGATCACCTGAGGTCAGGAGTTGGAGAACAGCCTGGCCAACATGGCAAAACCCCGTCTCTTACTAAAAAAAAAAAAAAAAAAAAAAAAAAGAAAAGAAAAAAAAATTAGCTGTGCATGTGCCTGTAATCCCAGCTACTTGGGAGGCTGAGGCAGGAGAATGGCTTGAACCCGGGAAGCAGAGGTTGAAGTGAGCTGACATTGCGCCACTGCACTCCAGTCTGGGCGACAGAGAAAGGCTCTATCTCAAGGAAAAAAAAAAAAAAAAAAGAACAATTTGGAATCTGTTGCTGTCTTCTGGATCAGTCTCTATATTGATGGCATATCTCCTTTAACGTGTGAAGAAATAAGAATTTCTGGGCCGGGCGCGGTGGCTCATGCCTATAATCCCAGCACTTTGGGAAGTCGAGATGGGCAGATCACCTGAGGTTGGGAGTTCAAGACCAGCCTGACCAACATGGAGAAACCCCGTCTCTACTGAAAATACAAAGTTAGCTGGGGGTGGTGGCGCATGCCTGTAATCCCAGTTACTTGGGAGGCTGAGGCACGAGAATCATTTGAACCAGGGAGGCAGAGGTTGCAGTGAGCCGAGATCACGCCACTGCACTCCAGCCTGGGCAACACAGCGAGACTCCGTGGAGTAAGATAAATACCAATATGCAAGAGGAAGGATGAGGAAGGGGTGCTCTGGTGAGGGCCTGGGCTGACTTGCTCAGGTATGTCACCTCGGCTCTACCAAGAATTTTCAGTGTGGCCTTGGGTGGCCGTTGCTCTCCTGGAGTCAGTTTCTTCAGCTATAAATGAGGAGGGGGAAGACTCCAGTGTATGTGTAGCACAAAATTTTGACTCAGGGTTCTCTCCTAAGGCCTGCTGCCTAATTTTAAAAACAATGGGAAACGGTGTCCCCAGGTAATTGTCCTACACATCAGTTTAGAGCACAGAAGTGAGGAGCAAGGCCAGGACAGGGGAGGAGAAGCCTGCACCTGAGGCCCAGGTACAGCTGAGCACATGTAGAGGGAGGTCAGGGAGCCATGGGCTTAGGGCAGGCAGAGGGACCATCTGGTAATGAAAGGGCTGGTCTGGGGGAATGCAGAGAAGGCAGAAGGTGCTGCAGACAGTTCTGCCAGGTCCTGGGCTTGAAGCCTACTCTCCCCTGCTCTCCCCCGACTCTCCCCTGCTGTCCCCTGCTCTCCTGCCATCCCACCACCGGTGCTTCAACTGATGGGGTAGCTCCTGTCACTAGAGTGCGTACCTGAGTTTTGTGGAGCTTTCAGACTCTCTGCAATTGGTCTCCTGAGCTGAAGTCCCCACTTCTCCCCTTCACCCTTCCCTAGGGTCTGGAAACTTGGATCACAAAAAGGTGGAAAAAACCAATTCCTTTGAAAAGGCCCTTGTTCTTTCACTCAAGACACTGGGTGTGGTTCTTAATAGACTCAACCCAAACATGTCACATCATCTCTCAATACATAATTCTATTCATGCTCCTTGCGGAAGCCACCTGGGCAGAAAGATGTGGCCTCTTGAGGGTGAGAAAGGTAAATAAGGGAGTCTTAATTTGTCACTAGCTGAGGTTGGAAGCTCTAATTTTGTAGTTTTCCAGGGTGAACACTGTTTTGTGGTCTAGGATTGTCTGGGACGTTATTTGCTAACCCAAGCCACCAGCGCTCACCACGGCCTACCGACATTCCTGTTCTATAAAAGTTCCACTTGGCAGGGCACGGTGGCTCATGCCTGTAATCCCAGCACTTTGGGAGGCCGAGGCAAGCAGATCACCTGAGGTCGGGAGTTCGAGACCAGCCTGACCAACATGGAGAAACCCCATCTTTACTAAAAATACAAAATTAGCCGGGCATGGTGGCACATGCCTGTAATCCCAGCTACTCGGGAGGCCTAGGCAGGAGAATCGCTTGAACCTGGAAGGTGGAGTTTGTGGTGAGCTGAGATTGCACCCGGGCACTCCAATCGGCAACAAGAGCAACACTCCATCTCAAAAAAAAAAGTTCCACCTGCCCAGGTCTGCATTGGGCTGGCATTCTCCCAAGGACTTAATCCACCATCGGGCTGGCCTACACTAATGAATATACTCTCACCTGGGCCCAGCATGAGGCAAAGAAAAACCCCAGCTGTGAGATCAGTGCATCAGTCAAAGCAACTCAGTGGCTTCCTAAACTGATTTCCACAAAGTCACAACCGGAAAGCAAGAAAAGTAATTTCCACAACTGTCCTTATTTTTCAGTTCCACATTTCTGACTCCAGGGGAGCATCCCTCATTACTCTGGTCCATCTATCATTCCTCAGCTTCTGACCCCTTTCAGAACGTGACCTGGTCACTTCACACATGTGGGAGGCTGGGCGTCTGTACTCATCTTACAGGGACCCCCTGACCCCCACCCCAAACATCAACATCTGTCCATTTACTCAAGGTGTCACTTCTCAGCAAAAGTCTTCTTTGGATTAATCTGTGCCCACCACCCAGGCCGGCCACATTCTGTGGTTACCATCCTGCCATCAATGGACAGCATCACAAAATGTGATTTACCACCATTTGTGCTTGTTAACACTTACTGGGTGTCAGCGGGCAGAATGGATTACCAGCCCAGGGCGTTCTGGCCCCAAATGCAGTTTTCTTCTCCAGTCAAGTCTAGACTAACAAATACCCCACGATAGGCACTCAGTGCTGAAGTCAGTTCCTGGAAACAGGTGATTTGGGCATGGGAGGTTCAGTGCCTGTGGCCCGTCCTTCTTTGTTTAGCCCTCAGATAGTGTCTCAGTCAGTTCAAGATGTTACAACAAAATGCCTAAGAATGAGTAATTTATAAAAAACAGAAATTCAAGGCCAAGTGCGGTGGCTCACGCCTGTAATCCTTGGCACTTTGGGGAAGCCGAGGAAGACAGATCATGAGGTCAGGAGATTGAGACCATCCTGGCCAACATGGTGAAACCTCGTCTTTACTAAAATACAAAAAAAAAAAAAAAATTAGCCAGATGTGGTGGCGCGTGCCTGTAGTCCCAGCTACTCAAGAGGCTGAGGCTGGGGAATCTCTTGAACCCGGGAGGCAGAGGTTGCAGTGAGCCGAGATCGCACCACAGCACTCCAGCCTGGGTGACAGAGCGAGACTCCGTCTCAAAAACAAACAAACAAACAAAAAAACCCCAGAAATTTCTTTCTTTCTTTTTCTTTTCTTTTCTTTCTTTCTTTTTTTTTTTTTTTTTGAGACAGAGTCTTGCTCTGTCGCCAGGCTGGAGTGCTGTGGCGCTATCTCGGCTCACTGCAACCTCTGCCTCCTGGGTTCAAGCGATTCCCCTGCCTCCGCCTCCCGAGTAGCTGGGACTACAGGCGTGTGCCACCACGCCAGGCTAATTTTTGTATTTTTAGTAGCAACGGGGTTTCACCATGTTGTTAGGCTGGTCTCAAACTCCTGACCTTGTGATCTGCCCATCTTGGCCTTCCAAAGTGCTGGGATTACCAGTGTGAGCCACCATGCCCAGCAGAAATTTATTTTTCACAGTTTTGGAGGCTGGGAAGTCCAAGATCAAGGTGTCAGCAGATGTGGTGGCTGGCAAGGACTGTCTCTGCTTCTAAGATGGCTCCTGTTGCTGCATCCTTTGGAGTGTATGAATGTTGTGTCTTCCCAGGGGGTAAGGCATGGGAGGGAAGAGGCATGAGGGAGATTCCTTCGGCCTCTTTTATTTATTTATTTATTTATTTTGAGACAGAGTCTCGCTCTGTCTCCCAGGCTGAAGTGCAGTGGCGCGATCTCGGCTCACTGCAAGCTCCGCCTCCTGGGTTCACGCCATTCTCCTGCCTCAACCTCCCCAGTAGCAGGGACTACAGGTACCCGCCACCATGCCTGGCTAATTTTTTAAAAATATTTTTAGTAGAGACAGGGTTTCACCATGTTAGCCAGGATGGTCTCCATCCCCTGACCTCGTGATCCACCCGCCTTGGCCTCCCAAAGTGCTGGGACTACAGGCGTGAGCCACCATACCCGGCCCAGCCTCTTTTAAAAAGGCACTAATTGGCCGGGCATGGTGGCTCACGCCTGTAATCCCAGCATTTTGGGAGGCTGAGGTGGGCGGATCATGAGGTCAGGAGATCGAGATCATCCTGGCTAACATGGCGAAAGCCCGTCTCTACTTAAAAAAAATATAAAAAATCAGCCAGGCGTGGTGGCAGGAGCCTGTAGTCCCAGCTACTTGGGAGGCTGAGGCAGGAGAATGGCACGAACCCGGGAGGCAGAGCAGTGAGCAAGATCATGCCACTGCACTCCAGCCTGGGCGACAGAGCGAGACTCTGTCTCAAAAATAAAAATAAAAATAAAAAAGCGCTAATCCTGGCTGGGTGTGGCGACTCACGCCTATAATCCCAGCACTTTAGGAGTCCGAGCTGGGCAGATCACCTGAGGTCAGGTGTTTGAGACCAGCCTGGCCAATATGACAAAACTCTGTCTTTACTAAAAATACAAAAATTAGCCTGGCATGGTGGCGGGCACCTGTAGTCTTAGCTACTCAGGAGGCTGAGGCAGGAGAATCACTTGAACCTGGGAGGCTGAGGTTGCAGTGAACTGAGATCACACCACTAGACTCCAGTCTGGGCAACAGAGCGAAATTCCATCTCAAAATAAATAAATAAACAGCCGGGCACGGTGGCTCATGCCAGCAATTTGGGAGGCTGAGGCAGGCAGATCACCTGAGGTTGGGAGTTCAAGACCAGCCTGACCAACATGGAGAAATCCCGTCTCTACTAAAAATACAAAATTAGCCAGGGTGGTGGCGTATGCCTGTAATCCCAGCTACTTGGGAGGCTGAGGCAGAAGAATCGCTTGAACTGGGAGGCGGAGGTTGCGGTGAGCCCAGATCGCGCCATTGCACTCCAGCCTGGGTAACAAGAGAGAAGCTATGTCTCAAAAAAAAAAAATAGTAAATAAAATAAATAAATAAAGAATAAATAAAGAGCACTAATCCATTTGTGAGGGTGGTGGAACCCTCTTGACTTTCATGTCCACAAAGTCCCCGCCTCTTAGTACCATCACCTTGGGGTTTAAGTTACAACATGAATTTTGGAGGGACACATACATTCAAACCACAGTGATGCTGGTACAGGTCCTGTATCAGTCAGGGCTCTCCCAGAGAAACAGAACCAGTAGGGGTGTGTGTGTGTGTGTGTGTGTGTGTGTGTAAAGAGAAAGATTTGGCCGGGCTCGGTGGCTCAAGCCTGTAATCCCAGCCTTTGGGAGGCAGAGGTAGGCGGATCACGAGGTCAGGAGATTGACACAGTCCTGGCTAACAGGGTGAAACCCTGTCTCTACTAAAAATACAAAAAATTAGCCGGGTGTTGTGGCGCGCACCTATAATCCCAGCTACTCGGGAGAAGAATCTCTTGAACCCAGGAGGCGGAGGTTGCAGTGAGCCAAGATTACGCCACTGCACTCCAGGCTGGGTGACAGAGCGAGACTCTGCCTCAAAAAAAAAAAAAAAAATGGAGAGAGAGAGACCACAAGGAACTGATTTACACAGTTGTGGGGGCTGGATAGGCAAATTCAAAATCCCTAAGACAGCCTGGAGCTCTCAGGTAGGAGCTGATGCTGCAGTGCCCAAGGAGAATTTCTTCTTCCTCAAGGGAACCTTAGGAGTTGAGAGTTGATTTTTTTTTTTGAGACGGGGTCTTTCTCTGTCACCCAGGCTGGAGTGCAGTGGCGTGATCTCGGCTCATTGCAACCTCTGCCTCCTGGGTTCAAGCGATTCTCCTGCCTCAGCCTCCCCAGTAGCTGGGATTACAGGCATGTGCCGCCAGGCCACTGATTGTGTATTTTTAGTAGAGACAGGGTTTCACCATGTTGGTCAGGCTGGTCTCAAATTCCCAGTCTCAGTTGATCCGCTTGCCTCGACCTCCCAAAATGCTGGGATTACAGGCGTGAGAAACCGCGCCTGGCCTAATTTTTGTATTTTTAGTAGAGACAGGTTTTCACCATGTTGGCCAGGCTGGTCTCAAACTCCTGACCTCAGGTGATGCACCCTCCTCGGCCTCCCAAAGTGGTGGAATTACAGGCATGAGCCACCGTGCCCGTCCGGGAGTTGATCTTTTTTTTTTTGTTTCTGAGACGGAGTCTCCCTCTGTTGCCCAGGCTGGAGTGCTGTGGCGCTATCTCGGCTCACTGCAACCTCTGCCTCCTGGGTTCAAGCGATTCTCCTGCCTCCGTCTCCTGAGTAGCTGGAATTATAGGCATGAGCCGCCATTCTCCTGCCTCAGCCTCCCGAGTAGCTGGGACTACAGGCGCCCACCACCACGCCAGACTATTTTTTTGTATTTTTAGTAGAGACGAGGTTTCACCGTGTTAGCCAGGCTGGTCTCGATCTCCTGACCTCGTGATTTGCCTGCCTCGGCCTCCCAAAGTGCTGGGATTACAGGCGTGAGCCACCACGCCCGGCCTTTTTTTTTTTTTTTTTTTTTTTTTTGGAGATGGGGTCTCGCTCTGTCACCCAGGCTGGAGTGCAGTGGTCTGATCTTGGCTCACTGCAACCTCCACCTCCCTGGTTCAAGCAATTCTCCTGCTTCAGTCTCCTGAGTAGCTGGGATTACAGGCACACGCCACCACACCTAGCTAATTTTTGTATTTTTAGTAGAGACGGGGTTTCACCACATTGGTCAGGCTGGCCTGGAACTCCTGACCTCATGATCCGACCGCCTCGACCTCCCAAAGTGCTGGGATTACAGGCGTGAGCCACTGCGCCCGGCGGTAGTTGATCTTAAGGCCTTTCAACTTGATGGATAAGGCCCACAGAAATTATCAAAGATAATCTGTTTTACTTAAAGTCAACTGACATCTACAAAATACCATTGCAGTGCCTCCTAGATTAGCATCTGACTGAACAAGGATACTACATAACCTAGGCAAGTTGAAATAAAAAGCTAACCATCACAGGTCCTGTGGCTGGAAAGACAAATTCATACCCAGAATTAATGTCAATTCCAGTCAAGATGGATTGTTGCCTCATCCAGAGTGGAAGGGATCCAATGTAATCAACTTGTCATCATGTGTCTAGTTGATCTCTGAGGAAGAATGGTGCCGTATGGGGTGTGGCATTGGTCTGTTACTGGCAGGTTGGTTGGCAGTATTAAAATGAGTCTTGGTGAGTGGGACCCCATGCTCTGGGGCCCAGTTATAGCTTTCATTCTCTACCACCATGGATCTTCATTCATGCACCAACTGGGGAAGCACTAAGTTGACCAATGACAGAGACTGGCTCATGTCAGCTGGCCTAGTTATTCTGTCTACTTAGTTGTATAGTACATCTTCCATGGCGGATGCTCTCTGATGGGTATCAGTGCAAAGATCTTTGTACTTTACGCCCATGCCCGCTCCCACAGGTCCATCCATATGTCTTTTTTTTTTTTCTCTGTCACCCAGGCTGGAGTGCAATGGTGTGATCTTGCCTCACTGCAACCTCCGCCTCCTGGGTTCAAGCAATTCTCCTGCCTCATCCTCCCAAGTAGCTGGGATTACAGGTATGTGCCACCACACCTGTCTAAGTTTTTTGTATTTTTAGTAGAGACGGGGTTTCATCATGTTGGCTAGGCTGGTCTCGAACTCCTGCCCTCGTGATCTGCCCGCCTCCGTCTCCTAAAGTGCTGGGATTACAGACGTGAGCCACCGTGCCTAGCCACATGTCCCTTTACTATGTCTCTTTGTCTCTGATCTTCCCATCTTTCTCTCTCAAACCCCTAGCAAACCAGTCAAGCCATTTGCCATTGCACATGACTCCGGTATATTCTTACCTTGGGCTCCTTCTCTTTCCATATATAGTGGATGTCCAGGTGTGCTGCCAAAGCTCTGCCCACTGAGAGGATTTTCCCTCACTGCCGTCTTCAGGACAATCCAGAGTAGGACTGTAGTGCAGCGGGAGCCCATTCCCAGCTTGCATCCACTGAGCCAATCCATCTGTGAGCCAAGCTCTGCTTTTATTCCTTTTCCTTAGTTAATCATAAAGGATTCCCACTTCCCCATGTGGCCACCGTACATGCAAGCTAAAGGAGAGGTAGCAGTGCAACAGTGGTGGACAACATGGGGGTCTGCGTGCAGCTGTGGTGGATGACAATAGTGCGGGGCTGGGCCACATGCTCATGCAGCTTACTCGCACCTCCTACTTGTGTTCTCTGTTCTTGCTCAAGTTCAATCCTGGATACTCTTTGCATCCATGAGTGCTCTTGGGTCTACCTAACTGGATGAATGGGTGGGTCTGACAGGATCGAGTTATGATGGGCAGTTCTGGCTACATGAACACTGGTGCACATGCCCGGCTAATTTTTTTTTTTTTGTATTTTTAGTAGAGATGGGGTTTCACCATGTTGGTCAGGCTAGTCTCGAACTCCTGACCTCAGGCGGTCCACCCGCCTTGGCCTCCCAAACTGTTAGGATTACAGGCGTGAGCCACTGCGCTGGGCCTGGAGTACATGTTTCTTAGCAAAAACTCCAACATACTCCAACTGCAACTGCCACTTCTTTCCCATCCAGTCTGATTAACATCAGTGTTGTGGATCAAAATGCTGTTCTTCAGGATGTCCAGTAAGGTCCACTTGGACTACATTATATGAGAGGGTGAGAGAGATCACATAGGCAGGGTGTGTGTGTGGTGGGGTGGGGGATGGAATAAGACCATAAACGCAAATTTTTTTAAAAAATTTTTTGAGATGGAGTCTCGCTCTGTCACCAGGCTGGAGTGCAGTGGCACCATCTCAGCTCACTGCAACCTCTGCCTCCTGGGTTCAAGCGATTCTCCTGCCTCAGCCTCCTGAGTAGCTGGGAATACAGGCACACACCACCACTCCTGGCTTTTTTTTATTTTTAGTAGAACAGAGTTTCACCATGTTAGCCAAGGATGGTCTCAATCTCTTGACCTCGGGATCCGCCTGCCTCGGCCTCCCAAAGTGCTAGGATTAGAGGCATGAGCCACCACGCCCAGCCCTATAAACGTAACTTTTAGCCATCTAAAGTGAATGGAAATTTTTCTGATCCTCCTCTTGATAGAGATGAAAAATAAAGCATTATTAGAGCAATGGGCATAAACCATGTAGTTGAGGCTGTGTTGATCAGCGTTAGCGGCTATCCACCTCTGGCACAGCAGTTTCAAGTGAGGCTTACCTCTTGCTGAGTTTGCAGTAGTCCATTTTAGTCCTTTAGGATCTGTCTGGTGAATTTAAGAAAGATATCATGGGAGGCCAGGTGCAGTGGCTCACGCTTGTAATCCCACCACTTTGGGAGGCCGAGGCGGGCGGATTACCTGAGGTCAGGAGCTCGAGACCAACCTGGCCAACATGGTGAGACCCCCATCTCTACTAAAAATACAAAAATTAGCTGTCCGTGGTGGCGTGCGCCTGTAATCCCAGCTACTCAGGAGGCTGAGGCACAAGAATCGCTTGAATCCGGGAGGCAGAGGCTGCTGTGGGCCAAGATCATGCCACTGCACTCCCAGCCTGGGTGACAGACCAAGACTCCATCTCAAAGGAAAAAAAAAAAAGGGCTAGGCGTGGTAGCTCATGTCTATAATCCCAGCACTTTGGGAGACTGAGGTCTGAGGTGGGTGGGTCACTTGAGGTCAGGAGTTCGTGACCAGCCTGGCCAACATGGTGAAACTCCATCTCTACTAAAAATACAAAAAATTAGCCAGGCATGGTGGTGGGCGCCTGTAATCCTAGCTACTCAGAAGGCTGAGGGAGGAGAATCACTTGAAATGGGGAGGTGGAGGTTGCAGTGAGCCAAGATTGTGCCACTGCACTCCAGCCTGGGCGACAGAGCGAAACTCTGTCTCAAAAAAAAAAAAAAAAAAAAAAGATATAATGGAGACCAGCACTCCTGCTGCACCCTAATCACCTCCATAGCTCTCTGCAGACGAGCCACCCCACCCCACAGTCCCCTGACATGGCCATTTGTTATGATAATTCAACCCACCTGGCTTCTGATGTTTCAGTGCTGCCACCTGGCCTCTGTTAGGTAAGGACATGACCATTCTCACTGTTTTTAGGAGTCTAGTTCTGTAACTTCTCAGTGATGATGGTGTCCCTTTCACCAGAAATTTCTCACCCATTTGATAGAAGGGATGTCCGCCAGACCCTCCCATGGAGCATAGTTAGCTGGTAGATTTTCCAGCTTTTTTTCCAGTATATACACTCTGGCGTGCCCAATTCTCTTTTTATTTTTATTTTTGAGGCAGGTGACAGACTCCCTCTGTCACCTAGGCTGGAGTGCAGTGGTGCAATCTCGGCTCACTGCAACCTCCGCCTTCTGGGCTCAAGTGAGCCTGCCACCTCAGGCCTCCAAGTAGCTGGGCCCACAGGTGCGTGCTACCACTCCTGCTAATATTTTTTGTAGTTTTAGTAGAGATGGAGTTTCACCATGTTGCCAAGGATGCCCAATACTCTGTTTTCCACAGCAGTTTCAGTTTTTCTACTTCACTCAGTGTGGGCCATTGCTTTCTCCCGGCTTCCAAGAGCCACCCGGGAAGTATATTAGTACCATCTCCTGGGATCTTTGCTAGAGTCTATTATCAGGACGCTCCCAAGATGCTCCAATCAATAAAATTTTTTTTTTTTTTGAGATGGAGTTTCGCTCTTTGTTGCCCAGGCTGGAGCGTAATGGCACACTCTCGGCTCACTGCAACCTCCGCCTCCCGGGTTCAAGTGATTCTCCTGCCTCAGTCTCCCGAGTAGCTGGGATTATAGGCATGCGCCACCATGCCCGGCTATTTTTGTATTTTTAGTGGAGTCGGGGTTTCTCCATGTTGGTCAGGCTGGTCTTGACCTCCCGACCTCAGGTGATCCGCACACCTCGGCCTCCCCAAAGCGCTGGGATTACAGGCGTGAGCCACCGCGTCCGGCCTCCAATCAATAAACTTTCACTTCTCCAACCTTACGCAATGCCCTTCTCACCCCCGTCAAGTCCTGTAATACTGCCCCAGCTTCTGTGAGTACATGTTGGCTAGGTCCTGCAACTTCTTCAGGATACAGAGCCTGAATGAGTCACAGTCCAATCAGAAGACAAAAAAACACCTAGTAATTTGAACAGGGAGAAAGTTGGATACATAGACTAAGTATACCAGGGAATTGGAGTAATGAAGGATTAGCTAGTAAAAAGGAAACTTTCAAGAGCACAGGAATAGCAGACATAAGGAACAGTCACTACCCCTAATGTTGAGATAGAGCACCCAAGGAAGGGGCCATCCCAGGGCTGAGATCCCAATCTTGTTGGCAGGAAAGGGTCATGGCTCCTTGGAGGTCAAAAACATCACTGTGGGGCTAAAGCCCATCTGCCTGCCGAACTCACTGGCAATCTGACCTCTAGGGTGCCTGGGGAAGTCGTGCACACACAGGTGTGTTATCAGAAGTGCTCCCTAAGCAACTCCTCAGGGGAATGCTGGGGGTGGCTGCTAGCTGCTGGGGGCTGCTATTTGCATGCAGTAGAGCTGGGCAGTGGAGAAGCTGCTCACACTGCAGGAGCTGGGAGCTAGAGGAGCCATAGGAGGCTGCCGAGAACAGCACAATTGCACTAGGGAGGAAAACACTTTCCTCCTGCAAAGTTTCTCCAGCAGCCTCTAATGACAAAGTTTGACATAGTGCCAACTGGCAGAGGAGAAATATTTGAGGGGCTCCGATCCATTTTCATAGAGAAGGCAATGAAGGATTTATTTGGAGTGAAGTGGCAAAAAAATGACAACTGGCATAGTCCTTTTCCTTTAGCGAGGCCAGCACTTACATAGCTAGGGTATGTTGTGACTTGACTGTAGTAATTGGCCTAGTGGCAAGGAAAAGAGATGGGGGATACATCCAGAGAAGTGTGCATTACTACAAGGCACAAGCCTCTGAATTCAAGCAAGAGGGGAACATTAGCCTCTTACAGAGAGGAGTGGACCATGTCTGCAGTCCCAGAGAATTCAGGGAGATCTGGGATTTCATGGACCCAGATGTCTCCATCCCAAATCTCAGGATCCCATCCCATCCCAACCAGGACCTTCAACTCATTATAGTAGGCTTGCAGTGGATGAGAAAATAACTTTTCTTTTTCTTTTTTCTTTTTTTTTTTTTTTTTTTGAGACGGAGTCTCGCTTTGTCACCAGGCTGGAGTGCAGTGGCGTGATCTTGGCTTACTGCAACCTCCACCTCCCAGGTTCAAGCGATTCTCCTGCCTCAGCCTCCCAAGTAGCTGGGACTACAGGAGTGCACCACCACGCCCAGCTAATTTTTGTATTTTTTTGTAGAGATGGGGTTTCACCACGTTGGCCAGGATGATCTCGATCTCTTGACCTCGTGATCTGCCCACCTCGGCCTCCCAAAGTGCTGGGATTACAGGCATGAGCCACCGAGCCCGGCTGAGAATTCAACTTTTTATGGAGTTCTGCTCTACTTATAATTACGTCCTGGGCATGATCCTCAGCTTTCTGCCTTTTGGCTACAGGAGTTGAGTTTCTCCTCATTGGCTGCCAAGGGAGCTGTGTTAGTTTTCTATTGCTGTGTAACAAATTACCACAAACAGTGGCTTAAAACAACATCTGTTTGTTATCATGCAATTCTGTGGGTCAGGAGTCTGGACATGCTTGACTGGCTTATGTTTGTTTGTTTGTTTTTCTGAGACGGAGTCTCACTCTGTTGCCCAGGCTGGAGTGCAGTGGTACGATCTCAGCTCACTGCAAGCTCCGCCTCCTGGGTTCAAGTGATTATTGTGCCTCAGCCTCCTGAGTAGCTGGAACTACAGGTGCACACCACCACACCCGGCTAATTTTTGTATTTTTAGTAGAGACAAGGTTTTACCATGTTGGCCAGGCTGGTCTTGAAATGACCTCAAGTGATCCACCCGCCTCAACCTCCCAAAGTGCTGAGAGACAGGTATGAGCCACCGCACCCGGCCCATGCTTGACTGGCTTCTGCTCAGAGTTCAGGTCAACTGTGCCATATAACATGGCATAATCACAGGAGTAATATCTCATCACATTAACAGATTCCAGGGTTCAGGGTATGGAATCTTTGTCGGGGGGGTGCTATTTTTATTTCTTTTCTTTTTTCTTTTTTTTTTTTTTGAGATGGAGGTTTTACTTTGTCACCCAGGCTGATGTGCAGCGGTGTGATCACAGCTCACTGCAGTCATCATCTCCCTGGCTCAAGTGAACCTCCCACGTCAGCCTCCTAAGTAACTGGGACCACAGACAAGGGCCACCATGGCTGGCTAGTTTTTTTTTGTTTTGTTTTCATAGAGACAAGGTCTCACTCTGTTGCCCAAGGCTGGTCTCAAACTCCTGGGCTCAAGCGATCCTCCTGCCCTGGCCTCCCAAAGGCTTGGATTACAAGGATGAGCCATACTGCCCGGCCCAAGGCGGGGTTGTTTTTAGAACTTTGCCTACTACAGTCTGCCTTCTGGCTCCCAAAGATTCACATCCTCCTTGCCCCCATTGCAAAATACATTTACCTCCTCTGAAGCATCCCAAAGGTCTC
Organism: Homo sapiens; assembly: GCF_000001405.40. NCBI lineage: Eukaryota > Metazoa > Chordata > Mammalia > Primates > Hominidae > Homo > Homo sapiens. Next base: position 49,280,403 of record NC_000017.11, read on the forward strand.
ATCCTACTACAACATAAATTCAAAGTCTCAAATGTTATCTAAATATCGTCAGCTCAAAAGCCCAAAATTATATCATCTACATCAAGTACAGATGAATTCACTGCATATGATCCACTAAGTATAGCTCCTGGACAAAGTTCCTCACCATCTATGGACCTAGGAAATTAAACAAATTGAAGCTGGGTACAATGAGAGGCCGATGTGAGAGGACCACTTGAGGCCAGGAGGTTCAAGACCAGCAGCCTGGGCAACCAGCAAGACCCTGCCTCTAAAAAAAAAAAAAAAGAAGAAGAAGAAGAAGGAGAAAAAGAAAGAAGGAAGGAAAGGAAAAAAAAAAAAAACTGAAGTTGTGGCTGGGCACGGTGGCTCATACCTGTAATCCCAGCACTTTGGGAGGCCAAGGTGGGAGGATCACTTGAGGCCAGGAGTTCGAGACCAGCCTGGGCAACATAGTAAGACCTCGTCTCTTTATTAAAAAAATAAGGCAGGAGGATCTCTTGAGCCCAGGAGGTCGAGGCTGCGGTGAGCTGTGATCACGTCACCGCACTCCAGCTTGGGTGACAGAGTGAGACCCTGTCTCAAAAACAAACACAAAAAACCCAAGTTGTATGCTCCCGACACTCCCAACATACAATAGTGGACAGGCAAAGGATAATAGTTATATTCTGGTCCAACAAGGGGGAAAGGTCACTGGTCCAAAGCAATTTTTAAATCCAGTTGAGCAAACTCCATTAGGTTTCAAGGCCTGGAAATAATCCTTCATGGCCCTTGACTCTATCCTCTGTGCTCTTGGGTGCAACTCCTGAGTCATCTTTACTTTTTCATGAAACATAGCACATGTTTGCCACTAAGTTTTTTTTTGTTTTTTGTTTTTTTTCTGAGACAGAGTTTCACTCTTGTCACTCAGGCTAGAGTGCAGTGGCGCAATCTCGGCTCACCGCAACCTCTGCCTCCCGGTTCAGGCAATTCTCCTAACTCAGCCTCCCAAGTAGCTGGGACTATAGGCATCTGCCACCATACCTTACTAATTTTTTGTATTTTGGGTAGAGACGACGTTTCACTATGTTGGCCAGGCTGCTGGTCTCGAACTCCTGACCTCGTGATCCATCTATCTCGGCCTCCCAACGTTCTGGGATTACAGGCGTGAACTACTGTGCCTGGCCTGCAGCTAAGTTTTATCAACCTGCTTTCTGCCACTAAAATTTTGGGGACTCAAAGACTTTCTTTTTTTTTTTTTTTTTTTTTTTTTTGAGACAGAGTTTCACTCTTGTTGCCCAGGCTGGAGTGCAATGGCTCACCACAACCTCCGCCTCCTGGGTTCAAGCGATTCTCCTGCCTCAGCCTCCCAAGTAGCTGGGATTACAGGCATATGCCACCATGCCCGGCTAATTTTTTTTTTTTTTTTTTTTTTGACAGAATCTTGCTCTGTCACCCAGGCTGGAATGCAGTGGCACGATCTCGGCTCACTGTAGCCTCTGCCTCCTGGGTTCAAGTGATTCTCCTGCCTCAGCCTCCTGAGTAGCTGGGACTACAGACGTGTGCCACCACGTCCAGCTAATTTTTGTATTTTTAGTAGAGATGGGGCTTCACCATGTTGGCCAGGCTGGTCTCAAACTCCTGACCTAGTGATTCGCCCACTTTGGCCTCCCAAAGTGCTGGGATTACAGGCGTGAGCCACCGCGTTCAGCCTAATTTTGTATTTTTAATAGAGACAGGGTTTCTCTGTGTTGGCCAGGCTGGTCTCGAACTCCCAACCTCAGGTGATCCACCTACCTCGGCCTCCCAAAGTGCTGGGATTACAGGCGTGAGCCACTGCGCCTGGCCTAGACTTTCTTTTATTTTGTACTCTGTCCCTCTCAGTCCAAGCTCACAGTGTTTCTGCTGGTATAAACTTCTCTAGAACCTTGTGGGCTTTGCATAGATTTTGTAGGGATTCACTCCATCAGACAAATGCTCTTCCACGGATCTTTCTAAAATAGTCCCTTCTTGATATTCGGCTTCTGCTGAGAAGCCTAAGGGATAATACCTCGTAAGCTTCCTAGAGACACCCTGGTTTAAGTGAGATCTATGAAGACAGCCTTAGTACAGGTTGAATTGTGTCCTGCCCACCCCCTCCTCCAATTGCTAAGTTTAAGTCCTAACCACCCACATCCCACCTTGGAATGTAACCTTATTTGGAAATGGGGTAGTTGCAGAGGTAATTAGTTAAGATGGGGTCAACCTGGAGTCAGGTGGGCCCCTAATGCAATATGACTGGTGTTCTTATAAAAAGGGGAGATTTGGACACAGACATGCACACAGGGAGAATGCCACATGAAAGTGAAGATCAAGGATGATGCTTCTACAAGCCTAGGAACACTAAAGATTGCCAGCAAACCAAACCCCAGAATCTAGGGAAGAGGCATGGGACAGATTGTCCAACTCCAACAAGAACCAACCCTGCAGACACCTTGATCTTGTATTTGTAGCCTTTAGAATTGTGAGACAGTTTTTTTTTTTTTTTTTTTTTTTTTTGAGACAGAGTCTCATTCTGTCACCCAGGCTGGAGTGCAGTGGCTCAATCTTGGCTCACTATAACATCTGCCTCCTGGGTTCAACTGATTCTCGGGCCTCAGCCTCCCAAGTAGCTCGGATTATAGGTATCCACCACCACACCTGGCTAATTTTTTTGTATTTTTAGTAGAGACGGGGTTTCACCATGTTGGTCAGGCTGGCCTTGAACTCTGAACTCAAGTGATCTGCCCACCTCGGCCTCCCAAAGTGCTGGGATTACAAGCATGAGCTACCGTTCCCAGCCAGAGACAATACATTTTTGTTGTTTAAGCCACCCAGTTTGAGGTACTGAACTACAGCAGGCTTAGGAAACTAACACAACCTTTAATCGCTTATGATTGACATTTTGATCTTTCTGAGATGTCAGCAAAAGTTTGTGTAGTCCCATACTTGGACTTTTATCTATGTTAGTTTTGGGCAGGCACTTCTGAATTTTAGCCTCTTTTGCAACCTGGATGGGCTGAGAATTTTCCAAATTATCAAGTCCTGATTCCTTTTTTTTTTTTTTTTTTTTGAGACAGAGTCTTGCTTTGTTGTCCAAGCTAGAGTGCAGTGGTGCAATCACAGCTTACCATAGCCTTGACCTCCTGGGCTCAAGCGATCCTCCCACCTCAGCCTCCCAAGTAGCTGGGACTACAGGTGCATGGCCACCACATCTGGCTAGTTTTATTTTTCATTTTTTGTAGGAACAGGGTCTCACCATGTTGTCCAAGCTGGTCTCAAACTCCTCAACTCAAGCAATCCTTCCTCCTGAGCCTCCTAAAGTGCTGGGATTACAGGTGTGAGCCACGGTGTCCATCCCTGGTTCTTTTAACAGTTCTTCTTTCATTTATTCCTTTATTTATTTATTTATTGAGAGACAGAGTTTCACTCTGTTGCCCAGGCTGGAGTAGAATGGCGTGCTCTTGGCTCACTGCAACCTCTGCCTCCTGGGTTCAAGCAGTTCTCTTGCTTCAGCTTCCCAAGTAGCTGGGACTACAGGTGTGTGTCACCACACCCAGCTAATTTTTGCATTTTTTAGTGAAGACGGGGTTTCTCCATGTTGGCCAGGCTGGTCTCAAACTCCTGACCTCAAGTGATCCGCCCGCCTCTGCCTCCCAAAGTGCTGGGATTACAGGTGTGAGCCACCATGCCCAGCCTCTTCAATTTATTTCTATCCTCTTGCATTTTACTATGAGCAGCAAAAAGAAAGTAGGCTTTGCCTAGAAAAATGTCATTGGCTAAATATGTACATTCATTGATTACAAGTTCTGTTTTTCCATAGAACTGCTAGACACAATTCCACTAAGCTTTCTGCCACTACATGATAAGAATCTCCCATCCCCAGCCTCCAACAACATGCTCCTCATTTCCTCCTGAGCTCCCACTGTCAGCGTCAAGTCAGGTTTCTACTAATGGTCTGTTCGTGGAGACTGAACCTTTATCTAAGATATTGAGAATTTCTATACATTCTTTAGAATTTAGGATTCTCCTTTCTTCTGACCAGCAACGTCTTTAGCATCCATATTTCTTTTTTTTTTTTTTTTGAGATGCTCTGTCACCCAGGCTGGAGTGCAGTGGCGTGATCGTGGCTCACTGCAACCTCCGCCTCCTGGGTTCAAGCAATTCTCCTACCTCAGCCTCCCAAGTAGCTGGGATTACTGGTGTGCACCATGCCCAGCTAATTTTTGTATTTTTAGTAGAGACAGGGTTTCACCATTTTGCCCAGGCTAGTCTTGAATTCCTGATCTCAGGTGATCCACCCGCCTCAGCCTCCCAAAGTGCTGGGATTACAGGCATGAGCCGCCGTGCCCAGCCAGTATCCATATTTCTAAGAAAGGTCTGCTTAAGGAAATCTAGGCTTTTTCTATCAAGCTCCTCAAAATTCTTCCAGCCTTCACTCACTGTGCAATTCCAAAGTCATTCCCACATTTTTAGATATTTGTTATAGCATCCCACTTCTGGGTAGCCACATCTCTCTTAGTTTTCTAGTGCTGCATAACAGATACCACAAATGTGGTGGCTTTAAACAGCACAAGGCCTTCTGATTTTCACACATGACCTCAATTGGTGGCTAAACGCCTCCAGCCTTTCATTAGCTTTCTTGAATGCATCAGTGGTGTTCACCAAAAGCCTTCAGATTCTTCGGAATCTGAAGCCTTCACCATCTGTAGAATCAGTACTCCCTCCAACCTCTCAAAAGCCTATGATAACCGGGCATGGTGGCTCATGCCTGCAATCTCAGCACTTTGGGAGACTGAAATGGGAGGATCATTTGAGGCCAGGAGTTCAAGTCCGGCATGGGCAACAAAGTGAGACTGTCTCTAAAAGAAAAGTCTATGATACTGCACGCACCACCATGCATTCCCTTCCACAGGTTCACCACTAGTGAAAGTTTGAGCAATTCCACCACTTCGGCACACTTAGGATATCAGTTCCACCTGCCACTAGTGATGGCTGGCAAGTGATCCAGGTCCAAAACCCTATTTTATTATTTTATTTTATTTTTGAGATGGAGTTCAAGCGATTCTCCTGCCTCAGCCTCCCAAGTAGCTGGGATTACTGGTGTGTGCCACTACCCCTGGCTAATTTTTGTATTTTTAGTAGAGACAGGGTTTCACCATGTTGTAGTCTTGAACTCCTGGCCTCAGGTGATCCACCCGCCTCGGCCTCCCAAAGTGCTGGGATTACAGGCGTGAGCCACCGCACCTGGCCCCCGAACTCCTTTTTAGAGTTGGCTTTCCCACACCACTCCTGGTGCTAACTGTATTAGATCAGGTTCCCCAGGAACCCACACGACGACTGAGAACCAAAACCTGAGGACTGAAGGAAGCAGGATTGGACAAAAGGCCATGTGGGGTGCAGAGGTGAGCTGTCATGCAGTCACAAGGGCCTCAGGTGATCTTGCGGAAGTTTGGGAGAGGGTGGCTCTTTGGAATTGTCCCACCCAAGGCACAGATAAGGGTCTTTATGCCTCTTCATCAACCAGCCATTGTATGTGAACTGCCCGGGGGAGGGGAGGTGGCTTTCCTCAGCTTAGCGCAATTCCAGGAGAGGGACACAGCTGAGAGCTATTGGCACAAACAGCCGGGAGGATGAGTGCCTCAGTCCCTGAAGGGAGGGGACCTGGGTGGCCCCCCTGCCCCATCCACTGCCATTATTATTTTCTGCATCTCCCAATAGTTAATATTTGTACTTTGTATTAATTGTCTATTGCTGCATAGCAAATTACCCCCTGAACTTAGAGGCTTAAAACAACAAATATTTGTAACCTCGCAGTTTCCGCTGGTCAAGAATCTGAGGCTGTGTGTCTGGCTCAGGGGCTCTCAGGAGACAGTCATCAAGCTACTGGCTTAGAAGCACCTCAAAACTCTGCTGTGGCTGGAGGGAACCATTTCCAGGCTCACTCATGTGACTGTCGGCAGGCCTCAGAAGACCCACTGCAAGCCCACTCACTGGGTGCTGGCAGGCTTGCGATCCATGGCACGACTTCCGTAGGCTGCCTAAGTAACCTCGTGACATGGCGGCTGGTGAATGGAGAGCAAGAGACCACACCAAGTCTGTTTGTATAATAACTTAATCTTGGAAGTGACATCTCATCATTTCTGCCATATTGTATTTGTTTGAAGTCACTCAGTTGGCCCGGCGGGGTGGCTCACATCTGTAATCCCAACCTCACTTTGGGAGGCCGAGGCGGGTGGATCACCTGAGGTCAGGAGTTCAAGACCAGCCTGGCCAACATGGCGAAACCCGATCTCTACTAAAAAAAAAAAAAAAAAAAAAAAAAAAAAACATTAGCCGGGGTGGTGGCGCGTGCCTGTAATCCCAGCTACCCGGGAGGCTGAGGCAGGAGAATTGCTTGAACCCAGGAGGCAGAGGTTGCAGTGAGCCAAGATTGCGCCACTGCACTCTAGACTGGGTGACAGAGTGGGATTCGGTCTCAAACAAACAAACAAACAAAAGTCGGCCGGGTGCGGTGGCTCAGGAGGCTGAGGCAGGAGAATCGCTTGAATCTGGGAGGCGGAGGTTGCGGTGAGCCGAGATCGCACCATTGCACTCCAGCCTGGGCAACAAGAGCGAAACTCCGTCTCAAAAAAAAAAAAAAGTTTTGGATTTTGGAGCATTTTAAATTTTGGATTAGGGATGCTCAACCTGTACTCAGTTATGGCCAAAAAAGTCAAGCTTCTTGCACAAGGAACTGGTACAAAGATATAAACTTTCAGTAACTTATACCTAAATCTGGGGGCTGTTTCAAGTTATCTATTGCTGTGTAACAAACCACCCCAAATCTTAGTGATTTATAATAATACTATAATAATAGTTTATATCTCATGATCCTATGGGTTGGCTGAGAGGTTATTCTGCTGGTCTCACCTGAACTTTTTTTTTTGAAATGGAGTCTCGTTCTGTTGCCCAGGCTGGAGGGCAGTGGTGCAATCTTGGCTCCTGGGTTCAAGTGATTCTCCTACCCCAGTCTCCTGAGTAGCGGGATTACAGGTGCCCACCACCAGGCCTGGCTAATTTTGTATTTTTAGTAGAGATGGGGTTTCGCCATGTTGCCCAGGCTGGTCTTGAACCCCTAACTTCAAGTGATCCACCCACTTCAACCTACCAAAGTGTTGGGATTACAGGTGTGAGCCACCGCACCCGGCCTCGCCTAGACTCTTAAGCATGCATTTACCTGTGGGTCAGCTGAGCTGGTGGGTCCAAGATGTCCTCACCCACGTCTGGAGCTGGGCAGGGACAGCTGGGAACTCTTGTCTCGATACAGCTCTCATCGCTCTGGTCTAGCCTGAGCTTTTTACTTGGCAGGCATGTTTCAAGAAAGGAAAATAAAGGCAGAGGCTGGGCGCGGTGTCTCATGCCTGTAATCCCAGCACTTTGAGAGGCCAAGGCAGGTGGATCACGAGGTGGAGATCGAGAACATCCTGGCCAACATGGTGAAACCCCGTCTCTACTAAAAATACAAAAATTAGCTGGGCATGATGGCGTGCGCCTATAGTCCCAGCTACTCGGGAGGCTGAGGCAGGAGAATCGCTTGAACCCAGGAGGCAGAGGTTGCAGTGAGCTGAGATCACACCACTGCCCTCCAGCTTGGGCAACAGAGCAAGACTCCATCTCAAAAAAAAAAAAAAAAAAAAAAGAAAAAAGAAAAATAGAAAATATCAAAGTGCAGCACATATATTTTTCTTGAACCTTTTATTCACTTATATAAATAAACTCATATATATATGTATTGAGTAGCAAAGTAGTGGTAAAAATATTTCTTGCTATGGGGTCATGGTGAAAGTTTGAAAGCACTTATTTAGTATATACTCAGGTGGGAGTGATTACCTACCCTGTATCTATGAAGAAACTGTGTTAACATCTACATCTAGTTAGAGATACAAGATGATAAAGAATAGCAATTCTATGATTTGGGCAGTTTTATTCCATTCTAAGAGGTTTCAAAGGGAAACTTGGACAATAAGATTTCCTTCCTATACACCCAACTCCCTCACTGGAATCCTTAGAAGGAACAAAATCAGGTGGCTTATGGGCTGGGAAGGCTTATTATGACAGAAGCTAGTTGATCTTCCAGCTGACTACAGTCACAGCTCTGAGGGCAAGCTTCACAGTATAAGGGCCCACACCACCTGACATTATATAAGATCATCATTTGTTTATTGTCAGGGTTTCTCCACTAGAAAGCAGGGTCTGTGAGAGTAGAGCCTGTCTTTCTCATTGCTGAATCCCCAGTGGCCAGATCAATGTCCAGCACGTATTAGGCATCTAATAAACATTTGTGGAATAAATGAATGACTGAATGAAGGGGGTAGAGGTAGGGAAAGATGCCTCATCCCAAGTACCATATTTTATAATTATTGCTTTTCACTGACTGTACTTTGTAAGCTGTTTCCATCTGTGTTGATTTTTCTTCAAATTGGTTCAGAACCCAATCCTGATCCTTTTTCCAAACACTGTTCTCAAGGATACTTTCAGATTATTGCTCGGCTGAACAAACTAGTGTTACTGAAACCAAACAGCGCTGCAAAGAGAGAACTAATCACTCTGCCTTTGGTTAACAGCCTTGAAAACATGTTATTCATGAAGAGATCAGGCAGGGTTTGAGGTAGGTCAGCCTATTACCATCACTAGAAACAACAAATAACAGCAGAAGAGGACTGCAGGATTGTTCATTTTTCTCAAAAAGGGCAATTTGTTAGCCAGGGGGACCTCAAAATGTTGTCACCTGAGGGTAAGGAAGAAATGAAGAAAGACACACAGGGGATATGGCTGCTTTTTTTTTTTTTTTTTACTTTGAACATTAGCATTAAGTTGGTTACCGTACACATCCAAAGGCCCAGCATCTCAGAAAAATCATTAGGCGGCACACCTGTACCAGAGTCTCACAAGAATAAAATATACAATGCTACATTGAGTGGTTAAAAATACACAAAAAAGTAGTTTTAACAATCTATAAATTTTTTATACTTAAAATCATGATTGAGTTGAAATAAAAAAGTGCATTTCAATTGCTAAAAAAATAATATCGGTATAGTTAACACAAGGGGGAAATCAGTACATTGAGGGATCTGACAGGATGCTGGAAAAAATGACTCAGGGAAGCCGGGCAGCATGGGCTCCTTTGGAGATTCAGGAGCGGAGCTCAGTTCCACCTCACTGCAGTTCCCTGGGGCCAAGCAGCCCTCCTCTCCCCAGTATCTTTCCCATCTTAAGAGATCCTGTCCTACCTACCTGTCACCTCCCCAACCCAAAGACTCCTCTAAACTTCTTTGCAGCATGACAGCTGCCTGCCCTACACTGAGTCTACTTGACCTTCAATTGCGTCTCCGCAGAGAGGTAGGAGAGGGACACTGCCCCATTCTGGACTTGACATAAGTACCCCAGCCACATGGCCTTCATCCTTATGACCTAGCAGGCAGAACAGGGACCAAGCAGCTTCTATTTTGTCAAACTCCTTTGGACAAATATTCAACATTCAACAACAAGCTTTGTAAACCTAACGCTAAACAAGTCATGGCAAGCAAACTGGATTTTCTTAAGAAATGAGGAAAAGTGCAAGTGATCTCAGTACTGTTGGGGAAAACAAAAATAAAAACAAACAAGTTGCACCTGGCCACTTGCTGCCTAAACCAATCACAGCTTCAGTTTTGTTTTTTGTCAAGTGTTGGAGTTACAAGTAGACACCTCTCTGTGCCTGGTATTGCTCAGGTTCAGACTTGGCTGGGGGTGAGGTGGCCAGGCAGAAATCAGTTAAGAAGGCCATTCCAGGTGTAAATGCCTCCCGGCTCTACAGGGGGTAATATTTACTGTCGTCTTTTCCCTTCCCAGGTTGATTACTGACCTGTTTGTTGTGAAGATGCTGCTGCAATAAGCACAAACAGAACTCATGGCCAGAGAGCTGATGACCACGGATAGGAGCCCTTAGACAAGTAACTGACAGAGAGGGAGCACACACAGTTTCTAACCTGGAGTGCCCGTTGCACTGGTCAGGAGGAAGTGCCTGACCTAGAGGACTTGTTCCCTGATGTAACAGATATCTCTTTGGAGCAGAGAAGGTGAGAAGCATTTCCTTACTCATACTCCAGAGTTCCCCCAGTGCTCTTGTTCCTCCTATAGATGTGATGGTGGTGGCCTGCGGAGGAGATAGGAGTGGAGAAGCCTGCCTGCTCTGCCTTTAGCACACAAAGGCGCCCCTATGGGAAGGTCCTGGCTTTCAATCTGGGGATCATCAATATGTAAAAAGTCTAATTAATTAAGATGCCTGACCCACAAGGACTCCACACCCACACATCAATCATTGCTTGGCATCATGAGGGATGAACGACGACTGGACTTTGTAATAAGGGAAAATTTCTTAAATAATCAAAATACATGAATAAGCTTTGAGCTAAGAGGCTATTCCAGAAGAGATTTAAAAGTGGGATCTTTCTTTAGAAGGTTGAGAATAAAGCTAACGTACTTTATTGCTCCCTTGTGGACAAAGCCAGAACTGCTGATGGAAAACAGTCACACAGCCCATGTCAAGAAATGAATAAAATGCATATTCAAATTTATGGAAGATTGAGAAGAAATCATCCCATTTTCAGAGGCTACATATATGCCCTTGGGGAGACAACTTAAGAAGTAAACACCAAAATTATGTCACACTGTTTCTTTTTAAACTAATGAATTGAATTAATAGAGCATGAAAAGATATTTCTAGGAGGGTTAGGAGCTCTAGCAGAATAAAATACTTCCCACCAACTTTCAAATGCAATGAAACAGTCTTGAGTCCTGTACAGGATGTCTATCATGCTCATCAGACGGTCCCTTTTCACCCATAAAAGACAGGTAGGGAGGAAGCTGTGTTCATTCAGAGGAGCTGGATATTCCAGAAACAACTTGACTCTTTGGCACATCCAGTACAGACACAGGCTCTTTAGTTGATCAGAACTAGCCAAGGCAAGTATCAGATTTCCTTCTGAAGTTAAGCAAAATTCAGCTTCTACCTCCTTTCTTGCCCCATCCTCACTTCCTATGAAATCATTTTCAAGTAATATGTAACATCCCTGATCTCACCAGAGAAGCTGACGTAGTGTGAAAGTAACCTGCGACTGGAAAGCTATGGGAACACTTCTCAGGGGCAGGAACTCCCTTGAATGTGTGTGTCAGAAGTTTCCTACTGAAGACATACAAGACAGCAGGCTGTCTCAAGGATGTGGTTCCTCCAAGTGACAAGCAAGTACAGCTCTCCGTTGTTTTATGGCCTGGGACCCTGAAGAGAAAAGCCACAAATTTTAAAGTAGATACTAAGTTACTAGTTACTATCCAAGAGGCAAACTTCTAGATCAATAATGAGGAAGAAACATCATGGCAAATCAAGTGAAAGGTAATTAACACAACAAGAAACCCGTTACTGATTTCTGTAACATAAAAATCTACCTTTTTCATTTTGTAAACTCACCTTCCCATCCCAAATAGCAGTGAAGCCTTCAAAAATCTTGAATTTATTCATCATCAAACATAACCAATTCTCACAATTTTGCACTATCTCACCAATAATATCTTTCCTGTTGCCAGACAGGAAAGATGGAGAATGTATTAACAGCTGCCTTCTTAGATACCCACCTTGTGTGGTTATTAGTCTTAAAAACCTGAGTACTATTAACTTTAAGGAAAAGGACATGAGATTTTAAGTCAGAAAGGAAAAATGCTGACTAAGGCCCAAATGCTCAACTCCAAGCTTTCATTCACCTAAAAAAATGCAATCAAATCTCCTCATTTGAAAGAGTTCTTTTTTTTTTTCCTTTTTCTCCAGTTTTGGAGGAGAACTGGAAGGGAGTAAAAAGACCTGTCCACAGCACAAACTTCCACTCTGGCTGTGAAGGACTAGCCAATTGCTAAATGTTTCATCACGGAGGTGCTCGATCATATTATATAAAACACTGCAACCTCCTTTTCATTACATCCTTCATATATTATGGATCCATCATACATTTTAAACAAATTAGATGAAAACAGCTAGAAAAAGTAAACAGAAGTTTTTGAGGGACAGGGCCATGAGAGAGCAGAAACCCAGGGAGCAATTTTAAATTAATTTGACTAAAATAAAGAGTATAGTCTTGCAAAATGTGTACGGAAGGGAGTGGGCACATGGGAACAGGGCAGAGCAACAGCAGCACTCAGGATCCTTTCATCAGAAAGGGGAGGCATTCAGGAAGACTTCAGTTGAGAAAAAGGTGTTCAAAAGACATTCAATGACCTTTAATTTTAAAGGAACGTCAAATTTCTGGTGAAAGTAAAAAAAGTGAAGAGTCAAATAAGGATAAAATCTTTCAACAGAGAGACGAAATATGTGAAGAAATAAGATATAAATAAAAGTTAAAAATATAACCTAAAAATGACATGGAGGAACAAAACAGAAATACGGTCAAAATTCTTGTCCAAGGTTTTAGCTAGTTTGTAGAGTTAAGCCCATTGGAATATGGGTGAATTCCAATATTCATGGATAATGAAATAGTCAGAGGTAGGATTTAGATCAGGAAAAGAATGTTCCAGGATGCTGGCATTTTGAAGGCACTCAAAAACAGAGTGAGAGAGACTGAAGCTGCAGTGACATCAGAGGATTAGAGAGAGGTGCATACTCATGTGTCTGTCATAAAGAAATAAAACAACTCCAGGAACCTGTGACCATACATATATTATTGAGTAATACATAGAGTAACAAAGCAGAAAGAAAGCCACCTTGTAAGTAGTTTCTTACTACAATACAGATTCTATCTAGTGAACAAGAAACAGTTTGTTTTCCAAATATGTATGTCTGCAAAGTATTCTGACTTAAGTAAAGAATTTGATAAATGGTATGTGATCTGGTTCTTTAAACAAATTTACTGAAGCAAAAGCTTCAAAGCTGGAACAACCAAGGAGTTTGATTTTCCTTTGAATCTTGCAAAACCTATCCTCTGAGACAAAAAGATCTGATCATAAAGTCTATAAAAAAGTCTAGAAAGTATAAAAGTATAGAACTATGAAAGTGGATATATTGATGGCAACTTTTATGGCTTCCATAGAAAGTGTAGAGAGGATCTCTGGTTTGCTTTATCGAGGTAGTGTCCAGGGTTGGAAGGTCATCATTCTTTATTGTAAGTGCTACAGATGACAAAAGCAGGTTAGCTAGGGTGTTGTTATTGCATAATAATGCCACTATTTCTAATGGCTTATGACCTTTCATTCCTAAAAAAAAAAAAAAAAAAAAAAAAAAAAAACTCTTAAGTAATTTCCTATCTTGGTTCAGGCAAAGGAAAATTAAAACCCAAACTTTACTTGCTCAATTTTATAGTCCGAAGAATTCCAAATGAGTTGATTTTTTTAAAACAGTAATTAGCTGATACAATTCTTAAATGTAATGTATCCCTTTTTTCATTAAGTACTTCTCATACAGTCTAGAACAGCATTGAAATATTTATCATGTGGACCAGCAATGCAATAAAAGTTGTCTTTTCTATACAGTAGCTCAAACAGAAAGGTTTCTCTAACTTTAGTTTTTTAGTTTTTTTTTAAAACATTAAAACCGACCTATCATTCTGTGTTTTACTAACTGAAACCTGCAAGATGGGGTAAATATACATATATCTGCAATGGATTTCTATCTCTGCTTCATCTTCTCAAAATTTAAAACTTCCAGTGAAATAATAATGGAACTAAACATACATATCTATTCAACAATCATAAAAACTGAAAAAAATTTCAAGAATTAAAAAATTCATAGTTTATAAGCATCTCATCAGAGCATTTTGCTTTCGGTTAGTATATGAGGGACAATCAAATTATAGGGACAGTTCTAACCACTAGAAAAGGATACTTCGAACAAATGTGGTTTTAAAAAAATGATGTAATTATGGTAATGGCCATGCTTAGTCATTAATCTAGAACAGTTAATGTAAATGGTAGACTATGAAAGTACAGGTAACTGATTTGCACAGTCTTCTTTGAACTAAAGTTTTTTTTGTGGCGATCTCCCCTCTTGCTAAAAATAAGAATCCAGTCACAAATATATGTGGAAATGAAGCCACATGCCTTTAAATTGTTGTCTTTTCTTCATTCAAATTTAAAAATCTAACTCCGAATGAGCCTATCTGACTCAATTTGAGAAAGCAGCAGCCTTTATTAAGGCTAAGGAAGAGTTTATATTTTACTGATAAATCTATGAGAGAAAATAGAAAAATAAAAACGAAACAAATACAAACCAACCCACACACACAAAAAATACAATGCCAACTCATCCTCAAATAAGTCTTAACCCTAGCAATGATACAAGCCTTTGAAGACAGTAAAACTAAGTAACGAGAGACAGCCTCAATTTGTTATCTATATAATGCTTAAATGCAGCCTTTGTTGTCTTTAACAGACATGTACAGATAAGGGCTGAGAACTCAAACTTCTCCATAATTCTTTTTTTCATAAACAGATAACAAGTAGGTAAAAAGTTTTGAAGAATTCATGGGGTGCTGTAGCATATATGGAAGAGAACATACCACATAATGCAACTTTTATCTTACAAAGAGGACCCCAACCAAATTTTCAACCCTGAGTTTGAGTCTTAAGCATGTTAAACGTGTTGCACATATATGTTTAAGGCTTAATCCTGCAGTTCTTCTATTCAGAAGCATTAATGTTGTGAATATTCTTTTTTTTTTTTTTTTTGAGATGGAGTCTCGCTCTGTTGCCCAGGCTGGAGCGCAGTGGCGCAATCTCGGCTCACTGCAAGCTCCGCCTCCTGGGTTCAATGTTGTGAATATTCTTAATGCATTTCATTATTTATATACAATATGATACTGATGAGGAGTCATTATATTCTGAGTAGTTTTCCTGAAGACCACAAGTCTCAAGTCAAGGAAAGTATCCTTAATCTAGGGGAAAAAAAGGAAGTTTCTAAATTGTTCCACAATACACTTCACTAAGAATTGTACTGTATGACAATGCTAATTTTTAAAAATAATATATATATATATTTTTGTTTCTGTTAAGGATGGTGGTATTTGCTTAATACTGGTTTTCCTGTATAGCAGATATTTTCTTATGGCTATATTTACTTGAATGAAAAATCAAAGATGACTACCTGAATATTCCAGTGTATAATTACAGTACAACCTCATGAAATGGTTGATTCTGTGGTCTCAAGTCTAGAATCCAGAATTGCTGCCCAATACTGTAAATTTATTCAGAACAAAATAAGGCAGTTGGACGTGGTGGCTCACGCCTGTAATCCCAGCACTTTCGGAGGCTGAGGTGGGCGGATCACAAGGTCAGGAGTTTGAGACCAGCCTGGCCAATATGGTGAAACCCCATCTCTGCCAAAAATACAAAACTTAGCCGGGCGTGCTGGCGCATGCCTGTAATTCCAGCTACTCGGGAGGCTGAGGCAGGAGAATCACTTGAACCCGGGGGGCGGGGGTTGCAGTGAGCCAAGATCACGCCACTGCACTCCAGCCCAGGCAACAGAACAAGACTCTGCCTCAAAAAAAAAAAAAAAAAAAAAAAAAAAACAGAACAAAATATAACCAATTAACTAAGCACAGTTTACATCTTTTAAAAAAATCATTTTAATACTACAGGCTTGACCATGAAATAATGATATGTCTATATAAAAGTGTAGGTTGACAAACTTGTCATGGAATGCCAAGGAGACTGTGGAGGGAGAGGGAGACAACCACTAAAGATATAACAGTCATATGCAAGGAATTAACTTTCCTTATTGGCTTGGGTACCTGGGTGCTCAAAGAATGTGTACAAATATTAAAAATACCATTCTTTAAAACTTACATCCAAAACCAGGAAGTATGTCTTGATATACTTTTCTGCCTCATTCCAAAATTTTCCTATGCTCATTATATAAGACAGGCAAAATCAGAAGGAGAAAATTTAGAAACACTAAACCAAAAAGCCAATAGAGAACGTGATGTTTGAAAAATATGGACTTAATCTCAATTGAAAGAGTTCATTTTTTCTTACCACAGAGCTCATTAGTTAGAAAAGTGCTCGAAGCATATCTGCACATTTAATATTAAAAATAAAAAAATAAATAAAAGCCAGCGTTCTGATTCAGGCAAAGATTTTAAGAAACCGAAGAAAGAAAAATGAAGAAATTTCAAGATTAAAAAATGGACTGGGCATGGTAGCATGCACCTGTAGTCCCAGCTACTTGGTTAGCTGAGGCAGGGTTGCTTGAACCCAAGAGTTGGAGGCTGTAGTGTGCTATAACTGCACCTGTGAATAGCCACTGCACTCTAGCCTGGGCAACATAGCAAGACCTTGTCTCTTAAAAAAAAAATTGGAGAGGGGGTGGGAGGTAAGTGATTTAGCCTGGGAACTCAGTTCTCTCAGATAAAGAAATACAAAATTTTAAGCTATACTGAGTCTGGATAAATATGATCTGTTAAGTGTAATCAATACACTAGCCCTTCTGTTCAGCCTTTCCTATAATAAGCTCCTGGTTGATTATGGTCTTTTGAAGTTCCCCAAACTTGAAAAAGTAATCTGCCTAAAGGTACTAGAGGTGCTGCTCTCTTTATCGCCTAAGAATGCTGGTATTACATAATTTGCAGAGGACAGGGCAGTAAAACTTAGGAGTTTTCCCTCACTATATTTAAACTGTGTTAAAATAGCTCAAGGTTGTGAACATATCCACATTTTACATATAATAGATATTTCAAAATTCATAACCAATTTGTCTTCTCATCTGAATTTCTCAGCCACTATCAGCAATGTCATGTTTGTGATTTTAAGTTTACTATTTTAGCTTCTTATAACAATTCTAGAAAAATAAAGCAACCTCAAAATGAGCGATTTCAATTTGTCATCCCATAAAAGTTAAACATCAACACAATTCCTAAGGGAAGTGAGAAACAGACGTGACTGAGATGAAATGATCTCCACTACTTCCTCCTCCTGTCAGCAAACAGCCTTATTCAAATTTTCAAAACATGCAAGCTTTAGGTGACTTCCCTGGAAAAGGCCCCATCCCCTGCAAATCATTTCATGTAATGCACTAACGAAGCCAAGCAGAACATGGAGGACAGGAGCACATTAGGGAGCCTCTCTTGAGTGTTAAGCAGAGATGTCAAAACTACCAAGTATTTACGCCAAATCCTGAAAGCAAAACCTCATTTTTGCAGTAACCTGGTCTGGAGACCCTCTCAGATACATCTAGTCTCTGAAGCACCTTTTGAGTTGTACGGATGTAAGAATAGCTTTGAATTATAGAAGTTATATGCATCTTTAAGAATCACATTTTGATGATTATAAAAATTTTTTTCTATTTTACAACATAGGTTCAGCTACACTGAAAAAATTACACTGCTTATTGAAATACATTTCATTTTAGAAACAGACTACCAAAGAAGTCTATACAAAAACTCTAAAATAATTTCTGTAGTAAAATAAAGAGTGCGTTAGGAGAGCTACACAAAGAAGAAAATTTCTGTCTTTCTCTATAATGCTTGATATACTGTGAAACATGGCCAGCTCAACTCTGTAGCTGGCACCAAAAGCTGAAAAGAATTCCTTACCATACACAGTGATACAATTAATGCTCTGGATTAATCTCACAGCCTTCCCGATTAGTACAAAGGAAACCAGGCCTATCCCCTCTTTGAGGAGAAGTCTGGGATATAAAAGCAAGCATACCTCATCAGCTGATATGAAATTATAAAATTCCACAAGTCTGAGTATTTGAAACTTATAAAAGTCATCAGAAAATGCAAGCAAATTGGGCTTTAGTTCAGTGGTTCCCCTGGTTTAGATGACAGTCCCTCTGTGAGCTCAAGGTAGTCTTCTTGTTCATTCCCTTGGATCTGTTGATTCAGTGACACTGGCGAAGCTCTTGGTAGAGGCGGAGGAGAGTCTGAGAACTAAGGAAATGCTCACCGACTCCCTCTGTGCACGCTCACACATGGGGACGTGTCTCCTGGAGAACACACTAAGGAGACGGATGTTAATGATGCTGTGCTGAACTGTTCTTCTCTGCCAGGTGCCGCAGAAAGTTGTCCTCACTCTGGCCTCTATGATTTAAAGGCTCACTCTTAAAGAGAGCTGGAGGTGGCGGGAGGTGAGGGACTGGAGGGATGGGAAGGTGGTGTGGGTGGTGAGGGTGTGGGTGGATGTGCAGGTGTGAGAAGGGGTGGGGGATGGGCCGAGGGGGAAGAGTGCTTACAGGATTCATATTGATTGGAGGGGTTGGGGTTGTGGCTGTGTTCACCACAGAAGGAACTGGGGTGGCTGGGGAAGTTGTAAGTGGGATCTGGACAGCAGGTGGCACATTCACGGGGCTGGTCACCCGAAAGCACTTCTCCTTGTGGGCCTTAAGCATGTTCGAGAAGCGGAACCGCTGGCCACACACATCACATGGATAGGGCTTCTCGCCTGTGTGAGTTCTGCGGTGTCTCTTCATGTTGGGGCGGCTGGTGAAGCTTTTGCCACAGATTTCACAGATAAAGGGTTTCTCTCCTGAGATGAACACAGACATAAAAATGATTAACATATTAGGTGGTAATTGTGTGCTCAAGCTTTTTTTTTTTAATAGAAATGGGGTCTCACTATGTTGATCAGGCTGGTCTCGAACTCCTGGCCTCAAGTGATCCTCCCATCTTGGCCTCCCAAAGTGCTGCGATTACAGGTGTGAGCCACTGCGCCTGGCCTATGAGACTGTATTCTAGAGTCATTTAAAAATCCTCTCAAATTTGGACTTAACAGATCACAGTAGATACAACTAAAACTTACATACACCCTACCATCTGGGCTTAGATAAAAGAAGAAGATAAAGATGGGGGAGAAGGCATCTACATTAGTGATCCTCTACATCCTACACAAAGAACAGTTCAAATGGCTTTCTGTGCTCAAGGAAATATCCTAGATGACTCTTTGCCTTTAAATTTAGGCAAGTTAATCTGTAAGAAATTTTTTTTCTTTTTTAGTTTTTTGAGACAGAGTTTTGCTCCTGTCACGCAGGCTACAGTGCGATGGTGCAATCTTGGCTCACTGCAACCTCCACCTCCCGGGTTCTAATGATTCTCTTGCCTCAGCCTCCTGAGCAGCTGAGACTACAGGTGTGCACCACCACGCCTGGCTAATTTTTGTATTTTTAGTAGAAACGGGGTTTCGCCATTTTGGCCAGGCTGGTCTCGAACTCCTGACCTCAGGTGATCTACCCACCTCGGCCTCTCAAAGTGCTGGGATTACAGGTGTGAGCCACTGCGCCTGGCTGCAATTTCTTTTTTAAACAGGATCTTGCTCTGTCACCCAGGGCTGGGGTGCAGTGGTGTGATCACAGCTCGCTGCAGTTTCAACCTCCTGGGCTCAAGCAATCCTCCCAGCTCAGCCTCCCAAATAGCTGGGACTACTACAGGTGCCAGCTACCACGCCTGGCTATCTTTTTTTTTTTTTTTTTCTGTAGAGGCAGGGCCTCGGAATTTTGCCCAGGCTGGTCTTGAACCCATGGGCTCAAGTGATCCTCCCGCCTCAGACTCCCAAAGTGCTGAGATTACAGGTATGAGCTAAGGCCCTGCCCTGTAAGCAATTTCTGATACTCCAAACAAAAGTAAGAATTTTCTGAAAATGTCCTGTGGAACAAAGAAGTCTCTTCCTGTCTATTCATACACAATCCTTAGCATACAGCTTGCTTTTTGGCACTGAACTTAGAAAATACTGGCTTAACAAACCTACAACATGAATTTCACACCACAGTGTTTCTCAATGAGTGCTATGGCATTTCTGCAGACAATTCCTCATTATGTGGGACTATCTGGCACCCAGCATTCCTGGTGCCAGCCTACTGAATACCCACAAGAGATTTCAACAATAAAAAAATGCCGCTATGCCATTTCCCAATGTCCGTGGGTGTAGGGAGGGTGTTGGGGGCTACTGCTCCTAGTTGAGGACCAGTGGGCCAGCGAGTCAAAACAGGAGACAGAATCCCATAGTTCTTAGAGCATTTAGAAAGGAAATTACGTTTGGGTTCTGAGGGCTTAATTTTTAAGCTTCCCTAACTTTCTTTTGAACTTATTGCTTAGTTCCATGCTGTGTCTGCCTGCTTCTCTACCCAGGCTATAGAAAATAAAATCCTTTATGATTCTATATGTCCATCAATCATTTTGTATGGGATGCTGAGGTGAGGCGGGGAGTACTTCTGTATATGCACTTCGGTGAACCATACGCTTGTACTGATCAATTCCTGCATCAGTCCTCCATATCTATAGCTCGTCTCTTCACATTAACTCCTGCTATAAGAGCGTTGCTGTCACTTCCCTTGCTGCTCCCTCTTCTCTCAACGAATGTGTTTATTCTACTCATGTGTATTGGGTCTTACTGTGTACCAGACACTGCTAACTGCTTTACATCTATTAACCTTGGTGATCTTCACAGTGACTGTATGAGGCAGGTATATTATTACCCCTTATTTTACTCATAATGGAATTAATAAACTTGCTCAAGTTTATATGCTAATGGAGAGTTAGGATTTAAAATCTGCAGCCTGGTTCTAGAGTTTATGTTTTTGACATATAAACCACAGTATTTCACAAATCACTCAACATGCATTTCTGCACACATGAAGGGATGTATTTTCTTACTTTCTCATCTACTTTGGGACTCCTTTTTTCCCACCCTCCAGGACCCCTTCTTATACCTAAGAGAAAACACCTCTTTACCCATAGCATAGTCCAAATTTCTTGTCTCCAGCTTTTCATTATAGTAGAAAACTGACATCCCCTATGGCCTCTTCCATGGAAGCCAGAATTTTCCTCACTTTCCTGAGAGACTGAAGAGTCAATTTTCTCCATAACTATCAGTATTATTTGAAGACTATCATATTTCCCTTGTCTTTACGCTTTTTTTTTGAGTCGGAGTCTTGCTCTGTCGCCCAGGCTGAAGTGTAATGAGTGGCACGATCTCAGCTCACTGCAGCCTCTGCCTCCTGGACTCAAGTGATCCTCCCGCCTCAGCCTTCAGAGTAGCTGGGATTACAGGCATGTGCCACCACACCCAGCTAAGTTTTGTATTTTTAGTAGAGATGGGGTTTCACCATGTTGGCCATGCTAGTCTCAAACTCCTGACCTCAGGTGATCCGCCCACCTCGGCCTCCCAAAGTGCTGGGATTACAGGTGTGAGCCACCACACCCGGCCCTCTTTACACTTTTCATTCTTCAATTACTGCCACAGCTAGGCTCCTTACTGTGACTCATATTCATCTTTCTGGATGAATTCTGAGCCCAGATTGTTTTCCTTCTTTTTAATCGATTTCCTCTAACCGTCTTAAAAACTTCAACTTCTGGCAGGGTGTGTTGTTTCAAGCCTGTAATCCCAGCACTTTGGGAGGCCAAGGCAGGAGGATCACTTCAGGCCAGGAGTTCGAGACCAGCCTGGGCAACACAGTGGCACCCTGTCTATATAGTAAAAAACAAACAAAAGCCCTTCAACTTCTGTGTTAAATGGAATTAAGCAAATCAATTATAGTATATTTGTTTGATGGAAAATACCACTGAAAACAATGTTACAGGCTAGGTGAGGTGGCTCACACCTGGAATCCCAGCACTTTGGGAGGCCGAAGCAGGAGGATTGCTTAAACCTAGGAGTTTGAGACCAGCCTGGGCAACATGGTAAGACCCTGTCTTTACAAAAACATACAAACAATTAGCCAGGCATGGTGGTGTGCACCTGCAGTCCCAGCTACTGAACAAGCTGAGGTGGGAGAATCACTTCAGCCTGGGAGGCAGAGGTTGCAGTGAGCTGAGATTGCACCACTGCGCTCAAGCCTGAACCACAGAGAGAGATGCTGTGTCAGAACAACAACAACAACGTTATAAAGTATAGAAATGTAATTTTTTTTTTTTTTGAGGTGGAGACTCACCCTGTCACCCAGGCTGGAGTGCAGTGGTGCAATCTCGGCTCACTGCAACCTCTGCCTCCTGGGTTCAAGTGATTCTCCCACCTCAGCCTCCCAAGTAGCTGGGACTACAGGCACGTACCACCACACCCGGCTAATTTTTTGTATTTTTAGCAGAGACAGGGTTTCACCATGTTAGCCAGGATGGTTTTGATCTCCTGACCTTGTAATCTGCCCGCCTCGGCCTCCCAAAGTATTGGGATTACAGGCATGAGCCACTGCGCCTGGCCCAGAAATGTAATTATTAACATCAAAATGTATAATCTATTAAGTTTATCTATGATCTATTAAATAAAAGCAAGTTATGAAAATGTATACATGAGGACGGGTGTGGTGGCTCATGCCTGTAATCCCAGCACTTTAGGAGGCTGAGGCACGCGGATCATTTGAGGTCAGGAGTTCGAGACAGGCTTGGCCAACATGGTGAAACTCCATCTCTACTAAAAATACAAAAATTAGCCGGGTGTGGTGGCACGCACCTGTAGTCCCAGCTGCTGGGGAGGCTGAGGCAGGAGAATCGCTTGAACCCAGGAGGCAGGGGTTGCAGTGAGCCGAGATCGTGCCATTGCACTCCAGCCTGGGTGATAGAGCAAGACTCCATCTCAAAAAACAAACAAACAAACAAAAAAGCATGCATGGTATTATCTACCTTTTAAAAATATATATACATGGAAAGAAATACAACAGGCCAGCCACAGTGGCTCACACCTATAATCCCAGCACTTTGGGAGGCTGAGGCAGGGCAGATTGCTTGAGCCAGGAGTTCAAGACCAGCCTGGCCAACATAGTGAGACCCCAAATTTATTAAAAGAAAAAAATACAACAAATGTTACCAGTGATTATCTCTAGGTAATAAGATCATGGGTGATGTTTTATTCTTTACGCTTATCTTTTTTTTTTTGAGACAGGGTCTCATTCTGTCACCCAGGCTGGAGTGCAGTGGTGTGATCTCGGCTCACTGCAACCTCCGCCTTCTGGGTTTGAGCAATTCTCCTGCCTCAGCCTCCCAAGTAGCTGGGACTACAGGCATGCACCACCATACCTGGCTAGTTTTTGTATTTTTAGTAGAGACAGGTTTTACCACATTGGTCAGGCTGGTCTCACACTCCTGACTTCAACTGATCCATCCACCTTAGCCTCCCAAAGTGCTGAGATTACAGGTGTGAGCCACTGCGCCTGGCCATGTAGTTTGTTTTCTAAATTAAATATGATTTACTTGTACAATAAAATACTTTAAAAGCACATGTTTGATTAACCTCTAAGCTCCCCTGCTCTGTGACTTCAGAGTTAGTATTCTTCACACCTAGCAGCCATATGGAAACACAGCCAAAGGCCCTAATCTTTGAATTTTAGTCTAGTATGAGCAAATCCTCTCCACATTATTTACTAATCACTTCTTAGGCACACTAGACACTACTCACAGACAGAATGGATTCCCTGAGCAGTTACTGAATGTATGGATGTTTAGGTTTTTTATGTGCTCAAATCCCCTTCCTGGACCTCTCTAATCATCTCTCATTTGCAGTCTTCTTTTTTTTTGTTTTTTCCTGAGACACAGTCTCGCTCAGTCACCCAGGCCGGAGTGCAGTGGTGTGATCTCAGCTCACTGCAAGCTCCACCTCTCAGGTTCATGCCATTCTCCTGCCTCAGCCTCCCGAGTAGCTGGGACTACAGGCGCCCGCCACCATGCCTGGCTAATTTTTTTTTTTTTTTTTTGTATTTTTAGTAGAGGCAGGGTTTCACTGTATTAGCCAGGATGGTCTCAATCTCCTGACCTCATGATTCGCCCACCTCAGCCTCCCAAAGTGCTGGGATTACAGGTGTGAGCCACCACACCTGGCCCTCATTTGTAGTCTTCTATACTATAAGTGATTTGCCACAGAAAGACCAAAAACTACTAGAACTAGCCTACTACAAATGCCTGGATTCAAATTAAAATTGGTTTTTTTTACTGCTTAGTAATCTTTTACTCACTTCTTAATGTCCACATTTGTTGTTCCAGACCTTCACTTGACATTAACCCACAATCCCATCTGCCTCTAAATCTCATTATTCATTAGGCCGCATCTCCTAAATGTGTTTAATGGTTGATATTAAGGTTTCTCTGAAACCTCAAGTTTAAGATTACAATGAGGGTGAAACAAGGATAAATACAAATGTAACATTTAAAATCAACTACCTGTACAATGTCCCACTTTAAGGAAGAGCTGGTAAATGGGTGGCAAGAAGATATAGTAACAGTTAAGTTCATTAAGGTAACTGGAAAAGCATGTATATTAATATATCTAACTATATCACCTAACTGTTACATGTAGATAAAGCTAACCTAATTGTACAGCAATGTAATGAGTCTGAAGAAAGAACAGTATAAATGAAGACAGAGAACCTACAGAGAAGATAGAAAAGAGCAAAAATTTGGCTAGTTGTCTTTTGTATGTGATCTGTCCAATAAACACAAGCATTCCAGTCTGCTTAGGGTGAATATCCTTGGGCAGAATATACATATATGTATATATATGTGTATATATATATATATATACACACACACATACATATATACACACACACATACCTACATATATACATCTAACTGAAATCTTTCTTGAACTTTAAACCCATTTTTCAAACTGCTTACGTGAATGCCCCAGAGATATCTCAAAACAAGTACAAAATTAAATTCATTATCCCATCTAGCAAACCTGCTCTTCCCTCTACTATTCTCTACCTTGACAAATAGTTTTATACCCCACATCTGGGACTAACCCTTGATTCTTCCCTTCTATGCTACCCTTTGATACTACTGATATCCAATCAATCACCAAGTTCATTCAAACAAATAAATTTTAAAAAGTTCATTCAAACTTGGTGATTGAATACTATTTTGATAGTACTGATATCCAGTCAATTCACCAAGTTCTACTTTGTCTATCACTTTAATCTCATTCGTTGCCATTACCATAAATTCTATTTTATTTTATCTTATTATTTTTTGAGATGGAGAATCGCTTGAACCTGGGAGGCGGAGGTTGCAGTGAGCTGAGATCACACCACTGCACTCCAGCCTGGGTGACACAGCGAGACTCTGTTTCAAAATAAATAAATAAATAAAATAAAGATAATAATCTCCTTAATAGATTATTATGATACAAAACGCAAGTAAAGTGCTTACAACAGTATCTGGTAAAGTGCTTACAACAGTATCTGGTAAAGTGCTTACAACAGTATCTGGTAAAGTGCTTACAACAGTATCTGGCACATAGTACTCAATGCATTTTACCTGCTATTATCATCATCATCAACACCATCATTACCATTCACCAGACTATAAGCTCCTGAAGAGCAGAAACCAGGTCTTAATTCATCCTTGTGTCTCTAGGCACATAGCACTGTGCCTGGTATAAGAAGAATCAGTAGGTATTCTATTTTGAACTCACCCTATGTCCACATCATCCTAGTAAACCCTGACTGATGGCTGGTCACCCTTCCTAGATAAGGTCTGCCTCATTTCTCTTTAACTGCAAAGAAACAGTCCAATACTGTCAGTTCATACAATGTCCTTAATCCCCACCAAAACACACTGCTGTCTCTAAATGTAGTTTCATTCAGCCTTAGAGACCTATCCGCATCCCCTTCCTTCTCTAAAGCTAATCCTTCTCTAAAACCAGCATTTCTCCTGCACCCTTTAGGTATTACTGTCATTCTTATTTAATATCAAGAAAACAGAGGTCTAGAGAGGTTACACAATTCTGCTAGTGACTGGCAGAGCCAGGTTTGTCCAACTTCACCATCTAGCTGCTTTTCCAGTTTGGACACTCTGAATAATATTAAAAGGCAGATAGACAAACCAGGGGAAAGTATTTCAACATTAATGAAATTAAAAAAGTCAAACACTGTAATGGAAAGATGAACACAGAAAAGGCACAAGCAATTCAGAAAAGAAAATACGTTGATAACTACAAGCAAATAAACATGTTCACTCTTACTTAGTAATTAAATGCAAATTAATATAAGAAATCATTTCTCACCTATCAAATCAGCAAGGATTTTATTTACAATTATAAAGGGCTGGACAAATGAGTATTTTCCCTCTGGGTTTTTTCAATTTTTTTTGGTTTTTAATAGAGATGGTGTCTCGCTATATTGCCTAGGTTGGTCTTGAACTCAAGTGATCCTCTCACCTCAGCCTCCCAAAGTGCTGGGATTACAGACGTGAGTCACTGCACCTGGTCGCAAATAAGTATTTTCATACAGCTGGTGGGAGTATATGTGGAGGGCATTTCATAATACATGACACTAAGTCTTAAAAATGTATATATCTCTTTGCTATAATAATCCTACTTCCAAAAATTTATCCTAAGTAAATAATTATGGCTGTGATAACACTGTGATAAACGATATTGTAGCTATTTTTTTGAGACGGAGTTTTGCTCTGTCCCCCAGGCTGGAATGCAGTGGCGCGATCTCAGCTCACTGCAACCTCCCTGTCGTGGGCTCAAGCGATTCTCCTGCCTCAGCCTCTTGAGTAGCTGGGATTACAGGCATGCGCCACCACACTTGGCTAATTTTTTGTATTTTTAGTAGAGACAGGTTCTGCTGTGTTGGCCAGGCTGGTCTCGAACTCCTGACCTCAAGTGATCCACCCACCTTGGCCTCCCGAAGTGCTGAGATTACAGGTGTGAGCCACTGTGCCTGGCCTGTGGCTATCTATAACAGTAGAAAAACTGGAAACAGAAATAACATAAATGTCTAGCAGGGAACTGGCTAAATAAATGGAGAAAACATCCTTCACTGGCCGGGCTCAGGGGTGGGGCTCATGTCTGTAATCCCAGCAGTTTGGGAGGCTGAGGCGGGTGGATCACCTGAGGTCAGGAGTTTTAGAGCCTGGCCAACACGGTGAAACCCCGTTTCTACTAAAAATAAAAATTTAGCTAGGCGTGGTGGCACATGCCTGTAATCCCAGCTACTTGAGAGGCTGAGGCAGGAGAATCACTTGAACCTGGGAGGTGGAGGTTGCAGTGAACCGAGATCGGGCCATTGCACTCTGGCCTGGGCAACAGAGTGAGACTCTGTCTCAAAAGAAAAAAAAAAAAAAAAAAAAAAAAGGCCAGGCACAGTGGCTCAAGCTTGTAATCCCAGCACTTTGGGAGGTCAAGGCGGGCAGATCATGAGGTCAGGAGTTCAAGACCAGCCTGGCCAACACAGTGAAACCCCCATCTCTACTAAAAATACAAAAAAAAAAAAAAAATAGGCTGGGCGTGGCAGCATGAGCCTGTAATCCCAGCTACTCAGGAGGTTGAAGCAGGAGAATCGCTTGAACATGGGAGGCAGAGGTCGCAGTGAGCTGAGATCGCACCACTGCACTCCAGCCTGGGCAACAGAGCGAGACTCCATCTCAAAACAAACAAACGACAACAACAAAAATCCTTCACTTTATAGGATTGTTGCAAAGGTTACATTAATTGAGAAAAAGCACTTAAGATAATGCCTGACATATATGTATGTAATAAATTATAGCTAATATTATAGCAAATTTATAAGAAATATATAGCCATTAAAGTTATATTGCTGATGACATAATACAGTAAAATTAAAAGCAGGTTACAACAGAGTATAAAGACCCAACATTTGTTTTTACTATATACATGAACACATAAACACTTATGCAAAGTATTGGTCTATATGTGTGTTAAGAAACTGAAGAATTTTTTTTAATGTGTATATGCCAAAATGTTAAGAGTGGTGATCTCTTGGTGGTATGATTTTACTTTGTTTGCAATTTTCATAGTTTCCCATATATTTTAATAAGTATGTGTTACTCTTTTTTTGGTTTGTTTTGTTTTTTGAGACCAGGTCTTGCTCTGTTGCCCAGGCTGGAGTGACACAATCACAGCTCACTGCAGCCTCGATCTCTTGGGTTCAAACAATCCTCCCTGCCTCAGCCTCCCAAGTAGCTGGGACCACAAGCACATGTCACCACCCCTGCCTAACTTTTGTATTTTTGCAGAGATGGGGTTTTGCCATGTTGCCCAGGCTGGTCTCGAACCTCTGGGCTCAAGATATCCACCTGCCTTGGCCTCCCAAAGTGCTGGGATTATAGGCATGAGCCACCATGTCCAGGTGCATATGAATTACACTTTTAATGAGAAAGATAAAAATTTGGGGGACTGGGCATGGTGGCTCATGCCTGTAATCCTAGCACTTTGGGAAGCTGAGGTAGGTGGATCACCTGAGGTCAGGAGTTCAAGACCAGCCTGGCCAACACAGTGAAACCCCATCTCTATTAAAAATACAAAAATTAGCCAGGCACGGTGGTGCGCACCTGTAGTCCCAACTACTTGGGAGGTTGAGGCAGGAAAATTGCTTGAACCTGGGAGGTGGAGGTTGCAATGAGTGGAGGTCATACCACTGCACTCCAGCCTGGGTGACAGAGCAATAGTCCGTCTCAAAAAAAAAAAAAAAGTTTTGTGGGGGATGGGAATTTAGGTAGTTGTATTCCTTTAGAAGAAACAAGAAGTATTCAGTTTGCCTATTTGGTCAAAGACGAATACTCAACATAAATTTATACAATAACTAAAATAATCATGAAAGAAACACTTGTTTCACATTATGAACATTTAAGGGTCTAAAAAAATGACAAAGAAGAAGAAACAAAGAAATACAAGAGAAAGAGGGAGGAAGGAATGGGGAGAAAAACACACAGGGAGACAGGCAGAGAAGATAAGGGGGATGCAGAGGCAGAGACTTAAGTGCTAGAGGTTCCTTTCAATTCTGTGACAGTTACCAAGCATCTATGTGCCAAGCAGTGTGTGTGAATATGACACAACTTCCGCCTTCACAAAAAACTTATGTTCTGGCCAGGGGTGCTGGCTCACGCCTGTAATCCCAGCACTTTGGGAGGCTGAGGCAGGTGGATCATTTGAGGTCAGGAGTTCTAGACCAACCTCATCAATATGGTGAAACCCTGTCTCTACTAAAAAAAAAAAAAAAAAAAAAAAAAAAAATTAGCCAGGCATGGTGGTGAACTCGCGTAATCTCAACTACTAGGGAGGCTGGGGCAGGAGAATCACTTGAACCCCGGGAGGTGGAGGCTGCAGTGAGCCAAGATTGTGCCACTGCACTCAGTCTGGGTGACGGAGCAAGACTCCATCTCGGAAAAAAAAAAAAAGAAAGAAAACCAAAAAACCCCCCAAAACTTATGCTGTTTAGTTCCATGTTTTCTTGCCGTATCACACACAAAAAAACCTGAACCCTAAAAATGACACTAGAACTAAGAGCCTATCCAAAAGCCACCAAATTATAAGGAGAATCTGTTAACTATTCTGATGTATCCTGCTATCCACTTGGCTATATCTTCAAAGTTATCATTTTCTTTTCAGGTCTAATTTAACTAATAAAACTGCTCTCATGACTCTTCATCTAGACTAAAAATCCTTAAAATCTGAGGGTGCTCTGTTCTGAATGAGAAAGAAGCCCATTAGGTAGGCATTTTTCTTTGGGCTTCAACAGAGAACTGGGAACTAAAGAGATCCAGCCATGGGCAGAATTTCCTCACCACTAGTTAAGTAAAAAGAACAGCAGGCTAAGCAAGATAATCTCTGTTGTTCTTTTTTTTTTGAGACGGAGTCTTGCTCTGTCACCCAGGCTGGAGTGCAGTGGTGCGATCTTGGCTCACTGCAAGCTCCGCCTCCTGGGTTCACGCCATTCTCCTGCCTCAGCCTACTGAGTAGCTGGGACCACAGGCGCCCACCACCATGCCCGGCTAATTTTTTGTATTTTTAGTAGAGATGGGGTTTCACCGTGTTAGCCAGGATGGTCTCGATCTCCTGACCTTGTGACCCACCCGCCTTGGCCTCCCAAAGTGCTGGGATTACAGGCGTGAGCCACCGCGCCCGGCCCTCTGTTGTTCTTTCTAGCTCCACCACTCTGTAGACTAATGGAACCTGGAATCCTGTGATTAGATTTTATTTAGAAACCTGAAAAATGTTTCATCCTGTTCAATTTATGCAAAGATGGCTAATCCCAGAATATCAAGTTTAGACTGAGATACAATGATAGTGTTTATGGGGGAGCTATTATTTTAGCCAGTTCCCTGGAAGCAGGATAATCAGATGCTTGTAAAACTCAAATCCATGCTATGGAACATATGCTCCTAAAACCACAAAGTGGTTAAAATATTAATTAACCTCTTGGAACGGATGTGTTCCTGAAAAGTAGTGAATCTTGGTAAATCATATCAAATCAAACTTAAAGAACAATGAGAGGGGCTGGGCTTGGTGGCTCACACCTGTAATCCCAGCACTTTGGGAGACTGAGGCAGGCAGATCGCTTGAGCCCAGGAGATCGAGACCAGCCTGGGCAACATGGTGAAACCCTGTCTCTACAAAAAATACAAAAATTAGCCAGGTATGGTGGCGCACACCTGTGGTCCCAGCTACTTGGTAGGCTAAGGTGGGAGGATGGCTTGAGCCTGGGAGGCGGAGGCTGCAGTGAGCTGAGATCGCGCCACTGCCCTCCAGCCTGGATAATGGAAAAGAGACCCTGTCTTAAAATGAAACAAAACAAAAAACAGAGAGAGAGGGGTATTCTATTAAAGCAGTCAGTGTCCTCCATCCTTTTAAGGCCCAGAACCCTTTCCTTAGGAAAATAACATGCACATACACAAAAGAAGTTTCATACAATTTCAGGAGTTTCTGAACCCCACGTAAAGACCCCATTGTCTTAAAAGAGCTCAAAGTAAAAAGGCACTCACAAATAATTCTTTTTTAAACAATCAGTTATTAAAGTTAAATTTTTCAGTATCACTAATCTATATTTTTACATATTAGGTTTATTTAAAGTGGGATTTTTGCTTTGAATGCAAATTTGTGGTTTTGATTTTTTTAAAAAACAGACCCACAGATGATCATCAACAAGTGCTTGAGACATTATCTGTACCTTTCCCAAGAAATTCTTACCAGTGTGTGTTTTCATGTGTTCGTCGAAGTACTGCTTCATGTTGAAATCCTTGCCACACCACTGGCACATGAACTGTTTGTGCCCAATATGAATGCTCATGTGGGAGCGTAGCTGGTACTTGTACTGAAACCTTTCGTCACAGTTCTGCATTGGATACAGTGGAGATTTTTGAATGCCAAGCATAGTAGCTTTACCTGAGCCCACCCTAACACAGTCTCTGATACTAGGCTTATTTTTCATATTCAAAATAGAACCTGCTTGTGTCAGCTATTTGGCTTTGCTATATTTCTGCAGGTGAGTTACTAATAAAAGGGAAATTTCCTCACAAAATTATCATTGAAGTATACTCGACTTCTCAGAATCACTGAGAAAAGAAAAATAAGTCATTATGTGTTATTTCCAAGTTAACCTAATCTAAGAGAGTTAACAGTGTGTTAAAAGTGACATTTTTCTACCTTGCAGTGACAGCGCACACAGAGCTCAGAACACATGTCTGAAAGTTCTGTGGAAGGCAGCCTTGTGCCTCCTGCTCCAGCACACCTCTCTCTCACTGGTCCGCCATCTATGCAAACACTAGCCCCTAGGCCTGGGCCTGTAGGTAGCACATTCCTTACCTCGCATCTAAAGGGCTTCTCTCCAGAATGCTGCAAGGAGTGCACCTTGAGTGACATACTGCGTTTGAATGATTTTCCACAGGTTTCGCATGTAAATGGCATGTCTTTTGTGTGTGCTGCAACACAGAATGTACTTAGTGTCAAAACAAAATCCACCAAAAAGCTCAAACTAAAAAGGCATCCTACTGTAAAGCAATTAGGCCATCCTAATTTTCTACACTGATTTGTGAGGCTTTTTTTTTTTTTTTTTTTTTTTTGAGATGGAGTCTTGCTCTGTCGCACAGGCCGGAGTGCAGTGGCGCAATCTTGGCTCACTGCAACCTCTGCCCCCTGGGTTCAAGTGATTATCCTGCCTCAGCCTCCCGAGTAGTTGGGATTACAGGCATGCGCCACCACGCCCAGCTAATTTTTGTATTTTTAGTAGAGACAGGGTTTCGCCACGTTTGCCAGGCTGGTTCCGAACTCCTGACTTAAAGTGATTTGCCTGCCTCAGCCTCCCAAAGTGCTGGGATTACAGGTGTGAGCCACCACACCTGGCCTTTGTGAGGCTCTAACAGTAATGTCTGAAGAGAAAATAATGTTGAAAAGAAAGCTGGGTGTGGAAGACTATACCATCCAATTTGGTGATACTTACTGAAGACATAATGCATTCAGTTTCAACATGTCAAAACTGATTAGGGCAATTCCTCATATCCTGCCCAATCCAGGGCATAAAGCACACAGAAGAACAAGGGAAAATTATAGGTATAAGAGAAAAGCAGAAAAACTTACCAACCATGTGTTTCCGCACATGAGCCATGGTATAGAATTTCTTCTCACAAATTTCACAGGAAAATTTCTTTTCTGCATATCCATGGACGATCTTGATATGTTCATGAAGGGACCAGAGTTTCTTGAACGATTTGTTACAGGAAACACACTGAGCAGGATAAATAGAAATAATATTTATAGGGGCTTACAGCATGCCATACCAGCCTACTGGCAGACCAAACGGATGTGCTTTAGGTTCATGGCACAAGGCCAGAATCCAGATAAGTGCTATTCTTCCACAGAGCCCAGATTCCAACACCAACATCTGTATGTTCTCTTTTCTAAGATGCATCTTTTAGACACTCTTTGGGAGTATGAAAACAATGGCAAAAACTAAGACAAAAAGTGGAAAGTTCCACTAACATCAAAGAATTCACTGCTATTATGAAGTTAGTATTGTACCTATGAAAAGAAACTTCAAGTTTGTTTATTTATTTGAGACAGAGCCTTGCTCTGTCGCCCAGGCCGGAGTGCAGTGGCGCGATCTAGGCTCACTGCAACCTCCACCTCCCGGGTTCAAGCGATTCTCCTGCCTCAGCCTCCCAAGTAGCTGGGATTACAGGTGGGCGTCACCATTCCCGGCTAATTTTTTTTGTATTTTTAGTAGAGACAGGGTTTCACCGTGTTGGCCAGGGTGATCTCGATCTTCTGGCCTCGTGATCCACCCGCCTCAGCCTCCCAAAGTACTGCGATTACAGGCATGAGTCACCAAGCCCAGCCAAGTTTTTTAATTTTTAAACAGAAGTTGCAAGACATTCGAGTTTTAAAAATATATGTATTAAGCAAGTGTGGCTGCCTCCTCCACATCAGTTAGTAAGGTTTTACCAGAGAATATAAACTAATTTTAAATTAGTGTAATAAAAACAAGATTAAACAAAATACATATTAGTGGTATAGGTATTATAGGTATGTAGAAATATAAAAATGTTTTTATGCCTTAGAAAATGCATTTGGAGCCAGGTGCAGTGGCTCACGCCTATAATCCCAGCATTTCGGGAGGCCAAGACAGGAGGATCACCTGAGGTCAGGAGTTCGAGACCAGCCTGACCAACATGGAGAAACCCCATCTCTACTAAAAATAAAAAAATTAGCCGGGCGTGGTGGCGCATGCCTGTAATCCCAGCTACTCAGGAGGCTGAGGCAGGAGAATCTCTTGAACCGGGAGGTGGAGGTTGCAGTGAGCCGAGATCGTGCCATTGCACTCCAGCCTGGGCAACAAAGAGCGAAACTCCATCTCAAAAAAAAAAAAAAAAAAAAAAAAAAAAAAAAAAAAAAAAGAAAAGAAAAGAAAATGCATTTGGAGCATTTATTAATACGAATAATTGAAATGTTATATTTCCTCAAATCTAATTTATACTTTCAAACACGTCCCTCGGGCAGAATATACCCTCTGAACTCTTAGTATTACTCTCTCTCCTTTTTAAAATCATTATTATTTTTTTTGAGATGGAGTCTCACTCTGTCGCCCAGGCTGGAGTGCAGTGGTGTGATCTCGGCTCACCACAACCTCCACCGCCTGGGTTCAAGCAATTCTCCTGCCTCAGCCTCCCAAGTAGCTGGGACTACAGGTGCGTGCCACCATGCCTGGCTAATTTTTGTATTTTTAGCAGAGATGAGGTTTCACTATGTTGGCCAGGCTGGTCTTGAACTCCTGACCTTGTGATCTGCCCGCCTCAGCCTCCCAAAGTGCTGGGATTACAGGTGTGAGCTACTGCACCCAGCCTTACTGTTTCTTTAAAAAATTAAAGAAAATTTTTTTAGTCTAAACTTTAATTAACTAAAGCCTATACCTTTTCCCTTACAGATCAGTTCCAGAGCTCTCTTGTAAGAATCTGTAGAAAACACACCACACTGCCTAGTTCCTTGTATCATGAATCATTAATAGCCTGGAATATTAGGCATAATGTGTATCAGAGTATTTCTGGTTAAAGCAAAACAATACTAGAAAGCTCTTGGTAATCATTAGACCCTTGGATACTTAAGGGAACATGTTAATATTCACTATAAATAAAGATCTCTAAACATCATTGTCACTTCAGGTAACAAGAACTCTGAGAAGAGTTAAAAGATAAACCTCTGGTTGGAAAATGCTCTAGAAAAGGACAGACTACTACTATCAGCCATTTTGTAGGGCAGGTTTTTTGTTTTGTTTTTAGACAGTCTCACTCTGTTGCTCAAGCTGGAATGCAGTGGTGCTATCATGGCTTACTGCAGGATCAATCTCCTGGGCTCAGGCAACCCTCCCAAAGTGCTGAGATTACAGGTGTGAGCCACTGCACCCGGCCTTAGGGGAGGGTTTTAGTTTGTTTTTTTTTTTTTTTTGAGACGGAGCTTCACTCTTCTTGCCCAGGCTGGAGTGCAATGGCACAATCTCGGCTCACTGCAACCTCCGCCTCCCAGGTTCAAGCGATTCTCCTGCCTCAGCCTCCTGAGTAGCTGGGATTACAGGCATGTGCCACCACACCTGGCTAATTTTGTATTTTTAATAGAGATGGGGTTTCTCCATGTTCGTCAGGCTGGTCTCGAACTCCTGACCTCACGTGATCCACCTGCCTTGGCCTCCCAAAGTGCTAGGATTACAGGTGTGAGCCACTGCGCCCGGTCTGGGTTTTAGTTTTTACTTGTTACCAAGTCATCAGGATTATTAGGAGCTATACATAAGAACAAAGTACAGTGTTCTTTATGAATGTGAATAAAGTTCATTTAGCAGAATCCACAAAACTTAAACACAAATTTAAAAGTAGTATGATGAAGAATCGTGAGGAAAGTCACACACAAAAAGTATTTATTAAATGTTTTCTGTAACTTAAACAGACTTAAGTTAAAAAAAAAAAAAAACCCACAAAACCTATATATAAAGATCAAGAACGCTTTCAGTAATGGATCATTACAGAATCCAAGTTTGACCCCTAGAGTGCAGCAGTGCACCACACTCCCTTTGGCCTGAAGTGCTGCAAACAATTCATACCCAAGCCAGGGCACTGGCAGTTACCGGAGGATATGGGCTCCATGACTCAGTCTTCTTTTATTTACCCAGCGTGTTGGAGATCAAGTCACAATTGGTGAATCAAAAGCGGTGAATTTTTAGCAAATGCAATTTCCATTTTTTAAAACTCTTTAAAGTAGAGCAATGATCTCAGATGTTGATTAAAAGCAACAGAAGAAAAGTGAAACTTAAAAAGTGACTACCAATATTAGAAGCACACCAAAAAACAAACCAAACCAACACAATTTATCCTTTATAAGTTTAGCTTAAATATGGTACAAAATATTTCTGTTACATATCTTATGGAGACATGAATAGACTTACCTCTTACGAATATTCATTAATATGCATTCACACGTGCAAACCAATATAACTGCAATCCACTTGACATAATATAATTAGCATACCTCTTTAACCTATCACAATATAGTCCTTTCACGACAACAGCCTGGTTTGAATACCGTTATTTTGTTACCTTAACAATACTGTACAGTGGCATTATGTAACCCTACTGCCAGGTGGGCAACATTTTCGACCAGCTCAGCCTCTGCTTAAAGTTTGCATATTCCCATGGGCTCAGCCTCTTGGCAAATTTAGTGTTGTCATCTCTCCAATGGTAAAAGCAAACTCACTGCTGAAGATCTTCCATTTCCACCGGTCTGAGTCATTATGGTTTTTGTCCCCATCAGCTGTACTAGAATCTGGCATCCTTGTAAACCCAGAAAGGGACCTTTCTCTACTCCTAACCTTTAATCAGTAACTCCTACCTCCACAGAGAAGATGCCAGAATGAATTCTATTACACGTCCTACAACAGTGAATCTCAGTGCAAAGTTGGTGTTGATTTTAACCTCCTGGTCAATCAACTATAACAGATCCCCCTTCCAGTGTGCCTGGGTTCCCACTAGTCCAGCGTCAAATTTAATGCTTTTGAAATAAAAGCCTTGGTTTAGAAAAGACCAAAGCAGGAGCTTTTCAAATGATAAATTGGTGAAAACTGTCCCTTCAGCCTCTATTGCATTTATTCTCTTGGGCGGATACCAGATGAATCTGAACAGCCAGGTTCTATCCTGAAAAGTTTTCCCTCTCGGTGATGAAACCTACCTGAATGTTTTTTTCACAGTCTGTTTGCTGGTGAAGGGACAGCTCACTTTCCAGGACAAACTTCTTGCCACATTTATCACAAATCTGCATGCGCCTATGAGTAACGTTCATGTGCTTCTCCAGGTACCAGCGAGTGTTAAATACCCTGGGGCACTTCTCACAGGTCAGAGTCTCTTTCTCTTCACACTTAGCTTTCTGGACTGGTGCTTTGGGCTCCTTTGTGGCCCGCTTCTTACGCTTAGGTGGCTCTACACTCTTCCTACGACCTCTTGTAGTTCTGGGAGTAGGGGAAGTGGTAGCTGCGGCAACAGAGGCAGCTCTCCTGGTTCTCCTTTGTGTAACGCTGACTTTCTCTACTATCTTCTCCTTTTTCTTCTGCTTTTCATTCTCTCCATAGTCATTGCTGTCATCTGTGGCCTCTTCCTCACTCTCTTCCTCTTCCTCCTCACTGCTTGTCTTAAGAACAGGAGTCTCTTTGGACTGAGAAGAGACACCCTTTTCCCCTTTAGATACATTTAATGTTTGATTATTAAGGTTTACCTCCACTATGATCTGCTCCCTTTTGTAAGAGACTTCTTCCTCTTCCTCCTCTGTGTCATCAGAATTCTCCCGGTCTTCCTTAACAGCATGCACGTCAGACACTGCTCTTGTCTCCCTGAAATATGGCTGTTCTTCTGTTTCATGGAGATGCGGTTTGCTCATCTTGGTGTCCACTAACACAGAATAAGGACTTCCTGATTCCCTTTTGTACACTTTGGTGGACAGGTCAAGTTCTTGGTTGGCACCATGATAAAAGGAAGATGGCACTTGACCACGACGGCTATCTTCTTGTGCCATTCCTGCTACATGCACAGCACAGTTTTCAACCAGCTCCTGACAAGAACTGGCTGTGTGGCTCATTGGTAAGTGGCCCAATTTATTAAACAGTTCAGACTATAAAGAAATAGCTTTAAAACAAGGTAATTATTAAGACTCAAATCTTTTCTCATCCACAAAGAATCACTCAAATGAAAAAAAGATATTCCTGGAAACTGTGTGCAATTCTTCCAGTGTTGCAGCACCAAAGCATGAGTCAAAAAGGTTTGGTATTATGGCAAGAGCAGAGCACTAGTGATTTTTCTTCTGAAGAGAGCTGCAAGGGACTTGGGAGCATCTTATCTACAAAGAAAAGCAAAGAGGAAAAAAATCAGGTAATACCACTATTTCCTTTTTAGAGCATGCATTTAAATCACAAGAAACAGGGCTTAAATAATAATAATTATTATTATTTTGAGAT
This sequence comes from Homo sapiens, assembly GCF_000001405.40. Taxonomy (NCBI): domain Eukaryota; kingdom Metazoa; phylum Chordata; class Mammalia; order Primates; family Hominidae; genus Homo; species Homo sapiens. The sequence continues at coordinate 49,318,102 of NC_000017.11, forward strand.
GGAGTCTCACTCTGTCACCCAGGCTGGAGTGCAGTACGCAATCTTGGCTCACTGCAACCTCTGCTGCCTGGGTTCAAGTGATTCCCCTGCCTAAGCCTCCCGAGTAGCTGGGATTACAGGCGCCCGCCACCACACCTGGCTAATTTTTGTATTTTTAGTAGAGACGGGGTTTTGCCATCTTGGCCAGGCTGGTCTTGAACTATTGACCTTGTGATCCACCTGTCTGGGGCTCCCAAAGTGCTGGGATTACAAGCATGAGCCACCACGCCTGGCCAAAATTATTAAACTCTTTACATATACAATGCTTTTAACTGCTTAAATGTTTCAGTATGAGCCATTATTTTACTGGATTACAGGAATTCATAAACATTTTCTGTTAGACTATAAATTTTACAACAGCAAAAGCCACATCTGTCCAGTTCACTGAGATATCCTCAGAGCTTAGCACAGTGTCTAGCATACAGTATATATTTGATGAATAAAATAATATTGCACAGCATTCATTTTCCTAGATACTACGCAATATGCTGATATGGCAAAATATACGGTCTCTATCCACAAGATCTTTACAGTCTAGTTTACAACGTGTTGGGCATGAAACACGCAAGAGCTTTATATTGGCTGACTTTCTTTCAACATCAATCACCATGTCCATCACAGTGAGAGCTCGCAGAACAAAGGGGGTAGTGGGGCAGGCATTGTGGTCCCCGGAAATAAAACAGCTAATTGACATAACTATAGAAGAGAAGAAAAATGTCCTTGGCCTTAAATCATTTATAATCTAGGTTTAAATATAATTGTTTTCAGGTTTATTGGAGTAATTTCAAAGTTGCCAAATATTTTAACATTTGTTCTGTGCATAGCTCACTACATTCACTCAGTAAGTCGGTGATTTTTTATATGTCAGTTGCACAGGAGTCTAAATTCTAAGAAACCATAACCATGAGGTTGATATGGTTCCAAGAAAAATAAAACCATCCAATATTAATTTTTAAAAAGCTTAGAAGGGCATATAATTTGCTTTGTGACATACCTCACATTGCTGTTTAGCCAACCCACCTATCCTCTTGAGTCATATGAATATTACCGTAAACACATACCCTGTCTAGTTGACAAAAGGAAGGAAATGAGTATTTATTAAATGCCTGCTATGGACATAGGCACTATAATAGTTTTTATTGTTCATTATTTATGTTTAATACCCACCACAAAACTGTGGGGTTGAATTTTTTTTTTTTTAAGACAGTGTCGGGCCAGGCGCAGTGGCTCACGCCTGTAATCCCAGCACTTTGGGAGGCCAACGTAGTCGGATCACGAGGTCAGGAGATCGAGACCATCCTGGCCAACGTGGTGAAACCCCATCTCTACTGAAAATACAAAAATTAGCTGAGCATAGCGGCTCATGCCTGTAATTCCAGCTACTCAGGAGACGGAGGCAGGAGAATCGCTTGAACCCAGGAGGCGGAGATTGTAATGAGCTGAGATCGCGCCACTGCACTCCAGCCTGGCGACAGAGCTAGCTAGACTCTGTCTCAAAAAAAAAAAAAAAAAAAAAAAAAAGACAGGGTCTCACTCCATTGCCTAGGCTGGAATGCAGTGGTGCAATCATGGCTCACTGCAGCCTCAACCTTCTGGTCTCAAGTGATCCTCCCACCTCAGCCTCCTGAACAGCTAGGACCAGAGGCATGCACCACCACACCTGGCTAATTTTCAAAAAAATTTTTAGAGATGGGGTCTCCCTATGTTACCCAGGCTGGTGGGACTGATTTTTAAATTTTTTATCAAAATAATCATTTTAAAAATTCATAGTCTTACAATTCAAATGTATTGGCCGTACTCCAATTTATCTCAGTCCCATTTCCTGGAGGCAATAATGCTGTTTTAGCTGCCCCCCTCTCCATTTAATTCTATATTTCTACATAATTTGATTATGTTTCTGTTTCTGGACTTTTTATTTCAATTTCAGATATTACCTTGTCTTTCTCTATAGTTTTCTTACCTTATTGTTCCCAACTCTTCCCTCATGCTCCCAATAGTTATATCACAACTTTGAAAAAAATCAGTATTTATTATTACTATGAGTAGTTCACAATTATTTCTATCACTCCTATGCTAATCCTTTGTCTTCTCTTCCATTTTCTCTTCCATTTCCTTTTTCCTTGTGAGTTTATTCTTTTTCAAAAAAATTACTTTTGCTTTCATGGAATTTCAGGAAGGAGTGGTAATAAATGCTACCATGTTTTACTTGACATTTGAATAGATATATTCCTACTTTCTTGTATTTATAAATGGTAAAATTACGGCTCAGAGAGGCAACATAATTTGTCTAAGATCACAAGTCGCTCAAACGACAGAGGTAGTATTTGACTCCAGGCCTGCCTGACTCCAAAGCTCATTGTCTATTTCTACTATGACAAATGACACCTTGAAATAATTTAAACTCAATTATTCTTTTAACTGCTTATCTTTTTGTACCAGTTTCATGCCTCATATTTTAAGTAGGAAAATCCTAGCAACCTTATTCTACTTGTGCCAAAACTTCTAACCCATGGAAACAATGTGAACTACTATGAGTATCATTTAAATAAACTCATATTATCTCAAATTAAGTAAGGGAGGAATGATGGTAAAATTCAATTAACTAGCAAAAGCTAGGAGTTAAACAAAAATCAGAAAGTCAAAGAAAAGAATAAAGAGTAATCATTAATTCATTTTCCAAATATTTCTGGCTCTCGGCTTTCTGGGCACATGGTAGGCTATTTTTTTTTGGAGACGGAGTCTCGCTGTCACCCACACTGGAGTGCAGTGGTGCGATCTCGTCTCACTGCAACCACGCCTCTTGGGTTCAAGCAATTCTCCTGCCTCAGCCTCCCAAAGTGCTGGGATTACAGGCGTGAGCCACTGCACCCAGCCTAGGCTACACTTTTAAAACCACGCCCACAACTTCTATTCCCTGTAGTTAGATGGGGCCCTGTGACTACTTCTGGTCAGCATATTATGAGAAGTGACAGAGAGAGGCAGGGCATTTACTAACCAATATAAAATCCTTAAGACCTCTTTTCCTTCTGGCACAGTGGCTAGCAATCTTCCAGGTGATGGTTGCTCTCAGCTTGGTCCCCTAAGATGACCTACTGGATAGACATATGTATTTTCTTGGTGTTTTTTGTTTTGTTTTGTTTTGAGACAGAATCTCACTCTGTCACCCAGGCTGGAGTGCTGTGGCATGATCTTGGCTCACTGCAACCTCTGCCTCCCGGGTTCAAGTGATTCTCCTGTCTCAGACTCCTGAATGGCTGGGACTACCGGCGCCCACCACCACGCTTTTTTTTTTTTTTTTTTTTTTTTTGTATTTTTAGGAGAGGCAGGGTTTCACCATGTTGGTCAGGCTGGTCTCCTGACCACAGGTGATCCACCCGCCTTGACCTCCCAAAGTGCTGGAATTACAGGCGTGAGCCACCGTGCCCAGCCACACAGTGTGTTTTCAAAGCCACTGAGACCTTGCATTGTTTATTACCACAGCATAATTTGGCTTATCCAAGCTGCTACGAGTAGAAACCAGAAGTGGGGTGCTGCCTTACCAAAAAGCCTAAAATATATGATGAAGCCTTAGGAGCTGGGTGGAAGGAGGCAAGGAAAGTTATTGGAGGCTAAAAGATTAGCAACTTATATTATGCAGTGATCAAATGATCAGTGAAACTATCAGCTATCGCAGAAGGTAGATATTATACCATAAGAGCTAGCAGCTCTAGTGGGAAAATGGACTATTACAAGTGTGTTGTATTGTAACACTGTTAGTTATATTTAACAAATTATTACATGAAAAGGATGAATTCAGAAAATAATGATCAGTTTATAATCAAGAATAAAAGAAATCCAGAAAGTCAGGGATTTGCAGAGTAAGAACAGGCAAGTGCTTAATGTAAAACTGAAGTCTTTGATTTACAAAGCCTGAATATAATTCAGTCTTGAGGCAAGGTTCAAATCAAATATTTGGCTTTCACAATCACTGATTAAGATGGTACTCAATAAAATAGCTTTTCTAAAGAGACTAAAGATGAGTTCTGCTACAATGCATATTTCTCTAATGTGAATTAATTCAAATGCTATTAGTAAATAGGGAAATGATAGCAGAATAACTCAGAAATAATGTTAGTTTATACAAGATTTTCCCAAGTTTAATGTCTGAAGTGATCAGGAGCAAGCTTTCTCAAAATTACAAAGAAAGCAAGCCTTAGCAATACACGAAGACCTCAAGAAAAAAGCTAAACACTCTACTTCTATACCTTCCTTTAAGGCAAGCAATGGTTCATTCAGTGGCTTCATGAACAAAACTCTTTCCACTTTATATTTGATGAAGCTGAGAGAACAGTCACACCTCAGAGATATTGCCGGTTCGGCTCCAGACCACTGCAATAAAGCAAATACCTCAATAAAGCAAGTCACACAAATTTTTTGGTTTCATTGTGCATATAAGTTATGTTTACATTACACTATAGTCTATTAAGTATGCAATAACTTTATATCTTAAAATCCCAGCACTTTGGGAGGCTGAGGCAGGCAGATCACGAGGTCAGGAGATCAAGACCATCCTGGCTAACATGGTGAAACCCCGTCTCTACTAAAAATACAAAAAATTAGCTGGGTGTGGAGGCAGGCACCTGTAGTCCGAGCTACTCGGGAGGCTGAGGCAGGAGAATGGCGTGAACCTGGGAGGCGGAGTTGGCAGTGAGCCAAGATCGTGCCACTGCACTCCAGCCTGGGTGACAGAGCAAGACTCCGTCTCAATAAATAAATAAATAAATGTTAAAAATGTTAGCGATTATCTGATCCTTCAGTGAATCAATCATTTTGCCGATGGGGGGTCTTGCTTCAATGTTGATGGCTTCTGCATGATCAGGGTGGTGGTTGCTGAAGGCTGGGGTGGCTGTGGCAATTTCTTAAAATAAGACAACAATGAAATTTGCTGCATTAACTTATTCTTCCTTTCATAAAAGATTTCTCTGTAGGATGTGATGCTGTTTGATAACACTTTACCCACAGTAGAACTTCTTTCAAAATTGGAGTCAATCCTCTCAAACCCAGCCACTGCTTTATCAACTAAGTTTATGGAATGAATATTCTAAATCCTTTGTCATTCCAATAATGTTCACAACATCTCCACCAGGAGTAGATTCCATCTCAAGAAGTAGATTCCATCTGTTTGGGTTTTATCAAGAGATGGCAGCAACTCAGTCACCTTCAGGCTCCACTTCTAATTCTAGTTCTGTTGCTATTTCCACCACATCTGCAGTGACTTCCTCCACTGAAGTGTTGAAACCCTCAAAGTCATCCATGAGGCTTGGAATCAACTCCTCTAAACTCCTGTTTATGTTGATATTTTGACCTCTTCCTATGAATCACAAATGTTCTTAATGGCATCTAGAGTGGTGAATCCTTTCTAGAAGATTTTCAAATTACTTTGCCCAGACCCATCAGAGGAATCACTATCTATGGCAGCTATAGTACAAAATCAATTTCTTAAATAATAAGACTAGGAGGTAAAAATTACTCATTGATCCATGGGCCACAGAATGAATGTTAAATTATCATGCATGAAAACAACATTCATCCCCTTGTACATCTCCATCAGAGCTCTTGGGTAACTAGGTGCACTGTCAATGAGCAGTAACATTTTGAAAGGAATCTTTTTTTCTGAGCAGTAGGTTATAACAGTGGGCTTAAAATATTCAGTAAACCACGCTATAAACAGATGTGCTGTTATTCAGGCTTTGTTGTTTCATTTCTAGCACATAGGCTGAGTAGATTTAGCATCACTCTTAAGGGCCTCTGGATTTTTGGAATAGTAAGTGAACAAGGTGGCTTCACCTTCGAGTCACCAGCTACATTAGCCCCTAGCAAGAGAGTCAGCCTATCTTTTGAAGCCAGGCATTCACTTCTGTCAATGACAGTCCTAGATGGCATCTTCTTTCGATATAAGGCATTTTGTCTACACCAGAAAATGATCTTAGCTAGATCTGGATAACTTGCTGGAGCTTCTACATCAGCACTTGCTGCTTCACCGTGCACTTTTACGTTATGGAGATAGCTTCTTTCCTTAAACCTCATGAACCAACCTCTCTGCTGGCTTCCAACTTTTCTTCTGTAGCTTCCTCACTTCTCGGCCTTCAAAGAAGTGAACAGAGTTAGGACCTTGTTCTAGCTTTGGCCTAAAGGAATGTTGTGTTTGGCTTGATCTTCCATCCAGACCACTAAACCTTCTCCATCTCAGCAATAAGGCTGTTTCGCCTTTTTTATTTTATTTTTTTTTTGAGACGGAGTCTCACCTGTCACCCAGGCTGGAGTGCAGTGGCGTGATCTCAGCTCACTGCAACCTCCACCTCCTGGGTTCAAGCGATTCTCCTGCCTCAGCCTCCCAAGTAGCTGGGATTACAGGTGTGTACCATCACATCTTGCTAATTGTGTATTTTTAGTACAGATGATGTTTCACTATGTTGGCCAGGCTGGTCTCGAACTCCTGACCTCAGGTGATCTGCCCACTTTGGACTCCCAAAGTGCTGGGATTACAGGCATGAGCCACCACACCCAGCCAGCTGTTTCACTTTCTTATCATTCATGTGTTCACTGGGGTAGCACTTTTTTTTTTTTTTTTTTTTTTTGAGATGGAGTTTCACTCTTGTCACCCAAGCTGGAGTGCAGTGGTGCGACCTCAGCTCACTGCAACCTCCACCTCCTGGGTTCAAGCATTTCTCCTGCCTCAGCCTACCGAGTAGCTGGGATTACAGACATGCACCACCACGCCCGGCTAATTTTTGTATTTTTAATAGAGACTAGGTTTTACCATGTTGGCCAGGCTGGTCTCGAACTCCTGACCTCAGGTGGTCCGCCCACCTTGGCCTCCCAAAGTGCTGGGATTACAGGTGTGAGCCACTGCACCCGGCCCACTGGGGTAGCACTTTTAAATTTCCTTCAAAAACTTTTCCTTTGCATTCACGACTTGATAGTCTGGCACAAGAGGCCTACGTTTTGGCCTGTCTTGGCTTTTGACAGGCCTTGCTCACTAAGCTTAATGATTTCTAGCTTTTGATTTAAAATTAGAGAGGGGTGACTCTTCCCTTCACTTGACCACTGAGAGGCCACTGTAGAGTTATTAATTGGCCTAATTTCAATATTGTTGTATCTCAGGGAATAGGAAGGCTTGAGGAGAGGGAGAGAGATGGTGTAACAGCTGGTCTGTGGAACAGTATGAACGCATATAACATTTATCAATTAAGTTTGCCATCTTATATGAGTATGGTTTCTAGCACCCCAAAACAATTATAACAGTAACATCAAAGATCATTTATCACAGATCACTGTTAACAGATATCAGTGTTTGAAATATTGGGAGAATTACCAAAATGTGACACAGAGACACAAAGTGAGCACATGCTGGAAAAATGATACTGGTAGACTTGCTCCATGGATGGTTACAACAAACCTTCAATTTGTTAGCAAAGTGCAATAAAACAAGGTAGGCCTTCAGCCTGGGCAACATGGTGAGATCTCGTCTCTACAAAAAAAAAAAAATACAAATTACCCAGGCATGGTGCTGCATGCCCGTGGTCCCAGCTACTTGGAAGGTTGAGGCACGACAATTGCTTGAACCAGGAGGCGGAGGCTGTAGTGAGCCAAGACTGTGCCACTGCATGCTACTGTTTTTATTATGGTTAATTTTATTTTCTTTAATTTTTTTACTTTTGGGGGTTTTTCCACAAAGACCAGAAAACCTGCTAGACAAATTCTAGCAGAGTTGAAACATTTATTTTTGTTTTTATTAGTGCAAAGACTATGGTGTTCCACAGATTTAGAGTGGTTTGCCTCAACTCTATTTTTCCCATAAGTCCTGTTTACTTTAGTGCACGATTTTGCAGAATGGGGGCTTTTCGGAAAAGCATATATGGCAGTATAGCAGAAACATCTGTACTCAAAATTAAGTCAAGGAAGAAGTATGGGACCAATAAAGCAGAGCTATGTAGCAAACATAAGTATGGGCCAGGTACAGTGGCTCATGCCTGTAATCTCAGTACTGTGGGAGGCCAAGGTGGGAGAATTGCTTGAGCCCAGGAGACCAGCCTGGGCAACATAGCAAGACCCCATCTCTAAAAAAAAAAAAAAAAAAAAAGAAGTATGGTAAGAAAAGAACTGTGGATGTGGCTAGAGAACCTGGAGCTGACAGGAGACAAGCAAAAAGCCAACTCAGTTTTGAAAGTTATACTGCCAAAAGAACAACCAGCTTGGGCTAAGAGAGACTGTCACTGTTCAAGACCAAAGTGATCTTTGGGTTCTCAAGTGTCAATGACAGAAAGTAGGCTAGGAAAGGTATTCATCCTCCTAAGGGGGTATATCCCCCATTGTATATTTTGGACATGGCCAAGAAAGGTAATAGAAACAAAAAAGAAAAAGGTGGTCCATGAAGATGAACCTAGGGACCAAAGAAAAAACCGACATGTGAACTACTCCTCAGGGGCAAAATCAAGGCCTGTCCAAGAATATTCCCCACCCCTGGAGAGGGCCTTCTCAATGACAGCACAGAGGGATTTCAGAATTTGTTGCAGCTCATCAACTGCTCTATGTCTCCTATTCATACTCCTTTCAAACAGGAGTACTTATTTTTATTATCTTTTCACTATTCACTATTGTAATGTATACTGTATTGGGGGCAGCAGATCACTTGTCAATTTCTTTCATGGATCTCTGGATCAAGAAGAGCAACGTCTGGACCCAATGTAGAGACTGCTACGCATCACCTTCTCTTGGTGATGCCACCAAGCATCACACTGTTGCATCACTGAGGTCCTAGACTTTGAGCCTGATGCCATGATTTGATATTGTCAGTCCATAAATTTTACCAATCTATACCTTAGTAAACTCCTAGTCTGAAAAGTTGGGGCCAAGAAACTGTACTAAAAAACTGAAACGCTTGGTAAATTCTACTCTGATTTACAAAAAATGCATTTGGTAGTGGTTATAATTTGCATTTATATGATGCTTTACAGTTTACATAAAGCACATATATAGATAATTTTTTTTATTTTTTCACGAGACGGAGTCTAGCTCTGTTGCCCAGGTTGGAGTGCAGTGGCACAATCTCAGCTCACTGCAACCTCTGCCTCCTGGGTTCAAGCGATTCTCCTGCCTCAGCCTCCCTAGTAGCTGGGATTACAGGCGCCTGTCACCACACCCAGCTAATTTTTGTATTTTTAGTAGAGACGGGCTTTCACTGTGTTTGCCAGGCTGGTCTCGAACTCCTGACCTCGTGAGCCGCTGTCTCAGCCTCCCAAAGTGCTGGCATTACAAGCGTGAGCCACTGCGCCTGGCCTACCTAAGGCATATTTATCATATAATTGTTAAACATTTATGAAGTGCCTACTATGTGTTAGGTATTGTAGGAGTTGGAACCATCAAGGTGCTCAAAGATCTACCTGGGGAGACAGACATGAAAAATATAGCATAGCAGACCAGGCACAGTGGCTCATGCCTGTAATCTCAGCACTTTGGGAGGCTGAGGCAGGAGGATCGCTTGAAGCAAGGGAGTTCAAGAGTAACCTGAGCAACATAATGAGACCTCGTGTCTACTTTTAAATAAATAAATATATATATATATATATATATATATATATATATATATATATATATATATTTTTTTTTTTTTTTTTTAGTAGAGATAGGGTTTCACCATGTTGTCCAGGCTGGTCTCGAAGTCCTGGCCTCATGTAATCTGCCTGCCTCGGCCTCCCAAAGAGTTGGAATTACAGGCATGAGCCATCACACCTGTAATTTTTTAAAAAGTAAAAACACAGTATAGCAGTTAAGAGCACAAACTCTGAAACCAGACTGCCTGCATTAAAAATCTGGCTCTAAAACCTCATAGGTGAGTCATGACCTTGGGTAAGTTACTTCTTTATGTCTCATTTTCTGTATATGTACAATGGAGATAGTCGTAGTTCTACCTCATGGATTACTGGTATAAATGCTTATGAAAATACTTAGCAATAGTAAGCACTATTATAAGTATTTGCTAAATACACTCACCTATACACATAACATACAGTGGCAGTATGTGAAGGGAGGTGGTGAACAGGCCACGGGAAGTTTCAGAGATGAGATAAAGCTGGGGCTGGTCTTGAAGGACAAGCAGAAGTCAGATGGAGAAGTGGGAAGGTAAGAATGTTGCACACAAAAAACACCACAGGAAAATGACAGGAATGAAACCATGTGGGTTTTTTTACCTACTTATGCATGATTACCCTACAATAACTTGGAATGCTGATATGGTTTGGATGTTTTGTCCTCTCCAAATTTCATGTTGAAATGTAATCCTCAATGTTGGAGGTGAGGCCTGGTGGGAGGTGTTTGGGTCATGGGGGCAGATCCCTCATGAATGGCCCAGTGCTGTCCTCGAAGGAATGAGTTATTTCTTGCTCTGAGTTTACATGAGATCTGGTTAAGACTGTGGCACTTCCCCAATCTCTATCTCTTGCTTGCTCTTTCACCATGTGATACACCTGCTTCCCCCTTTGCATTCTGCCATGATTGTACACTTTCTGAGGCCCTTAACAGAAGCCAAGCAGATGTTGGTGCCAGGCTTGTACAGCCTGCAGAACCACAAGCCCAAATAAACCTCTTTTCTTTACAAATTACCCAGCCTCAGGTATTCCTTTATAGCAATGCAAACAGACTAATACAAATGCTGCTCCCATTTTACAGCTGAGGCTCAACTTTCCCGTTGTCATTGCTGGTAAGTGATGGAACAAGTGTTTGAATTCTGCTTTTCTAACTCCTAGTCCAAGTTTACCACACTGTCTCCTACTGAGTTAATGGTAAACAACAGTCTCAAAAGATGTACTTAGGTTTTTGAACAACAAAATACCTTTACAATACAAAGCAAATAACAGAATTCCAGACTCATGTTTGAGGGTGTAAATTTTATCCTTAGCTGGTGAAACTCATACCTTCCTTCAGAATGTCCAGAATGTTAGGTTAATTCATATGGATACATTTCAGTTTTCAAACTGATCCACCTGTAGTCTGGGTTTCACAGTAACCACTTTTAACAAACTAAAGACTCAAAATTTAAAGTATATTTTTAGTTCATCTTCTTGCAACAAAATGGTAAGCTTTCAAATGGGTAAAACCTAAATAAATTTGTCAACTTTGAATTTTGTATGTAAAGTAGAAGTTATAGAAACAAAATTTACATTGAAAAGGGTTTTGTTATTACAGTATCAACGCATATTTATAAATGTCCTTCATTTCCAAAGGTGCTCACAATATCGACCTGTAAATAGAAAAGCTACCAACATCAACTTGTAACAGTCATCTTCACAACAAACAAAAACATCAAATGTCATATATCACTGGGCCTTATTTTGGATAAGCATTACAAGCTGTTCTCAGATGCATACATTTTATATGGTCAAGAAACAGAACTACAGTCTCATCTAATAAAAATGTAATATGTCAAACAATTTTTAAGCAGTCCATCTAATCCACTCTCTGTAAGAAGTGGAATTGAGAAATGCTTGTCACCTTCAGTTTTAGACAAAGCTTTTATAAAAATAAAATTTCATTGTAGTTTTTTACACACGCATTTAAATGAGACTGCCATTGTGTTTCCTCAACAATATGCAAGTGCAACTAGTAAAAGAGGACAAAGGAGAGACGCACTCTTCCTAGGTACTACCTAATTACCTTCAAGCATCAACAGTTTCTACATTTCCATATAAGATAATACAAACTAATGTGCATTAGTCATTACACAAGTCAGCTGAAGCAATCTTAACTTTCACCAATAAGCACCACGCCCAGGGCCAAAGAAGAAATCAAATACTAATTAAGCTATACCACAGGACCGACATGATCACAATGTATATTCAGAATATTTTCCCATTATTCAATTCCATTCACAAATGTCATCTACAGATAGGAGAATATAACTTGAAGCAATTTTTAAAAAGAAGGTAAGTTTTGTGTGTACTGTTGCCATCTTTTCTGTCAGAATCAGACAAAGTACTGGCTCAAATAAAATTCAGTGCCCTTAAAACCAACCAGAAGAACATATTTACAAGATATATAACCTTGGAAGGTCTCAGTCTAGCCTTAACCAAAGGTCACTATATGGAATGCAATTATTTTTATTTTTGCAAAAACGTGGGCTATATTATTATTTTGAGATGGAGTCTCACTCTGCCACCCAGGCTGGAGTGCAGTGGCATGATCTCAGCTCACTGCAATCTCTACCTACCAGGTTAAAGTGATTTTCCTGTCTCAGCCTCCTGAGTAGCTAGGACTACAGGTGCACACCACAGCTAATGTTTAATTTTAATTTTAATTTTTAGCATGACTAATTTTTAATTAGGTGCATGCCTGGCTAGTTTTTTGTGTTTTTAATAGAGATGGGGTTTCACTATGTTGCCCAGGCTGGTCTTGAACTCCTGGTCTCAGGTGATCCACCCGCCTCGGCCTCCCAAAGCGTTAGGTTTACAGGTGTTTACAGGTGTGAGCCACCACACCTGGCCAAAATACAATTAATAAATGGAGTAGTCCATTTTTAAAACAGCAACTATATCAGTATCTTGATCGTTATTAACTGATATCCTGCCTATTAACTTTATTAAAAAAAATCAGAGGCCGGGCACAGTGGCTGACACCTGTAATCCCAGCACTTTGGGAGGCTGAGGCAGGTGGATCACCTGAGATTGGGAGTTCGAGACCAGCCTGACCAACATGGAGAAACCCTGTCTCTACTAAAACAAACAAACAAACAAACAAAAACCAAAAAACAAAATTAGCTGGGCGTGGTGACACATGCCTGTAATCCCAGCTACTCCAGAGGCTGAGACAGGAGAATTGCTTGAACCCAGGGAGGCGGAGGTTGTGGTGAGCCAAGATTGCATCCAGCCTGGGCAGTAAGAGCAAAACTCCATCTCAAAAAAAAAAAAGAAAAAAGAGAAAGAAAAGAAAAGGGCTTATGAATGTGTCTTTTTTTTTTTTTTTTTTGGGACGGAGTCTCGCTCTGTCACCCAGGCTGGAGGGCAGTGGCGCGATCTCAGCTCACTGCAAGCTCTGCCTCCCAGGTTCACGCCATTCTCCTGCCTCAGCCTCCCAAGTAGCTGGGACTACAGGTGCCCGCTACCACGCCCGGCTAATTTTTTGTATTTTTAGTAGAGACGGGCTTTCACCGTGTTAGCCAGGATGGTCTCGATCTCCTGACCTCGTGATCCACCCACCTCGGCCTCCCAAAGTGCTGGGATTACAGGCGTGAGCCACCATGCTTGGCCAAATGTGCCTTTTCTTAAACTCCTAAAGGTAACACCACAAATTAGAACTGAGATATATTTATCAGGTGTAAGTATAGGTACAGATGTTCACATTGTGGCTACCTATGATATAATCCACTATGAGAGATGTCAAATTGACTAGATCATTGTGAACCTGAATTTAAAACTCATTTAGAAAATGAAAATAACTCAGATATGTCTTTATTACACTCTTGTATTTTATAAAAAATAAAAAAATAAAAAAATAAAAATCACAAATATTTTAGATTTGTGGATAACATCAGAAAATGCTGGGAATTTATTTTATACATTTGGCCTACAAAAAGACAAAGGAGTGTTATTGTTTTCTCATTAACAAAAATTTTTTGACACTTCAAAAATTAACATTTTGTATAAAAATTAGCCATGCATGGTAGTGCATGCCTGTAGTCCCAGCTATTTGGGAGGCTGAGGCAGGAGAATCGGTTGAACCAGGGAGGCGGAGCTTGCAGTGAGCTGAGATCGCAGCACTGCACTCCAGCCTGGGTGAGACAGTGAGACTTCGTCTCAAAAAATAAAATAAAATAAAATATAAAATAAAAGGCTGGGCATGGTGGCTCACACCTGTAATCCCAGCATTTTGGGAGGCCAACACCTGAAGTCAGGAGTTCAAGACCAGCTTGGCCAGCGTGGCAAAACCCTGTCTCTACTGATAATACAAAAATTTAGCTGGTGGTGGTCACCTATAATCCCAGCTACTTGGGAGGCTGAGGCAGGAGAGTTGCTTGAACACAGCAGACTGAGGTTGCAGTGAGCTGAGATCGCACCACTGCACTCCAGCCTGGGGACATTGCCTCAAAATAAATAAATAAATATAACATTTTGAAAACATCTTAACTGAACTAGTCTTAAACCAAGAGGTATGAATAAATAGTCTAAAACAAAAATATTTGAAACCAGGTAGGAAGTTTTAACCCAAACATAATGTATGCAAAACATAGCCAACAGAAAAAGACAAATTGCTAACACACCTCTGCCTTTTCCTTCCCATAAGCCTGTATGTTCCCTCTCCGATTCTTTTGAAATATACAAATCCTCTCTCTCCCAAAAGGAACACACACAATTTTACAAACAATTTCAAGGGATCCACCTATTCCCAGAAATCCATCCAAGGATTCTCTAGGGGTCCCAAAACCCCAGGCTAAAAACTCTCATCACAGAGCAGATTTTACCTTTCCTTGTGATATATATTTAACTTTTTTTGAAGACAGAGGTCTTGCTATGTTGCTCAGGCTGGTCTCAAACTCCTGGCCTCAAATGATCCTCCTGCCTTGGACTCCCAAGTGCTGAGATTACAGGTGTGAGCTGCTGCACCCAGCCTGTAGTATATATTTACTTAGACAAAGTTTGTAAATTAAATTTTTCTCTACCTCTTTCCTTCTTCTCCCTACCCCCTTTTCTTTCAGTTTCTCCAGCATATCTATGGTCAGAAATGAATTAACAAAACTCATGCCTATAGTCTTAGCACTTTGGGAGGCTAAGGCAGGAGGATCATATGAACCCAGAAGGTTGAGGCTACAGTGAGTTATAACTGCACCACTGCACTCTGGCCTGGGCAACAGAGCAAGAAGACCCTGTCTGAAAAAAATAATAAAATAAAATAATTTTTTTTTTTTGAGACAGAGTCTCGCTCTGTCGCCCAGGCTGGAGTGCAGTGGCGCGATCTCAGCTCACTGCAAGCTCCGTCTCCTGGGTTCACGCCATTCTCCTGCCTCAGCCTCCCGAGTAGCTGGGACTACAGGTGCCTGTCACCATGCCCAGCTAATATTTTGTATTTTTAGTAGAGACGGGGTTTCACCTTGTTAGCCAGGATGGTCTCGATCTCCCAACCTCGTGATCCGCCCACCTCGGCCTCCCAAAGTGCTGGGATTACAGGCATGAGCCACTGCACCCGGCCAAAATGAAATAATTTAAAAAATTAAAACGGAAAGAATATGAAGACATTTCTCTAAAGAAGATATACAAATGGGCCAGGCGTGGTGGCTCACACCTGTAATCCCAGCACTTTGGGAGGCCAAGGTGGGTGGATCACAAGGTCAGGAGATCGAGACCATCCTGGCTAACATAGTGAAACCCTGTCTCTACTAAAAAAAAAAAAAAAAAAAAAAAAATTACCCAGGTGTGGTGGCGGGTGCCTGTAGTCCCAGCTACTTGGGAGGCTGAGGCAGAAGAATGGTGTGAACCCAGGAGGCGGAGCTTGCAGTAAGCCGAGATCGTGCCACTGCACTCCAGCCTGGGCGACAGAGTGAGACTCTGTCTCAAGAAAAAAAAAAAAAAAAAAAAAGAAGATATACAAATGGCCAATGCGTAAAGGAAAAGATGCTTAACATTATTCAGCATTAGTGAAATGCAAATCAAAATCTCAATGAGATACCACTTCACACCTACTAGGATGGCTATAATAAAAAATTGGAACACAGCAAGTGTTGGTGAGGATGTGAAGATATTGGAAGCCTCATATGTTACTGGTAGGAATATAAAATGGTACACTGGAGAACAGTTTGGCAGTTCCTTAAAAAAAAAAATTAAACAGTTAACATATGACTCAGCAATTCCAGTTCCAGGCATAAACTCAGGAGAACCAAAAACATGTTCATACGAAAACTTGTAAACAAATGTTCACAGAAGCATTATTTATAATAGCCAAAAGGCAATCCAAATATACATCAACTGATGAGTGGATAAACAAAATATATAATCATACAATGGAATATTATCTGCTATAAAAAGGAATGAAGAAGTCAGGTGTAGTGGCTCATGCCTGTAATCCCAGCACTTTGGGAGGCTGTGGTGGGATGATCACTTGAGCCCAGGAGTTTGCAACCAGCCTGGTCAACATAGCAAGACCTCGTCTCTACAAAAAGTTTTTCAAAAATTAGCTGGGTGTAGCGGTGCACATTTGTAGTCCTAGCCACTCAGGAGGCTAAGGTGGGAATATTGCTTGAGCCTGGGAGGTTGAGGCTGCAGTGAGCCATGATCATTCCACTACACTCCAGTCTGGGCAACAGAGTGAGACCCTGTCTCAAAAAGAAGAAATGGCCGGGCATGGTGACTTAGGCCTGTAATCCCAGAACTACGGGAGGCTAAGGCAGGTGAATTGCTAGAGTTCAGGAGTTCGAGACCAGCGTGGGCAACATGGTGAAACCCCATCTCTACCAAAAATACAAAATTTAGCTGAGAGTGGTGGCATGCACCTGTGGTTCCAACTACTTGAGAGGCTGAAGCAGGAGAATTGCTTGAACTCAGGAGGCAGAGGTTGCAGTGAGCTGAGATCTTGCCACTGCACTCCAGCTTGGGAGACAGAGCAAGACTCGATCTCCAAAAAAAAAAAAAAGGGAATGTAGTACTGATATGTGGTACAAGATGGAAAAACCCCGAAAGCATTATGCTAAGTGAAAGAAGCCAGACATAACAGGCTACCTAGTTGTATGACTCTATTTATATGAAACAGCCAGAATAAGCAAATAGAGACAGAAAGTAAATCGTCATTAACAGGAGCTGGGAGTAGGGAGGAGGGGGGAGTGACTGCTGATGGGCTCCAGGTTTCTTTTGGGGGCAATGAAAATGTTCTGGAATTAGACATAGGTGATGGTTGCACAATCTTGTGAATATACCAAAAACTGCAGACTTGTATGCTTTAAAATGATAAATTTTATAGTAAATGAATTATATTTCAATAACAAAATCAAATAGGCTATTTGGATATAAATAGTTCAAAGGTGATCTGAAGTAATAAGATCATGTGAAAATAAATTATGATATTTTGTATAAAATGATATTATTGATTTACTGGATAGCTCATAAACTGCAACCTGGTCACAGTGCTGAGAATCAACAGATCTGGATAGGCTCTATTTGGAACTCTTCCATACTGCTGGGCAGGTTATTTCACCTTTCTAGCTCTCAGTTTTTTCAGCCACGAACTCACGGGATTCCCTTCCACGACTGACATTTAATGTTCTACAAGTTTGTGCTGATTATTTGTGTCTATTCTGTTACCTAATTCATCTGGTCACCTATTGCCACACAGGTAACTCCCAACTTTTCAATATTAAGGGTTATCACACACCCCTTACCCCACCCTACCCCACCATGTTCTCTCTTATTATTAAAAAAAAACTGTGTCTAAGAATTTGCATTGAGGTCATACTTTATTTGTTACTAATCAAATATATATATAACAGCCAGTTATGATATTTTGGTTACACTGTAAAGTGTTACCATAATTTCAATTCAACTCTTTGAACACAAAAATTAGCTTATGAATCTCAGTTTGGAGATACTTGGGTTAAGAAAACAGTCCACAGTCTTTAAATAAATATGATGCTTGATGGAAATGACCCCACAACCTTAACCATGGAATAGGTAGGTTTTTCTAAACACAACACAGAGTCCACCACACTTTCTTAGGGTAGACAGAGATGTGAGCACACTTAACACCATTCCTTGGATGATTCTATTCATAATCCTCTGCCTTAGTCAGAAAGCATTTAAGGCAATATGCAAAAAAGGATGTAGAAGAAATCCATGAAGCCTAAGACCTGTCATATCTATTGTTACCTTTACTTTTTTTTTTTTGTTTTGATACAGAGTCTCCCGCCATCGCTCAGGCTAGAGTGCAGTGGTGCAGTCTTGGCTCACTGCAACCTCCGCCTCCTGGGTTCAAGCAATTCTCCTGCCTCAGCCTCCTGAGTAGCTGGGATTACAGGCACGCGCCACCATGCCCAGTTAATTTTTGTATTTTTAGTAGAGATGAGGTTTCACCATGTTGGCCAGGCTGGTCTTGAACCCCTGACCTCATGATCTGTCTGCCTCGGCCTCCCAGAGTGCTGGGATTACAGGCATGAGCTGCCATGCCCAGCCCTTTTTTTTTTTTTTTTTGGAGACAGAGTCTCACTCTGTCACCTAGGCCCCGGCTGGAATGCAATGGCATGATCTCAGCTCACTGCAACCGCTACCTCCCAGGTTCAAGTGATTCTCCTGCCTCAGCCTCACAAGTAGCTGAGATTATGGGCATGCACCACCACGCCCAGCTAACTTTTGTATTTTATTAGAGACAGGGTTTCACCATGTTGGCCAGGCTGATCTTGAACCTCTGACCTCAAGTGATCTGCCTGCCTCAGCCTCCCAAAGTGCTGGGATTACGTGAGCCACGGTGCCCGGCCTTTTACTTTTTTTTTTTTTTGAGACAGAGTCTTGCTCTGTCACCCAGGCTGGAGTACAAAGACGCAATCTCGGCTTACTGCAACCTCCACCTACCAAGTTCAAGTGATTCTCCTGCTTCAGCCTCCTGAGTTGCCGGGATTACAGGCGCATGCTACCACACCCAGCTAGTTTTTGTATTTTTTTTAGTAGAGATGGAGTTTCATCATGTTGGATCACGAGGTCAGGAGTTCGAGAACAGCCCACCTCAGCCTCCCAAAATGCTGGGATTATAGGCATGAGCGACCACACCCGGCCCCGGCCTACTTTTCTTAATGGTGTTTTTTTTTTTTTTTTTTTTTTTAAGTATGTAAGTCACAGGTTGAGTGAAATAAAATCTGGTAACAATGCCACAACTGTTACATTTTAACACAACTTGTTAAAATTAAAGGTGATCAGGCATGGTGGCTCATGCCTATAATCCCAGCACTGGGAGCCAAGGTAGGAGGATCACTTGAAGCTGGGAGTTTGAGATCAGCCTGGGCAACATGGCGAGATCCCATGTCTACAAAAATTTTTTAAAAATTAGCCAGGTGTGGTGGTGCATGCCTACAATCTTAGCTATTCAAGAGGCTGAGGTGGGAGGATCACTCGAGCCCGAGAGTTCCAGGCTATAGTAAGCTATGATCATGCTGCTGCCCTCCAGCATGGGCAACAGACCAATACCCATTCTCTTAAAAAAAAAAAAAAAAAGAAAAAAGAAAAATTAAAGGCAAAAATGCCCAACAACTCTGTAGGTAGCTTACTTAGAACAAAATTTAACTCAATAGAGGTTTTCTACACTGGATGTTGGCAAACTGATCCAGTGGATCCTTCCTCCCTTTTGGGAAGTATAGTTGAACACAGAGAAGAGACTGATTACTAGGGTTTGAGTTGTTACCCTAAATACACTGAGTTACGCTTTATGAATCTTCATGAGACATCCAGTATATCTGTCTTAGAAGTAATGGGACTCTGTGTTACTAAAACTACTGCTACTCAAACAAGGGATTTATTTATTTTTTATCTAGAGGTAAATAATAAACAAGGAGCCCATGTCTTCTTTTTTCCCTGAATGCAGAAATTCCTTTTTCTTTTCTAATTAAAATGTGAAGTTTATAGGTCTCATGGGTTTATACACTAAGCGCTGTCTGTCCAATTCCTACATTCTATTCATGCATTTACAAGCTTTGATTATTATCTACATGCAAAGTACCAAGAGGCTAATATAAAGAGAAAATATTTATTCTTTAAAATAATCATTGCATTGACCCTCACCTTCACAAGCTTAAAATTAGGTTGAGAAGCAAGACCTATGCACAAAAAATAAGTCATGATTGCCAAATACAACAATTTTTTGTTTTTGAGACAGAGTCTCACTCCAACGCTCAGGCTGGAGTGCAGTGGCGCGATCATGACTCACTTCAGCCTCGACCTCCCAGGCTCAAGTAATCCTCCCACCTCATCTTCCTGAGTAGCTGGCACACGCCACCATGCCTGGCTAATTTTTTTTTTTTTTTTGGTAGAGACGGAGTCTTACTGTATTGGTCTGCCCATGTTGGTCTTAAACTCCTTGCCTCAAGCGATCCTCCTGCCTCAGCCTCCCAAAGTGCTGGGATTACAGCGTCAGCCACTGCACTCCACCAGTTTCTGAACTCTTAAAAAGCATAAGAATGAGAACCAACACCTTCTGCTAGATGTCACCTTGTCTGGATGTGATGCATGGAACTGTGGTAACCATCTTGCATCTATAATGTGTGCTGGCCAAAAGACAAGGCAGACATGTTCAAGCTGGCAGAGCAGAAGGGCGAAAAGAAGAGGGGTCCTGACTGATGTCACTAAACCACAGATTTAAACCAACCCTAGACTGAGGCGTCTTGTTACTTGTAAGGATATATTTTCCTTAGTTTGAATTACTTTGAATTGGATTTTCTATTACTTGAAGTCTACAGCATCCTAATAATGCATACAGTCATGTTTGAGATGCAAATTAGACAATTAAGTAGAGTTGTCCAATAGCCAACTGGATAGAAGCACCTGATCAAAGGAAAAGTCAACACTATAGCTACATATTTAGGAGATATCAGCAAACAGAAAGAATTTACATTTGGGGGCTGAGGAGACAGGATAAACAGAAAAGAAGGGGCTGAGCACCAAGCCTTAGGGCACCCCAAGGGCAGAGAAGAAAAGGATAACAATGAAGAAAGAAGAAATTAACAGTGAGGTAAAACAAAAACACTAAAGTACAGTGCACAGAAGCCAAGAGATTAAAAAAGACAGAGAAAAATGACCACTGAATTCAGTGACTCAATAATTCCTTAACATGAAGGTCCCCTTGTCCTTCCACCAGCCTCCTCCTCTCTGAAAAAAACACCAGACTTCATTAGCATAATGGTTAAGGGCTCAGACTTGGGCGGACTTCTGGAGCTATCACTCACTAGCTGTGGGTGATACTTAACCAGCCACACTAGTTAAAAGTGTGATCAGGAGGGGAATGGAAGCTGAGGAACAGAGCTAGAGTAGAACTCAAAACAAAGAAAAGGTCTGAGTTAGGAAATTTTTTTTTTTTTTTTTTTTTTGAGACGTAGTCTCACTCTGTCGCCTAGGCTTGGAGTGCAGTGGCATGATCTCGGCTCACTGCAACCTCTGCCTCCCAGGTTCAAGTGATTCTTTTTTTTTTTTTTTTTTTTTTAAGTGTATTTTCCATTTAATGCCCCCCATGTTATTTCAGGACCTATTTAAAAGTAATAACAAAAAGCAACATAATCCAAAATTACATGTTTTATTTTCATGTTTGTAAAATGAAGAGGTTTTTTTCTGGATGGTTTTCTTATCAGCTTTTCACATAACAGTCAAGTAAACCTCGTGGCACTAGCCAGAAATCGTTGCAACTTTGGAACTTCCAAGACAATCTGGCCTCTATCAATGGGCAGACAGCGACCCTCATTCAAAATGAAGCTGCTAGTCAGTGACATCCGACATTATCTTCACTGGCTACTCGTCCACACTCAGAATGCTGTGAAGAGTGTCAGGTTTTAACCAAGCGATTTTCCATTAAATATTCTCCCAGATGTTCTGGAATTTTTTTTGTGTATTTTTGCATCTTCACAGAGCTGCTCCGCTGTGCCACTGAAGACAGAGCCATTGTTCCTGCCACACGACCAAACGATCGCGAAGGCCGATGTAAAAGCCAAGAGATTCTTCTGCCTCAGCCTCCCGAGTATCTGGGACAACAGGCACATGCCACCACGCCCAGCTAGTTTTTGTATTTTTACTAGAGACGGGGTTTCACCATATCGGCCAGGCTGGTCTTGAACTCCTGACCTCGTGATCCACCTGCCTCTGTTTCTCAAAGTGCCGGGATTACAGGCGTGAGCCACCACTCCCAGCCTTGAGTTTGGACTTTTAAAGATGGGAGAAACAGCATGTTTAAATGCTGAAGGGAAAGATCACCTCTGATTACAAAACTCTATTACAGAAATAACATTTTGGGGCCGGGTGCAGTGAATCACGCCTGTAATCCCAACACTTTAGGAGGCCGAGGCGGGCGGATTACTTGAGGCCAGGATTTTGAGACCAGCTTGGCCGACATGGCAAAGCCCCATCTCTACCAGAGATAGAAAAATTAATCCCAGCTGGGCACGGTGGCTCACACCTATAATCCCAGCACTTTGGGAGGCCCAGGCGGGTGGATCACTGGAGGTCAGGAGTTTGAGACCAGCCTGGCCAACATGGCGAAACCTTGTCTCTACTAAATATACAAAAATTAGGTGGGTGTGGTAGCAAATGCCTGTAATCCCAGCTACTCCGGAGGCTGAGACAGGAGAATCTCTTGAAATTGGGAGGCAGAGGTTGCAGTGAACTGAGTCACTGCACTCCAGCCTGGGCAACAAAGCGAGACTCTGTCTCAAAAAAAAAAAAAAAAAAAAAAGAAAGAAAGAAAAAATATATTTTGGAATTAATTATAGGTTAGTTCATTAAGCTTTTAAAAACTGGTTGGCATGGTGGCTCATACCTATACTCCCAACACTTTGGGAAGCTGAGGCAGGCGGATAGGTTGAGCTCAGGAGTTCAGCCTGAGAAACATGGCAAAACCCCATCTCTACAAGAAATACAAAAAGTTAGCCAGGTAGCATGGTGTACCTGTAGTCTCAGCTACTTGGAAAGCTGAGGCAGGAGGATAGCTTGAGCCCAGGAGGCTGGGGCTGCAGTGGAGTGGAACATTTGGGGCCTGGGCCACAGAGTGAGACCCTGTCTCCACAACAACAAAATTATATATAGAAGAAAAAGTATGGCCAGGTGCAGTGGCTTATACCTGTAATCCCAGTACTTTGAAAAGCTGAGGTGGGTGGATCACTTCAAGCCAGGAGTTCGAGATCAGTCTAACCAGCATGGTGAAACCCTACTAAAAATACAAAAAATTAGCTGGCTATGGTGGCAGGCTCCTGTAATCCCAGCTACTCAGGAAGCTGAAGCAGGAGAATCATTTGAACCCAGGAGGTGGAGGTTGCAGTGAGCTGAGAGTCGAGATCAGGCCACTGTACTCTAGACTGGGTGACAGAGCGAGACTGTCTCAAAAAGAAAAGAAAAGAAGAAAAGAAAAGAAAAACTATGACAAAACTATGTCAAAGAAAAACTATGACAAATCTTAAACTCTGCCTCATTTCAGAGCACATCAACTGAAAAAAAAAAAGATGGATGGCCTGACAAGGAAAAGAAAAAAGATGGATGGCTGGGCAAGGTGGCTCATGGCTGTAATCCCAGCACTTTGGGAGGCTGAGGTGGAAAGATCACTTGAGCCTCGGAGTTTTAGACCAGCCTAGGCAACATAGTACGACCTCATCTCTACAAAAAAAAAAAAAAAAAAAAAAAAATTAGCCGGGTGTGGTGGTGCATGCCAATAGTCCCAGCTACTCAGGAGACTGAGAAGGAAGGATCGCTTGAGCCAGGGAGGTCAAGGCTCCAGTGAGCTGTGACCACACCACTACACTCTGGCCTGGGCAACAGCAAGACTGTCTCAAAAAGAAAAAAAGAAAAAGGATACCTTTTTAAAAAGTAGTAATAGAAAATAGTAAAGGAAAAGCGTCTAATTTTCTCTTGGTTATATTACAAAGATCATTCCGTAATTAAAACACAAACCCAAAGTACTAAACCACAAAAGCCCAGGTACTTTCAGAACTAAGAAAATCTACAATACAACTACATGAAACCATCTGGAATATCCCCTTAAAACACTTTTAGTCTTCAAAACTTTCTCAAATCTGGCCAGGCGTGGTAGCTCACGCCTGTAATCCCAGCACTTTGGGAGGCCAAGGCAGGCAGATCGCCTGAGATCAGGAGTTCGAGACCAGCCTGACCAATATGGCGAAACCCCATCTCTACTAAAAGTACAAAAATTAGCCGGGCATGGTGGCAGGCGCCTATAATCTCAGCTACTCAGGAGGCTGAGGCAGGAGAATCGCTTTAACCCGGGAGGCAGAGTTTGCAGTGAGCCAAGATTGCGCCACTGCACTCCAGCCTGGATGACAAGAGCAAGACTCAGTCTCAAAAAAAAAAAAAAGAATTTTCTCAAATCTAAAGTATTTTTTCGCTTTGGTCTTACTGAAGAAGTATGTTGTCTTGAGATAAGCTTTCTATAAACTTGTGTACAAGAACCACATAAGAAAATATTTAAAAATTTTTATGTTAAATTCAGGAAATTCTAAAATGTGAAACCACTCCAAATTAAAACATGACCACTTCAAAGAAAAGGGGATAATTTCAAAGTTAAGACCAGAACAGCTTTTGACACAAACCACCGCATGTTGCAGAAACAGTAACCTAGTTTCATTTTGAGTATAGTGTTTGTTGCCCTCAAGGGATCTGCAACTTTCGAGCAAGACTTTTTTTCATTAAATGCCAGATAACAGATAAAGGGGGGGGGGGGGGGGGAATCAATACATTTTCATGCTACAACATATCTTAACTCTTCAGTTTAAAAGAAGAAAAGCACAGTCCATATGAACACACATGTGTATCATATTGACAAACCTCAGTTACTGGTGACCACACGAAAATTTCAACTCAAGGCTGAACTATAGAACATGTGACAATTTAATGATCTGCTTGTGAGGAGAAAACCCCCCTCAGTATCACATAAAAGTCTTAGCTATTTGCTCACTGGCACAACAACTGGTCAGTAATAACATGAGCTGGGAAAGCTGATGGAAGATGTTCAAATATACAAAGGTTTTTTCCACATAGAATTTTTTTTTTTTTTTTGGCAGACTCTTGCTCTGTCACCCAGTCTGGAGTGCAGTGGCACAATCTCAGCTCACTGCAACCTCCGCCTACCAGGTTCAAGCGATTCTCCTGCCTCAGCCTCCCAAGTAGCTGGGATTACAGGTGCATGCCACCACACCCGGCTAATTTTTGTATTTTTAATAGAGATGGGATTTCACTATGTTGGCCAGGTTGGTCTTGAGCTCCTGACCTCAAGAGATCCACCTGCCTCAGCCTCCCAAAGTGCTGGGATTACAGGCGTGGGCCACCGCATCCGGCCCACATGTAATTCTTAACTATCTTTTCCCAAAATACTGTTCTCTATAATGTACAATGAATGACTGCATATTTCAGTAAAACAAAAGTCCCAAACATCTACATTTCTGAATGAACAACCTGTTCAAGACACTATCTCCCTATAAACTCCAGAGAAGTTACTTTTAGGATATAAGATAAATCCATTAGTAACCTTACACACCACAGACATTTACATTCTAACTGCACTGGAATGTCTAAAAAATTAGCCTACGAACACCAAAGTGACAGAGCCCAAGAGGAAGTGAACAGACTCCTGGCTTGCAGACAAATGAGTAGGTGGTGGAAACATTTATGTGGGGAGATGATTTTATACAATATCTTTCTTAATCTAAAGGAAACCACAGATCTTCACAATGTATGTGCTATAAATAGATGTCATCAGTCGAAAACCTTAATAAACGTTTTGTTTTTGCTTGCTTGCCTTTAAAAAAAAATAACTTTTTTTTTTTTTTTAAATAACACAAATCCAATGCGTGGTCAAGATAACCAAACCAAGGATGTGACCGAGCAGGCTGCCCAGAGCCCTGGGTACACATAACTAAGTTTAATTCACAGCTGGGCACAGTGGCTCATGCCTGTAATCCCAAAACTTTGGCAGGCCAAAGTGCGAGGATTGCTTGAGGCCCAGAGTTCAAGACCAGCCTCGGCAACATGGTGAAACTTAATCTCTACAAAAAACTTAAAAATTAGCTAGGCCGGCCAGGCGCGGTGGCTCAAGCCTGTAATCCCAGCACTTTGGGAGGCCGAGGCGGGTGGATCACAAGGTCAGGAGATCGAGACCATCCTGGCTAACACAGTGAAACCCCGTCTCTACTAAAAAATACAAAAAAAATTAGCCGGGTGTGGTGGCGGGCGCCTGTAGTCCCAGCTACTCAGGAGGCTAAGGCAGGAGAATGGCATGAACCCGGGAGGCGGAGCTTGCAGTGAGCCGAGATCGTGCCACTGCACTCCAGCCTGGGGGACAGAGCGAGACTCCGTTTCAAAAAAAAAAAATAATTAGCTAGGTATGGTGGTGCATGCCTATAGTCCTAGCTACTTGAGAAACTGAGGCAGGAGGATCACTGAACCCCAGGAGTTCAAAGTTGCAATGAGCTGTGATTGCACCACTGCACTCTAGCCTGGGCAACAGAGTGAGACCCTGTCTCAAAAAACAAGAAAAAAAAATTTATTCCCCTTCACTGATTTATGTTGAAGAAAAGATTTTAATTAATAATGTTTTTTAATATATATAATATTCTTCAAATATACTTCCCTTACCAAAATCAAAGAATTTTCACATTAGCTCACATCAAAGCAAAATTTTTTTTTTTTTTTTTTTTGAGACAGAGTCTTGCTCTGTCACCCAGGCTGGAGTGCAGTGGTGCAATCTCGGCTCACTGCAACCTCTGCCTCCCGGGTTCAAGCAATTCTCCTGCCTCAGCCTCCCGAATAGCTGGGACTACAGGCGCACGCCACCATGCCTGGCTGATGTTTTGTATTTTAACGGAGACGGAGTTTCACTGTGTTGCCCAGGCTGGTCGCGAACTCCTGAGCTCAGGCAATCCGCCTGCCTCAGCCTCCCAAAGTGCTTGGATTACAGGCGTGAGCCACCACGCTGGCCCATCAAAGCAAATTTTCTATCACTACTTTTGCTAACATCTTCAAGGAATGTGGCTAGGACAACCAAAGATAGTTTTGATCACAGAAACATTGTTCAAGTTAGCATTCCCTCCTTCCCCAACTCCCACCTAATCCCCCCTCAAAAAAGCACATTTATCTAAGAATCAAAAAGTTCTTGCCAAGTAATTATTAGTCTCTTTTATAAATGCAGGAAACTAAGGCCCACTGGCTAAAAGATGAGTCAGAGGGGCCCTAAGAGTAAGAATTAGCCAAATTTATAACTGCTATGCGCTCTTCTCCCTTAAGATAAAATCCATTCAGATGACTGGCGACTTTTTGGAAGGGGCAGTGAGGGGTGGTAGTAAGGAAGTTATCTAGATTTTTCTTTTTTTTTTTTTTTTTGAGACAGAGTGTTGCTCTGTCACCCAGGCTGGAGGGCAGTGGCGCAATCTCGGCTCACTGTAACCTCCTCCTCCCGGGTTCAAGCAATTCCCCTGCCTCAGCCTCCCAAGTAGCTGGGATTATAGGTATGTTCCACTAGGCCCAGCTAATTTTTGTATTTTTAGTAGAAACGGGGTTTCACCATGTTGGCCAGCTAGTCGAGAAATCCTGATCTAAAGTGATATGCCCACCTCGGCCTCCCAAAGTGCTGGGATTACAGGCGTAAGCCACCGCGCCTGGCCGTGTTATTTCTTCAATAAACAAAACAACTAATCCTAAACTTTAAAAAGAAATGAAGTAGGCCGGGCGTGGTGGCTCACGCCTGTAATCCCAGCACTTTGGGAGGCTGAGGTGGGCCGATCACGAGGTCAGGAGATCGAGACCATCCTGGCTAACACGGTGAATCCCTGTCTCTACTAAAAATACAAAAAATTAGCCGGGCGTGGTGGTGGGTGCCTATAGTCCCAGCTACTCAGGAGGCTGAGGCAGGAGAATGGCGTGAACCCAGAAGGCAGAGTTTGCAGTGAGCCGAGATAGTGCCACTGCAGTCCAGCCTGGGCGAAAGAGCGAGACTCCATCTCAAAAAAAAAAAAAAAGAAATGAAGTAATCAAACCCATTCAGATTCAATGCCTAAGATCATTTAGATGCGAAGTGTTAACAAAAGGATGTTGAAAAAAGCACAAGCATAAGAAACACTTAAAATCAACATCATCAAGCCTCAAAATATCAGACTTTTATTAAATTCACAAAATATTTATTGAGCACCTGCCATGTGCCAAGTGCCGCAGCCACAACTACAAGTGTAGTACAACAGATAGGATTCCTGGTCTCAGGAGGCTTACAGTCTCACAATTAGTTTATAAATAGATTGTGAGCATTTGTCCTAGTTTACTGGGAAAAGTCCTAGTTTATCACTGTTTTCTCCTAGAATAATGCTAATGATGCCCCCTCACAGGTCTCCAAGTCTGGACAAGTTACATGGTTACTTTATTTATAAAAAAACAAACAGGATGGGCTCAGTGGCTAATGCCTGTAATCCCAGCACTTTGGGAGGCTGCAGTGGGCAGATCACCTGAGGTCAGGACCTCGAGACCAACCTGGCCAATGTGGCAAAACCCTGTCTCTACTAAAAATACAAAAATTAGCTAGGCATGGTGGTGTGCACATGTAATCCCAGCTACTTGGGAGACTGAGGCAGAAGAATCACTTGAACCTGGGAGGCAGAGGTTGCACTGAGCTGAGATCATACCACTGTACTCCAGCCTGGGTGACAAGAGTGAAACTCCGTCTCAAACAAACAAACAAACTACTATTCCTATAGGGCCACATGTTTGTAAAATGCATATTAAGATTTTAATCTTTAGCTTCAAACTTATTTTAGACATTCTTCTCATTTTGATATATATATGTTATATAATGAAAGCAAATATTTGTTTTAGTTTAAAAAGAGGAAATCAACTCTGATTTTATCACATCAAAATGTATACAAAGTAAATAAAATGAATTAAAAAAATCAAAATGTCAAAGACCAAGTCCCTTGTGGGCAGGTAGCTCTTTTTAAAATACTGCTTTAGCATTCCAGCTTGTGCCTATCTTAGTACTGAGAACATATTATGGTTTCTAGATATTTCCCACTAAAAGGAAACAGGGCAGGGAATGTATGAGTTTGGAATATCTTGTCCTAAGGGAAAGAAAGGAAGCTATCAAAAACTATCAGGAATGTGTCAAAAAGAATGAGGAACCAGCCTGATAAATGCCTATCTGGCAAAGATAGGACAACTGAGTATCAAAGGATTAATAAGAGTCATGGATTGAAACACACCAAATATGCTTAAATCCACTGGTCACCTTTAGAGGATGCTAAGACAGCCAACTCATTCTTTTGAAAACAGATAAATGAAGGGCAAAAATCATTCCTATCAGATCTGTACCCTAAGGAAACTAAACAGTTGAGGGGAAATTTTATATAAGTATTCCAGCTAATAACTGAAAAACAAATTATAGAATTAAACATTATTTTGTGGCCAGGAGTGGTGGCTCATGCCTGTAATCCCAACACTTTGGAAGGCCACGATGTGTGGATTGCTTGAACTCAGGAGTTTCAGACTAGCCTGGGAAACATGGTGAAACCTGGTCTCTACTAAAAATACAAAAACTAGCTGGGCGTGATGGCACGTGCCTGTGGTCCCAGCTACTCTGGAAGCTGAGGTGGGAGGACCGCTGGAGCCTGGGAGGTAGAGGCTGCAGTGAGCCGTGATCATGCCACTGCACTCCAGCCTGGGTGACAGAGCAAGACTCTGTCTTTAAATATATATAAAATTTGCAACCCCTAATGAATGGATGTAGGCAAAAAGATCATCAATGACTCATAACAATACCCAAAAAGAGGCAACCAGCTTTTATATCTCCTAGAATTATACACCACTACCTATTAAGTAATCTTGCCCCATGCCTGCAAGAAAAATTGAACCTTGGTTTTGTTTTTTTTTTTTTTTTTTTTTTTGAGACACAGTCACTCTGTCACTGAGGCTGGAAATGCAGTGGCATGATCACAGCTCACTAGAGCCTCAACCTCCTAGGCTCAATCACTCCTGCCACCTCACCTTCCCAAATAGCTGGGACTAGAGGTGTGCACCACCACACCCAGCTAAGTTTTGTATTTTTTGTAGAGATGGGGATCTCACTATGTTGCCCAGGCTGTTCTCAAACTCCTGGCCTCAAACAATCCACCCGCCTTGGCCTCCCAAAGTGCTGGGATTACAGGTGTGAGCCACCACACCCTACCAAACCTTAATCTTATCAAGCCTATAGATCTAAACACCAATCTACAGGAAATAAAAGGGACTGAGGAACATATCAAATGACACCATGTGGATATAATTAGCAAAATTCAGACTATGGAAAACTATACAACAAATAACTTGGATTCCTCAACAAAAAACTGCAAGGAGGCTGCGCATGGTGGCGTATGTCTAACCCCAGCACTTTGGGAGGCTGAGGTGAGAGAATCTCTTGAGATCAAGAGTTCAAGACCAGCCTGGGCAACATAGTGAGACCCCTATCTCTACAAAAAAAATTTAGCTGGACACAGTGGTGTGTGTGTGCCTCCCAGCTACTTGGGAGGCTGAAGCAAGAGGATCACTTGAGCCCGGGAGATTGAGGTTACAGTGAGCCAAGACTGAGCCTCAGGCTGGGTGACAGAGCAAGACCTTGCCTCAAAAAAGAAAAGAAAAGAAAAGAAAAGAAAAGAAAAGAAAAGAAAAGAAAAGAAAAGAAAAGAAAAACCCCCGCAAGGAGAGGAATGGAGAGGCAAAGGGGGAGGGGAGAGAAAGAAAACAAACCTACCCAATCACTTCTTGGGACGCTAATTCAAACAAACTGAAAAAACAATTATGAGTCAATTGGGACATACACATACTGACTGAATACTTAATGATGCTCAGGAAGTTTTTATAAATAATATGATGTCTGGAGTTGCTTTAAAATGAGAGGGGACAGGTAGGGAAGTGTAGTGAGTGTAGCAATCCTCCTGCCATGGCCTCCCAAAGTTCTGGGATTACAGATATGCACACTGCACTCATCCTAGTGTGTTTTTTCTTATGGAACTGCCAAGTTATCCCTATGCATTTTTGTTTCCTAGAATGCTTGAGGATTTTTTCTTTTTTTCTAATAAGTGGTATGCTTCTGAATGAAACTGAATGAAAAAGAAAACAAAACAAAAAAAGAATTAAAAAAGTGATTTGCTAATGGAAGGAACACTTAAGAGTTCCATTTAAGCTGGGAGAAAAAGTGATTTTTTAAAAATCCATATCTACTTCATATTGCCAATTCCGTCCTCCTCTGCCATAAACTAAACTGTTTCAAGGAATTACTCAATTTAATGCAGTGGCCAGGTGCAGTGGCTCACGCCTGTAATCCCAGTACTTTGGGAAGGATTGAACACCTGAGGTCAGGAGTTCAAGACCACCCTGGCCAATATGGTGAAACTTTGTCTCTACTAAAAATACAAAAATTTGCCAGGCCAGCTATTCGGGAGGCTGAGACAGCAGAATTGCTTGAATCCAGGAGGCAGAGGTTGCAGTGAGTCGAGATCACACCATTGCACTCCAACCAGGGAAACAGTGCAAAATTCCATCTCAAAAAAGAAAAAAAAACAACAAAACAAATGTAATGCAGTGAGTTTGGATGCCATGGTTTGCCATAGCAGGGATTCTTTGCATTGGTAAGTGTAGAGTGAAAGATACCCAAGTACTACCTTATCTACAATGGTATTCTGCCTCAAGATCAGTAGCTTTTTCTCCTTCAAGAATCACTAAATACTTAAATTTTCTCAGAGCAAGACATGAAACCATCCTGCAGAGAAGACTCTTGACTACTACTCTCAGTTAACAGTTAATTTCCTAGTAAACAAAAGTTGGCTATTTTCCATACACTAATGGACTTAGGGGCTTATAACTATACTGAAAAGGGTACTATTGCACAAGAACTATACTCACAGAAGTGATAAATCATGTTTCTGCATGGAATACAAGAAGGGTGGGGAAAATTCTGCCCTACCTTAAAATGGCCTTGGGCAGAACTATCTGTGAATGTCACAAGATAACTCTTAAAGATACTAATGTCAAAGATAACTTACATATGTTTAAACAAACACAGAGATCCAGCTACATTATATATAGTATATATATGTGTACAATCTATGTTATAACCAAAGCGAATCCATGAACAGATATTCAGGCTTCGGAATAGAGTTTTAAAGCTTAGGATGTTTCCAAATAGAAAAAGGATATTAGCTGAAAAACTAATGAAATCTGAATTAAATACGAAGTGTAGTTAATAGTAATATACCAATGTCAGTTCCTTAGTTTTGAGAAACACACTATGGTTATGACTTTAACAAAAGAAACCATGAGGAGTTTATGAGTACAGAGTTGCACTCTACTTGTAACTTTTCTGTAAATTTAAGATTATTCCAAAAATAAAAAAAAAAAAGTGTAAGCTGGGCAGGTGGCTCATGCCTGTAATCCCAGCACTTTGGGAGGCCAAGGCGGGCAGATCACCTGAGATCAGGAGTTCGAGACCAGCCTGGCCAACATGGCAAAATCCTGTCTCTACTAAAAATACAAAAATTACCCAGACGTGGTGATGCGTGCCTGTAATCCCAGCTACTCGGGAGGCTGAGGCAGGAGAATCGCTTGAACCTGGGAGGCAGAGGTGGCAGTGAGCCGAGATCGCGCCACTGCACTCCAGCTCAGGTGACAGAGATGAGAGACTCCGCCTCAAAAAAAAAAAAAAAAATTGTGAAAAGAACTTATTGCAATAGCATAAACTATGTTATAATCACTTCAATTAACAGATTTTCTTTGATTCAAAAAGGCAGGCTGCTTTATCACCTTACTTTTCTCAAAAGTGAGACTTTTAAAAAATGGCTGGGTGCAGTGGCTCACAGCTGTAATCCCAGCACTTTGGGAGGCCAAGGCAGGCGAATCACCTGAGGTCAGGAGTTCAAGACCAGCCTGGTCAACATGGCAAAACCCCATCTCTACTAAAAATACAAAAATTAGCCAGGCATGTTGGCAGATGCCTATAATCCCAGCTACTCAGGAAGCTGGGGTAGGAGAATTGCTTGAACCCGAGAGGCAGAGGTTGCAGTGAGCCAAGATCACACCACTACATTCCAGTCTGGGTGACAGAGCAAGACTCTGTCTACATATATATATATATATATATATATATATATATATATATATATATACACACACACACACACACACACACACACACACACACACACATATTTTTATATAAATATTTATATATATTTTAAACTTTGATGTTTTAAGACATTATCAGGATTCTCGGTAAAGACTACCAATTAGCAAGTTGACTTGGGTTTTTCACCAGAATCCACATACAAACACGTGTAAGTATGCTTTATGGCACAAATCCCAAACTGGCTAATACCAAGAAAACCTGACTGACTTCTGACATTAACTGGCATGGCTGATTACAGATCATAACACTATGGGAATTCAGCACTATTTTCCTAACCGTGAAACGTGCATATTTTTGGATGTAGCCATTGAAGAATTCACCACCAGAAGATGGTAAGTATAAAAAAAGTGTATACAAGAACATTCATTATAGCATTATTTATTATAACATAAATAATGGTACATACAGACACAGGCATACTGTATAACCATCTGAATTATGATGCAGATTTATAATAACTGACATAGAAATATGACCATATAAAAAAGATTAAAGAACATGTGAGGATGGTGTCATGCAATTTCACTACTCAAAACCACGGACATACATATATATATATGTGCGCTCATATTGAGAGATGTCTCAGGATAGAAGTAAAGGTGGAAAAGGCCATATTTTTTTTTCTTCATATTTTTCTAGAATCCTTAGTTTTAAAATAAGCATGTAGTCTGATGTAGTGACTCATGCCTGTAATCCCAGCACTTTGGGAGGCTGAGATGGGAGGATTGCTTGAGCTCAGGAGTTTTGAGGCCAGCCTGGGCAACATAGTGAGAGCCCACCTATACAGGAAAAAGTACAAAAATTAGCCAGGTGCCATGGCACATGTCTGTAAGCCCAGCTACTCAGGGGGCTGAGGCAGGAGGATCACTTGAGCCCAGGAGTTCAAGGCTGCAGTGAGTTAGGATCACACCACTGTGATCACACCACTCCAGCCTGGGTGACAGCGCAGGACTGTCTCAAAAACAAAAAAACAAACAAAAAGTTAGCCATCAGCCAAAAGACCCTAAGTTCACAGGTTGTCAATGTTAACTGCAATATTAGCTATATAATTTTAGCTTACAGATATAACATACACCATCACAATACTGTTTAACTCCAATGGACAAACTGTAATTTAAAATATCAAGTTATTTCATATAAATTCCATTTGTAAATATATATACTACTAATAGTGTTTGTACTTTAGTTGAGAAGATCAGTCAATATATTTTTTTTTTTTCACAAGCAAACAAATCTCTCGTCTTCTTGCCAAGGACTAACCTTTCCAAATCAATGAATTTGGGAGCTGAAAGAACTTATAATATATCCAAAATAAACCTATTATATGAGAGATGAGGAAACAAGAGGTTCAGAAAAGTTAAATGGCTCCTCTAAGTCAGCAGCTAGCTGATGGCAGAGCTGAGCCTAGTACCCAGATTCTTCTCATAAGGCTCAAAATGAAGTATTCCTACATAAAAATATTAACAGTATCAGCTGCTGACAAAAATGTGGAACAAGTAGAATTTTTATGTCTTTCCAGTAGGGATGTAGAAACAATTTGGTAATTTCTTATAAGTTAAAGATACATACTATATGACCTAGCAATCCCCCTCCTAGGTATTTACCCACAAGAAATGAAACTTATATTCACCCCAAAACCTGCCATGAACATTTACAGTGGCTCTGTTCATAATCACCCGAAACTGGAAGCCAAATGTCCCTCAAATGGTTACGAATGTACGTGATCTGTGGTATATCCATACAAAGGAGTATTACCTGGCAATAAAAAGGAACAAACTGTTGATAAACCCAAATACTTAGAAAAATCTCAGCAGCATTACTATGACTAAAAGAAGCCAGTCTCTAAAGGTTACATACTATATGAGTCCATGTCACATTCTGCAAAAGACGAAACTACAGTGACAACAGATCGATAGTTGCCCAGGGTGAGGGGAGGGTATGAGTGCAATGGGACAGTGGGAGGGAGTTATCTGGAGTGATGGAACTGTTCCGTGTCCTGGCTGTGGTGGTGGTGGTGGTGGTTATACAAATTGATATTCACAGAACTGTATGAATATCAAAATGTCAATTTTACTGTATATTAATTTAAAAAATAAATTATTTACTCAGTCTCTGGTTTCTAAAAGCCAGAAGTACCTATAAATTTCAAATTCTTTTTTTCTGGAGGGGCAGGGTCTCACCCTGTCACCAGGCTGGCATGGAGTGGCATGATTCTGGCTCACTGCAGCCTCCACGTCCTAGGCTCAGGTGATCCTCCCATCTCAGCCTCCTGAGTAGCTGGGACTACACCACACCTGGCTAATTTTTTGATTTTTTGTAGAGAGAGGTCTGACTATGTTGCTTGGGATGGTCTCAAACTCCTACACTCAAGTGATCCTTCCGCCTCAGCTTCCCGAAGTGATGGCATTACAGGTGTGAGACACTGTACCCAGACAAATTCTTTAAAATTTTTTTTTTTTGAGACAGAGTCTCGCTCTGTCACCCGGGCTAGAGTGATGTGATTTCGGCTTACTACAACCTCCACCTCCTGGGAAAATACATTTTGTTAAGCACTATATAGGGCAGTGTTTTTTTCAAAGTGCCCATACCAACCCAATTTTTCTAAATGAAATAAAACAGAATGAAAATTCTAACAGATTGCCTCACAGTAAGATTAAGTACTGTCTCAAAGTTTTTGTTTCAGTTGTGGGTGTAGGTATGAATGTGAATATGTGTGGGCACGCATGCACTGCTTCTTACTGTGGATCATAGTCAAAAAGTTTGAGAAATACTGCTAGAGGGAATTAAATAAACAACAGTTCTAGATTTAGAACAGTCCAGCCCTGCAAGAGTTGGCTTCTGTGGACATGTATTAGTACACAGTGCACCACCTGGTCTTACAAACATAAATCATCTTTAAAGAAATAAAAAATATCTTAAAAAATCTAACTTTCCATAAGAGGTGATGAAAGGATTGAGGAGAGATTGGAAGGCAGAACAAACTACCTTTTGGATATTAACTATAATACCTGACAAATTATAATACATGCAGAAGTGTTTATTTCTTTACCATAATCTAACAAGAAGAAATCAGCCATATGAAATTCAATAATTTCTACTATGCATATCATTTCCAAATTTTAATTTAAACATTTTCTCACTTAGCAATAGTTTCTTATTATATTATATAAGCTTTAAATATATCTCAAAGAACCAAATTATATTCTATTAGAGCAGGGTAAGACACACATTAAGATCACAAAAATAAAAATTATAAAAGAGAAAAAGAGGGGAAAAGGTAAAAATGTATCTACTTTTAAGAAAATTATACTGCTAAGTCTCTGCTGTGTAATATATAAAAAGGCTTTTTCTCTTTGTAGAATAACCTTTCAGATAAAAGCTATTTTCCAAGATAATTTGGCTTTAGCCACCAGCAGACTATAAATAACTTATTTTTAAAAAGATTCACACCTATAGTCCCAGCTACTCGGGAGGCCAAGGCAGGAGAATCACTTGAACCTGGTAGGCAGAGGCTGCAGTGAGCCGAGATCACGCCACTGCACCTCAGCCTGGGCATGGAAGCAAGACTCCGCCTCAAAAAAAAAAAACAAAAAAACAAAAAAACAAAAAAAACCTGTCCACTAAAACTTATTCTAAAATCTTCATATATAAAACACCATTACTATTCTGAAAGTTACCTAGCTTATTTCTTTTTCTTTTTCTTTTTTTTGAGATGGAGTCTCAACTGTCACCCAGGCTGGAGTGCAGTGGTGCAATCTTGGCTCACTGCAACCTCCACCTCCCAGGTTCAAGCGATTCTCATGCCTCAGCCTCCCCAGTAGCTGGAATTACAGGCATGCACCACCACACCCGGCTAATTTTTGTAATTTTAGTAGAGATGGGGTTTCTCCATGTTGGCCAGGCTGGTCTCGAACTTCTGACTTCAAGTGATCTGCCCACCTCAGCCTCCCAAAGTGCTGGGATTACAGGCATGAGCCACTGCACCCGGCCACATCGGCAGTATTAAAGAGCATGGCTACATACAATTACATACAATTTCATCAACCAATTGATTGACAGGTCTTCTAAATTCCAAAATATTCAAAACAAGATGAACTATTTTAAGTAAGTTATTCATGTTGCTATTTTGTTTAGAACTTCAGGGTTCTAAAAAGTTTAAATATATGTTACTTATAAAAGTTACATTAGATAAAAAACTTTTAATAATTAATTCACGAGGGATTGTGATTTCAATATTATGAAATGAGACAGTAAAAGAAAAAAATTTGTCTGGGCATGGTGGCTCACGCCTGTATTCCCAGCACTTTGGGAGGCCGAGAGGAGAGAATCACTTGAGCCCAGCAGGAGTTTGAGATCAGCCTAGGCAACATAGTGAGGGAAAAAATACAAAAAGAAGCCAGGCATGGTGGTGCGCACCTGCAGTCCCAGCTACTCAGGAGGCTGAGGTGAGATGATCTCTTGAGTCTGGGAGGTGAAAGCTGCAGTGAGCCAAGATGGCACCACTGCACTCCAGCCTGGGTGACAGAGTGAGACCCTGTCTCAAATAAAAAAAATAAGTTAAAAAATAAAAATAATTAGTAGTGACCGGGCGCGGTGGCTCACGCCTGTAATCCCAGCACTTTGGGAGGCCGAGGCGGGCAGATCACGAGGTCAGGAGTTCAAGACCAGCCTGGCCAATATGGTGAAACCCCGTCTCTACTAAAAATACAAAAATTATCTGGGCATGGTGGCGGGCACCTGTAATCCCAGCTACTTGGGAGGCTAAGGCAGGAGAATTGCCTGAACCCGGGAGGCGGAGGTTGCAGTGAGCCGAGATTGCACCATTTGTACTGAAGCCTGGGCAACATAGCGAGACACCAATTAAAAAAAAAATAGTATCTAAAAAACAAATCCTTCAAGTGTTATAATCATTTTAAAGACATTTTCCATCATTTTAGCCCCTCTTTATTTAAGGATAAAAGTATACAGGTTTTGCTCTTAGGTTGACTTGGGAATTCTCTTAATATTGTGAAAATCCAAGCTAGGTCTTTGAGAATGTGCTAAAAAAGGGTTTGAAATTATTTTCCCCCACCAAATACTTCGTTATTTCATTTAAAATGTGATATTACAGGGCCGGGCGCAGTGGCTCACACCTGTAATCTCAGCACTTTGGGAGGCCAAGGCAGGTGGATCATAAGGACAGGAGTTCAAGACCAGCCTGGCTAACATGGCGAAATCCTGTCTCTACTAAAAAATACAAAAATTAGCCAGGCACGGTGGCAGGCGCCTGTAATCCCAGCTACTTGGGGGAGGCTGAGGCATGAGAATTGCTTGAACCCGGGAGGCGGAGGCTGCAATGAGCCGAGATCACACCACTGCACTTCAGCCTGGGGGACAGAACAAGACTCTGTCTGCAAAAAAAAAAAAAAAAAAAAAATCAAAACCAAAAAAAAAACAAAAAAAACCCCTCCTCACAAAGAAAAAGTTCACTTAGCAAAACGTATGACAGTAAATCAATCACCTAAATTTTGTTTGTTTAGTCATTCTCGGCTCACATAGCATTAGGGCTATTATACATTCTAGCCAAATTAAGTTTTTTAAAGTATACTGCAAAATCTAAGGTGAGTCAAAGACCACCATATTTCAATCCCTCTTTATCAGCAATCCAATACTAGTGACTGAGTCCACTGATGGGCAAGCCTGTAGGTGGCTCAATAATAAAAGAAAATAAGGATTAGCAGATTCTCCTGAGGTAAATCCTACTGTATTACTGATGTGTCTACCTTATCTGAAAAGTCTCTAGGTAACTCTTGTGGGCTCACAGACTTATCACAACGCTATCCTGCAACAAATTACAGAATAATTTAATTCTATAGTAACCTAAGAAATCCTATTTTACAAGCTGTATGCATGGAATAAAACTGTATACATGGCCCTAATTGCATTTACTTTTCAAGGTAATCAATCACTTGAACTATGTTTTAAAAAAAAAAAAAAAAAGAGGCTGGGCACAGTGGCTCACGCCTGTAATCCCAGCACTTTGGGAGGCTGACGTGGGCAGATCACAAGATCAGGAGTTCAAGACCAGCCTGACCAATATGGTGAAACCCCATCTTTACTAAAAATACAAAAAAATTAGCTGGGCATAATGGTGCATGCCTGTAATCCCAGCTACTTGGGAGGCTGAGGCAGGAGAATTGCTTGAACCCAGGAGAAGGAGGTTGCAGTGAGCTGAGATCATGCCACTGCACTCCAGCCTGGGCAACAGAGCGAGACTCTGTCTCAAAAAAAAAAAAAAGATAATGTCATCTTTACCATAAAGCTGCCTTTCTGGCTAAAAAACAAGAGAAGGAACTACATATATAATCTACAGGCCTAAAGCAGAGTTCATAAAATCTGACAGGTAAAGACACTCTACTTTTCTTTCCTTCCCTTGCCAAAGTAAAAATTCATAAAGCACTCAAATCTATAGCCCCAATAGCAGTTTATAATAAAAATCTCAGAAGACAATTGAAATTGTATTAGATAAAATGTTCATAAGTATTTTTAAAAATCAAATATAACTACTATATAAACAAACAGATAACTAAAATAAGCAACTGATATTGCCACTGATTCTACAAAGCACTTTATGGCTTGCATTAACCATGAAAATTTATACAAGGCTTTGCACGTGATTCAACTCTGGACACAGAACCCATTGAGATACGTTAATGTCCTAAAATACCCCTTTCACTACATAAGCTCTGAATAGGCTTAAAACAAGCACAGCCTATGGGTAGCACTGTAGAATTTGGAGCTAGATTTTACTGTCCCCACCAAGTTCCGCCAGCCATAGAGCAACAAATCAAAGTTCCAATAAGCACATTGCACCTGCAAGACTTAGGTATGCTCCAAGTCAAATATTTGCAATTTTTTCATCCCAAATCTGCACAAATGAAAAAATGCAGATCGCAGTGCCAGACTTCTAAATCTTGTCATAAGACAAAATGATCTGTAGTTTTACTCCAACATGCTCCATATCCTAACATGTATTGAGTCTCTAATATGATCATATGCCAGGAACTGCTAGGAGTTTACATACATTATCTCTAATCCTCATAACAAATTCCATTCTGCTGCTGAGGAAACTGAGGCCAGAGAGCTCAAAGTGACTTGTTCAATATCATAAGACCAGTAAACAGTGGAGCGGGGGTTTTAAATCGAGTTATGCCTACCTCCAAAGCATCATCTATCTCCATGAGCCTTCTTCAGCTAAAGTCACTAAACGCAGCACCAGTTCACCTCTATCGAAGTAAATTCAAGTGCTGATTGTCAGAAATGATGACAACACCTGAGAAAAATATCACACCTAAAATGGTAGCACAAGACCTAAGACTTCACAACAAGGAGGTGTAGTTATGCCCTTTAGAATAACAAGTTTTAAAGGCTATGGTTCAAAATACAAGACAATCCACTTTTTTTTGTTGTTGTCTCTCAGCTGACTTTTTTATAACAAGGGAAATGAAATTCAAGAGTATAGTCACATTTTTTTGGTAAAATTATCTAAAACCCCTGAGAAAAGGGTGACTTCAAAAGTTCACATTCTAGTTTACCTCTTCGTTAGGCTTCAGACATTCAAAAACAAAATCACATCAGTAGCATTACTAATCAACTTTTTTTTTCTACAGACTTGAAAAGTATTTTCTTACCACACTACGAGATTACTTCCCATACTTAGAACAGAAATGGCAACAGTTCTGGGTGTCACGAATCAGATCTTGAGACCACAGCTGCAGAAAGTAGGTGCTGTTTCCCTTGAGTAGGAGCTGCTGATCTGAAACCTCCTAAGGGAAGGGTGTCTGAAGAAGAGTGTTGGAGAAACTAAAGCAAGCTGTTTGTATTAATGAGAGTGAACTGCTGGCACCACTACTCCTTAAGTGTTTCACTGCTATGCAATTGTTTTCCAGCTTCCAAGTTCTGAATCTGGCAGGGAGAGAATGCTGTTCTCACAACCGTATATGTTATATGATCAGCTGCTCTATGATGTGTGGGTGTTTAACTAGGTAAGTGACTGGTTTAGAAGAGGTTCTGCAATACTAAATCAAGGAAGCACACTGTCCTCTGAGATTTTAATGGTCTGTCAGTATACTACAAAGTATATACAAAGAAAAGTAACCTACTTGCAACTTTGAAATGGTTTGGGTTTAGAATAGCCAAATGATTTCCGACAGTAAAACTTCAGGCATGACATGAGCAAAAAATATAATGTGTAATATAAAGCACTGGCAGCATGTTTATGAGATAATAAAAAAGGCAATATTTGCAACTTCAGCATGCTTTCAAACTTATAGGGTATGCTGCATAATTAGTAGAATAAATGCTATTCTTCAGGTGTATGGAACAGGTTCTATAGGCAAGATTCCAAGGCTCCCTTGCCTTCCAAAGTGCCAGTTAATATCATAAATTCCTTAGCTTCTCAGAACCCCCCAGATGCAAAGAATAGGAAGGTCTCAAAGAATTTTTTAAGTGAAAAATAATGGCAGAATCGTAAGCTCCTAAAGAGCCGGTACTGTGCTTAAAATTACTACCCATTCCAACACTATCACAAGCTGGAATAAATATCTCCTGATTGCAATACGACCGAAAGGCAAAAGCTGGGTGCAGAGTAATTTAAACAAAAATAGCTGATATTTATCACCTGCTTATTGATAGAATGGTGCAAAGTTCATCCTCAGTTCCAGATTCTATATATGGAGGCTGAATTCCCTAACCACAATTAAAATCCTTCCATTAAAACAAAATTTCAAAATGAATGATTTTGATGGCACCATCCCCATTAAGACATGAAATCACAGTTAACAAAGTTGAAAAAAAAATCCTTTTTATGGAGCAGGTACACCGCTATGAGAATGATATAGCCTTCTTTTAAGAGATCAGATCAACTTCAGCCAACGCATAAAGATTCAGGATAGGCATTATAAAACAGACCTTGGACTTTGCTGTTGAAATTTGCTACATTTAGAATCTGGTGCCAGGAACATACATTACCAATTGGTCAAGTCTAAACAAATTATTTTGACTCTAGTTTTAACTTTTTCTGAAAGACTCTCACATACATTTCCTTTTTACAGGAAAACGAGGAAATGATAATTTACAAATACCTAACTTATCCTAATCAAAGAACAAAACACAAGGTTACATGCATAAGCTACTTTGTTGTTTATTGCTCAGGGCCAGACAATGTACTCTAATCCTTTTTAAAAAAAAACTAACCAACTAAACAAAACACACAACGCAAGTTCCTTTCACTTTTGCATAACAGAGATCTTAACCTGAAGTCCCAGGACCAGCTTCAAGTTGACTTTAGTGGCATACAAAATTATGTGTCTATTTAATGGAGAAGACGGTTCTAAAGACTTCCATGAACCCAAACAAAGATTACTAACCACTGAAGTCAGTTCCAGGATCACTAAAACTTAGTGAACAGTTTAAACAAAATTATACTAAAGGTATTACCTATCTGAATACTGTGCACGGTCCTGATATAAACAACCAAGCTGCCTGCCACCACTGACAATCACAGTGTCAAGCCCCACTCACAAAACAGCCCCACTCGACGACATCACCTGTATTCAGCTCAGACACCACACATCCCAGCAACAGCAGCTCCTCAATCCCTAAGCACACACATGTTGTCAACAAAGCATGTGCTAGTTGCCATTCCCAGAACAATACGGGCCTGGCCATCCTCTGGAAAAAAAAAATACACATTCTTTCCTGAATACTACCCTACGAATACATTATGCCTTGATCATAGATCCCAAACACTACAACAAAATAGGAGAAACTTGCACACACCATATCTAATCAACTGGGAAAAAAGCATCACTCAGGTGTTCCTGAGGGTCCACGGGAGATGCATGTAAGGGATACACTATGATAATGATGCTTGAACACGGGAACAATCTGGGGGCAAAGGCAGACTCACGCAGGAACACCCCGAAAACGTGGATGTGGAAAGCACCCTTCTCCAAAGGCACAAGCACATTCCTTTGATTGGCAAAAGCCATTTCTGACAATGGATCCGCGGTGACAGGGGCTGCTCGGCAATCAGGAAGTGAGTGAGTGTATGAGTGTGTCTGTGTTGTGGGGGAGGGATGCTCTAGTTGTGATCAAAGCTGGACCTTTTCAGAGAAGGTCTCGAATCCTGAAGACAGACTTCGAGGTGAGGCAGGGGCATTTATCATTTCTATTGGAGACATCCCTCGACAATGAACATGTTACGTGGAGATGTAACGGGGGTGTCACTACCTTTGGTGTCTCGGATCTAAGAATCTTCAGCAGAGCCTGATTGGAGGGGAGGAGGAGGTGGGGGTGGAGAAAGGTCTGCATTACCCACTGGGGTGAGTGTGGGGCTGCCGGTGGCGGGTGTACATCAGACGCATTTTATCTACTGGCGGCACAATACTCCCGGGGGTTGGAGGTTTGGGTGCAACCGCAAGGCGGGGGAGGTAGTGGGTGCAAGCCACCAGCTGCAGGGCAGGAGAACGCTCGCAGGAGGACCGGTGCAAACCTCCTCTCGGCCCGCTAACCCGTGCCGCCCCAGCCTCCCCTCAGGCCTCAGGGCGAGCGGACCCGCTGCAAAACTGCAGCCAAGCCCGGGTCCAGGAGGAAGGGGGCGAAAGAGCAGGAGCGGGGCGCCCCCAGCCCAAGCTGGGTGCCTGAGGAGCTCAGCGCCCGGGGCCTCCCAGCCGGATGGGGGCTGCTCCGGCCTAGCGCACGCAGCTGCCTCGGCGAAGGGTTACGCCGGCCCCCGGAGCCCGGGCCGGCCCCGCGGGCGGCGGAGAGGAAGGGCTGCCGGGGGCGCCGCCGCGGCGGTGGCGAGTGCGTGGGGGAAGGGGCCCTTACTCACCCGGGCCGGCCGCCTCCGCCTCCGCCGCCCCGGCCGCCGCCTCGGCGGTCCATCCCTGCGGCGGGGGCCTGCAGCCGCGGCGCTCGAGTCACAACCGCCGGCTGGGCCAGCCCCTCCCCCCCTGCCCAACGTCTGTCCTCAGGGCCGCTCCTCAGACCCGGCCTCGGCCGCTGCCGCTGCCGCCGCAGCGCTACGTGGCCGCCGCTCCGACGTCTCGCGACTCCCTTCCCAGCGCGCGAGGGCGAGCGGGGCCGGCGGGGCGGGCAGCGCGGGGCGGGCGGCAGGGGAGGGGGTGTGCGTGTGTGGATGTGTGTGCCGGAGGGGGCAGGGAGGGAGGCGAGCGGCGGCGAGGACGCGCGCGCCCGCGCGCGCCCGCGGCCCCTTCCCTCGCTGGCCCCCCCGCCCAACGGGGATCCCGACACCTCCCTCCGCCCGCCCCCTCAGCATCCCGGCCGCTGGGAGCGGCGGCGCGCATGCGCAGCCCTCGGGCCGGCCCGGGCGCACCTTTTCTGTCTCCTGCCACATTGTGAGCGCTCCGCCGCCCAGATAACCGCCGGCTCCCCGCGCCGCCCCCGCCTTCTCCCACTCCGCCCACTGCCGGGAGCCCAGGTAAAGACGAGAGCTGCGCATGCGCGGCGCTCTCCGTGAGTCGGGGGGCGTG
The DNA here is from genome assembly GCF_000001405.40 of Homo sapiens. Classification (NCBI taxonomy): domain Eukaryota; kingdom Metazoa; phylum Chordata; class Mammalia; order Primates; family Hominidae; genus Homo; species Homo sapiens. Next base: position 49,362,570 of record NC_000017.11, read on the forward strand.
GTTGCCGAAAGGAAGCCAAAGTGAAGAGTGCAGGGGGTTGTAGCAGGCGCTGCTGTGGGATTCCACAAAATAGGCGCGGGTTAGGATGGGGAAGGTAAAGTGAAGAAACGGGCCAAAGCAGAAAAGTGGGTCGACGTGAGATTTGGAAGTAAAAAGAGACTTTGAATAAAAACTTAACGACTGCTGACCTCCTTGTTCTCCTTGGAGGGCAGTGGGAGTGACGGGGGGCAGAAATCAGCTCGGCAGCATGCAAGCAGTAGTGGTCATTCGCCGTATGAATGGGACCGCTAAAAACTGAACAGTTTCGAGATTGCCAGGGTGCTCAGAAAAACAGATTTAGAGCCTCGCCTGTCCTGTGGCCAGGAATAGGGAAGGGGATGTGTGTGTTTGAGACCTACAGCAGCTGCGGTAAAGGAAGCCTCCATTGTATTACAGTATTATGACTAATTAGCTATTAATCATTAATATACTCAGTGGTACTATTAGTTAACAAGGTAGCATTTATCCGAGTTCAGAGACAAGAGAGTGTCCATAATTGAAAGTGTTTAGGGTACAGGGAGAGGAAATGAACCCGGCAAGGTGAAGGCCTGGGATGGAAAAGACCCAAGACAGCAAATCCGAGGTCAGGGTTCCCTTTCCCAACATAAACCAAACTTCCCTGAAGTTGTCCAAATCCTACCTTAATTGGAACTCCTTCCATTATTAAAAGCACACTTAACTAATGTTCTTGCACTAAGGCTGACCCCAATAGCACATAAACATTTTCTTTTTCTTTTTTTTTTTTTCTTATTTGAGACATGGTCTCACTCTGTCACTCAGGCTGGAGCGCAGTAGCATGATCACGGCTCACTGCCGCCTCCTCCTACCACGCTCACATAAGCCTCCCACCTCAGCCTGTGGAGTAGCTGGGACTACAGGAGTGTGCTGCCTCACCTGGATAATTTTTAAATTTTTGTAGAGACAAGGTCTCCCTATGTTCCCCAGGTTGGTCTCAAACTCTTGGGCTCAAGCAGTCCTCCCACCTCAGCCTCCCAAAGTAATGGGATTACAGGTATGAGCCACTGTACCTGGCTGACATTTTCAATACACATGCAGCTACTTTTCCCTAAAATAGCACTGCTATGGTTTGAATGTGTCCCCCAAAGTTCACATGTTGGAAACTTAATAATCCCAATGCAAAAGTGTTGGAAACTGGGGCCTAATAAGAGTTTATTAGGTCATGAGGGCTCTGCCTTCATGAATGGATTCATATCATAAACAGTGCGTTAGTTATCTCCAGGCCGGGCGCAGTGGCTCATGCCTGTAATCCCAGCAGTTTGGGAGGCCAAGGCAGGCAGATCACTTGAGGCCAGGAGTTTGAGACCAGCCTGGCCAACATGGTGAAACCCGTCTCTACTAAAAATACAAAAAAATTAGCTGGGCGTGGTGGCATGCACCTATTATTCTAGCTACTCAGGAGGCTGAGGCATGAGAACCACTTGAACCTGGGAGGCGGAGGTTGCAGTGAGCTGAGATCGCGCCATTGCACTCCAGCTTGGGTGACAGAGTGAGGCTCTGTCTCAAAAAATAATAATAATAAATTAATTAATTAATTAAAAAATAAACAGTGGGTTAGTTATCTCAAAAGTGGGCTTGTTATAAAATCAAGTTTGGACCCCTTTGCTCTGTTGCTCTCTCATGTACTCTCTTGCCCTCCTGCCTTCTGCTAGGGGATGATGCAGCAAGAAGACCCACACCAGATGAGGGCGCCTTGATATTGGATTTCCCAGCCTCCAGAACTGTAAGAAATAAATTTCTATTCTTTTTAAATTACCCAGTCTGTGGTATTCTGTTACAGCAACACAAAATAGACTCCAACAAGCACCCCACTCCCGTGACCCAAAATCCTGCAGGGAGTAAGATGACCTGAGTCTGGGACAAGGTTAGGGAAAAGATTGAAACTTTCTAAGCAAAGGGGTCCAAGAGCTGACTCTGTCCTTGTCCCCTTCCAAAAACAGATGCTTGACTTTTATTACATCTGGTCTCTGGACTCTAGGGATAATTTTGGCAACTTTGGGTCATGTTTTTCAATAATGAGTTTTTTTCAGTGAATAAACACTAAAAACAATACCATATTTCAGCAGGTAGAGAGAAAATCTTCAGGTAGAACAGGAGGAAATAAGCAGAAGTAATAAAAGGAGAGACAGATTCAATGTGAGAAAGACCATGGTATCCATAGGAGCTGGTGAGCCTGGGACATCTCAGTGAGGTCAATGTCTCGCTTTGCCTTTTTAGACATTTGATCCGTTCCCCACCCTCTGCTAGTCAGAGCTATCCAGCTTAGAAGAGGGGTGTGCAGAATGATGGCTAATGAATGAGGTGACTTTCCCAGTGTCTGTGACTCTCCACCCACAGGCCAACTCTCTGAAGGATTCCTAGTAACTAAGTATGGTTTTTGCAGGGAGGTTATGTCCCTTATCTCTTTTTCTTTCTTTCTTTTTTTTTTTTTTTTTTTTTTTTGAGACGAAGTCTTGCTCTTGTCGTCCAGGCTGGAGTGCAGTAGCGTTATCTCGGCTCACTGAAACCTCCACCTCCTGGGTTCAAGCGATTCTCCTGCCTCAGCCTCCTGAGTAGCTGGGATTATAGATGCGCACCACCACACCCGGCTAATTTTTGTATTTTTAGTAGAGACGGGGTTTTGCCATGTTGGCCAGGCTGGTCTCAAACTCCTGACCTCAGGCAATCCGCCCGCATCAGCCTCCCAAAGTGCTAGGGTTACAGGCGTGAGCCATCGCATCCGGACTTATGTCCATTATCTCATCAGATCTTCCAACAACCCTGCAAGGCAGACAGGATAGATATTATTCCCAATGAAGGAAATTCAGGCCAAGGAATGTTTAATGGCTCAGGCAAAGTCACCCAGCTCAGTAAACAACGGAGCCAAAGCAGGCCCCAGGCTCCCTGACTCCCAGCCTGCTGGTCTTTCAGAGGCTTTGACAGGCCTGCTCTGAGAATCCGCCATTTATTGCCATGTAGTGAAAACAGGTGCCCTTAGCATGTGATGGAGAATAATTCTAACATTCAGTTCTACTTCTCTATCTCCTTTATTTAATGTTTTTTTCCTTCTTCTTTCTTTCTTTCTCTCCCCAGAAGCCTGGGACTTGCCTCTGTGATCTGGTGCTTTGGAGGGCCTTGGGCCTCAGGGCTAGCAAGGTCCCTTTCTGGAGATTCCAGTTCCTCTGCCCGCCCTCCTTTACCTCTTTCTCCTCACACATCTGTCTGAGGGATGGGGATGAGGGCTGCCAACCAATGTTACCACTTGACAGACCACAAGAGGGCTGGTTCCAGTGCCTCCCTTGTTCAGCTGCTGACACTGCAGCTTGGCAGTCATTGAAGGCAATATTTAGCTCCTACATCTGACCTGATTGGAAGATCAGGCTTCTGTCGTCCTGGTTTCCTGGCCTTGGATAGTTCTTCACTAACTTTTATTCATTAAGGCAGTGGGCAGAAAGCAGCAGAACCCTGTTTTTTCTTTTTTTGGGGTTTTTGTTGTTGTTGTTGTTGTTGTTTTGTTTTTTTTTGAAACAGGGTCTCCCTCTGTCACCCATGCTGGAGTGCAGAGGTTCTGTCATAACTCACTATAGCCTCGACCTCCTGGGCTCAAGCAATCTTCCCACCTCAGCCTCCTGAGTAGCTAGGGACCACAGGTGCATGCCACTATGCCTAACTAATTTTTGTATTTTTTTGTAGAGATGGGGTTTTGCCATGTTGCCCATGCTGGTTTTGAACTCTAGAACTCAAGCAATCAGCTGGCCTCAGCCTCCCAAAGTACTGAGATTACAGGTGTGAGCCACTGTGCCTGGCCAGAACCTGTTTTTTGTTTGTTTGTTTTTGTTTTGTTTGTTTGAGGCGGAGTTTTGCTCTTGTTGCCCAGGCTGGAATGCAATGGCGCGATCTCGGCTCACCGCAACCTCTGCCTCCTGGATTCAAACAATTCTCCTGCCTCAGCCTCCCAACCAGCTGGGATTACAGGCATGCGCCACCACGCCCAGCTAATTTTGTATTTTTAGTAGAGATGGGATTTCACCATGTAGGTCAGGCTGGTCTCGAACTCCCAACCTCAGGTGATCTGCCCGCCTCGGCCTCCCCAAGTGCTGGGATTACAGACGTGAGCCACCGCGCCCAGCCCAGAACCTGTTTTTTAATTTAAAATTCTTATTTAAAAGTTCTGTACATTTTGAGAATTCTTAAAACCTTCACACATTTAATTTAAATAGCAGCAGAGATATCTGGTTCCTGGTAATGTGAACAGGATGGCTTGATACAAGCTCCCTGCTCACTGCATTTCCTCACTTCCTAAATTCCTAGGGATGTACCTCCAGTGAATAATAGTTTTTACCACCTGTACATATACAGGGTCAGCGGCCATGGCTCCTTGCTCACCCATTAACTAAGATCACATCCTACATACAGTACCAGACTTAGAGCCAGAGCCCTGGTCATGGCCTCCTAGGTTCTCACACTTGACTTTTACTCAATCATTTCACCATTTAGGCTTTATAAAAAGGGGAGACTGGCCGGGCGCGGCGGCTCATGCCTGTAATCCCAGCACTTTGAGAGGCTGAGGGAGGTGGATGACCTGAGGTCAGGAGTTTGAGACCACCCAACATGGTGAAACCCTGTCTCTACTAAAAATACAAAAATTAGCCAGGTATAGTGGCACATGCCTGTAGTCCCAGCTACTCTGAGGCAGCTGAGGCAGGAGAATCGCTTGAACCTGGGAGGCGGAGGTTGCAGTGAGCCGAGATCATGCCACTGTACTCCAGCCTGGGTGACACAGTGAAACTCCATCTCAAATAAATAAATAAATAAAATGGGGGAATTATATGACTGTTAGGGTCCTCCAGATCTGATACCCAGGACTGTAATCTAAAGACTTGATTATGTTCATTAATACATGGCAATTTCATTCCTTTCCTAAGAATTACTATCCAAAGATCATCCCTAAGCCCTTCCTACAAGAAACTGCCCCTTTTACAGAATGAATAAAGTTGTCCTAGATTCCCGTTTTTTCCTCACTTTTTCTCATATCTCTAAGTGACAGTATCCGGAGACAGCTCAGAAAGCTGGATTTTTAGCTTTTCGTCATAGGGCTTGTATATGTACATGCATGCATGCACAAATGTATGTATATGTTCATTCTTAAAGGGATATGGGCCATGGGCACCTTCACTCTGTGGCCCCCCACCTCCCACCAGCCCTACTTGAATTTTAGTAAATAGTAATTAAATGCCAGGACCAGGCACAGTGGCTCACACCTGTAACCCCAGCATTTTTGGAGGCTGAGGTGGGTGGATCACCTGAGGTCAGGAGTTCGAGACCAGCCTGGCCAACATGGTGAAACCCTATCTCTACTAAAAATACAAAAATTAGCCGGGTTTGGTGGCACACAACTGTAATCCCAGCTACTTGGGTGGCTGAGGCAGGAGAATCACTTGAACCTGAGAGACGGATGTTGCAGTGAGCCAAGATCGCACAACTGCACTCCAGCCTAGGCGACAGAGCAAGACTCCATCTCGAAAGAAAGAGGGAAGGAAGGAAGGGAGGAAGGAAGGAAGGAAGGAAGGAAGGAAGGAAGGAAGGAAAAAGAAGAGAAAAGGAACTCCATCTCTACTAAAAATACAAAAAAATTAGCCAGGCATGGTGGCGGGCACCTGTAATCTCAGCTACTTCAGGAGTCTGAGACAGGAGAATTGCTTGAACCTGGGAGGCCCTTGCAGTGAGCTGAGATTGTGCCACTGCACTCAGCCTGGGCAACAAGAGTGAAACTCCGCCTCAATGATAAATAAATAAATAAATAAATAAATAAATAAATAAATAAATAAATGCCAGGATGCCTAGAAGAACAAAAGAGTATGTACTAAGAGGCCAGATATATGAGTGCAGCTGTAGTGATAAGGAGGCCATTGGGATAGCCAATGTCACATAGGTCTAAAGTTTGGTTTTAGCTAGAGCTTTCTTCTACCCTAATACTGCCCCCATGTCCTGACAGCGGGTATTGCAGCAAATCCTGGACTGCAGCCAGAAGCTCTGGTCTCTACATCAGCTTCTCCATTTGAAACATCTCAGAATTTGAATTTTGACTACTCTGGTGTTAACATCAAAATGCATTTCATGGGCCGGGCCTGGTGGCTCACGCCTGTAATGCAGCACTTTGGGAGGCCAAGGCAGGCGGATCACGAAGTCAGGGGATCGAGACCATCCTGGCCAACATGGTGAAACCCTGTCTCTATTAAAAATACAAAAAATTAGCCGGCGTGGTGGCAGGCACCTGTAGTCCCAGCTATTCAGGAGGCCTCAGCAGGAGAATTGCTTGAAGCCAGGAGGTAGAGGTTGCAGTGAGCTGAGATCGTGCCACTGCACTCCATCCTGGGCGACAGAGCGAGTTTCCATCTCAAAAAACCAAAATCAAACAAACAAAAAAACCCACAAAAAACCAAAATGCATTTTATAGTGTTAAAGAAAACATATTTATGTGGCAATTTCTACACATTTTTCTTCTGCATTACTTCATTTAATCCTTCTCTCAATCCTGAGAGCAAAGGACAGAAAATGTTGTTCCCACTGTTTTCCACTGTTTGGTTTTGGTTTGTTTCCTTTCTTTTTTTTTCTTTGAGACAGGCTCTTGCTCTGTCACTCAAGCTGGAATGCAGTGGCATGATCATAGCTCACTGTAGCCTTGACTTCTTGGGCTCAAGTGATCCCACCTCAGCCTCCCAAGTAGCTGGGACTACAGGCACACACCACCACATCTGGCTAATTCTTTTTTATTTTTAGTATAGACGAGGTCTCACTATGTGACCAGGCTGGTCTCCAACTCCTGAGCTGAAGCTATCCTCCTGCCTCAGCCTCCCAAAGTGCTGGGAGATCTGGCCCTTGTTTTTTGTTTTTGTTTTTGTTTTTTATGAGATGGGTGGCTGTTGCCCAGACTGGAGTCCCGTGACACGATCACAGCTCACTGCAGCCTCGACCTCCCCAGGCTCAGGTGATCCTCTCACTTCAGTTTTTTTTGTATTTTAGTAGAGACAGAGTTTTGCCATGTTGCCCAGGCTGTTCTCGAATTCCTGAGCTCAAGGGATCTGTCTGCCTCAGCCTCCCAAAGTGCTAGGATTACAGGCAGGAGTGAGCCACTGTGCCTGGCCCCTTGCTGTTTTTTTGTTTTGTTTTGTTTTTGTTTGTTTGTTTTACAGCAAATAAAAATGCAGTCTGGATTTTAAGGGCCACACAGCAGCAAGAACTAAAACCTGGGTCTCCAAGGTCCAAGTCCAGGACTTCTCTATGACACCCTACTGCAGCCCTTTGCTGGATACCATACAAAGCAAATTGAGCAGATGTGTTCTCTGCCCTCTGAAAGTTTGGACTCAAATGGACAGCCACAATTCTGGCAAACATAAAAGGACAAAGTGATTTAGTGTCAACTCACATACGCAATAAATAACTGAGTTAAATAGATAAGGAAAGGCATGTTCACCTGGTCTACTGATATTTTTTAAATTCCAGTTGAGTAGAGAGCAATGTTAATAAGACTAAGGTTTTGGGCCAGTCCCATTTTTGCCTACTTGCTTTGCACCTGGAAAAATATTTGTAACTGCATGCAAACTCTTTCCCCTCCTCGTCTTCAACAATCTGTAAACTTTCCCTGAGCAGCTACCAAGTGTAACACAAAGTGGGAATGAAGGACCATTAAGAAATCATCTCTGTGCCATGCGCGGTGGCTCAAGCCTATAATCCCAGCACTTTGGGAGGCCGAGGCGGGTGGATCACCTGAGCTCGGGAGTTCAAGGCCAGCCTGGCCAATATGGTGAAACCCTGTCTCTACTAAAAATACAAAAAAAAAAAAAAAAAAAAAATAGCTGGATATGATGGCATGTACCTGTAGTCCCAGCTACTCAGGAGGCTGAGGCAGAAGAATCGCTTGAACCCAGGAGGCAGAGGTTGCAGTGAGCTGAGATTGCTCCATTGCACTCCAGCCTGAGAAACAAAAGCAAAACTCTATCCCCACCCCCCCCAAAAAAAAGGAAGGAAAAGAGAAGAAAAAAAGTCATCTGTGCCCTCGAGCAACATCTTTAACCATTCGCCTAATTCAAACCACTGGGATGAAAATGTATATCCTGTATATACCATCTCTACTGCTGGGAAAAAAGACACGTCAACTCAATACCCATCCTATTTTTAGACGGCCTGAGATTCGTCCTTATCCATGCAGGGCAGTCGGGTAGGACAATGAAGAGGTGGACTTCTGAATTTGAGAGAAATTGGTCTTATCCCAGAGAAGTGAGGCCACCACCCACCTGCAATAGCTTGGCTTCCTGGATCCCTAAGCAAAGGTAGAAAGGAACCCTGGGGTTAGGTAGTGTGGGCAAAGACCTGCAGCCGGAGAATTCCCTATCCTCCTATCTCAGAGCAGACTGTTGCAGCCCTCAATTCATCCTTTGGGGGTTCTGCCTCAGGCTCTTGTCTCCAGTAGAATGATCTAAGGATCTAAGGGAGCGAGGCCCAAATTGTGTTTGAGTCTTTAAAGAGACTCACAAATCTTTTTAAGCAGCAAGCTTAATTGTTGTCTGTAATTGATGTGACATATGCCCCAGAGGCATGCACTGAGGTCCAATTGAGATGGTTTTTTAAAAAAATTGGAATTAATTAATTAAAGAAGGCAGCTGCACGGGCCTGGTAGTTGGTGCCAAGCTCTGTAACCCTAAACCAGCCAACCAACCCAACTGGCCTCACCACCTGAGGAACAATCCCTGCAGCTCTCATGGAGATGAGATGGGATGGAAGTGCTGGGAAGCAGTGCAGGGAAGAGGGGCTTGCAAGGGGGAACGGTGGGGCTCAAGGGACCCACTCTTCACTTTCATGATCCCCCAAAGGCTTAGCTCTTGAGAACTGTTCGGGGGGACTAGGTAACTGGGAAAAAGGGGTGGGAAATTCAAATGGAAGTATGTGAGGGGCAGGCGAGATTTTGGGGGAGGGGAAGCCAGGGGGCTGGAATGGGAGGGGGAGGGGTTCGCAGGTGTGAGAACGGTGTAGCAGCTCCGGTAGGGAATGGAAGGATCCGGGGGTGGAGAGGCCTATGGGCGGAGCTCAGAGGAGGTGGAGCCTGGGTGTGGGGGCGGTAACATGGTGCCTGAGGCCTCAGCACTCAGAGGAGGTGTTAATTAAACCCCTTACCTGAGGTCGTTAACAATGCTGTGGCAGCTTTTCCTAGGAGTTGGGTTAATAACAGTAATAATAACAATTAACGATAATGAGACCTTATCTGGAGAAAGTTGTTCCTAGAGATTGTAGGCATTAAGTCATTAATTCCCCTGGCCCCTGAGGGCCACCTTTTCCTAAAAAGTAAATGTTGGTGCAAGCAGACACAAACAATCCTTGTGCACCTGAGGACTGAACTGGTGTCCTGTGGCCAGTCTGCTAGGCTTGCTGCCCTTGGCTGACTGGGTTAGTTCATTTACACGGGGATAATATCCAGAGTTCGATTAGGGCATCGTAAACTGTTATAATTTTTTGCATTATCTAAAGTCTCTGAAACGATGCTTAAATGAAGTGAGGTCAGAAATCACCACCATAAGATGCCAACACAACTTTGATGTTGAAAACTCGGCCAGGAGCGGTAGCTCATGCCTATAATCTCAGCACTTTGAGAGGCCAAGGCGGGTGGATCACTTGAGGCCAGGAGTTCGAGACCAGCCTGGCCAAAATGATGAAACCCCCATCTCTACTAAAAATACAAAAATTAGCCAGATGTGGTGGTTCACACCCGTAGTCCCAGCTACTTAGTAGGCTGAGGCATGAGAATCACTTGAACCTGGAAGGCAGAGGTTGCAGTGAGCCAAGATCGCGTCACTGCACTCTATCCTGGGTGACAGAGCAAGACTCTGTCAAAAAAAAAAAAAAAAAAAAAAAAAAGGAAGAAAAAGAAAAAGAAAAGAAAGGAAGGAAACAAACTCAAGCCCCACCTAAGAGCACCAGCCTGAACAACATGCTCCAGTGGAGGACGGCCTGGAAATGCCCCAATACTGCATGGTGAGGCCCCGATTGGCTGAGTCTCTGCTAGAGATGGGGCAAGACTTCAGGTATCTGCCCCGGCGGACCAAGAAGGGAAATTTAGAGCAAAGGCTTGAGGGAAGTTAAAAAAGGAGTTTTCTTAGATTGGGGGAATCACATGGGATAGCGGTTGCTCCAAAAGCCTTGAGCAAACTTTAGTGCCAATAGTGGCTGGCCTTGCAGAGTTAAACATAGCAGCGATTACTACAAATTATTATATATGCTCCAATCCAAAGACGGACTTTGTATTCACATCTGGTAGATGGGAAAGTCATCATCATTATTCCAGTCAAATATCAAAGGCAGCAATATAGAGTGTGTATTGTATAGTACATTTATTTATTTTTTATTTTATTTTAGACAGAGTCTTGCTCTGTCACTCGGGCTGGAGTACAGTGACACAATCACGGTTCACTGCAGCCTGGACCTCCCAGGCTCAAGTGATCCCCCTGCTGCAGCCTCCTGAGTAGCTGGGACTACAGGCCTGTGCCACCATGTCCAGGTAATTTTTAAATTTTCTTTTCTCTCTCTCTCTCTCTCTTCTTTTTTCTTTCTGAGACAGAGTCTTGCTCTGTCACCCAGGCTGGAGTACAGTGTTGTGATCTTGGCTCACTGCAACCTCCGTCTCCCGGATTCAAGCAATTCTTCTGACTCAGCCTGCCGAGTAGCTGGGACTACAGGCGTGCACCATGGTGACCAGCTAATTTTCGTATTTTTTTTTAGTAGAGTCGGGGTTTCACATGTTGGCCAGGCTGGTCTTGAACTCCTGACCTCAAGTGAATTTTTAAATTTTCTGTAGGAATGGCAGTCTCACTATGTTCCCCAGGCTGTCTTGAACTCCTGGGCTCAAGCAATTCTCCCACCTCGGCTTCCCAAATTATTGGGATTACAGGCATGAGCCACTGCACCTGGGCAACACCTTGTTTTAAACAACAACAACAACAACAAAACCTCAATGTACTTAAACAGAATGGGTCTCCTGGTGGTCCTTAGGTCATGGGGTGGGGTCATGATGCTGTCCATTAATGAAAGGGCAGGTGAAATCTAGAGCAGGAGCTAAGCCTATCTGAATCTCAGAGCTGGGCAGCAGAAGAATCTATGTCATGAAATAAGAGGGACCAGTCCCCACTCTTCTGACCTTAGGCCCCTCCCCTATTCCTTTAGAATCATAGCCTTTCTTCTCTTACCTGTATTACTACAAAGTCATCTGTAAGAAGGTACTGGAACTTTCAGGGCTTGAATAACAATCTGCCTTATAGGTTGCATTAGAGAACATACAGTAAAGTATTATTTGGTGAAGTTAGGGAATGGAGTGTTCTCGTTAATCAAATAATCTGGTTAACAAAGTAGCACTCAACGTATAGTAATATTTGGGATATACTTATACAGGTTGAGTATCCCTGACAAAATAATCTGAAATCCAAAGCACTTCTGGTTCCAAGCATTTGGATAAGGGATACTCAACCTATACTAAAATTATTCACTGTTTATCTGAAATTCAAATTTAACAAGGTGTTCTGTATTTTGTCTGGAGACCTTACTGATACAGCTTAGATGTCCTCTCCAAATCTCATGTTCAGATATAATCCCCAGTATTGGAAGTGGAGCCTGATGGGAGGTATTGGGGTCATGGGAGCAGATCCCTCATGGCTTCGTGCTGTTCTCACCACAGTGAGTGTGTTCTCTCAATCCGGTTGTTTCAAAGTTGTGGCGCCACCCCCCGCCCCCACCCCCACCCCCATCACTCACTGTCTTGCTCTTACTTTTGCCATGTGACATGCCTGCTCCCACTTCACCTTCTACAATGAGTAAAAGCTTCCTGAGGCCTCCCTAGAAGAGGAGCAGATGCTGTTGCCATGCTTCTTGTACAGCCTGCAGAACTGTGAACCAATTAAACTCTTTTCTTTATACGTTATCCAGTCTCAGGTATTTCTTTATAGCAATGTAAGAACAGCCTAATGGCTGGGCACAGTGGCTTATGCCTGCAATCCCAGCACTTTGGGAGGCTGAGGCAAATGGATTGCTTGAGCCCAGAAGTTCAAGACCAGTCTGGGCAACATGACAAGACCCCGTCTCTACAAAAAAAAAAAAAAAAAAAAAAAAAAAAAAAAAATTAGCCAGGCCTGCTGGCATGCACCTGTAGTCCAAGCTACTTGGGAGGCTGAGGTGGAAGGGTCCCTTGAACCTGGGAGGTGGAGGTTGCAGTGAGCCAATATTGTGCCATTGCACTCCAGCCTGGATGACAGAACGAGACTCTGTCTCAAAACCAAACCAACCCAAAAAAAAAAAAAAAAAAAAAAAGAACAGCCTACAGCTGGGCGCAGGGACTCATGCCTGTAATCCCAGCACTTTGGGAGGCTGAGGTGGGTGGATCACCTGAGGTCAGGAGTTCAAGACCAGCCTGGCCAACATGGTGAAACCCTCTCTACTACAAATACAAAAAATTAGCCAGGCATGGTGGCACACACCTGTAATCCCAGCTTACTCAGAAGGCTGAGGCCCGAGAATTGCTTGAACCCGGAAGGCGGAGATTGCAGTGAACCGAGATCATGCCACTGCACTCCAGCTTGGGTAACAGAGAGACTCTGTCTCAAAAAATAATAATAAAATAATAAAAAAAAAATTAAAAAAGAACAGCCTACTACATTTTCTTGCAGGTCCGGTCCACTGCTAGGAGATCCATATCTACTCTTTGGGAGTTCTCCAGAGGAAAAAATCAACAGGCGGGAGAAAGATACTCTGCTAGCTTCAGATTCATTAGTACTAGGAAATGGAGAGATAGGAGGTATAATGTATTAGGGAAGCAAGGGATTCAGAACCAGGTGCCCACTGACTCTGAGAAGCACTGGGTGCACAGGTAAGATGCTGCGAAGTCTTTAACTGGCCTCCATGTCAAATTAAACAGTTGTTTCAGAGATCTCAGGAAAGAAAGCCTAAAACAAAATATCATCTACTCTTTAATGTTATCCAACACCCAGACAGAATCCCACCATAAAGTGGGAACAGATGGGCAGCTTCTAGACCTCATTTCTCTATGCCAGCAGAGAGGAAGCAGGGTCTGGGCACAGTGCTCATGCCTGTAATCCTAGCACTTTGGGAGGCTGAGGCAGGAAGATTGCTTGAGTCCAGGAGTTTGGGAATAGCCTGGGCAACATAGCAAGACCCCATCCCTACAAAAAATACAAAAAAAAAAAAAAAATAGCCAGCATGGTAGTACGCACCTGTAGTCCCAGCTACTCTGGAGGGTGAGGTGGAGATCACCTGAGCCTGGGAGATGGAGGCTGTAGTGAGCTGTGATCACACCACTGCGCTCTAGCATGGATGACAAAGTGAGACTCCATCTTTTTTTTTTTTTTTTTTTTTTTTTTGAGACAGTTTTGCTCTTGTTGCCTAGGCTGGAGTGCAATGGTGCAACCTCGGCTCACTGCAACCTCAACCACCCAGGTTCAAGCAATTCTCCTGTCTCAGCCTCCCAAGTAGCTGGGATTACAGGCACCCACCACCATGCCCAGCTAAATTTTGTGTTTTTACTAGAGACACGGTTTCACCATGTTGGTCAGGGTGGTCTCAAACTCCTGACCTCAGGTGATTCACCTGCCCCCCAAACTGCTGGGATTACCGGAGTGAGCAGAACAATAGCCCCCAAGGATGTCCATATCCTAATCTCTGGAACCTGTGAATATGTTACTTTACATGACAAAAGGGACTTTGCAGATGTGATTAAGTTAAAGATCTTGAGATGCAGAAATTATCCTGGATTATCTGATGGACCAATGTAACCACAAGAGTCCTTAGAAGAGGGAGGCAGGAGCTTCAGAGTGTGTCACTGTGGAAGCAGAGATTAGAGTGATGTGACTGCTGGCTTTGAAGGTGGGAGAAGGACAGGAGTCAAGAAATGCAAGTAGCCCTAGATGGAACACAAACCTGCCGACAGGTTGACTTAAGCCCAGAGCTGTAAGGTAATGGATTTGGGTTGTTTTAAGCCACTACATTTGTGGTAGTTTGTTATAGCAGCTGTAGGAAATAAATTTGGTTCCCCATTGTTTACAGGGAAGTCTGAACTGCTTTGCAAGGCACTCGAGGGCCTTTTGCTATCTGGCCCTTGCCTAGCTGCCTGGCTAGCCTGGTCTCCCCACTCACTCACCAGGGGTTTGCATATGGAACTTCTCCAGCATCCTTAATAGGCCATGCCCTTTCTTCGATCCATGCCCTTGTCTGTGCTGTTTCTTCCACCTGGAACACCCTCTCTTTACTTGTTTATCTGGCAAACTCCTCATCCTTTACATCTCAGCTCAAACAATACCTCCTCTGTGAAGCCTTTCCTACTTCCCCCAAAGGGACTTAGGCCTCCTTTTCCTGTGCCTCCGCTGTGTTTTACGTCCACTCCATTTAAAGCAGCTCCTGTACTTTAAGGAGCTGTTCATTTCCTCACTGGACTGTAAGCTACGTGAGGGGATAGGACCTCCCATTTGACCTTTGGTCTCCCTTAGTACCTGGCATGGTCCTCAGCTCATCAAATAAAGGTCCCCAGGGACAAGAGTTCTTACCCTGCCTGCCAGCATGCCCTGGACTGGAGATGCAGCCCCTCCAGCTCCACCTCTCCATCAGTAACATGCATTAGGTCAGCCATCCCTTCTCTTCTCTGTTAAGAGACAGGGACAAAGGAAATCAGACATGGAAGTGCTTCGGGTTCAAAAAAGAAAAAGGTGCTTATCAAAGTTTTGTAGTATTTTCTCAAAAAATTTTTTTTGAGACAGGGTCTCCCTCTGTTGCCCAGGCTGGAGCACAGCTGCACAATTTCAGCTCACTGCAACCTCTGCCTCCCAGGTTCAAGTGATTCTCGTGCCTCAGCCACCCGAAACACCACGCCTGGCTAATTTTTGTATTTTTAGTAGAGACGGAGTTTCACCATGTTGGCCAGGCTGGTCTTGAACTCTTGACCTCAAGTAGTCTGCCCACCTTGGCCTCCCAAAGTGCTGGGATTATAGGTGTGAGCCACCGTGCCTCGCCAAAGTTTTGTAATATTCCCTTTCCTTCCCTTTCCTCCCCCTCCCTCCCCTCCCTTCCCTTTCCCTCCCTTCCCTTCCCCTTCCCTTTTTTTCTTGGACTTGCCATGTTGCCCGGGCTGGTCTAGAACTCCTGGCCTTAAGCGATCCTCCCATCTCAGCCTCCCAAAGTGCTAGGACTACAGGCATAAGCCACCATCTCTGGCCTGTAATATTTCAATTGTACCCACGGTCTATAATGTTTCCTCTCCAAGTATCAATCCCTTTGGGAAATGGATCTAGAGACAAGCTTCATGAAGACAGGAACTGTGTCTACTTTGCACCCCACTGTATCCCCAGCATCTAGCACTGTTCTTTGCTCTCAGGTGGATTCTCTGGTGTTAGTTGGTGAAGATCTTAGAGGAGGCTTTCTCGCATTCTTTTTGAGACAGGGTCTTGTTGTGTCACCCAGGCTGGAGTGCAGTGGTGCGATCATGGCTCACTGCAGCCTTGACCCTTGACCTCCTGGGCTCAAGTGATCCTCCCACCTCAGCCTCCCAACTAGCTGGGACCACAGGCACACACCACCATGCACAGCTATTTGTTTTTTTTTTTAATTCTTTGTAGAGATGGGGTCCCACTATGTTGCCAAGGCTGGTTTTGAACTCCTGAGAGCTCAAGTAATCTGCCCACTTTGGCCTCCCGAAGTGTTGGGATTACAGGCATGCACCACCGTGCCCGGATGTCTCACAGTCTTTAGATTCATAGTTTCACCTCTCTAAGGTGCTTGCTGATGTTGGATATCATCTTGAGTGAAGGTTTCCCCACAGTTACTACATTCAAGTAATTGAGTTCCATGGTATTGAGTAAAGTGTGCCTTCCAAGCCTCCAAATTCCCCGAGGGCTCTCCCACGACATAGCCAGACACAAGATTCCTTTCCAGTAGGAATTCTCTGATGTTGTAGAATATGATTACTCCACTCAAATAAAGGCTTATGCACACTTATTACACTTATAAATGTTTTCTCCAGTATGAATTCTCTGATGTTTAATGAGAAGCAAAATGCAAGTGAAGGTCTCAATAAAAGCCTGTTACACACCCAGCCCTGTGCTCAGTGTTCTGAGGGACTCCCAGATGGAAGGCCTGGGCTCTGCCCTCCAGATGTCTACAACCTTGTTGGGGAGACAAGACTCATGTACTGCGTTACACAGCCGGAGAACATGAGACATTATGTAATCATATCAAGCCACATCGTTTAGTGGAATTAAATGGGAATTGGGAGAAATGAGAGTTCAGCCAGAGCTTATCTGGATGGGGAAGGGGACATAAAGGACTTTAGACTTTAGCTGAAAGGATGGTAAGATTGCGCCTGGAAGAGAAAAGGGGAAGGGTGTTCCAGGTTGTGGACTCCAGCAAGAACAAAGACATGCTTCTGCGGGGACTCACTGTTTTAGACTCTGAGGGAAAGCAAGAAAGCGAGAGGAAAAGAAGAGAGGGATGGAGGAAATAAGAAAGGGAGGGAGGGAGAGAGGAAAGGATTTGCCCTTTCATTTAGGAAACTTCCACAAACTTTGTGCAGCAGCCTTTGAAAATTTTATTCTCAGCTGGGCCCCATGGCTCACGCCTGTAATCCCAGCACTTTGGGAGGCCAAGGGGGACAGATCACGTGAGGTCAGGAGTTCGAGACCAGGCTGGCCAACATGGTGAAACCCCATCTCTACTAAGTACAAAAAAATTAGCTGGGTTTGGTGGCATGAGCCTGTAGTCCCAGCTACTTGGGAGGCTGAGGCAGGAGAATCGCTTGAACCCGGGAGGCAGAGATTTCAGTGAGCTGAGATTGCACCACTGCACTCCAGCCTGGGTGACAGAGCAAGATTCCGTCTCAAAAGAAAAAGAAAAAAGAAAATTCTCTTTCTCCAATGCCTTTCTCCCTTTAGAAATTGAGTCACTTTCACTTTTCCCAGGCACACCTAAAAAGGAACGCTTTACCGCTGTGCTGCATATGTACATCCTCCCTCTGCCCCAGCCTTCTTGGGATCCATTCCAGTTCCACGACCAGGAATGTTACCCTCAGCCCAATGTGCCTTGGTGACAAAGGCACCAAGTGGGGAGAAAACCCCATTCAGGAGAGGGCCCTCGGAGAGCACCCAAGCATGCCCAAACCCTACGTCTTCTTCTTTCACCTATCGCATCCTCTAAAAATTGTCCATAGGGGATGTTGACAGAGTGAGGGTCATCAAATCCAATGGCTTTTTACTTATATCAGTTTTGTAGGAGTTTTTATGGAGCATTCAGAGTAGAGAATACTTTATAACTTTTCCTTGTTTTCTCCATTCTGCAGAGGGTAGCAGACAAGCAAGAGGGTGGAATTTGCAGCATCTCATCTTGGTGAGACAGTTGGAAGACTTTTCTGCCAATTATAGTGGTTAAACACTGACTCAACATCAAACAACGGCATGAGGGGTCAGAGCCTTCATTCGTGGACAAGTTTCAAAAACATGGGAGCACCACCTGTCATGAGCAATTTAGTCAGAACAGAAGAGAATAGATCACACCCAACAAGACAGAAAAAGCTGCTTTCTGGAGAGGGCGGGAGCTAATATTTCCTAACACGGTGAAATTGTGAAGTGCTTTTTGCAGCCCTTCATAATTTCATCATCCAAAGGGTTTGCTTTTGGAATTCTTAGACACTTAATTCTGTCCCTGCTTTCCGTGTCACTTCCACGGGACACTGAATTTGGGAAGAGGGAGACCTCACCAATGATGGGAAGAACAGATTGGGGGCTGGCGCCCTTTTGGGTTTGCCATGTGAACATCCTCCTGGAACAGTCTCCATTCTGTCCCAGCAAGACACACTCTGCTCTGTGAAGAACCCAGGTGGGAAAAAAAAAAAAATCTATGAGGCCACAGTGGAAATGCAGCTCAGCAGGACTCTCAGGTACCCCAAAATTGTCCCATCTGACAACTCACCACATTCTATTTATTTATTTATTTATTTATTTTGAGATGGAGTCTCACTGTGTCACCCAGGCTGGAGTGTAGTGGCGTGATCTAGGCTCACCGCAGCCTACGCCTCCCAGATTCAAGCGATTCTCCTGCCTCAGCCTCCCATGTAGCTGAGACTACAGGCATGCGCCACCACACCCAGCTAATTTTTGTATTTTTAGTAGAGATGGGGTTTCGCCATGTTGCCCAGGCTGGTCTCAAACTTCTGACCTCAGGTGATCCACCCCCGCCCCTCAGCCTCCCAAAGTTCTGGGATTACAGTCATGAGACACTGCACCTGGCCAACACATTCTGTTTTCATCATTAGTGCCTGTCCTCCCTGCTAGCTCATGGGCTCCCCCAGAGCAGGCATGTTTGCCCTAGTCACCATCAAAACTGTCTTAGTACCTGTCACGGTGCCTGGCACATAGCAGTTATTCAGTAAATGTTTGTTGAATAAATCAACTATAAACATCAAAATGATTCCCTTAAAAAGGTCTTCATTCTTGTTCAGATGTAGAGAGTTACATTACAAACACTTGTGTGCTGGGGATAGGAAGGGACACTGTTGGGTAATAATAAGTGCTTGAAACATGTGGGAGGGCCCTGGAAAATAGCCCAAAAAGTTCACATTGTATCTGATAAGCAACAGGGAGCTACTGCAGGTTCTTCAGGTCACCAGTAGGCAAGCAGGTGGTGGCTTTCCAGGCTGAAAAGTGTATTTGATCTGGAAGATAGTAGGATCACAGACAAACAGTGAGTCTTGGAGTAGCCTGATCACAGTGGCAAGCTCAAGAGACAATTTTATGGCTGAGGGCTGAATGTTTCAGCTGGGTGGGTGTCAAGAAACCAGCAAGACTCCAGGCATGGTGGCTCATGCCTGTAATCCCAACACTTAGGGAGGCCGAGACAGAGGATCCCTTAAGCCCAGGAGTTTGAGACCAGCCTGGGCAGTATAAGGAAGCCCTGTCTCTACAAAAATAAAAACATAACAAAATTAGCCAAGTGTGGTGGCGTGTGCCTGTGCTTCTAGCTCCTTCAGAGGCTGAAGTGGGGAGGATCACTCGAGCCTGGGAGGTTGAGGCTTCACTGAGCTGTGATCATGCTGCTGCACTCCAGCCTGGGCGACAGAGTGAGACCCTGTCTCAAAAAACAAACAAACAAACAAGAAACCCAGCAAGAATTAAGAATTCTGGTGAGCACTGTTCCCGTGTGACCTCAGAGAGCTGATAGGCAATTTGATGGCAGAGGCGGGGGCCAGTGCAGTCATGGCCAAAAATGGCCAGGGAGGAAGAAGATGCCCTGGGTCTCAGCCCAGAGTCTGGTGTTGGATGGTGTGGAGAGTAGAAGTGAAGCCAAAGTAAGGTCTGTCTTTCTTCAGAGAGAGCCTCCTAAAGGCAGAGGACATGTCTTATCCATCTACACCCACAGCTCCAAGCGGAGCTCCTTGCCCAGAGAAGCTGCTTAATAAATTGACACACGAATGCTTGGCTGCCTCGCTGGCTCTGGGAGGCATGGATGATGCCAGAGCTTGGGGAGGCCACTGAAGCAGTGTTTATTGTCCTTTCTCCTCCAACTTCCTCAGTCTACCCTTCTGTGTTGTCCCACCTCTCCTTGAAGCCAGAAGATGTCCCCAAAGGTTGCTACTCTCCACATGGACAGCAGGTACTGAGGAAGGAAACAGTCTCCACCTGCGGCTTGCAACTCCCTCCTCCTCTGGGAACCCACTGTCTGGCAGGACCCAGGCATTTTGTAGAATATTCCACTTATTCGCACCCACTCCTCAGAGTGTCACTCACATTCCCTTCTAGTCTCTCTCCCTTTCATCTCATCTCAGCAGGCAGGGACATGCCACCACTGGAAGCCTGGCATTAGCAAATGTGCACACAGCACACACATACACACCTTTCCCTGTCTCTGAGCCATTGTCTGAACCTCTGCCCCTGGGCCTGGCCCATCTTTACGAGATCCAGAGATCCAGGCTTTTCCTATCCAAGGATGCTGAATCTGGCCCCTGACGGGAGGGAGCTGGGCATTTTGCACGTCTGCAGTGTTGCCTTCCCTCAGGGGGCTGGGGAGGATCCACCCATATGGCAGAACCTTCCAGAGAGACGCGAAACCAGGAGCCTGACCTCATGGTGCCCGCAGCATCTGGCACAGAGGGTACCAGTTCTGCTATCCTGGCTGCAGCCCAGTTCTCTCTTCTAGAATCCACACCTTCTCTGGCTCCCCTCCAGGCCAGCGAGATTTGCCCCAACTGAGGGAGGACAGGGATGACCTAGTGAGTGGGAGGTGATGGGGAAGAGAAGGAATCTCTGCTACAGAAACTTGGTGAAATCATTCCTTGCCTCTGTGCCTCAGTTTCCCCTTGAGAAATTCTTCCAGAGTTAGGAAGGAGCTCAGCCCTGGGAGAGAAACCCATAGTCATGCTGTGTTCTCTTGCAGCCAGGAGACGCCTGCCCTGCCCCGCCCCTTGCTAGTTGGTGATGCTGGCCTAGCAAGGCAGGGTCCTGCAGGATGAAAGCTCGGAGAAGCCAAAACAGGAATAATAATGATAATAATCAGCTGCGGCGTCTCAACCATCCAGGAATGCAAGGCTCCACGCCCTGTGTGCCTCACACCCCAGGACATCGCAAGGGCTCCTCTCCCTTTATTTTATTGCAGTGATCCCACACTGCCATTCCCAGCCCAACCCATCTGGATTCCCAAGAACTGCAGTCCAGCCACCGGCTCATCCACCACCCAGTTTCCATGGGAATATTCAGCTCCAAGACCTAAGCCAGCAGCAGGGTAAGACGCCCAGCTACTTGGAAACTCGTGCTCCATGGCTTCTGGGAGAAGCAGTCTGCCCACCCCTGGCCTGGAACGCTTTCCCATAGACCCATCTATGTCTGGTCAATGTGAGGGCCAGGTACCTTGCTTGTGTCAATCCAAATCTGGATTCAAGTCTGGTCTGGCCTTAAACTAACTCACCACGGGACCCTAGACAGGTTTGGTTTCATTTTTTAACTTTTTTGGGTTCACTCGCTCTCTTGCCCAAAAGCTTTTCAAGGATCCCCATGGCTCAGTGAAGATAAACTCTGGATCTAGAGGTCTAGTACGTGGCCATTTGAAATCTCGTTCTAAAACACCTTTCCAAATCCACTCGTCTCCTTCACCTTTGGGATGCCAGCCAGAAGGAAGTACTCACCGTTGGTCATGCACATCCCATGCTTTTCCATTTGGGGATTTTGCTCCTTCTTTGGGAATGTCATTCCTTCCACCTCTACCTCCACCTGGCAAGACCCTCCTAGCCTTCAAGGCCCAGGCCAGGGGCCATCTCCTCCATGATTATGCCTGACCCTCATCCACCTTGGAACCCTGCTTCCTTTTCCTCAGACCCTTTCAAGCCCCAGTACTCACATTGTGCTGTGGGTGTGTGCATATCTTAATCATCAGCATCCTGATGTCTCGTTCATCTCTGTGTCTCCATGGCGGCTAGTACAGCACCTTGCACACAGGGCAAGGAATCAATACATAAGTTCCAGACATACATTGTGGAGAATAATCATCCTCACTCTATTAAATCCTCCCACAATTGTGCTCCAAAAAATAAAAATAATTATTTTAGGCCAGGTGTGATGGCTCACATCTGTAATCCCAGCACTTTGGGAGGCCAAGGCAGGAGGATCGCTTGAGCCCAGGAGTTTCAGACCAGCTTGGGCAACATAGTGGGACCCTATCTCTACAAAAAATAAAATTAGCCAGGCATGGTTGCACATGCCTGTTGTCCCAGCTACTCAGGAGGCTGAGGTGGGAGGATTGACTGAGCTGGGGAGGCAAAGGTTGCAGTGAGCCAAGATCATACCACTGCACTCCAGCCTGAGTGACAGAGCAAGACCCTGTCTCCCTAGCTCCAAAATGTTTATTTAATATAACATTTCCTGAGTGTGTATTATTGGCTTGAGAGAGAAATAAAGAGTACAAAGGCCAGGAAGGCCCCTTACCCCCACCCCAGCCTCCTCTGTAGGTAGGATGCAGGTACCCAAGTCTCCATGAAGACATCAGCTCTCTGGCTTTGGCTCCTAGGCTGACACTAGGAACCCTTTCCTTGACCAGTGGCTGGTCCAGTTCCATCTCAGACTCTGTCTAGTACGAGGTGGGTTCTTCCCTTGTTAGAGAATGATAATCTCACCCTTTGGGGGCTTCATCTTTTCTATTTTTTATTTTATTTTATTTTTTAATTCCCTGCAAGTGTTGCACATGGGTCATCTTTTCTAAGCCCCAGCAGCCTCCAGGCCCCATAGGACTCATATGCCAGAAGGACCCCTGGATTCACATGGTATTAAGAGGTTAGAACCGCTCCACTCCTGGATCCTGATTAGAACTCCTCGGAGCACCATACACCATTGCTCCCTCTTAGTGTTGTTGAAAATAGTAACAATAACTTCAGCAACACTTTGTGTTTACGTAAGGCTTTTCTCTAGGGAGCTCAGCTAATCTTTCCCTCATCTCCAGAAGGAAGAGAGGACCAAGGTAATGAAGGACAAATGAGCCATTGCAGCCACACTCTGGAATACAAGCATCCTTTGTTCTTAGAAGTAAGTGCAATACATAGGATTTCAGATGTGGGGAACTGATAAGCAGGAAACCAGTTCATTTCCCGAGACCCAAAACCCATGACTTAAGAATTTTTGCCCAAATCAAATTCTGTATGAGATGAAAACCCCCAAACTGAGGTGTTATATCACATAGTCATAACATTTGAGCATGTACCCTTAATATATGTTCAATTATGTATACATTGTATACACAACCTACTCTCATTAGGACCTCAAGATACAATATATATTTGCGGTGAGGTTCGTTTTTTTAGCAATGGTAGATGTGAAGCCCACATTTCAAATAGTCACCTTGATAACTACAAATTACGAAAAAGAAGGAATAAGTTCTAGTGTTGGATAATACAATAGGGCAACTATAGTTAACAATCATTTATTGTATTTTTTAAAATAGCTAGAAGAGAATATTTGGAATGTTCCCAACACAAAGAAATGATCAGTGCTTGAGGTGATGGCTATCCCAGTTACCCAGATTTGATCATTACACACCGTATGCTTGTGTTACAGTATCACACATACCCCATACATAGGTACAACTATTCTATACCCATAAAAATTAAAAATAAAAAAAACTTTTGGCCATCTTCCTGTGAGCCCTGATTAGACTGTCACTGTTTTAGCCTCATAACAGGGCTGGCAGAGTTCCTGTGAGGAGCAGGGCCAGCTTTTCCGTTTTCTTGTGTGCCTGTGCTTGCTAAATTAGGGTGATCTTTAATCTGCAGGGTTTTTGCTGGAATCTTTTTAAACCCCTTGTTCATTCTGTAAAGGTTAATTTAGTTTATGTTAGATCATACACTCCACTGTGTAATTTAACCAGGCAATGTAAGCTGTGATCCTTTGCCATTTTCTGGCCATGATCTGGAGCGAGGGAGCCCTCTCAGCCCCTGCAATACACTTCCCACACCTCCTGCAGGAGACCCCACATGCTACACTCTGCCTGTGACTCAGTGTCCATCCGTATATTTGCATCATGGTAAAGCTTGCCCTACTCACTGTGAAGGGCATCTCCTGCTGGACCTCCTTCTCGTGGCGGTACTCATCATTTCTGTCCTCTCCTGTGCCCTCCTGGCAGTCTCAGCCACCTCAAGCTTACCTTTCTAAAACCTTCTTTGTAGGCCGGGCATGGTGGCTGTGCCTGTAATCCCAGCACTTTGGGAGACTGAGGTGGGTGGATCTCTTGAGCCCAGGAGTTTGAGACCAGCCTGGGCAACATGGTGAAACCCCGTCTCTACTAAACATACAAAAATTAGGTGGGTGTGGTGGTCCACGCCTGTAGTCCCAGCTACTCAGAAGGTTGAGGTGGGAGGATCACCTGAGCTCGCGAAGTTGAGGCCGAAGTGAGCCGAGATTGCGCCACTGCATTCCAGTCTGAGCGATGGGAGTTGAGATCCCCACTCCCCTCTCTATATTCCTGATCTCCATTAAGAACATCACTAAATGCCCAGTTGCCGATCTCCACCCCTTCCTCTTTGTCATACTTCCAGACAAATCCACTTTCTAAGACCCCTCCCTCATTGTCTCTTGTCCTGACCGCTGCTGGGACCACTTAACCAGTGGACCTCCCTGCCACTGCTCCCTTCCCCTCTTATTTACCCTCCATGCTTCTGTCAGATAAATCTCTCTTTTTTTTTTTTTGAGATGGAGTCTCACTGTGTCACCAAGGCTGGAGTGCAGTGGCACACTCTCGGCTCACTGCAACCTCCGCCTCCTGGGTTCAAGTGATTCTCCTGCCTCAGCCTGCCGAGTAGCTGGGATTGCAGGCACCCACCACCACACCCAGCTAATTTCTGTATTTTTAGTAGAGACAGGGTTTCTCCATGCTGGTCAGGCTGGTCTCGAACTCCTGACCTCAAGCGATCCACCCACCTCAGCTTCCCAAAGTGGTGGGATTACAGGCATGAGCCATCATGCCTGGCCGAGAAATCTTTCAAGTGCACAAATCTGATTGGTTTCCCCACTTCCTAGTCTTTCCATTTGCCTCCTGCCACAGGATAAAGTGCAAACTCTTGGCAGAGCTTTGCAAGACCAGTCCCTGCTGGCCGCTGCAAACTGGTCACCCCCAGCCACACCACTCACTTTCAAGCCCCAGCCAACCACCCAGGAGCTGCCACCTTGTACACTGTATTCCCTGTTTCTTAGACTATCTTTTCATGTCCTTTCTTCTCGGCCTCCTTAACGTCCAAGACCAGCTTGCCTGGCCTCTTCCAAACACTGACGGCAGACAAAGTTGCCCTGTGTCTCGGCACCCTAGCACTTGTATGAAACTCTCTTGTGTTATGCTCAAATGTGGTCGCTTAGTTGTTTGTATCCTCCATAAGATATCAGTTCCTGAGCACTCGGGCCTGTATTCTACTGATCTCTACAGCCTCCTGTTCCCAGCCCCCTCCTGGCTTGCTGTGGTGTCAGCCTGTCTGTGAAGGACTGTTCCACTGGTATAAGGTGTTAGGTACGACTTTTCTATCCACTGCTGCACTGCCCTCAACCCCAACCCCAATAGTGTTAGCTATTACTAGGGCCCAGATACTGTTCTAGCAGCCGTGGGCTTATCAGCTCACTTACCCTCACTACACTGCCATGAGGTCACCTATTGTTAGCCCCGTTTTACAGATGAGGAAACTGAAACACAGCAAATTACGTGTTAGTCCCAGGTCATGCAGCTAGGTGACAGACTCAGGAGTCGAACACAGCCACCCTAGATCCAGAGCCCTAGTATTAGCCTCTGGGCATACAGACAACACTGTGACGCCTCACTCAGCCTTCTCACTGTCCCCGCTTCCTCTGACAAGAGTGGCTGCTGTTCCCAAGGCCAACTAAACTCTCTTTCCACCCTGCCCAATGCTGAGGGTCTGGTGGCTTAGCTGGCCCCTTCCCCCTCAGAGAAAGTAACAGATATGACAGGCTCCCCTCCTGTCACGAATGCCCCACCATGCTTGGAGGAGGCCCTCTGCTCATCCACTCATCTCCTGGCCTGAAACTCTTTGAGGGGATCTGAATCCTGGTATTAGTGAGTCGAAACCATTTCTCTGGGAGGACCTGCCTGAACTATGCCCAGGAAGGCAAAGCCCATCTCGACCCCATGCTATGCCTACCAACCCGGCAGGCACCTGGAGGGTGTCCACACCTACTTCACCTGATCAGCTTCTGGCCACTCAGAACATCTCCTTCTCTGGGGCTTTTTCTCTATTCCGCCTTGCCTCCCCACACTTCCTTCCTGTTCTTATTTCTCTTTACAAGACTGGGTATTTTTAACCTGAGGTTTCCACTTATCTCTTCTTGTCTGATTGGGACTGGGCTGGGCAGGGGTGCCAGTGTGCTGGAAGGGCTAGGAGTATTTTGCTAGCCTCAGAGGCTACAGTCCGCATCCGACACTCTAGGCCCAGACTTTGCCCCGACTCTACCCATCTTTGTGGAGCTATGGAGCTCCCCTCCTCTACTTCTGGAGTATAACCTTAAACTGGCCTTGGGTTGAAGCTTTGGAAACTGTGCAGGGCATGGAAGGAGCTGAACTTCCCACCCTCCCCTCCACGCACTCCCCATGCCCACTCCTACTCCCAGGATGCTGCCGCTAGGTGAAGATGAAGAGCACTTTGAGGCCAGGTGCAGTGGCTTACCCTGTAATTCCAGCACTTGGGAGGCTGAGGTAGCAGGATCGCTTGAGCACAGGAGTTGGAGAACAGCCTGGGCAACACAGTGAGACACCTATCTCTACAAAAACAAAAACAAAAAAAGCTGGCGTGATTGAGCCACTGCATTTCAGTCTGGGTGACAGAGAAGACCTTGTCTCAAAACAAACAAACAAAAAACACCTTGAATTTCACACGTCCCTGGAACAGCCACCAGGATCATCCCTCAGTCCACTTTCATGATCCACATTATAAACATGGATGCCTTTCTGAGGGATTATGGGCCTTCAGAGCTGCTCTTTCATCTGCCTCAGCCTTGAGGTGCAGCTCAGAGAGCTCTGCCCTCACACCCTGGCCCCTCTTGCACATCCCTGAAGGTCTCTGCTTCAATGTCCTCCTACCTAAGCCCCCAGCCAGGCCCACCCATCACTCTCCACTCCGTCCTCACCTGTGGGTCTCCAACCCTCATGTGTCCCACGCTTCTCTGCACTCCAGGTGCTTAATAGAGAAACTTTTATTTGAAGTCCGTACAGCTGCAAAGTGGAGATAATTGGGGGTTTTGGTTGTGGTGTTTGTTTTTTAGTTTGGTTTCTGTACCAGCTTTCTTAAAAAAAGAAAATGGTGGCCACTGAACAGGGTGATTTCAGAGATTTTTTAAAAAGCAACTGACAAGCCCAGTGCAGTGACTCATGCCTGTAATCCCAGAACTTTGGGAGGCTGAGGTGGGCGGATCACTTGAGGTCAGGAGTTCAAGACCAGCCTGGCCAACATGGTGAAACCCTATCTCTACTAAAACTACAAAAATTAGCTGGGTGTGGTGGCGCGTACCTGTAATCCCAGCTACTCAGGAGGCTGAGGCAGGAGAATCACTTGAGCTTGGGAGGCAGAGGTTGCAGTGAGCCAAGATCGTGCCACTGCTCTCTAGCCTGGCAACAGAGTGAGACTCCATCTCAAAAAAAAAAAAAAAAAAGAAAAAAAAAAGCAACTGACAGTGACTCACTTGCTCCAGGCCGGCAGGCCTAAGTTTAATGTTCTGTAAAGTAATTGATAGTCATAATGACTGCCTGAGGCACAGTGGTATCCCGATGTGCGCTTTGAGTCTCACTGCAAAAGATTAAATATGTTCCGCATTGTGTTTATGTTTGACTGTATTTTTAAAATTCTAATTCCTTTAAAATGGGCACCCCCGGTATAATGTACGTAGTGACTCTTTAATTAGGGAACTGATTTTCCATGTGGTCTAGTGGCTTTCAGGACTTGTTGACTAGACAGAATATCTGCAGCTCTCATCGCCAGCCTCACCCAGCCACACCTCAGCTTCACACTCTGGTAACTGTCCTCACCACTCCCTCCTGTTCAGCTGCCCCATGGTCCCAAGAAGCAATGCTTTCCAGCCCCATTGTGAGCTGAGGCTGCAGCCCTGTCTGGCACCGCTTTTATAATTGGTCATTCAGTCTTCAAACCTCTGTGGAGCATCCCCCATGAATAGAGAGCCATGCTGGGTGGGGACTGGGAAGAAGCAGAAGAAAATGTGTCAGTGCTGCCTTCAGGGAGAAAACACACACAAACACCTAGACAGTTGCTTCCTACAAGTTCAAAAGAACTTGACCTCGGAACCGAAGAAATAAGGTCAGGGTTTATCAGAAAAATATTCCCAAAGGGGAGAATTTGAGCCTAACTTTGATTGTCAGGAAGGCTATCCGTGCTGGGTAGATAGGTGCACGGAGATGGGGAGGCTATGCTGGCAGTGAGGCCAGAATCCCTCATCACCTCTACCAGGAAGTAGCCTTCTGAATCCTGGACTGCTCCTCCCCCTTTGGGCTAACTGGCTGATAAGGACTGGGGACCAACCCCAGCAAGGAGGAAGTGGACTGGCTTCCTGTTTATTTATGAATCTCAGAGCAGCACCGTGCAGCCGTGAACACCAACCAAGCACAGCAATCCCAGCCCAAGCCAAGAGCCCCAGGGAGCCCGTCTGCTGACCCAGCAAGCCCTCACCCAGCTGGGAGATGCAAGGACTCCATCCCAGGGCAGCCCATGGTCCGGAGGGCCAGCCTGGGAGCAGCCATGCCAGATTGTCAGGAACAGGAGGTAGAGGAGTGACAACTTCCCCAAAGAGGTCAAAGCCACACATTCGTAATATGAAGCCACTGGGCAGCTCCAGGGGCCCAAGCATTGGCTTTCCCTTCACCCCAAAGGTTATTTCCTAAGACTCTGGGCACAACTGTGGGGCCTGTGGGAAAATCGTGTGCAGAAATAGCTGGGCCTTTTAAGAACCAGGCAGTTTTGTTTCCAACAGCAAAAGCTGACTGGTGACAACACATCCCAGAGCCACATGAGGGAAAACAATGTAGCCATTTAAAAGAATGGGGTGGATTAGTCTGTGCTACAGGGCAAGATGTCCAAGATACTTCCATAAATGAAAACAAGGTGCAGAACAGAACAGTACGTACAGTGTGATCTTTTGTGCAAATAATTACAATAGCAGAGGATAAGTATGTACAGGCTTAGAGATATATGAGCTGCTGAATGCATGACTTTTTTTTTTTCTGGAAGGAAATTTAAACAATCTAACTGGTTATTTTAGAAATATTTTGAGAGAAAAGTGGTGGGAGGGCTTTCTCTTTTCATTATTCATCTTTCTCACATTGCATAGTGAGGTATATATATTTAGGAAATGTTACCTGTGGACAATGAAGTTATGGTTCATTCTGTTTTATTCTTTACATTTCATTTTTTGTTTTTTTGTTTTTTGTTTTTTTGCGACAGGGTCTTGCTCTGTCCCCCAGGCTAGAGTGCAGTGGCGTGATCCTGGCTTACTGCAGCCTCAACCTGCTGGGCTCAAGCGATCCTCCCACCTCAGCCTCCCAAGCAGCTGGTACTACAGGCGTGTGCCACCATGACCAGCTAATTTTTAATTTTTTTGTAGAGATGAAGGCCTCACTATGTTGCCCAGACTGGTCTGTATGTTTTTTTGTTTTCTGAGACAGAGTCTTACTCTACTGCCCAGGCTGGAATGCAGTGGTGCAATTTAGACTCACTGCAACCTCCGTCTCCCAGGTTCAAGCGATTCTCTTGCCTCAGCCTCCTGAGTAGCTGGGATTACAGGCGCCCGCCACTATGCCCGGCTAATTTTTGTATTTATTTATTTATTTTTTTGAGACAGAGTCTCGCTCTGTTGCCCAGGCTGGAATGCAGTGGCGCGATCTCGGCTCAAGGCAACTTCCACCTCCCCAGTTCAAGCGATTCTCTTGCTTCAGCCTCCCGAGTAGCTGGGACTACAGGTGCGTGCCACCATGCCCAGCTAATTTTTTGTATTTTTAGTAGAGACGGGGTTTCACTGGGTTAGCCAGGATGGTCTCGATCTCTTGACCTTGTGATCTGCCCACTTTGGCCTCCCAAAGTGCTGGGATTACAGGCGTGAGCGACTGCAACCGGCCCTGATTTTTGTATTTTTAGTAGAGATGGGGTTTCACCATGTTGGCCAGGCTGGTCTCAAACCCCTGACCTCAGGTGATCTACCTGCCTTGGCCTCCGAAAGTGCTGGGATTACAGGTGTGAGCCACTGTGCCCAGCCTAGGTTTGTATCTTTTTTGTGTGTGTCTTGTTTTTTGAGATGGTGTCTCACTCTGTCACCCAGGCTGGAGTGCAGTGGTGTGATCTTGGCTCACCACAACCTCTGCCTCATGGGTTCAAGCGATTCTCGTGCCTCAGCCTCCAGAGTGACTGGGATTACAAGTGCCCACCCCCATACCCAGCTAATTTTTGTATTTTTAGTAGAGACAGGGTTTTGCCATCTTGGCCAGGCTGGTCTCAAACTCCTGACCTCAGGTGATCCGCCCATCTCAGCCTCCCAAAGTGCTGGGATTTATAAACGTGAGCCACTGTACCTGGCAAGATCTGTATCTTTTTCTCTTTTTCTTTTCTTTCTTTCTTTTTCTTTTTTTTTTTTTTTTTTTTTTAGGAGTGGAGAGTTTAATAGGCAAGAAAGAAGGGAGAAGAAAGAAGGAAGACGCTCCCCTGTACAGAGACAGAGGGAGGGGGCTCCAAAGCCGAGAGAGGAGACCTCAAGGTCTGTATCATTTATTTATTTATATATTTGTTTATTTATTTATTTATTAAGACGGCCTCCCAAAGTGCTGGGATTACAGGTGTGAGCCACCGTGCCCAGCCGTGGTCTGTATCTTTTTTTTTTTTTTTTAGACAGAGTCTCACTCTTCTCGCCCAGGCTGGAGTGCAATCTCGGCTCACTGCAACCTCCGCCTCCCGGGTTCAAGAGATTCTCCTGCCCCAGCCTCCCGAGTAACTGGGATTAGAGGTGCCCGCCACCACACCTGGCTAATTTTTTGTATTTTTAGTAGAGACGGGGTTTCACCATGTTGGTCAGGCTGGTCTCAAACTCCTGACCTCAGGTGATCCACCTGCCTTAGCCTCCCAAAGTGCTGGGATTACAGGCGTGAGCCACCGCACCTGGCCCAGTCTGTATCTTTTAAAACAAAATGCATTAAACTGATAAGTATTATTTTTAAGACAATTTAAAGAATCAGGCAGTCTGCATTTGCAAGATCAGACAGGTCAGAGCTAGGGTCACTAATTCTCTGGGAAAATCAATGGGAGATGATGGGAGAAATGCTTTGCTTTAAGATCTGTACACATCAATAACAGTGTCCCTGATTCTACACTTCTCTTTGAGGTAGGAGGCAGGACTCAGCTCACGTCTGGAGGTGGAGCTCAGACACGGGGCCTAATTGAGGACTAGCTAAAACAGGGACAGGGCGAAAACACCTCCCCATAAGACATGCCCACTAGCATGCCATGTCAGTTTACTGATGCCATGGCAACACCTGGAAGTTACCGCCCCTTCCCATGGCAATGACCGGATACCCCTTTTCTAGAAATGTCTACAGAATCTGCCCCTTATTTTGCATATAATTAAGAGTGGGTATAACTATGACTGCAGCCCTGCCTCTGAGCTGCTACTCTGGACACACTGCCTATGGAGAAGTCCTGCTCTGCAAAAAGTAGTACCTTTGCTGCTGCTGGACACTGCCACTTCAATAAAAGTTGCTGTCTAACACCACCAGCTCACCCTTGAATTCTTTCCTGGGCAAAGCCGAGAACCCTTCTGGGCTGAGCCTCCACCAACTTCATGGAGTCCTGTGGCAAACGTTTGAGCCTTCTCTGGCTTCCTTCCAACCACTTCCTTTCCCTGTTTCTTCCCCATTTCATGGCCTCATCATTTAATTTTTGGCCTGAGCCAAACAATAAGGAACAGAAATCTGGAGGAAGAAAAAGAAGAAACAAAAACTCAATGTACAGCACTTCAATACCCATGGCCCAATGACCTGTTATTTGGACTAAGTTATATTAACCTCTTTAAGAAAGACCTGAATCGAATTCACCTTTGAATCCCCTGAAGCATGTAGCCTAGGACTGCACACAGTAGGTACTCAATAATACCTGTTGGATGAGTGAATGGAGCAACTGTGTACACAGCACTTGTCCTTTTTCAAGTCTGTTCTTTGATAAAAGCACCCACAAGATAGAAGGTCAAGCCTCCCCAAGTACTTAGCCTAACAGATTTAACGTTGCCCCTCCTCATGAGTGTTTTGGGAAATTGGAAGGAAACTCCTGGGGCCTCTGAAAGAGAATCTGATGTCCCCTCTGTGGTTCTTTTTTTTTTTTTTTGAGACGGAGTCTCGCTGTGTCACCCAGGCTGGAGTGCAGTGGCGCGATCTCAGCTCACTGCAACCTCTGCCTCCCAGGTTCAAGCGATTCTCCTGCCTCAGCCTCCCGAGTAGCTGGGATTACAGGCGTCCGCCACCATGCCTGGCTAATTTTTGTATCTTTAGGAGAGACAGGGTTTCACTATGTTGGTCAGGCTGGTCTCGAACTCCAGACCTCAAGTGATCCACCCGCCTCAGCCTCCCAAAGTGATTATAGGCCTGAGCGACCGCGCCTGGCCCTGCTCTGTGCCATATTAATTCATTAACAACTGGGTAAGCTGCCCAAACTGACCTTAGGCTACCAAAGGCTGTGTATGTAGCGCCCTGAGAGCCTTCTTGGTTTAAGAAGGAGTTAAAACAGAACTGGGTGGTGGGTCTCCCACCTGGCAGAGAGATGGGTAGCACTAGTTTGGCTGGTGGCTGGTGCAGAACAGTTGGTATATTTACAGCCACAGATGCCCAAGGGGTTCTGTATCAGGAAGTCGTCTGCAGAGAGTCACTTCAACCTGTTTACTTGTCTTCAGTACTGGCGCTAACATTCTCCTAGTCTTTCCCCGGGATATTTTTCTGAACATCTTGTGCTGGTTGACACAGGCTGGCACGGCTAGTAACAGGCAGGTTGCTGCCATCTGGTGGAGAAGAGGGGCCACGGCCTTGCCTGGCTCAGTCTGAGACTGAAGAGATGAAAAGAATTTTTGAGGAACGCTTCTAGGAGAGTGGATTTCAAACTTCCACAGCCATGGAACCCTTACTTCTTTTAAAGTTTATTTTATGTATTTATTTTTTTAGAGGTAGGGTTTCGCCATGTTGGCCAGGCTGGTCTTGAACTCCTGACCTCAAGTGATCTACCTGCCTCGGCCTCCCAAAGTGCTGGGATTACAGGCATGAACCATAGCACCTGGCCATGGAACCCTTCTTTCTTCTTCTTCTTCTTCTTTTTTTTTTTTTTTTTGAGACGTCTCGCTCTGTCGGCCAGACTGGAGTGCAGTAGTGAGATCTTGGCTCACTGCACCCTCCGCCTCCCAGGTTCAAGAAATTCTCCTGTCTCAGCCTCCCGAGTAGCTGGGACTACAGGTACACGCCACCATGCCTGGCTAACTTTTGTATTTTTAGTAGACATGGGGTTTCACCATATTGGTCAGGCTGGTCTCTAACTCCTGATCTCAGGTGATCCACCCGCCTCGGCCTCCCAAAGTGCTTGGATTACAGGTGTGAGCCACCACGCCCAGCAGAACCCTTCCTTCTAACAACAGCAGTGCCTAAGGCCCTTGTGTAAAACTGATAAATGCATCATGGCTCTGGCTGAAAGCATCTTCACATCAATCACCTCATATACTCTTCAATAACACTACAATGTGAATATTCGTATCTTTAGTTTCTTGAGGAAAAAAATAAGGCTGTTTGAAGTATTTAAGTAATTTACCCAAGGTTTCCCAAGCTATTCAGTGGCAGAGTCAGAATACAAACCCAGATTATTATTATTATTATTATTATTATTATTTTTGACACAGGCTTTCTCTCTGTCACCCAGGCTGGAGTGCAGTGGTGCAATCACAGCTCACTGCAGCCTCGACCTCCCAGGCTTAAGCAATCCTGCCACCTCAGCCTGAGTAGCTGGGACCCCAGGCATGTGCCACCATGCCTAGCTATTTTTTAAATTTTTTGTAGAGTCAGGGTCTCGCTATGTGGCCCAGGCTGGTCTTGAACTTGTGGGCTCAAGTGATCCACCTGCCTCACCTTCCCAAACTGCTGATATTACAGGCATGAGCCAACAAGCCCGGCTTTTTGTTTGTTTGTTTGTTTTGACAGGATTTAATACTATTGCCTAGGCTAGAGTGCAGTGTTGCTCACTGCAGATGCGAATTCCCGTGCTCAAGCAATCCTCCCAACTCAATCTTCCAAGTAGCTGAAACTACAGGTATGCATGACCACACCTGGCTAATTTTTTATTTTTTGATTTTTTTGTAGAGATGAGGTCTTGCTGTGCTGCCCAGGCTGGTCTCAAACTCTTGGCTTCAAATGATCCTCCTGCTTTGGCCTCCTAAAGTGTTGGGATTACAGGCATGAGCCATCGCGCCTGGCCCAAACCCACATCTTTCTAGTTCTAGAACCTGCACTAGTTCCACTAAACTGAGTTGCCTTCTGGAGTGAGAACCCTGGGAAGTCCAGCCCAGCACAGTTTCAGTGTCAGCAAGCATTGCTGTAGTTCACTGGCATGAAGATGAAGGGCTTTTTTTTTTTTTTTTGAGACAGAGTTTCGCTCTTGTTGCCCAAGCTAGAGTGCAATGGCACGATCTCGGCTCACTGCAACCTCTGCCTCCCTAGTTCAAGCGATTCTTCTGCCTCAGCCTCCTGACTAGCTGGTATTACAGGCATGCACCATCACACCCGGCTAATTTTTTGTATTTTTAGTAGAAACAGGGTTTCAACATGTTAGCCAGGCTGGTCTTGAACACCTGACCTCAGGTGATTTGCCCGCCTCAGCCTCCCAAAGTGCTGGGATTACAGGCATGAGCCACCGCGCCCGGCCCATGAAGGGACTTTCAAAAGAGAAGACATTGTCTCTGTCTCCCCACTTTTCCAGTCTAGCTGGGGATGAAAGAGTGTGTATGAAGGGAATGGACAGGACACATGCCGCCACCCATCTGCGGATGCAAAGGAAGGATTTATATGCCAAGGTGCCCCAGATATTGGAGCATTTGAAGCTGAGAGATGGGATAGGAAAAGCACTAGATGGAGAGTTTGGGGACCTACATCCCAACCCTGGCTTTGCTACTCATACCCTGTGGGACATTGTGCAAACCTCCTTACCCTCCTCACCCAAAGGAAGGGGTGTTCCTGAGGATCTGAAAGCCTCCTCTTCAATTCTGTGCTGTTGTGGTTTCAATGGGGGTGGAGCTAGACAGGAGAGGAATCCTAAAGAAAGTAAGCTTTGAAGAGAACCTTGAGCAGGGGAAAGGTAGGACATGGAAGAGGGAAGTGGCACTGCACATAAGAGCTTGGCAGAGGCAACAAAGGAAAGAAGCTCATTCTTGAATGCTTCTTAAAGATTAGCTCTGGCACAGTTCACAGTAAAGAGCACCCGTAGGTTCTTTTGGAGTTTCTAGTTGTCCAGGACAAATATGGGCTTAGTCAAGACACTCCTCCACCCAGAGGCTAAAGCTCCCAGAGGCCCCAGTGTCTGGGATTCATTGCTACACTGGGCTCCCTTCCTCGGCCGTGGCCTCTCCTTGCTTTGGAAAGACAGTCCAGCAGCAAACACTCCCTGGAGACCAAAGGAGTGGAAAAGAAGTGGTTTTCAACCTCAGACCACCAGGAGACCTTCCTTATTAATTCCTACCTGCTTGCTACCCTCGTTCTCATCTACTGCCATTTCAGAAACATGTGTAAGCCACAGAGAACAGCAGGTGTTATAAATCTGTGTGCCAGGGCCCCAATGTGACTTTGCTTCTCAGATCACCATAGCCTTGGACACAATCAAAGACTGGTGACAATTACATTGCTATCTGACTTAAATCCCTCAGCCCCTCCTGTTGCCTGAGACTTCCAAATTCTGGGGTTCTTCCTTCTCTTCTCCAAGGCTATCAAATCCCCTAAGTTAGGGGTCAGCAAACTTTTTTTTTTTTTTTGAGACAGAGTCTCGCTCTGTAGCCCAGGCTGGAGAGCAGTGGCATGATCTTGGCTCACTGAAACCTCTGCTTCTTGCTTCAGCCTCCCAAGTAGCTGGGATTACTGGCACCTGCCACCATGTCCAACTAATTTTTTTTTTTTTTTTTTTTTTTAGTAGAGACAGAGTCTCACTATGTTGGCCAGGCTGGTATCGAACTCCTAACCTCAAGTGATCCATCCGCTTCGGCCTCCCAAAGTGCTGGGATTACAGATGTGAACCACCACACCCAGCCAGGGGTCAGCAAACTTCTTCCATAAAGGAATAGATAGCAAATATTTTAGGCTGTACAAGCCATATGGTTTCTGCTGCAACTATTCAGCTCTGCTGTTGTAGTGCTGAGGAGCATAGCTATATTCCAAAAAAAATTTACTTATGGACTGAAGTATGAATTTCACATTTTCATATATTATAGAATACTTATTTTTATTTTTATTTATTTTTTTAATGAGATGAGGCTTCGCTATGTCCAGGCTGGTCTTGAACTCCTGGACTCAGGTGATTCACCTGCCTCTGCCTCCCAAAGTGCTAGGATTACAGGCGTGAGCCACCGTACTTAGCCCCTATTATTTTTTTAGAGACAAGGTCTCCTCTGTCACCCAGACTGGAGTGCAGTGTCTTGATCATAGCTCGCTAAAACCTTAAACTCCTAGATTCAAATGATTCTCCTGCCTCAGCCTCCTGAGTGGCTAGGACTACAGGCACGCACTCCTACACCTAGCTAATTTTTTATCTTTTTTTTTTTTTGAAATGGAGTCTCGCTCTGTTGCCCAGGCTGGAGTGCAGTGGCGCAGTCTTGGCTCACTGCAGGCTCCACCCCCCAGGTTCACGCCATTCTCCTGCCTCAGCCTCCCAAATAGCTGGGACTACAGGCGCCCGCCACCATACCTGGCTAATTTTTTGTATTTTTAGTAGAGACGGGGTTTTACTGTTAGCCAGGATGGTCTTGATCTCCTGACCTCGTGATCCGCCCGCCTTGGCCTCCCAAAGTGCTGGGATTACAGGCGTGAGCCACCACTCCTGGCCCGCTAATTTTTTATCTTTTGATTTTTTTTTTTTTTTTTTTTAGAGATGGGGGTCTCACTATGTTGCCCAGGCTGGTCTCAGACTCTTGGCCTCAAGCAATCCTCCCATATGGGCCTCCCAAAGTGTTGGAATTACAGGCGTGAGTGACCACGCCTGGCCTTCATGTGTCACAAAATATTCTCTTCTTTTGACTTTGTCCTAAGCACTTAAAAGTGTAAAAATTCAAGTTAAATGTCAGAAACGAAAAAAAGTGTAAACATCATTCTTAGCTCATGAGCTATACAGAAACAAGTGAAAGGCTGTATTTGGCCCACAGGTTATATAGCTTGCCAACTCCTGACCAGTGTTTGCACCTCTTTCAGCCAAACTTAGATGGTCCAAGCCTTTCAATGATCATAGCTTTTCTGGCTAATCCAAGTGGGTTGTCCCAGTCTCCAAGGATGGCAACAGCTTTAAGTTCCCTAAAAGTAGCCTTACCCTTTCAGCTTTATTTTCTCTTCTGAAGTGGCTTGATTAGAGGGTGCTAGAGAGCCACCCCTCCTTCCCATGCCCCTAGCTATAAACTGGTTTCCCCAGTACATTTCCACCCATTCTCTCTCTCGACTATGTGCACCTGGGCCTTACCGAGTCACCTTAGTCCCTACTGGCTGGGGCAGGCCTCATCACTCCATTTTGTTAAATTCTCTACCCTGGTGTTGCCAGAACTCTGGAGCCAATGCCTCTTTTATTAAGGGAGATTTTATATACAAGGAAAGCTTGGAAGAGGTCAGCCAGAGGTGAATTCCTGGAGCAGGGGGATTTTAAGCTGAGCTTCACAGGCACAGGGTCAGGAATTAGAGGAGGGAAGAGAGAAGCGTGGTGTTCCAGACAGAAGCAGGAGAGAGTGGGCTGTGAGTAGGTGACAGGGAGGGGACAGTCCGCAAGTGGACACCCACAGGAAGTGAGATAGATATTATTCTGAGGAATTGGTCTTGGGAAGGGAGGTGGCATTGGTGGTTGGGTTGGCCAGTTAGACCCAGAAAACCCTGATTCAGAGCAGCTGGAGATAACTTGACCTATGGCATGAGAGGAGAACTCAAGAGTCTCAACTTCCAGCTCTGTTTTTGTTTTTGTTTTTGTTTTTAACGGTCCAGAAGTCTTTTATTTATTTATTTTGTGCCTATTATGCTATGAATTCATAGGGAACAGGTTCCAGCAGCTCAGACGCCTTACCATTGGTTTTCACAATGTGTGCTTCTCTGGGTGGAGCAGGCTGGCGCTTCAGTTGAACCCACATACTTTTCTCTTTGGCGTCTTTCTTTTTCTGATCATTTATTTTGATATGTTTCAGGAAGCGATTCCAGCTCTCAGAGTGCTTAATGTGCTCAATAAGTACATTCATTCTCTTGACAAGATTCTTGCCCTTGTTTCCAACAATGCCAACAGCTTGCTGGTAACACTGTAGACTCTTTTGAGTTTTGCCATGGAAATGTTTGTGGGGAATTCCTTTTTGAACAGCACCCATTCTCTTGATGTCTACAATATCACCTTTTTTTTTTTTTTTTTTTTTTTTTTGAGATGGAGTCTCACTCTGTCGCCCAGGCTGGAGTGCAGTGGTGCAATCTCGGCTCACTACAACCTCCGCCTCCTGGGTTCAAGCGATTCTCCTGCCTCAGCCTCCTGAGTAGCTGGGATTACAGGTGCCCGCCACCACGCTCAGCTAATATTTTGTATTTTTAGTAGAGATGGGGTTTCATCATGTTGCCCAGGATGGTCTTGAACTCCCGACCTCAGGTGATCCACCTGCCTCGGCCTCCCAAAGTGCTGGGATTACAGGCGTGAGCCACCGTGCCTGGCCCGCTTGCATTTTCAAACAGCACTCCCCACCCTGTGAGAACCACTAGGTAGGTTTGTGAGGTAAGCAGTAAAATAGTGTTAGGCTAGAAAGGGGTAGCCAGTACACGGAGAACCTTGAATGTCAGGACAAGACATTGCACTAAATTGAAGGTTCTTCATTGTGGAGGGGATGAGATCTGCTTTAGAAAAATGAAGTTTGGGCCAGGGGTGTTGGCTCACGCCTATAATCCCAGCACTTTGGGAGGCTGAGGTGGGTAGATTACTTGAGGCCAGGAGTTCAAGACCAGTCTGGCCAACATGGTGAAACCCCATCTCTATTAAAAATTCAAAAATTAGCTGGGTGTGGTAGCGCATGCCTGTAATCTAGCTACTCAGGAGGCTGAGGCAGGAGAATCACTTCAACCTGAGAGGCAGAGGCTGCAGTGAGCCGAGATTGTGCCACTATATTCCAGCCTGGGTGACAGAGCGAGACTTTGTCAAAAAAAAAGAAAAGAAAAGAAAAGAAAAATGAAGTTTGGAGCACTGTACAGAATGAATGGAAGATCTATGAGAGGCAGACCAATCAGTTGCAGCTTCCTGCGTCCTTC
This sequence comes from Homo sapiens, assembly GCF_000001405.40. Lineage (NCBI taxonomy): Eukaryota > Metazoa > Chordata > Mammalia > Primates > Hominidae > Homo > Homo sapiens. Next base: position 49,401,690 of record NC_000017.11, read on the forward strand.
TCACCCAGGTAATTTTCAATCTGGGTGGGCTGCTTTGGCACAATTATTGGTGGATTGCAGAGGTCAAGGGGAGGACCTAACTGCACATCCTGGGGCTGATGGCTGGAATGTAACTAGATTATTTGCTAAGGCGGGATTTGACTAATATTCCACTGTCTTTCCTGTATTTCAAATAAACCCATGAGATTAACACAACGCTCCTCCTCCCCATCAGTCCACACTGGCGGAAGTTGTGTAAAACTAGCAGAAGTCAGGAAAATGGCAACCCTTTGAGGGTTTTTCTCTCCTCTCCCTGCCCAGGGTGCACTGCCTTCTTCGCCCTTCATAGCCTGAACAAGGGAACTATTCAGCCCGACCAAAGGGGAGAGGGAGGAAGACACTTCCTGCTCTCCCTTCCCTGGCCAGGACAGGACATGGTTTTTGATCCAAGGCCCAGAGAATCCCGAGCTGATAAAGGCCCATTGTGGCAGTTTCTGGAGAAACCCAGAGGCCATCAGGGGCTAAGAAGCTGGTTAACAGCCCTTGAACATTTGTGAAAAGAATTACTTGGCGGAAGTCAAGGCAAAATGAGGCCCCTGGGCTGCCACTGGGATATGCCTTTGCCATCCCTGGCAGGGAGGCTAATGGCAAAGCCAGCAGGAAACCTGGCCCTCCTGCCACTGAAAGGGCTGACCTGAAGGCACTAGCAACCTCAAAGCAGTGCAAGGCAGCTTTGCAGCTCAGGGCTCCCCTACAGACACCTGGAGGATGAAACCCAATCTCCCGCCAAATGCAGGAAACACAACTGCTCTTTTAAAAAGAGCCTGGGAAAGAGAGAGGAGCCTCCTGTCCTCCCACCCCCAAAAGGGTGTCCAAAGCAATAAACAGCAGGAAAAGGAGGAAGGGCGCAGAGTGGAAGCTGGTCTGGAACTTATTTAGGAATTAGGCTCTTTCTGCTCCAATCTTTAATGCGCTTTGAGTTCAGGCACCTCATCATTCGAAAGCCTATTCTTACAGCAAAAGAGCCAAAGTGGGAAGAGATATCCTGAGGCCTGAGATAAATGATGCTGGGGAGGCGGCAGGGAGATGGGCTGGATGCGGGGAGGCTCACGGGAGGGAGGTTTGAGGTGCAGCTGAGGGTCAGGAGCCCACCACACACTGTGGTCTGCTCCCGGGATGGCTGCTGGGAGGCCCTGGGAGGGGTGCAGGATGCAGGGATTGGGAGAACTCAATCCCTGGCTCCATCCCAAATCTGTGCATCGGGTCTCCCTCTTCCCCAGCTGACAGGTGGTGGCCCGATCACTCTGGGGGAGGAAATGTGGAATCCAGGTCAGAGAGCAGCCTGTGGAGTCTTCTTAAAGACCCCTCTCTGTGGCCAGGTGGTGAGCCTGGGGATTAAATGAAGAGCAGATTTAAAGCACAGTCAGTGCTGTCCACTCACTGCATGCTGTTTCCACTCTGTTCCTAGAAGGATTTGGGGTGGGTGATTGACACAGTTCATTTCTCAACCTGCGGTGGGCTTTCCCTCCCCATCATCCAAAATGCACAAACTCAGCTCCCCTCAAATGCCAAGGCATTTCCAATTTCCCTATTGTCAAAGCAAAGCAGAATAAGCAATACAAACCCACTGGCTGGGCGCAGTGGCTCACGCCTGTAATCCCAGCACTTTGGGAGGCCAAGGCTGGATCACTTGAGCCCAGGAGTTCAAAATCAGCCTGGGTAACATGGTGAGACCTGGTCTCTTATAAAAAATACAAAATTAGCCAAGCATAGTGGCACACACATGTAGTCCCAGATACTCAGGAAGCTAGGGCAGGAGGATCACTTGAGCCCAGGAGGTCAAGGCTGCAGTGAGCCATGTTCATGCCACTGCACTCTAGCCTGGGCAACAAAGTGTGACCCTGCCTCAAAAAAAAAAAAAAAAAAAAAAAAAAAAGAAAAGAAAAAAAGAAAGAAAGGAAAAGAAAACAAGAGAAAAAAAAAAACCTACTGCAGAGTGCCCCAAGCCATCTAACTGAGGGCTACCGGACACATTATTTACGTCAACCACTTCCCTAGCATTGGGGGAAGGTGTTGCTGGCAGTTGGCGGGCAGGCCTGTAACTCCCAGTGAGTAGTGGCACCAAAACACACAGAACAAGTTAACTGCCCTCCACCTACCTTCACTGCCTATCCCATGACAAACCTCACCTGCTACCACAGAGATTCCCTTCGGGTTGGGGATGGATCTGGAACACAACACAAAGTGTTTTCTGAAAACAAAGCATTTTCTGCCTTACTGGAGACTCTGTCCCAGCTGGCAATGCAAACATGTACACACAAAAACTGCTAGAACACTCTGTTCTGATCCCACGGCTCCCACAAACAAAAAACCAACCCATGGCTGAGCCGGAAGGTCTGGGTGTCATTTATTGACAGCAGTTTATACACATTTGTTTCCTTCCCAGTGCAGGCATAGAGCCCGTGAGAAGGGCAGTCTCTGAATGAGGGGGCCAGGAACGTAGGTCGGACACGTCTTTGGCAGGCATGTTCAGCCCCAGCAGGATGCAATCCTTCAAGTTGGAATTCCACTGGGTATCTGAGAGGGACCAAGGTGGGGGGTAGAGAGGAAGTCTTCAACAGGACTCACATCTCGGTCCAGGCCTCCTCTCTCACTATACAAGTCCATCCAAGTTTTAGGACCCTGGGGGGCAACAGTCAGGCCCACCCACCTCAACAGGGGCAGATTCTTCAATCTGTGCCCAGTTCACACACACCTGTTTCCGCTGGTCACACAGTTAAAGAGAATCAGACTTATGGTAACAGACAGACCACTTCCTCTCTGCCCCTCCCCGGCACCTCTCTTCAGCAGCATCTGCACAGGAACCGCTGGGAAGACGGAGGCCTGCCTTCTCAGTTCAGCCGCACATGCCCTCATCCGCAAACCTTCCATCAGTGACAGGACGGAGGCCACACGTGGATCTAGGCAGACACCTGTGCTCCCCAGTCCATCACATACTGCCCCGCCTGCGTGCTGCCAAATGCTGGTGCCCAGGCCGGAACTCCAGCAGGCCCCGAATTGGGACCTAAAGCTGGTTTGCATAGGCACTTGGCAATTTTTGGTAGGGAGGTGGATAAAAAAGTAGATGGATGTGAGAAGAATGAAAGAGTTTCATTTGATAGACTAATTAGAGATCTGAAGTGATTTTACCTTTATTTCCTTCACTTTAAGCCAATCATGAAATTTCACAGTGATTTCTGGGGTGGGAGCAGAAGGAAGGCTGTGTTAAGAATCATCGGGGCTGTGGCCCAGTCAGCCCGCGGAGGTGCAGGCAGGGTGGGCCCTCACTGGGGCAGCTGGAGGAGCACGGACTGCCCCGCTGGCAGGTAGGTGATGTTCCGAGAGCGTGAGAGCTGGTACGCGATGTCCTCTGCAGCTTCCAGCTTGCGCAGCTCGATCAGGCCATCCCCTGCAGTGGCCAGTGAGTTGGCAATCAGCTCAGCTGCCTTGGAGTCGCCCTCAGCAGAGATGATGGCCGCCTTTTTCTGTTGCTCAGCCTAAAAGAATGGAGGTGGAGACAAAGATCAAACCTCAGGGCACCGCATGTCAGGCTACAACCAAAGGCCCTTCACCAGAAAGCCACCTTCCCAGGCTCCTGAAGGAACTCGGGGAGTTTACTTCCTCCTGATGGCTAGCGGGGGAAGCGGGGGGAAGCAGAGCACATTGCCCACCAGTCCTCCCCTATCCTTTCATGCTCACTCCTTGTCACGGGAGGGATACATCTCTGTTGGCTGCAGGAATATTTGTCTTATTTCAAAGTCCTCATTAATATTAATTGCAATCTAGTTTAACAACCCTACTCTGAGCCAGGAGAAGCCAAGGCCAAGGAAAACAGAAGCAAAAGAAAGGTGGAATCAATCCTCAAGGCTCATCTTTTCCTCCAGCCTTAAGTCTAAAGGACTTCATCAAAGCCAGGACAGGGCCGGGTGTGGTGGCTCATGCCTGTAATCCTGGCACTTTGGGAGGCGGAGGCAGGAGGATCACTTGAGCCCAGGAGGCCAAGGCTGCAGTGAGCTATGATCATGCCATTGCACTCCAGCCTGGGCCACAGAGCTGTCACAAACAAACAAACAAACAAACAAACAAACAAAAAACCTCGGGATGGCTAAGGAAGAGCAGCATGCACTTTTGACTGTTCCTAGAGCTGCCTGTGAGTTAGGCTGGTTCCTGACCAGAATCCAGGCACCCAGAGTGAGATCTCCTAGGCTTGCCCTACCAATATCAATAGGAAGACAGCTCTCTGCAACGTGTGACCTTCAGGAGTGTGAGGAAGAAGACAGTATTAAGCCTCCCTGAAATTACATACAATTTTGAAATGACTGGGCCCTGCGTCTATTTGCTCAACAAACATTTACTGTATACCTACTATCACCAGGCACTGTACTAGACTTATTATAATCTCTGAAGTTATGGCAGATACAAAGCAACACAAGTCTCTGCCCACACAGTGTTTTCATTCTCCAAAATTAAATCTATCCCTCTTTTCCCATTTTATTTCTTGCTGTCCCCATCTCCCCACCAATTAGGGATACTGGTGGTGGGAAGAAGGGGACAACAATAAATGAACATGTCTTTGCAAATACCAGAAAGACCAGGCTGCTACGCAAATACACTGTGTCCCATCACATTCTTTGACACATCTGGATGGATTTAGCACTAGAAAAAAATCTAGTGACGAAAGCACATCTGGTGCAACGTTTGATCTTTTTTGCTGTCAGCTTTCACTATGTAACTATGGTTAAAAATGACTTCTCAGTGAAGCTGAAAATACTCCAGGAGAAACATTTTTATTTGTAAGAGAGTGTTTTTGATCTCAGAGAAGTGGAAGAAAAATTACCCTTCAGTGATTTAGGAACATAACTCCACATATCCTTGACTAGCCCCTGAAGACTCTGGAACCAATTGCAGAAGTACAATTCCTTCAAGCCCCTTCTGATTATCCCGGAAGAAGGGATGACAGATGATGAATTTCCAGGCCACCCAGCAAATGGGGAAGCTGAGTGCCGGAGAAAGGGGAGAGAGAGGCTCCTGCCATCTGGTCGAAGGCTCACCTTTTCCACCACAAATCTGGCCCTCTCTGCTTCCTGCTGAGCCACCTGTTTGGCTTCCACCGCTTCTGTGAACTCCTTCCCGAAGGTCAGATGTGTCTAAGGGGAGAGAGTGAGCACAAGATGAGGCAGTGTGATTGCTTCGACAGCACTGCTGGGAGGGCTCCATGGCCGCTGGAAGAAGAGGCCAGCAATGGCTCTAGCAGCTGGAGGCATCCGTGAGGCCAGAACACTCTTCCACCTCCGTATCTGTATCCAAACTGAGTTTACACCCAGACTCTCTGGCTGCCCAAACTGCTCCTGTATATTACTCTGTCACTCTCAGTACAGTGACCTCATGTAGCAAATGGCACCGGGGGCTTTTGATGGGGCCCACAGGCACCAGAAGGTATCTACTCAATCGACCACCTCCCCAGAGGAGGAGAACTGTGGGTTCTAAGACCCCCGCCACTGACTAGTGCTCTTCCAAGGGCCTTTGATGCCTTGTTCAAAGCCCAAGGAAGGCCAGATGGAAAACAGGGTCCCTGAGAGTGAGGGAGGCAGCTGGTTCCCAGGGATCCAAGAGCCTGATGCTCTCTGTTTATGGATTAACCAGTCCGCGTCTTCCCACAGCAGCTCCACCACTGAACAGGAAGAGGACGAGGGACGGTGGAACGCAAATCATGGTATTCCCAATGTGAATGGTTCTGTTAAACGGTTTAAAAGAAAGAGAAAGCAGGTAAAGTCATTGGTCGGCATGAGGGTTTAGAAGTCTGATGATCCATAGACCTTCCCTAATCATGTCAGGTCTGACGGGACTGTCCCTAAAGATAGCACAAACAATGGGAAGGGACCTCAGAATTCCTAATGCCCAGCCTAGAGCAATTTACTTATTCATCCTAATTTTTATTGAAAAAGAATCAAGAGAAGAGCATTGGTTTTGCCATCAAATTCTAGTTGTTTCATTTCCTCCACTCTCCCAACCTCTGCTTTTTAAAAAAGCAGCTCCAAACTTCTCCTGAAGAGTAAATCCTGGTCTCATTCTCTTCCAGAATTTTTAACCTCCTAACTCTAACTGCAGCTGTTGTACTTCGCCTGATCCATTTCTAGTTTCTTAGTCAAAGTTTGGGTAAGAAAATCTGATCCTGAGACATGAAAAATGAAATGTATAATTAAGGAATAAAATTTATTTCTACAAGGGCCAGCTGAGGGCAGCAAATTCCCCATGAAACCTAATTTTCTTCTCACACCTTAGATAGGGTTTCTTGTGGTCAGCCCACATTTCCCCAGAATGGAGTATGTGGTTAAAGTCTAGTAAAATGCCAACTTTTCCCTTAGGTTTTTACTCAGCGTTTTCTCACAGCCAAGGTGTTCAGGTTAACGGTAATTACGAGGGAAGGGCCCACAGAATGGCTGCAGCCTGGCCTCTTGCCAGCAGAGGGAGCCCCAAGCCCCCAGGACTTCCAGCAGGCGGAGCAAGGTGGAGCAGTGCCCAGGGGTTAGCACTGGGTGTTGTCAAGTGGCTGTTTAAACAGCTGCACAGATGCCGGGGGAGGCAGTGCCTTTCCCTAGCAATGCACGGGAGAACTGAACAGGAAACACTTTACCTCACTGCCCGAACAAATCACTCCAAATGGTTTTTCCCAGAGAATCTAGAAACACGACCCCTTCCCCTCACCCTCCTCAACCTGAAACGCTATCCTGCCTGCATTGCTTTCTGAGTTATGACATCCAATGTCATATAAACACACAAGCTATAGTGTCTCAAGAGGATAGCTTACGCCTCAGAGATGTCCCTTGCCCCCTATACCAGGCCTGGGGGAATCCAACCGTTCGTTTACACTCTATCACCTTTCACTGGGGTTCCCAGAGCTTACTTCACTGAGCTTCGGACTGTAAAGTGTTAGGAAGCTCCCAGGAGTCAGGCTGGGAGGTCTGTGCTAGGGAGAAGGACTACCCGAGCTGTTCTCTGGTCTCTACCAGGCAGTTTCTGCCTGTGTCAAACAGGGTTAACAAGGCATCACTCTCTGGGTAACAGTTTGGAGAAGGTAAAACATTTAGTGGTTAGAGACTATCTGGATACAACCAGAGGTCATAAGAAAAATGTGTGTGGCAGGGGGAAGGTAAAAGAACCCTCAACTGAAAAACCCACGGAGACTGCCTCACCTCAGCATGTTTCCGTGTTTTCAAGTCTCACATCTAGCAAAGCAGAAGGGAGGACCTAATAGCGTCTACCCAGAAATGGAGCCAGGCACCTAAACGAGAACTGCAGCCCCTTCCCCTCCTCGGTCTCCCGAAGGATCTTACCAAGGACACGTCATCCAGGATGAGCCCAAAGGTGGCGGCTCGCTCTGTAAGGTCGTCGCTCACCTGCCTGGAGACCAGCTCTCTCTGGGTGATTAGTTCTCCAGCATCAAAGCGAGCCTGGTTTCAAAGGGAGGAGCAGAAGGGCAGGTCAGGTTAATGAGGAAGCAGAAAAGGAACCAGGAAACTAGCAGCCACATCCCAACCAACCCACTGCCAAGCGCTTCCTGCCACCTGGCACCCTCCCAGGGTGGTGCTCTGGGCTCGAGGCTAAAGGCCCCTGTTCACTCACCACCACTGACTTGAGGATCTCAGTTGTGATGGACGGCAGCACACGCTCATCATAGTCCTCTCCGATGCTGGTGAAGATGCGAGGAAGCTGGCTGGCGACAGGCCGGAAGAGGATGCGCAGTGTGATGTTGACATTCTGTAAATCTTAGGGTAGGGGACAAACACTGGAGTTAAAAATAAAAACCACTGTAGGAAAACAAGTGTTTTTTTTTTGTTTTTTTTTTTTTTTGAGACAGGTTTTTGCTCTTGTTGCCTAGGCTGGAGTACAATGGGACAATCTCGGCTCACTACAACCTCTGCCTCCCAGATTCAAGCAATTCTCCTGCCTCAGCCTCCTGAGTAGCTGGGATTACAGGCACGCGCCGCCACACCCAGCTGTTTTGTATTTTTAGTAGAGACAGGGTGTCACCATGTTAGGCTGGTCTCAAACTCCTGACCTCAGGTGATCTACCTGCCTCAGCCTCCCAAAGTGCTGGGATTACAGGTGTGAGCCACCGCACCTGGCCACAAGTGGTCTTTTATATGACCTCTCCTACTCCAATTTGCTACAATTTTTATTTATGTATTTTGAGACAGGGTCACATGTTGCCCAGGCTGAAGTGCAGTGGTAAGATCACAGCTCACTGTAGCCGCTTTGACCTCCTGGGCTCAGTTGATCCTCCCACCTACACCTTCCAAGTAGCTGGGACTACACAGGCACAGACCACCACGCCCAGCTAATCTCTGTACTTTTTGTAGAGCTGGGGTTTCGCCATATTTCCCAGGCTGGTCTCAAACTCCTGGGCTCAAGTGATCCAACTGCCTCAGCCTCCCAAAATGCTAGAATTACAGGTGTGAGCCATTACGCCTGGCAATTTTTATTTTTTATTTTTAGAGACAAGGTCTTGCTATGTGGCCCAGGCTAGACTCAAGCTCCTGAGCTTAAGCATTTCTCCTGCCTCAGCCTCTTGAGTAGCTGACACGCACCACTGTGCCTGGCTCCAAATTTGCTACAATTTATAAGCAAATCTGCTGATTATAAGATCCCAGAGGGCAAGGTGCAGGTATGCCTGGTTTCCTTGGCAGAGAACCCAATAGAGCATCATAAAGAGTTTATAATTTCTTAAGAGGCTTCAGTGATAGCAGCTTTTTGGTATCCCCTGAATGCCCTCAGATATACATAATTCAGATTATATGTCTAACAGGTGCCATGCAAAGTTTGCAACACTGAACATTTTAAGACAATAGACAGGGCAATGCTAAGAATTGTAGGGTGAGGCCTTTACATGCTCTGGTGATTGTGGCCAAGTCAGGAGTCAGCCTTGGAGAGGTTAGTTCGGGTCTGGTGGAAACGGTGTTAGACTATCAGTCCAAAGATCTGGGCTATTTACTAATGATGTGGCCTCTCTAAGCCTTAGCCAACCTGAGCTTATTTCCCTGTCTATGAGAATGGGGACAATTTCATTTGCTTTCTGGGCCTTGCGGAAATGTTGGGGAAAATTGAAGGAGAAAACAGACGTAAAAGCACTCTGTCAAATGTGTAACACATATAAGGGGTTAACAGACTGATCCTATGTTCTGCTTCTCATTACTTGGACCATTTAAAGGATCCAGGGAGAGAATTATACTTTCCCCTGGACAATTCAGGCCTGCCTGGAGCCAAAGCACTGTCACGGCTTGCTTACAGATGTCAACAATATGGACCAAGCGCCCATGAGACAGCCCTGAACTGGGCACCAAGAGAGGTGGGCAATGTATTAATACCTACAACTCCCTGATCTCTGGAAGCTCCTATCAATAGTTTTAGAAATAGGTACATAATGTATCCTGAAAACAACTGCAAAACAGTACGGAAAGAAATTCCAAAGAGATGGGAAGATTAGAAGCAGGCTTTTTTTTTTTTTTTTTTTGAGACAGAGTCTCACTCTGTTGCCCAGGCTGCAGTGAAGTGGCACAATCTTAGCTCACTGCAACCTCCGCCCCCCAGGCTCAAGCAATTCTCCTGCCTCAGCCTCTCAAGTAGCTGGGATTACAGGCACCCCCCACCACCGGCTAATTTTTGTATTTTTAGGAGAGATGGGGTTTCACCACATTGGCCAGGCTGGTCTTGAACTCCTGACCTCAGGTGATCCACCTGCCTCAGCCTCCCAAAGTGCTGGGATTACAGGCATGAACCACCGCACCCAGCCATAAGTGGGTATTTCTAAGATTCCATATCAAGCTCTCCAGGGCAAGTAGTCTAGTCATTCCTATGATGTACAGTTCAAACTCTTTTGGATCCTGGTATCCCACAGATGCTCCTGTGACACAGAAGAACAGAGCACCTCTTCCACACTCCCTACTTTACCTGAACCATAGGCAAGACTCACCTTTGCTACCAGTGATGACTGGCACATTACGTGGTCGAGAACGGCAGTCAAAGATAATTGGTTTCTGTACCCACGGGATGAGAAAATGAGTCCCTTCCCCTACCACAATGTCCTGCACTCCACGGAATCGGTCAAAGATGACAGCTCTGTGCCCAGCATCCACTAGGAAGAAAGGACAATGACATGTCATAAAAATCCTCTCATCCTTTAAACAAAAGGATCATGTCTTTGAAAGAGCCCTGGTGCTTTCTGTTCACTTATTAAGTCTCCCCTCTTCTCTCTGTCTTCCCCAACTCCTGGTCTCTAGAGACTTCTAACTAGCTGCAAAACTAAGCAGTCACTTCCTGTTCCACATGTCCCCAAGGATTGGTAATAGGACCTGTTCCTTAGCATCCTTTCTCCTTGAGGGAACTGGCTGTTGATTTTCTGAATGACCATTCTATCCCTGAACTCCCACCAACATATTTCCAGGAATCATCTACCAAAACTTCTAAAACTCAGTGAGGTCTTCCCAGTTACCACATATCCATCGGGCTCCAATTTAACCTAGTGCTCCCAGAAGTAGCACCCTCATTATGGGAATCCTACATTTCGAAGAGCCTACTCTTTCTTCCTAATAGCTCTGTTTCGCTAAAGTTTTAAGGGGTTATAGAGCTGTCTTGGCACAGAGAGAAATTTATGATGGCAATTTCTGTCTAGTTGCAGATGTGGCCAAAAGGATCACAGTACTGCTAAGATGTGTCATATAAGCCAAGCAGGCTTTTCTAATCAGCTGCCTCTCTGAACTTTATCATTGGTCCAAATATCTTCACTCTGAAAGTAAAGCTCCTCTTGTCAGCCAGCCACACACCGGATGGGTCAATCTATTGCTGCTTTGCAGCATGTGAAAGTGTCAGAATGTCAGAATTAAAGGAGGTCCTACAGATAAAGTCAGGTCAAATCCATTGCTTGACCAATGAGGAAGCTTCCACAGTAAAGTGGAAGAAAAGCCAGCTTAACCTCCCTCCTACACTGTTAAAAGCTGGGCAATGCATCTCAAAGATACTTTCTCTGAAACTACCCGAATTCAGCACAGCAAAAGTTCCTGTTCAGGACAAGGTCACCCAAACAGATCTGCAGCCTTTGCTGTTATTCCACATGCAAGCAGAGGAGAACAAATGAGATCTCCATTTCAGATAGCCAGGGAAATCCAGACACTGTGCGGCAGCATTTGGGTGGTGCGGCTTCACTTCACCTTGACAGAAGCCACTGGACACATCCAACTAGGAAGTGGGCTGGGAAGCTCTTTTTGAATACAGGCTCTGAGAGAACCTATGACTGAAAGGTCAGGGGCTCTGATAACAATGCAGTCCTGTGGTATGAAATGGCAGGAGGTGAGCCCTCTTGGCCACAAACACATTCACTGACGGCAGCTACCATCAAGAGTGTCACATGGGCTATGCAGACCAACAGAAAACTCCTAGGAAAGTGCAGTGACCCACTGTCCCTCCATGCCTCACCATTATATAAGGCAGAGTTCACCACGCCTCCTGCAACAGCTAAGGCCAGGCCAAACTTGCCAATGGACTCAAACACTTTGGCAGCCATGTTTCCTTCTGCTGGACCCTCTCACACCTAAGGGGATAAAAACAAAATACAATCAAACTTGATGCCAAATCCTCAGAGAAGGCCCTCTCTGACACACAACAGTCACTTTTCAACCTGGCTATTTATTTCCCCATTCCTGAAAGTGCTAAATCATCCATTGAAGGATACCTAATAAATAATGCTTTATAGCTTGGAAAGTGTACTATCAATTCTTCTGCTTTTTTTTTTTTTCAGTTTCTTTTCTTTCCTTTTTTTTTTTTTGGAGACAGGGTCTTGCTCTGTCACCCAGGCTGGAGTGCAGTGGTGCAATCTCAGCTCACTGAAGCCTCGACCTCCCAGGCTCAAGCGATCTTCTCACCTCAACCTCCCAAGTAGCTGGGACCACAGAAGTGTGCCACCATGCCCGGCTAATTTTGTTCATTTTTTGCAGAGATGGGGTCTTGCTACGTTGCCCCAGGTGGTCTCAAACTCCTGGGCTCAAGTGATCCCCCTGCCTCGGCCTCCCAAGTGTTGGGATTACAGGCATGAGCCATCATGCCTGGCTGATTTCTCTTTTTTTCTCAACCATTTAAAGTAAGGTGTCTGGGACACTTGGTTCAATAATGAAAACAATGCATGGGCTTGAAATCCACAGAGAACTTAGCACCACACTAAACCACCCTCTCATTTCCTGGACAAGTAGGCCCCCAAAAAGAGGCTGTGAGGTTAGATTGGTGCAATTATGGTTTGAAAAAAATAACTTAAAAAATGTGCTACATGTTGATGCCAACAAAAAAAGTAACCGTAACAGCTAACACTTATATCAGGTAGCCTAATAAAAGCAATTTATTTACTTCTCACAATTACCCTATGAAGCATATTACTACAGAGGAAACAGAGGCACACAGAGAGGTTACATGAGAAGCCGAGATTGCAGTTATTAAGTGGTAGAACCAGAATTAGAACCCAGAGGTCTAATGCTAGCAGACACAGCTTACCTCCTCACCATACTGCTTGTCAACATCGTGTATTAAGAACGACATGCTTCTTATGGAAGCAGGAGCTGGATGACATCCTGGGGCCAAGATAACTGAAGAACCCATTTGGGAGAAAGGCTCTAACTAGCTGCACAGGGACAGTGAGCTCTGGAATAACTGGGAGGGTGGGGCTGAGGCGGGGTGGGCATAAGCACAGTTGACCTAACTAGAAATCACGCCAGCATGTAACTTTCTAACGCTCCGCCCCACCGTCGTTGCCCGCTCCAGTCTCAAATCCTCCCTCCCTACTTCCCAGACCTCAACTCCTGAGACTACCCTGATCTCGTCCAGTGCATTTAAATCTTCCTTCTCTGAGGCTGGGACACCCGGCCCTTTACATTTGTAATAGCTTCTGGATTATTCCTCACCCTGCCTCCATGGACACCTCCCTTACTCTGAGCAACCCCTGGCTCGTCCCGGGCTCAGCCCCTTCTCCCCTCCCTCACAAGTCGGACTCACGCACGCACTCTCCTCGCCCAAAGTGCACATCATGGAGCAGAGGAGGACTGCAGAGATGCCCAGAAACGAGCCTTTGCCGCCCCCTCCATTCTCACCTGCTTCCACTCTGACCTCCACATGAATTCCCCAACCACACATACTGCGCATGAGCTCCTCTGCCCCGCCCGCTTTCCAAGATCCACGCTTCCTATTGGTGTGGAAGAGCGCTGTGAGTTCTGGGAAGGGTGGCTTAGAACCTCACCCTGGTTCTGCGGCTCTTAGCAGATGAACTACAACTCCCAAAAGGCTATGCAGCGGCGGGCCCGCGGAGAAAAGCGTTTTCTCTTTGGTGATCAACGCGAGGATGTTGCCGCAAAGCCTTTTGGGGGCTGTAGTTTTCTGGGGCTAAATGCACGTGCCTATCCTGTACAGAGGCTAAGACTGCCGCAAGGAGAGCCTTAGGGCTCCGGGAAAGAGGAGGTGGGCGTCCAGCTGGTGGCAAAAATTAGTAGGGGCAAGTTCATGGCTGATGAAGAGGACAGGTGGAACTCTGGAGGAAGTCGTGGTGAAATCACCGGCAGGCTGAGACCCTTTGGGGGAAACGAAGGGCCGTCTTCCTTCCAAAGCCCTGTCTGCAAACGTCCTCAGAGTTGTGAGACGTTGATTACCAGACCCAGAGAGAACCATCTGTGCTGAAAAACTGAGACCAACCGAGAGGAAGGAATTCATTCAGGGTCATGCACCGAGTGAGAAAAGGGGCTCGGCTTGGAATCCAGGTCCCCTAGACATGATTTTAGAGAAACGTTTTATTTGGAAAAGTTGCAAGAATAGGGCAAAAGAACGCACGTTAAACTTTGGCTCAGATTCACCTATTGTTAACAATTTGCTTCATTTGTTTTATCATTTGTTTCTTACCTCTCCCCTCCTCCTCCCTGCCGCCACTCCGCCGCCCCACCTCCGTGTGCGTGTGTGTTTATTTTCTTGTTTTTGTTTTGTTTTGTTGTTTGTTTTTGAGATGGAGTTTCGCTTTTGTTGCCCAGGCTGGAGTGCAGTGGCGCGATCTCGGCTCACCGCAACCTCCGCCTCCCGGGTTCAAGCGATTCTCCTGCCTCACCCTCCCAGAATAGCTGAGATTACAGGCATGCACCACCACACCCGGCTAATTTTTTATTTTTGTAGAGACGGGGTTTCTCCATGTTGGTCAGGCTGGTCTCGAACTCCCGACCTAGGTGATCCACCCGCCTCGGCCTCCCAAAGTGGTGGGATTACAGGCATGAGCCACCGCGCTCAGCTCTCATTCTAGTTTTTACCTCTATAAGATCAACTCTTTTAGCCCCCACATAGGAATAAGAACGTGAGGGCTGGGCGTGGTGGTCACGCCTGTAATCCCAGCACTTCGGGAGGCCAAGGACAGAGGATTGCTTTAGCCTAGGAGTTTGAGACTAGCCTGGGCAACAAATTGAAACCCTGTCTCTACAAAAATAAAAATAAAAAGTACCTGGATGTGGTGGCATGTACCTGTAGTTCCACCTATTCGGGAGCCAAGGTGGGAGGATTGCTTGAGCCTGGGAGGTCAAGGTTGCAGTGAGCTGTGACTGTGCCACTGCACTGCAGCCTGGGTGACAGAGCGAGACCTTGTCTCAAAAAAAAAAAAAAAAAAAAAAAAAGTATGGTCATTTTTAACAATATTAATTCTTCCAATCCACCAATCCATGAACACGAGATGTCTTTCCATTTGTTTGTGTCCTCTTCAGTTTCTTTCATCAGTGTTTTGTAGTTTTTATTGTAGAGGTCTTTTTCCTCCTTGATTAAATTTTTTCCTAGGTAGTAGGGTTGCTTTCTTGATTTCTCTTTCAGCTAATTCCTTATTGGTGTACAGAAATGCTAGTTTTTGTATAATGATTTTTTATCCTGCAACTTTACTGAATGTATCAGTTATAAGAGATTTTTGGTGAAATCTTTAGATTTTTCTATATACTAGGTATCATGTCATCTTCAAAGGGGGCAATTTGATTTTTTTTTTTTTTAAGACTACTCAAGTGCAGTAGTGAGAAGTGGGGAAAGAGTAGAACAAGGAGTTCAATCTGTAACTTACTGTGAGATTGAGATAACTCACTACATTCGCACTGGCCTGACTTCCTTTTTTCCAATTTGGATGCCTTTTATTTCTTTCTCTTGCCTGGTTGCTCTGGCTAAGACTTCAGTACTATGTGGATTAAGAGTGATGAAAGTGGGCCGGGCGCGGTGGCTCACGCCTGTAATCCCAGCACTTTGAGGCCAAGGTGGGCGGATCTCCTGAGGTCGGGAGTTCAAGACCAGCCTGACCAACATGGAGAAACCCCGTTTCTACTAAAAGTACAAAAAAAATTAGCCGGGCATGGTGGCGCATGCCTGTAATCCCATCTACTCGGGAGGCTGAGATAGGAGAAATGCTTGAATCCGAGAGGCAGAAGTTACCGTGAGCCGAGATCACGCCATTGCACCCCAGCCTGGGCAACAAGAGCACAACTCCATCTCAAATAAATAAATAAATAAATAAATAAGTAATGAAAGTGGGCATCTTTGCCTTCTTCTAGTTCTTAGAAGAAAGGCATTCCTCTATTCCCCCATTCAATATGATGATAGCTGTGGGTTTGTCATTTATGGAGTTTATTATGTTGAGATATGTTTCTTCTATGCCTAATTTGTTGAGAATATTTATCACGAAGGATGTTTAATTTTATCAAGTGCTTTTTCTGCATCTATTGAGATGATCATATGGTTTTTGTCCTTCATTCTGCTGATGTGATGTATCCGCGGTTATTGATTTATGTATGTTGAACCGTCTTTGCATTTCTGGAATAAATCCCACTTGATCATGGTGTATTATCCTTTTGATGTGCTGTTGGATTTTGTTTACTAGTATTTAGTTGAGGATTTTTGCATCGATGTTCATCAAGGATATTGGCCTGCTGTTTTCTTTTTTTGTTGTGTTTTTGTCTGATTTTGGTGTCAGGGTAATTCTGGCCTTATAGAATGAGTTAGGAAGAATTTCTTCCTCTTCAGTTTTTTTGGAATAGTTTGAGAAAATTGGTATTATTTCTTCTTTATAAGTTTGGTAGAATTTAGCAGTGAAGCCATCTGTTCCTGGGCTTTTCTGTTTTGGGAGACTTTTTATCACTAATTCAATTTCATCACTCGTCATGGGTCTTTTCAAGTTTTCTGTTTCTTCCTGGTTCAATATTTGTAGGTTGTATGTGTCCAGTTATCCATTTTCTCTAGGTTTTCCAATTTTTTCATGTGTAGTTGTTCATAATAGTCTCTGATGAATTATTGTATGTCTCTGGAAACAGTTGTAATGTCTCATTTTTTATTTCTGATTTTATTTATTTGGGTCTCCTCTCTTTTCTTCTTGTTGAGTCTAACTAGCAGTTTATTGATTTTGTTTATCCATTGAAACAAACAATGTCTAATTTCATTGATTAAATTTTTTTCACTCTCTGTTTTGTTTTGCTATGCTGTAATCGTTATTATTCTTTTCCTTCTCCTAATTTTGGGTTTGGTTTGTTCTTGCTTTTCTAGTTCCTTGCGGAGCATTGTTAGGTTGTTTATTTGAAAACTTTCTAGTTTTTTGATGTAGGTGCTTATTGCTATCAATGTCTGTCTTAGCACTGCTTCTGTTGTATCCTATATATTTTGGTATGTTGTGTTTCCATTTTCTTTTCTTTTCTTTTTTCTTTTTTTTTTTGAGATGGAGTTTTGCTCTTGCTGCCCAGGCTTGAGTACAATGGCGTGATCTTGGCTCACCGCAACCTCCGCCTCCCGGGTTCAAGCCATTCTCCTGCCTCAGCCTCCTGAGTAGCTGTGATTACAGGCATGCACCACCATGCCTGGCTAATTTTGTATTTTTAGTAGAGACAGGGTTCCTCCATGTTGGTCAGGCTGGTCTCAAACTCCCAGTCTCAGGTGATCCGCCCACTTCAGCCTCCCAAAGTACTGAGATTACAGGCATGAGCCACAGCACCCGGCCTGTGTTTCCATTTTCATTTGTTTCAATAAATTTTTTTTTTGATGTTTTACCCAATAATGATTCTTTTCTTTCTTTTTTTTTTTTTTTTTTTTTTTTTTTTTAGTATTTATTGATCATTCTTGGGTGTTTCTCGGAGAGGGGGATGTGGTGGGGTCATAGGATAATAGTGGAGAGAAGGTCAGCAGATAAACACGTGAACAAAGGTCTCTGGTTTTCCTAGGCAGAAGTCCCCGTGGCCTTCCGGCCTTCCGCAGTGTTTGTGTCCCTGGGTACTTGAGATTAGGCAGTGGTGATGACTCTTAACGAGCATGCTGCCTTCAAGCATCTGTTTAACAAAGCACATCTTGCACTGCCCTTAATCCATTTAACCCTGAGTTGACACAGCACATGTTTCAGAGAGCACGGGGTTGGGGGTAAGGTTATAGATTAACAGCATCCCAAGGCAGAAGAATTTTTCTTAGTACAGAACAAAATGGAGTCTATGTCTACTTCTTTCTACACAGACACAGTAACAATCTTATCTCTCTTTCTTTTCCCCACATTTCCCCCTTTTCTTTTTGACAAAACTGCCATCGTCATCATGGCCCGTTCTCGATGGTCGCTGTCTATTCGGAGCTGTTGGGTACACCTGCAGAAAGGCTGTCACTTCACACTTGGAAGATTGCACAGCGGCCAGGCAGAGGCGCTTCTCACTTCCCAGACAGGGCAGCCGGGCAGAGGCGCTCCTCATTTCCCAGATGGGGCGGCCGGGCAGAGGCGCTCCTCACTTCCCAGATGGGGTGGCCGGGCAGAGGCGCTCCTCACTTCCCAGACGAAGGGTGGCCGGGCAGAGGTGCTCCTCACATCCCAGATGGGGTGGCCAGGCAGAGGCGCTCCCCACTTCCCAGATGGGGTGGTGGCCGGGCAGAGGCGCTCCTCACATCCCAGATGGGGCGGCCGGGCAGAGGCGCTCCTCACCTCCCAGATGGGGCGGCTGGGCAGAGGCGCTCCCCACTTCCCAGATGGGGTTGCGGCCGGGCAGAGGCACTCCTCACATCCCAGACGGGGCGGCCGGGCAGAGGCGCTCCCCACTTCCCAGATGGGGTGGCGGCCGGGCAGAGGCGCTCCTCACATCCCAGATGGGGCGGCCGGGCAGAGGCTCTCCTCACTTCCCAGACGACGGGCGGCCAGGCAGAGGTGCTCCTCACCTCCCAGGCGGGCCAGCCGGGCAGAGGCGCTCCTCACTTCCCAGATGGGGCGGCCAGGCAGAGGGGCTCCTCACATCCCAGACGATGGGCAGCCAGGCAGAGAGGCTCCTCGCTTCCTAGACGGGGTGGTGGCCGGGCAGAGGCTGTAACCTTAGCACTTTGGGAGGCCAAGGCAGGTGGCTGGGAGGTGAAGGTTGTAGCGAGCCGAGATCACGCCATTGCACTCCAGCCTGGGCAACATTGAGCATTGAGTGAGCAAGACTCCGTCTGCAATCCCAGCACCTCGGGAGGCCGAGGCGGGCAGATCACTCAAGGTCAGGAGCTGGAGACCAGCCCGGCCAACAGGGCGAAACCCCGTCTCCACCAAAAATACAAAAACCAGTCAGGCGTGGGGGTGCGTGCCTGCAATCCCAGGCACTCGGCAGGCCGAGGCAGGAGAATCACGGGAGCCCGAGGCAGGGAGGTTGCAGCGAGCCGAGATCACGGCAGTACAGTCCAGCCTCGGCAACAGAGGGAGACCGTCAAAAGAAAGAAAGAGAGAAAGAGAGAAGGAAAGGAAGAAAAGGAAGGAAGGAAGGAAGGAAGGAAGCAAGCAAGCAAGCAAGCAAGCAAGCAAGCAAGACATTTTTTGATATCCTTCTTAATTTGTTCATTGACCCAATGGTCATTTAAGAGTATGTTGTTGGCCAGGCGCGATGGCTCATGCCTATAATCCCAGCAGTTTGGGAGGCTGACATGGGTGGATCACTTGAGGTCAGGAGTTCAAGGACAGCCTGGCCAATGTGGCGAAACCCCACTCTATTAAAAATACAAAAATTAGCCAGTTGTGGTGGTGCACACCTGTAATCCCAGCTACTGGGGAGGCTGAGGCAGGAGAATCACTTGAACCCAGGAGGTGGAGATTGCAGTGAGCCGAGATTGCACCACTATTCCAGCTTGGGCAACAGAGTGAGACTCTGTCAATAAATAAATAAATTAATTAATTAATTAAATAAAAAATGGGCCAGGCATGCTGGTTCATGCCTGTAATCCCAGCACTTTGGGAGGCCAAGGCTGGTGGATCACCTGAGGTTGGGAGTTCAAGTCCAGCCTGACCAACATGGAGAAACCCTGTCTTTACTAAAAACACAAAATTAGCCGGGCATGGTGGTGCATGCCTGTAATCCCAGCTACTCGGGAGGGTGAGGCAGGAGAATGGCTTGAATCCTGGAGGCAGATGTTGTGGTGAGCTGAGATCACACCATCGCACTCCAGCCTGGGCAACAAGAAGGAAACTCCATCTCAAAAAAAAAAAAAAAAAAAAAAAAAAAGTATGTTGTTTAATTTCCATGTGTTTTTACAGTTTCCAAAGTTTCTCCTTTTATTGAGAAGATACTTGATATGATTTTGATTTTTTAAAAATTTCTAAGACTTGCTTTGTGTCCTAACATATGGTCTATTCTGGAGAATGTTCCATGTGCTGATGAGAAGATTATATATTCTGCAGCTGTTAGATGAAATGTTGGGTAAATGTTAGGTCCATTTGGTCTGGAGTATAGTTTAAGTCCAGTGTTTCTTTGTTGATTTCTGTCTAGATAATCTATCCATTGCTAAGAGTGGGGTGTTGAAGTCCCCAACTATTACTATATTGGAGTCTATCTCTTTATTTATTTATTTATTTAGGAGACAGGGTCTCACTCTGTCACCCAGGCCAGAGTGCAGTGGCACGATCTCAGCTCACCACAGCCTTGACTTCTCAGACTCAGGCAATCCTCCCACCTCAGCCTCCCCAGTAGCTGGGACTATAGATGCATGCCATCATGCCTGGCTAATTTTTTGTACTTTTGTAGAGATGGGGTCTTGCCATGTTGCCCAGGCTGGTCTTGAACTCCTGGGCTCAAGTGATCCTCCCACCTCAGCCTCCGAAAGTGCTGGGATTACAGGCGTGTGCCACTGTGCCTGGCCTATCTCTTCCTTTAGATCAAATCATATTTACTTTATATACCTGGATGCTCCAATGTTGGTTGTATATATATTTAGAATTGTTATATCCTCTTGCTGAATTGATCCTTTAATGGTTATATAATGACCTTCTTTGTCCTTTTTTTTTCAGTGTTTCTGACTTAAAGCCTGTTTTATGTGATATAATTATAGCTATTTCTGCTTGCTTTTGTTTTCCACTTGCATGGAATATCTTTTCTCATCCCTTTACTTTCACTCTAAATATGTCTTTACAGGTGAAGTTAGTATTTTTATAGGCAGCATATAGTTGTATCATTAAAAAAAATATCCAGGCCGGACATGGTGGCTCACGCCTGTAATCCCAGCACTTTGGGAGGCCGAGGCGGGCAGATCACCTGAGGTCAGGAGTTCAAGACCAGCCTGTCCAACATGGAGAAACCTGGTCTCTACTAAAAATACAAAATTAGTTGGGCATGGTGGCAGCCACCTGTAATCCCAGCTACTCGGGAGGCTGAGGCAGGAGAATGGCATGAACCCAGGAGGCGGAGCTTGCAGTGAGCCAAGATTGTGCCATTGCACTCCAGCCTGGGTGACAGAGCGAGACTCTGTCTCAAAAAGAAGAAAAAAAAAATCCATTCAGCCAGACTATGTCTTTTAAGTGGGGAATTTAGTCTGTTTACATTCAAGGTTATTATTGATAGGTAAGGACCTGAGGACTTATTCCTGTCATTTTTGTTTGTTATTTTCTGGTTGTTTTGTGTATCTGTTGTTCCTTTCTTTCTCTCTTATTGTTTATCATTGCAGTTTGGTGGTTTTCTGTAGTGGTAATGTTTGACTCCTTTCTCATTCTCATTCAGGTATCTGCTCTACTAGCAAGTTTTATAGTTGCATGTATTTTGATGATGGTAGATATTGTTTTCTTGCTTCCAGATGTAGGACTCCATTAAGAATTTATTGTAGGACCTGTCTAGAGGTAATTAATTCTCCCAGTTTTTGCTTGTCTGGGAAAGACTATTTCTCCTTTATTTTTGAAGGATAGTTTTGCTGGGTATAGTAGTATTCTTGACTGGAAGTTCCTCCCTCCCCCACTTTCAGCACTTTGAATATATCATTCCATTCTCTCCTGGCTTGCTAAATTTCTGCTGAGAAATCTGTTAGCCTGGTGGGGATTTCGTTTTATGTGACTTGATGCTTTTCTCTTGCTAAATATATATATTTGAGATGGGGTCTTGCTCTGTTGCCCATGCTGGAGTGCAGTGGTTTGATTATGGCTCACTGCAACCTTGACTACCTGGGCTCAAGAGATTCTTTTACCTCAACTTCCCAAATAGCTGGAACCACAGGTACACGCCACCATGCTTGGCTAATTTTTAAATTATTTATAGAGATGAAGTCTGACTGTGTTGCCCAAGCTGGTCTTAAACTCTTTTTTTTTTTTAAAGACAATTCACTGTACACATTTTATTTACAGTTTTGTACACTGTTTTAATATGAATGGGACTGCTTTTCTACTTGAGCCATTTTTAACCAAAGCAAAATAACCTAAGTAATACAAAGTGTTAAAATACAGCATAAAGATACAAAAACAGACATACTAATTCTAGTTAGGAATGTAATTATGATGTTACATTTTTTATAATCCACAATTATGTTTAGGAAATCACACAAACATAGATCACTGATTTGAATGAAATGCATAAATTTGTAGCAAAGCTTTGTAGTTACAAAAAACAAAAAAAATTACCAAAGAATGCACAAAATTAATGTTTATTCCACCTTTGTGTCATATTCCTGGATCCTTCACCAATGTTACATGAGGAAAAAAACAAAAGCAAAACAAATGAAAAACTGAAATCAGAATCACTAATATTATCAAGTAGGGAAACAAATAAATTAAAATCTAGCAGCCATCAGCAAGAGTACAGCAAAGACAATGCTGTAAAAAGAAACAAAGAAAATTGCTAGAAAACTGTATGCATCATAATCTTTCAAACCAGCAAAATATGCTTCTGCATAAAATGGAACAACAGAATTTTTTTTCCTGTAAAGTATAGAAATGCCAAGTTGTTTTCTGACTATTGTGGATAGGTAAAATCTGTATGTAATTAATGGTAATTCTACTGAACTATTACAGAGTGGGCCAGGAACACATTTATGGATTCTGGAGATGTGTACTGTAATTCTTTGATTGGGATAGTGTAAACTCTAGCCAAAAAAAAAAAAAAAAAAAAAAAAAAAAGAACACAGAAGTACAAGACAAAGGCGAATGAGACTTCTCTTATATCTGAGTAACATTTAGATGGAAATCAAATTTAAATGCAGTCCACTCTGCTTTTTGAAGAGGCTTTGGTTCAGCTCCCAAATCTCGATTGCTTGACGCAGTCTCCTATGAGAATACTCAGAAGGTGTCTTCTTAAACAACAAACCTATTTTTAGTGGTGGAGCCGCTCTTAGTAGCTGTGTCTGCGTGGGACTGATAACCAATCACTATCTTTGGAGGAAGTCCTAACCTTTCCTTGTATACCCTCCCTATATGTGTAACAGCTTCTCTGTTTTCACATTCAGTAGTCCATATTGCTATCTTATCACCTTTAGCTCTAACATTAACAACAGCGCCACATACATCATCACTGTAGTCATCAAAAGATTCTCCAATAAGGCACAGAAGTGTCTCTAGCCAAAAGCGATCGAGGTCACTTCGTCTCTGCTGTTTGTTCAATGTAATTAGCCATCGTCCTCCCCGTTTGTTTTTCTCATCTTCCCACATAGGCTCAATACCATCCTTAAAAAGTGAGTAGTCACAGCCAGGCATTAAATTACTAGACAACTGGATATGGTTGTACAGAGCCCAAAAGTCTTCAACAGTATCAAACTTGGAGATCAGCCACAAGTTTGCTTGCCAAGTTTTGCTTTTATCATTTTTAAAAAACCAGAGTGCCCATCTGTTCTGTAGGGGATGTTTAATATAGTGTTCTGGGTTAGCAACCTCCTGATTAGATTCCGTTTTCTCCTTTTCTGTAGTCGGGGGATTAGGAGTAGGGGTGGTTTCCGGTTCGACGGTCGCCATCTTAGATCGATCTCGGTCTTAAACTCTTGAGCTCAAGGGATCCCCCTTCCTTGGCCTCCCACAGTGCTGGGATTATAGGTATGACTTACCATGCCTGGCCTGCTCTTGCTGTTTGTAGAATTCTCTGTCTTTAACTTTTGACTGTAATGTGCCTTGGAGAAGACCTTTTGGGTGGAATCTATTTGAGGATCTTTGAGCTTCTTATATCTGGATGTCTATATCTTTTGTAAGACTTGGGGGAATGTTCCAGCTATTATTTTGTTAAATAGGTTTTCTATGACTTTGCCTCTCTCTTTGCCTTCTGGAATGCCCCAGTTTTAATATTTGGTTGCCTTATGGTGTCCCATGTCTTTCTTTTTCTTCTTCTTCTTCTTTTTTTTAGTTTTGGTCTGACTGGGTTATTTCAAAAGACCACCCAAAACCAAAAGCTATTAGAACTAACAAACAAATTCGGTGAAGTTGCAGGATACAAAATCAACCTACAAAACTCAGTAGCATTTCTATATATCAATAGCAAACAATCTGAAAAAGAAATCAAGAAAGCAATTTTACACTAGCCGCAAAGAAATTTGTGTATTTTTATTTTTATTTTTGAGACAGGGTCTTGCTCTGTCACCCAGGCTGGAGTGCAGTGGCGTGATCTTGGCTCACTGCATCCTCAACCTCCAGAGTTCAACTGATCCTCTCGCCTCAGCCTCCTGAGTAGCTGGGACCACTGGTGCACACCACCATGCCCAGCTAATTTTTGTACTTTTCGTAGAGACAAGGTTTCACCATGTTGCCCAGGCTGGTCTTGAATTCCTGAGCCAAGCAATCCCCCCTCCTAGGCCTCTCAAAGTTCTGGAATTATAGGTATGAGCCACTGCGCCTGGCCAAAAATTAAATAGCTAGGAATTACCGTAACCAAAGAAGTGAAAGATCTCTACAATGAAAACTATAAAACATTGGTGAAAGAAACTGAAGAGGACACAAAAAAATGGAAAGCTATTCCATGTTCATGCATTGGAAGAATCAATATTGTTAAAATGCCTATACTAACCAAAGCAATCTACAGATTCAATGTAATCCCTATCAAAGTATCAATGGCATTCTTCACAGAAATAGAAAAAAAAATCCTAAAGTTTATATGGAACCACAGAAGACCCAGAATATTCAAAGCTATCCTGAGCAAAAAGAACAAAACTGGAGGAATCACATTACCTGGCTTCAAATTATACTACAGAGCTATAGTAACCAAAACAGCATGGTACTGGGCAGGGTGGGCCTGTTCTAAGGCCCCTGGATGGTATGCATGGGTGGTTGGCAGCAGCAGCAAACATGACAGATATTTAAACTTTTTGATCTTAGGATGCCTTCATATTTTTTAAAGCTGTTAAGTACTGCAAAGAGCCTTAGAATATGAATTATATATTTTTCAAATTAAAACAAAAAATTAAATATTACCCACTTACCCATTTAAGAATAACGGGTTGGGCACAGTGGCTCACACCTGTAATCCTGTAAGCACTTTGGGAGGCCGAAGCAGGAGAATCACTTGACTCCAGGAGTTTGTGACCAGCCTAGGCAACATAGAAAGACGCTGTCTCTACAAAAAATAAATTAGCCAGGTATGGTGGCACACCTGTCCCAGCTACTTGGGAAGCTGAGGTGGGAGGATTGCTTGAGCATGAGGGGGTTGAGGTTGCAGTGAGCTGTGATTGTGCCACTGCACTCCAGCCTGGGCAACAGAGCAAGACTATCTAAAAGAAAAAGAAAGAATAACAGTAAGAAACCCATTACGTGTTTACATATTATTACAAAATATAATGATAGTTTCCCAAACAAAACTATTTAGTGAGAAGAGTGACATCATTTGACATTTTTGCCGATCTTGGATTCTTCATTCAATTTGTTTTGCTATCATAAGTGATAACAGCCTCTGAAAAACTCTACTGGGCAGTCAGGAGAGAATGAAAGTGTAAAGAATAAATAATGACTTAGTATCATCACAAAAATAATTTTGCCTTCAAGTACCCACTGAAAGGATCTCAAGGACTGGCAGGGTTATGTGGATTACACCTGGAGAACTTCCTTAGAGTAAAACCCACCTCTGCATAACATTCACACACTCATCCACCTAAGCTTCCAATGAGTTTTTCAGTGCTTGTATTAGTTGGGATATTGAAGTTTAAGTTGCTGTTCCAAGGAGACCCCAGAATACAGTGGCCTAGAGAAGATGCAAGTTAATTTCTTTTTGCTCCACTTGTTGTTCACAGACCCAGTTTCCTTTTCTATTGTTGGTTTACCATCCCCTAAAAGATTATCTTCATCTAAGCATGGGATGTCTGTTCTAGCTTGCAGGAAAGGGAAAGTAGAGGAAATTCAGGGCAGCAATTTTGTTTCAAGCAAATGAGGCAGAAGCAGCACATACACTTTCCACTCCATTCCATTGTTGAAAACTTGGTTACATGACCTGATGTAGTCACAAAGAAGGATTGAAAAATGTAGTCTTTAGCCAGGCAGCCAATATACAAGAAGAAAGGATCTGAGGACTAACCAGCCATCTGCAGTGCTTCTCTTATTTATAAATAATCAGACACACATGATTTAAGTCCATTTGAGAAAAGCCATAACATGAAAGAGAAAACCAAAACAAACAAAAATAAACTAAGCAAAACAAAAACAAAACAAAAGGCTGGGTGTGGTAGCTCACGCCTGTAATCCCAGCATTTTGGGAGGCTGAGGCGGGAAGATCACAAGGTCAGGAGTTTGAGGCCAGACTGACCAACATGGTGAAACCCCATCTCTACTAAAAATACAAAAATTAGCTGGGCGTGGTGAAGCGCACCTGTAATCCCAGCTACTCAGGAGGCTGAGGCAGGAGAATCACTTGAACCCAGGAGGCGGAGGTTGCCGTGAGCTGAGGTCGCGCCACTGCACTCCAGCCTGGGGGATACAGCAAGACTCCATTTTAAAACACACACACACACACACAAACAAAACAAAACAAAAACAAAACAAAACAAAACAAAACAAAAACTTGGCTGAATCAGAGACAAGGTAAGGAGCATAGGAAATCTAAACAAATTTACCCTATCATTGATATCTTCAGGTAAAAGGAAAGATAACTACCATACATGAGAGTAGAACAAGATGCTATTAAGACAAAAAGGAAGAGATGAAAGATGGAACATTTCCTCCTAAAATCAAGAATAAAGTAAAGAAGGTACTGTTATCACTTTTTTTTTTGAGACAGAATTTCGCTCTGTTGCCCAGGCTGGAGTGCAATGGCGCAATCTCGGCTCACTGCAACCTCCGCCTCCTGGGTTCAAGTGATTCTCCAGCCCCAGCCCCCTGAGTAGCTGGGACTACAGGCATGTGCCACCACACCTGGCTAACTTTTTTTTTTTTTTTTGGTAATCTTAGTAGAAACGGGGTTTCACCATGTTGGCCAGGCTGGTCACCAACTGCTGGCCTCAGATGATCCACCCGCCTCGGCCTCCCAAAGTTCTGGGATTACAGGAGGGAGCAACCGTGCCAAGCCTGTTATCACTTCTATTCAACATTGTCCTAGCCAGTACAATAGCCTACAGTAGGCTACAAAAATATATAGAAGTCATGTAGATTGGAAAAGAAGTTAAACTGCCCTTATTGGCAGATGGACTGTGTGTATATAGAAAATCCTAAAGAATATAGAAAAAGCTATTAGAACTAGTAAGTGAGTTTAGAAGGGATGCAGGACATAAGGTCAACATACAAAAACCAGCAACAAACATCTGGACATTGCATTTTTTTTTTTTTTTTTTGGCAGAGTCTCACTCTGTCGCCCAGGCTGGAATACAGTGGCGCCATCTCTGCTCACTGCAACCTCCCTCCACCTCCCAGGTTCAAGCAATTCTCATGCCTCAGCCTCCCTAGTAGCTGGGATTACAGGTGTGCACCACCATGTCTGGCTGATTTTTGTATTTTTAGTAGAGACGGAGTTTCTCCATGTTGGCCAGGCTGATCTCGAGCTCCTGGTCTCAAGTGATCCACCCGCCTTGGCCCCCCAAAGTGTTGGGATTACAGGCATGAGCCACTGCACCCAGCCTGAAATGTTTTATTTTATTTTATTTTATTTTTTATTTTTTTTTGAGACAGAGTCTCGCTCAGTCACCCAGGCTGGAGTGCAGTGGCCCGATCTCAGCTCACTGCAAGCTCCGCCTCCCAGGTTCATGCCATTCTCCTGCCTCAGCCTCCCGAGTAGCTGGGACTACAGGCACCCACCACCACGCCCGGCTAATTTTTTGTATTTTTAGTGGAGACGGGGTTTCACCGCGTTAGCCAGGATGGTCTCGATCTGCTGACCTCGCAGTCTGCCCGCCTCGGACTCCCAAAGTGCTGGGATTACAGGCGTGAGCCACTGCGCCCAGCCTGGCCTGAAATGTTTTAAATACCACTTATAATAGCATCAAAATGTGATATTTAGGAAAAATTTAATTACAACTGTATGATAAAAACTATGAATATTGCTGAGAAATTTAAAAAGACCTAAGTAAATGGAAAGATGCACCTTATTCACTGATGAAAAATTTCAGTGTTGTTAAAATGTCAGTTCTCTCCAAAATGATTTATGGATTTAAAGCAATGCCATATGAAACTCCAGAAAGTTTTTTGTAGAAACTGACAAGCTAATTCTAAAATTTATATGGAATTGCAAAGGACCTAGAATTGGCAAAACAATTTTGAAAAAGACAGCAGTGTTGGAGGCTTTAGGGTATCTGAAGGATATCGTGTACATCCATCTGTAAAGCTACAGTAACCTAGAAAGTATGGTATTGGTTCTCAATCCAACAGAACAGAGAATTCAGAAATAAACCCACACATGTATGGTCAACTGATTTTTGACAAAAATGACAATGTTATCCAATGGTTAATGGGTAGTCTTTTTTAAAAATGGTTCTCCCAGCCTGGCCAACATGGTGAAACCCTGTCTCTACAAACAATAAAAAAATTAGCCAGGCATGGTGGCACACCCCTATAATCCCAGCACTTTGGGAGGCTGAGGTGGGTGGATCACCTGAGGTCAGGAGTTCGAGACCAGCCTGGCCAATATGGCAAAACCCCATCTCTACTAAAAATAAAAATTAGCAGGGTGTGGTGGCACACGCCTGTAATCCCAGCTACTCAGGAGGCTGAGGCAGGAGAATTGTTGAACTCGGGAGGCAGAGGTTGCAGTGAGTTGAGATTGCGCCACTGTACTCCAGCCTGGGCAACAGAGCAAGACTCTGTCTCAAAAAAATTTAAAAAATTTAAAAAATTAAAAGCACAAATCATAAAATTTTTAACATTGATAAATTAGACTTCATTAAAATTAAAACTTCTGCGTTGAAACACATTGTAAAGGAAAAAAAGCCACAAACGGGGAGAAAATATGCCCAATATGTTTATATGACAAAAGACCTGCATTCAGTACACATAAAGAACTCTTGAGAACTACTTAGTAACAATAATACAAACTCAATTTTTAAAATGTTTTAAAAATAGACAAAATATTTGAACAGACAGTTCATCAAAGAAGATATAGGAATGGTATAGGAATGGCTAACAAACACATGAGAAGATGCCCGACATCATTAGTCATCAAGAAAATGCAGGCTGGGCATGGTGGCTCACACCTGTAATCTCAGCACTTTGGGAGGCCGAGGCAGGCGGATCACAAGGTCAGCAGATCAAGACCATCCTGGCTAATACGGTGAAACCCCGTCTCTACTAAAAATACAAAAAATTAGCGGGGTGTGGTGGCGGGCACCTGTAGTCCCAGCTACTTGGGAGGCTGAGGCAGGAGAATGGCGTGAACCCGGGAGGCGGAGCTTGCAGTGAGCCGAGATGGCACCATTGCACTCCAGCCTGGGCGACAGAGCAAGACTCCGTCTCAAAAAAAAAAAAAAAAAAAAATGCAGATTGAAACCATAATGAGATTACTATTACACATCCACTAAAATGACAAAAATTTTGACAGTACCAACTATTGGTGAGGATGTAGAGTAACTGGAACATTGCTGATGGGAGTGTAAAATGGCACAACCACTTCAAAAAAACTATTGCCAGTTTCTTATGAAATTAAACATATATTTACTATACAACTCAGCAATTTCATTCCTAGATATTTATTCAAAAACTAATGTCCATACAAGACTTGTACTCTCTCTGTGGCCCAGGCTGGAGTGCAGTGGCATGATCACTGCTCACTGCAGCCTGGAACTCCTGGGCCTAAGTGATTCTCCCACTTCAGCCTCCCAAGTAGCTGGGACTTCAGGCATGCACCACTGTGTCCAGCTAATTTAAAATTTTTTTTTTAGAGATGGGGTCTCACTATATTGCCCAAGCTGGTCATGAACTCCTGGGCTCAAGTGATCCTCCTGCCTTGGCCTCCCGAAGTGCTGGGGTTATAGACATGAGCCATCATGCCTGGCCTGTATCAGCTTTCTTCATAATAACCCCAAACTCGAAACAACTCAAATGTCTATCAAAAAATGAATAGATGGAAATCAGTGGTATGCAACGAAATACTATTGAGCAATGAACAGGAATTACTGCTACAATCAGCAACATGAATCTCAAATTATGATGAGTGAAAAAAGCCAGACTCAAAATGGTGTAGATTATAATGATTCTGTTTATATAAAGCTCCAGAAAAGACCAGTCTAATCTATAGTGTCAGAAAGCAGATTGGTGGTTGCCTAGGGTAAGGGGTAAGGTGATTGATTGTCACCATGCCTGGCTAATTTTTGTATTTTTAGGGGAGACAGGGTTTCACCATGTTGTCCATGTTGGCCAGGCTGGTCTCGAACTCCTGACCTCAGGTGATCCTCCCACCTCCACCTGCCCAAAGTGCTGGGATTACAGACGTGAGCCACCTCGCCGAGCTGACTCTTACTCCTCTCTAAGCCCCAGTTGAGAAGACTGTAGAAGAGGCTGCCCGGAAGCGGGACGGTGTCCTGGGCAGAGGTGAAAACAGAAGAGAATTTGCCAGTCATAGACCAGGAGCTCCAGAGGGCCTGTGGACGAGCTGGGGGGACTGTGGTAGGGCAGGGAGGAATAGGGGATTGAATGGGGTTGGAGACATGCAGAGCAGTGTGAGGCATGAGAGGCAGCATGGTGCTGGCTGACCACCCAGGCTTGGACTTCTCATGGTGATGGAGGTAAAGAAGGAAGGGAGGCAGGGGCAGGCTGGTCGGCTGGTCTCTGGAATGAGTGTGGGCTCGAGTCTCTTCCCTTCCTGATGCTGCCTTCCCTTAGTAACCTGGCCTTCCTCCACAGTGGCTCTCAGATCCCCGCTAATGGGGATGCCCAGAGTCTGTTTCCTGCTCATTCTCTTCTCACCTGTTTTCTTTATTGCAGTGAAATTTGGAAGTGCCGTGCCTTCCCCACACACCAGGTGACTGCCTTAGCACTAGGTCACTTGTATCTCAGCTTGTTTGTCCACTCCCCAAACTCCTGGAGGCCAGGACCACGTCAATTTATCTTTGAGTCCATTATATTTTAGGCCATGCTATGCTCAAGGTACATGGTCTCCGGGCATTGTTTGATAAAACAGAATAAATTCAGGAGAGGAAAGGGGAATAAACATGCTTAGTGAACATCTTCTCTGTAGGCATATGCTTGTCCCTTGAAAATCATGTGTATGATTTCCTGAGCAGAGCACTGGCGCTCAGCGGATATTCCAGATTATTATTATTAAGTTATATTATTATTATTTTATTATTCCACCTCATTGGGTAGGCGTTATTACCCCTACTCTATGTATTCATTTCACAAGTATTTCTTGAGTGCCTACTCTGTATCAGACACTGTGTTACACCCTGGGAATACTAAGTATATATGAGTGTGCTGGTTCTTCCTGGTGGAACCGCAAATCCCCAGATGCATTTGCTGTCCTGCACTGTGAGTAGAAAGGACAGTCCCTGGGGCTTACATCAACCTGGCTCACTTGCCAGCTGCTTCCAGGTGTTTTTAGCCAATGGGAGGCCCTGGCAGGGAATGGCCTGGGAGGGAAGTTGGAATGTTTCTTCCTTGTTCCCTTTGCTTTGGGCTGTGTTTTTGGCAGTAACAACTGCAGCCTCTTTAGGACCACCCCTCCTTCATGGCTCCAGCTCTCCAGGGACTTTGGTAACACCATTCTACTACTCCCTCCACTGTCATCCAGCACACACAGAGTGGGAGACACCATCCTGGTCATCTCAGGGCCCTGAGCTGTGGCTAAGTCCACAGGGGCTTCCTGGGCAGTGACCTGGGTAGACCAGCTGTTTGTCGTCGGCTCCTCCCTTGCTTCATGCTGTTCCCTGCCTGGCACAGCGCAACTGCCAATGCTCAGACAGAAGTGACTAGAGGGGATCTCCTGGCCTTCAGAGTCCAGGGCCTGACACACAGAGCACAGATTTCACTGGAAAGAAAAGAGAAAGGGAAGGAGGGATGGAGAAGGAAGGGAGGGAAGATGGACCTTGTATCTGAGTCCATCCTGTGAATCCATTCTCCCCAGGTCACTAAGCCTGAGGTTATAACCAAACAGGCTTCTGAAAGGTCACGGATCATGTAAAGGGAGACCTCTGTTGTAGGGAAAGGCCACTGAACTTGAGAATCATTCTTGCCAATTCTGTGATCTTGGGCAATACATTTGGCCTTAGTTTCCTACTCTGCAAAATGAGCACAGCTCTCATGCTTCAAAGCAGTGCACAAAAGCACCTCAAGGTTGCCAAGCACAGTGGCACACACTTGTAATCCCAGCAACTCCAGAGGCTGAAGTGGGAGGATTGCTTGAGCCCAGGAGTTCAAGGCCAGCCTGGGTAGCATAGTGAGACCCTCATCTCAAAAAAAAAAAAAAAAAAAAAGGCCGGGTGCGGTGGCTCACGCCTGTAATCCCAACACTTTGGGAGGCTGAGGCGGGCGGATCATGAGGTCAGAAGATCAAGACCATCCTGGCTAACACGGTGAAACCCTGTCTGTACTAAAAATACAAAAAATTAGCCAGGCATGGTGGCGGGCGCCTGTAGTCCCAGCTACTCGGGAGGCTGAGGCAGGAGAATGGCCTGAACCCAGGAGGCAGAGCTTGCAGTGAGCCGAGATCGCGCCACTGCACTCCAGCCTGGGTGACAAAGCGAGACTCTGTCTGAAAAAAAAAAAAAAATGAAAAAAAAAAAGCACACCTCAAGCTATGTAAGTGCTAGGTGTTGTTATAAGCATATCCAAGCTCATCCCCAGGACAGGATATCCTCCTCACACAGGACTCTTTTCTTCTTGCATCCTCAGAAATGTAGTCATAGCCAGGAGTGATAAGACATTTCATTCTAATTGGATGCCACACAACTAACTCTTTTTTTCCCTTTTTTTGGAGACAGAGTCTTGCTCTGTCGCCCAGGCTGGAGTGCAGTCGTGTGATTTCGGCTCACTGCAACCTCCACCTCCCAGGTTCAAGCAATTCTCGTGCCTCAGCCTCCCGAGTAGCTGGGATTACAGGCATGCACCACCCCGCCTGGCTAAATTTTTTTTTTTTATTTTCAGTAGAGATGGGGTTTTACTATGTTGGCCAGGCTGGTCTCGAACTCCTGACCTTAGGTGATCTGCTCGCCTTGGCCTCCCAAAGTGCTGGGATTACAGGCTTGAGCCACTGTGCCCAGCCTTTCTTTCCATTTTTTTCTCACCATTTTTTTTTCAAGGTGACTTACAACTAATTCAACATGAAAAAAGAGAGGAAAGGTCATGAAAATCATACCCCTTCCCCTCCCCAGGATTTTCCAATAGGCGAAAATTTTCAGCTCCTAAAAGCCCATGTGGAAAAAGAAAACAGATGGGCTCTGGGAAGTGTTGCAAAGCCCTGGGAAGGGCTCTGAGTCCCCTCTGTCCTCTGAGGTCAGGTGGAGGGGTCAGGGAAGGAGACAGGTCTGCAGGGACCTGTAGCCAGAAGGGATGAGGCGGGGGCTAGGTGTGGAGCACCCAGTACATGAGAGGCACTGTGTCAGACTCTAAGGAAACAGAGGGGAAGCCAGCACTCTGGCCCTCAAGGAGCTCTCAGGCTTGCCAGAAGCATTTGGATGGGACAGGGCGGGCTGTGGATGGACTCGAGCCTCCAACCCCTCACCATACACTGTGGAAGCACCCCAGTTGTGGCCTGGGAAGGGATCTTGCTAGGGTCAAGTCTCAGCTCCGGCCAGAGTGAATGTCTCCTACATGGGGAGGTGGAGTTTCTGTTGGTGGATGAAGAACCGGAACTGGGCCCAATTTGGTGACTGGTCAGAGGGTACTGAGGTCCTATGCTCCAGGGACTTCCCTTCCAAGCCGACCTGGGACAAAAAGTAATGCTCCTTTTGTCCGCTAGGAGGAGCCAGTGTCCTTGAGTGGACTGTAGGGTGGCCCCCACCCCCACCCCACCCCATCTAGGGACAGGGAGCATTCAGCAGGTGGGAAGGGAGAGCGGTCTGCAGGTCACCCAGCCTTCCCTGGAGCTCTTCCCCTTTGACCTGGGCTCCGGCTCTCTCCTTTGTCACACATGGTGGTGGTGGGCAGTGGGATTCCAGCTCTATGGAAATACAGATTGTGCGTAAGTCAAAAGCAAATCTTTACTTCACCTCGCCAACCCAGAGTGTGGGCAAACCGGGGGGGCAGTTTGGGTAAAGTCATTCTACCCATCTGAGCCTCCATTTCTCATCCGCAAAATGCAAGCTTTGTTAAGCCAGATGTTTTCTAAGGCATCACTATGGGGATTTTGAAGTCCAGTGATTCCTAGTGCTGCCCCTTCCTCTCTACCCTCAGCCTTTCCTGATTTCTGCAAGTGCACACCACCAGCCAGTCCCATAACAGAGCTTCCTGCCCCTACGTTCACCCCCAATGCAGGGACATTCCTCTGGCAGGTGTGAGAGGCAGAGTCCCTGGGAAACCAGGAGACCTCTGCCAAGATCCACACTCTTGGCATCACCTGGGCCTCTCATTCCAGGTCATGTTTTATTTCCAAGCACAGACTGTGTTTCCAACTCAACCAGATCTCTCCACCCACACGTCTCTCGGGTACCTGCACCCCAATGTGCCCAAGGCTTAGCTGTCCAC